>NC_000002.12:69792625-70417625 GCF_000001405.40 Homo sapiens
GCTTAAACCTTCTACTTTAAGACAATTCTTTATTTCTAAGCAAAATATACATTTCCATGCCCTCTTATAATCTTTAAATAAAAACATCTTTTACTGTTTTTACACACTTTCCATGTAATTCCATGTTCAGTAGTTTCAATCACATGTTATAATGGTAACTTTTAGTAATTTTTAACTTTAATGTAAAACCTGTTAGGTTGTTTTAATTATGTGCTGGATGCAGATAATGTTTGACTCCTTTCAGCATAGTTAGGGGCTTGGTTGCTTCCGTATGTTCCCAGGTGCTACCAATTGTGAAGCAGGCACGTTGATAGTTTTTAAAGGCTAAATAAAGAAGTAGTTTTATGGCCAGTCGCAATGGCTCCTGCCTGTAATCCCAGCACTTTGGGAGGCCAAGGCGGGCGGATCACGAGGTCAGGAGATCGAGACCATCCTGGCCAACATGGTGAAACCCCGTCTCTACTAAAAATGCAAAAATTAGATGGATGTGGTGGCGCGTGCCTGTAATCCCAGCTACTCAGGAGGCTGAGACAGGAGAATCACTTGAACCAGGGAGTCAGAGGTTGCAGTGGGCCAAGATCGCACTACTGCACTCCAGTCTGGCGACAGAGCAAGACTCCATCTCAAAAAAAAAAAAGCAGTTTACAACCTTAAAACATTTAGCAAACTAGTATTTGACCTGCATAATTTAGACCACATTTTTATACCTTGAAGACATTTGTATTTTACCAATAATTCCTAAGACTCTTTTTATTTTTAAAGATTAAAGTCACATGAACTGAAAGGTACCACAGCTTTTACTTTTCCCTTAAAAATGTTTGATTTAAGCGCTTATTTTTCTTAGGCCAATTAATTAGAGCTCCTTTTTTTAATAGGCATTACACAAGTAACACATATATAACCACACAAACAGAAGAAGATCCAGCAGTTATAAGATTTTGCATTTGCCAATGTCCCAATTGGATTATTGGCCTCTGAGTGAGGTTCTTTCAGAACAGAGCTAGGAATACAGCTTCCAGGGCCTAATAAGCAAGCATAGCCAGAAGACAAAGACGATTTTGAGAGGTATTTATTCACCTTTAATTCCAGGGGCTCCGAGGAAAACAGATTTTTCCTAAAATGGGATTTGTGGTGCATTTTCTGTTTCCCCAAGGAGTCCCAGGCCACCGGAAGCCATTCTAGGTGCACCAAGAGTGGCAAGACACAGTAAAAAAAAAAAGCAATTCAGTCAACTGAGAAAAAAAAGTTTCCAGATTTATGAAGATTTATTTAAGAAGATTTATGAAGAGAAAAACATAAAGGCCTTTTAAATATACCCATTGATTGGATATCCACTTTTAATTAAGCTGAATGCTCTTTAAGAAAATCCTTTTTCATTAATTAAAACTTTACAAAGAATGCAAACAGTAATTCTTATTATTTCTTTTACCCAGTTTGCTCCACTTACCTGTTCACAATCATGTTTAGGTTCTCCAGTTTTCTCTGGGAGAAAGTGGCTGGGCTCAGGCAAGGGCAGGTTTTCAGCTGGACTGCAGATCCCTTTAGCAGCAAAGCTTGGTATTTGAGGAGGCAATTGTTTGTCAGCCAGAGACTTTCCTTAGAGGACAACAGTCCTGTTACATTGTGTGGGGTTAAACAGTTATTTCCCATGGTTAACCCAGTGGCCTCTGACACCAGCAAAGCCTCCACTGTAACTGCTTGGAGGCAGGCTGACCATCCTTTGGCCACCAAGTTTTAAGTTCCTTGCTTAAGTAACTCACTGGCTGTTGAGCTGGACCTCAAGCCTTAGTTAAAACTTCCAGGGCCATTTCCTTCCTTTTTGTTACATAGAGACTGAATGCTTTCCCCATGGAAAGACTGAGGGCTGGTATGTTATGTTATATTATGTTATGTTATATTATGTTATGTTATGTTATGTTATGTTATGTTATGTTATGTTATGTTATGTTATTTTTGAGACGGAGTCTCACTCTGTCGCCCAGGCTGGAGTGCAGTGGCATGATCTCAGCTCACTGCAAGCTCTGCCTTCCGAGTTCACGCCATTCTCTTGCCTCAGCCTCCCGAGTAGCTGGGACTACAGGTGCCTGCCACCATGCCCAGCTAATTTTTTTTGCATTTTTAGTAGAGACGGGGTTTCACCGTGTTAGCCAGGAAGGCTTGGTTTAGCTGGTTAAAGGCTTTTTGAGCCTTAGGTTCCCAAAAGAGAGAGGGGTGAGTTTTAACTGTTTGAGTTTCTTTTATGAGGTGGTATAAAGGGTGAGCCATTTCCCTGTGCCCAGGTACTCACAGTTTACAAAATCCAGTAATGCCCAAGAATTTCCCTAACTATCAAAGGAAATGGGCCTAATCCTTTCCTCACCTGGTGCTCTGGTCCCTTCTGATAAGACCAGAACTAGGTACTTTACTGAAGTCTGACAGAGCTGAGCTTTGGATTTTGAGACTCTATACTCCCTTTCAGCTAAGAAATTAAGGAGAGTCTTAGCATCTTCCTGAGCCTTCCTTGATTGGGGCATAGAGGAAAGTGTTATCTACATACTGCAAGACCCTGACCTGAGGACGGGAAAACTTAGAGGGGTCCTTTGACAGTGCTTGTCCAAATGAGTGAGGGCTGTTTTGAAATCCCTGAGGCAGCACCATCCATGTTAACTGTGTGGTCTGGCCGGAGGGATCCTTACAGGCAAACAGGTATTGAGAGTCAGGATGTAACGGTATGCAGAAAAAGGCATCCTTTAAATCTAGGACTATAAACCATTTAGTTCCTTCAGGTATTTGAGTCAGCAAGGACTCAAACGGATGAATTGGGACTATGGCCCATTAATGAGGCAGATGTCCTGAACTAGTCTCCATTCCCCATTGGGTTTTTATGCTCCTAGTATCGGGGTGTTGCAAGGACTGTTACAGGGTCTGAGGAGGCCCTGCATTTTTAGGTTATTAATAATAGCTTCTAGCCCTTTCCTGGCCTCTGGCTTTAGAGGATATTGTCTCTGGTTAGGAAAAGAAGTGGGATTTTTAAGGCGGATCTGAACTGGCCTAGCAGTTTTAGCTTGACCTATTCTTCCTTGAGTTGTCCACACTTCTGGATTAATGTTGGCTTTCACTAAGGGAAGACAAAGAGTTTGTCCTGGGGCCATGAGGATGCTGGCCCCCATGTGGGCTAAAATATCTCTACCTAGTAAAGGAGTGGGGGGACTTTCAGGCATATTTAAGAAGGCATGTGTAAATAATAAGTTCCCCCCAACTACAGTGAGAGAAATATTGGGTTAGAGTCTTTCCTGAGACACCCACCATGGTTGTGCTATGGGAAGAGGGGAGGCCTTGATTGGACAGGAGAACAGAGAGACTGGCTCCAGTATCCAGGAGGAAGCCCACCCTCCTTCCTTCAATTTCCAGAATCACCCGGGGCTCCTGAACAGTGATGGCAGTCTGAGCCACTGGAGCCAGGGGTCTGAGCCCTAGGACCTGTCAGTCCTGCCGGACCATCTGTGAGACTAGTTCTGGACCTAGTGACCTCCATATCCAGGGGCAGTTTAATATCCAGTGGTCTTCACCACACGCTGGACAGGGTCAAGGTGGCTTTTTCTTGTTGCCTGGGCAATTCTTCTTAAAGTGCCCTGGCTTGCCACACCAGTAGCAATTAGTGGATGCTTCCTGAGGATCCTGGACTCTGCAAGCCTGCAAAGCATCTCCTTGAGCCTTAGTCACTTTCTCTTTTTCTCCTGGGGCTCCTCCCAGTCCCTATGGTAAAAGACCAAGGTGGCCACCTTCAGGAGATCTTCCAAGGTACTATCTGGTCCTATAGCCTGTTTTTGTGGTTTCCTTCTAATATCAGGAGCTGCCTGCTTTTTGGCTGCAGTGAGGGTTTGACTTAGAAGCAACATAACAGCTCTCCATGTGAAGTCAAACACTTGAGTTAGATTTTGGAAGGTCTCTGTCTACCTATTAGGGACATCAGAAAATCGGCGCAAGTCTCCCTTTATTTTTCTACAGTCCTGTAATGAGAAGGGAACATGTACCCTAGGGGTGCCCCTTCCATCTGGCATTTCTTGTAGGGGTAGAAGTGAAGCTGGGGCAGTGGGGAGCTTTGGAGATGGTGAAGCTGGAGAAGCTGATGGTGCAGTTGGAGGGGGCCCCAGATTAGGAAAACTAGAAGGACTGGGGCACTTAGAAGCTGCCCCCAATGGCTCCTGCAAAACTTGCTCTTCTAACTTAGGGGAATTACTCTCCACAGACCCGCCTGATATGATTGCTAAGAGAGCTGAGTCAATTGTGCAGTGCTTGCTAACGTCTGGGTTGTCTCGCGGGGCAAAGAAAGCCTGTGCATAGGGGACCTTGGACCATTTGCTCTCCTGTCTACAGAAAAGATCTAATTGATGGATAAGATTAAAATCAAGGTTCCCTTCAGCTGGCCATGTCTGTTCATCCCTGAGACAGTAAGAAGGCCATGCCCTTCTGCAAAAGAAAATGAGCTGCTTTTTCTTCAAAGTTTTAGGGTCAAAGGACTCCCAGTGCTTCAGAATGCACTCCAGAGGAGTGCCGGCTGAAGATGGCTTGTTACCCATCTGCAAAAGAGACAAGAATAGAGGTTTCCTCGGTCTCCTGGTTCTTTTCAATGTGACTCAGGGAGGAGGGGACACAGTAGGAGAGTCCTCCTGGCTGTTCTCCCTCCTTGGTCCCCGGGTCCCAGCACCATAGTTGCAGCCCCATGGTTGCAGGTGTGACCCCCAAGCGTAATACCAGAGGACCTAATCAATGGGCTAGTCATGTTTACCCATATGACCTCAGTCCTCTGCCTAATAATTGGGTAATTACTCTCTGACCTCCTAGACCTGTGTGACCTGTGTGGCTTCTTGATAAATGGATCTCCGGAGAGATAATGTAACACTTGCATTTAAGCAAGGCCCCTTAATAGAGGGAGTGTACTGGAATGAGCTTTATACTCTGCTATTATGGACTGGACTAGAGGATTTATTCTTAGGTGGTGGTTCCGGTTAACTTCCAGACATAAAATCCCCTTTCTATTTAGATGCCATTCTAGTTGTAGGCAGAATGGGTGTCTTCAGAGAACGTAAGGGTCAAATGGTGGCCTTCCTGCTAACAGAGAGAGTACTGAGACTAAAATTTGGTTTTGGAGGACATGTTCCTCCTTGCTGCTGAAAGCAGAGTTCTCCCACTTGCAGAGGGGGCATAAGGTTTGGTCTCTATTAGAGGGATGTAAAAGGGAGGAGAACTGAAAAGCCAGAGACTTTTAGCAAAGGGCAGACAAGATTCCTCATGGAGAGGATTCCCATTTTACTAGGTGGTGCTAGTGGAATACCAGGCAGTAACTTTGCCTCCATATGCTCTTTAAACAAAGGATGGAGAGAGAAGTCTGACCTGTGGCATGCTGTCCCCACAGCATACCTCCTAACAGGAGAAAGTTAGTTTGCCTCATAGAGGGGCTATCCGGTCCGACTGGACAGTGCTGGTTCCTCACATGGGAAAAGAAACAGCCTAAGTGGACAGAGGGGCATTTACTGGGGGGAAAATAACCTCCCACCCAACCCCAGGAAGTATTATCATTAGGAGTTAAATAGTCTTTGAGATCTGGATCATGGAATTCCCCTGTCTGTAAAAAGTCAGAAAAACAGCAATCCCTTAACCTGCATTCCTGGTTACTACGGTGGTTGCTAAACCTGCCTAATTGAATTATTTCCTGGGCTATAAAAATTCCTGCAGCATTGCATACAGAGAGGAGATGGGAGACATGGTGACTGCAGAAAGGAAAGGAGGAAAATAAGATTTGCAATAGGAAAACTTGGAGATCCTATGGCTGACACCCAGTCAGGCAATCAGAGGCTGGGGTCAGTCCAGGAGCCTTTTGAATAACACCAGGGTGTGGCCCTGGCCAGAAATTCTCAGTTGCTCCAGGACCTATTCCAGCCCCATACAACAACCAGGCTTTCTGTGAAAAGAAACTAGTTTGGACACAGCCAACATTCCCGGCACCCTGAGGGCAGGTCCTCCCCAGCAAGCCTCACATCTGAGTCTTCAAGACTGGTGGCCAGCCCTTGTGGCTCCTTAATCAGCTGTCAGATGCCCGGTGTTTTTGATAGTTATTTGAGAGAATAAAAACGGAGGACAAGAAGCCTCGGAAGTGAAAGTAGAGTCCGCTCCTTTACTCACCATTCTGATGAAGTCACCTTCAAATCCCAGACGAGCCCTCAAAATGAAGCAGCCTTGTTGTCTGGGGTGAATACTGAGGTTCTTGGTCACACGACCAGATATTGAGGTCAAGGACATGCACACACACATCGAGTGAGTTTGGAGCAGGAGTTTAATAGGCAAAAGAACAGAACAGCTCACAGTCACAGAGAGGGGTCCCGAGCAGGTTGCTAAGCAGTAGTAAAAATGTCAGGGTTTTTATAAATGGTCTAGGGAGGAGGGGCCTCATGAGGAGGGGATGTCTTATCCTCTTAGGGCCTGATGGTTTAGCTGCGACCAAGTGTGCTATCTATATAGAGCAGAATTTTTTTTATCAGCTTTTATCCCATTCCCTGACCACATAGGCTGACTCTTAGTCTGTGTTTCTTTGTCTTGCTTATCTGGGAGGGAGAGTTTCTGTGTCTGTTCCCATACATCTTCTTGCAGCTGCAGGCATCCGCCCCATGAGTCTGCTTTTAGTTTCTCTATCTTAGTGCACCTAAAGGGAAAGGAATGTGCTTATTAAGACCCACTGTTTTACTGGGGCCCATTGTATAAGTGTGAAGTTTGGCAATTACCCAGGAGACTTCCACCCCTTCTTCTGTGCTTGAGCTGTCTTATCTGTATTTTACAGCCTGAACTTTCAGGTTACTTGTTGTTAGAAGAGAAGTGATTTTTTTTAACTGTGTGTGGTTAGAAAGGGAGCTATTTTTGAGCTGCTTTTTGTTAAAAGGAAAGTTTTCTGCTGGGGACTCACTTTACCCTAAATGTCTACCTAAATAATTTCTTTTTGCCTCCTATAACACTGGTAGTGTCTTCCAGCATGCTACCCTCCAGTTAGCTCCTTGGGGGCCAACACCTTCATGCTGGGTAGGTACAGTGATTCTATGTGCACCACAAACTACCTGGCCTAGCCTCTGCCCCCAAGACCTTGTCTCAGTAGACTTTTGGCCAGAGAAGTATCCCCTGGTTCTTAGCTGCTATTTAGAATCTCCTTGAGATTTGGGTAAAAACACTTGACCATGAGACCATCTTTCTATCCAAAAAGAATTCATTTTACTCAGCCTCAATGTTGCTAACAGTAACAACAACCGTAGCAATAATAGAAAATGTTTATTAAGCTCTACTATGTGTCAGACATAGAGATAGATGCTTTCCATGGGTTATCTGTTTTAATCCTGACAGAAGCTTGTCTTACTGTTGAGAAGGTAAAGTATAGTGAGTGAGGCTGGCTGACTTGCCCACGGTCTCAGAACTATTAAGTGGTATATTCAGGATTCTAGATAATTCCTAGAACACTTTCCTTTCATCTTTGCATGATCAGCTGCCTCAAGTCTGATTCCAGAGCTGGAGTTCAAGCCACTGTTCTATGCTGCTGCCCATCTCTGAAGAGAACATTGTCCTGAATCTATGTATCTTCTTCTTTTCCCTTTTTCATAAAAAGAGAAAGGCATAGGACCCACCTTTTTTTTCAGTTTATCCTAATTCTTTGGTTACAAGGACACCATAATTCAAAATGTAGCCCATGTTACATTCAGAATTATCAGCATAAAGGGTGAGGAGACATTTGGCACAACCAACCCCTTTTCAGTGCCTGTTATGTGTGGGCCAATGCAAGGCAGACTGTTGGAGAAGACAAGGATTATAATCCCTAGTTCTTGTGTTCAAATAGTCTATGAATACTAGCACAGCTAAGGCATGCACAAAAATAACTATGATTAATTCATAATATAACAGTGACAGGAGGGGCACAAATAAGATCCCACTGGGGTTCAAAGAGAAGAGATCACATTTCACTTGGGGGCATCGGGCAAAGCTTCTTGGAGGATGTAGATGTTAAAATGGACCTTGGGAGATGATTGAGTTTCTGTAAACAGAATTAAGGGACAAGGTGTTTCAGGTGAATGGAATGGCATGTGCGGAGGTCTAGGGGAGTCATGGTAAATCCACAGAAAAGTGTCTTGCAGCAGTGAAGTGGCCTCGTCTGGGGTGACACCCATGGTTTGTTGTCTCACGGCCACAGATATCAAGGACGTAGACACACAAAGAGTGAGGTTAAGAGTGGAAGTTTAATAGGGAAAAGAAAGAGACTAGCTCTCTGCTACAGAGAGGGATTCCAGAAAAATGGGTTACCAATTCACGGTGAAATGCAGAGGGGTTTATAGATGAGCTGTGGCAGGCACTGGGGGTTGGGGGGCTGATGTCTGATCTACATAGGGCACCAAAAACCAGTTAGAAACAGGTGTGCTATCTGCATAGGGCATGAATCTCTGACAGTCCCTACCCCAGTCTTTTATTATGCAGGTGGGTTTTCAGCCTGAGCTGTACTGTATTGGTCATTTCTTTCTTACTGTACACATGCTAACAAAAAAGGGAAGGTGGAGTTTCCATGGTGGACATGCCTGGCCCCCAGGTAGCCCTTTTCTGTTGGTACAGCGGCCAGCATTCCCTTGTGCAAGCTTTCAGTTTCCTTATCTACGTTTGTAGCTTGATTTTTCAGGCTGCTCTTTGTTAGAAAAAAAAATGATTTTGGGGGCTGCTTTTTGTTACAAGGGAAGTTCTGCCAAGGACTCTTTTGCCCTCACTATCTGTTTTTTGTTTTTTTTTTCTTTTTTGAGATGGGGCCTCGCTCTGTCACTCAGGCTGTGGCATGCACTGGCATGATCTTGGCTCACTGCAACCTCCACCTCCCGGGTTCAAGTGATTCTCATGCCTCAGCCTCCTGAGTAGCTGGAATTACAGGCCCCCACCACCATACCTGGCTAACTTTTATATTTTAATAGAGACAAGGTTTTACCATGTTGGCCAGGCTGGTCTTGAACTCCTGACCTCAAGTGATCCACCCACCCCAGCCTCCCAAAGTGCTAGGATTACAGGCATGAGCTACCACACCCGACCTGCCCTCACTATCTGCTTAAACAATTTCTTTCTATCTCCTGTATCAGCAGGAGGTACTTGCAAAGCAGAAGTAGGCTGGTTGGGAGCTTTCTGAGAAAGCAGGTACCAGAAGGAGGTTTTAGGGGTGCTACTGAGAAAGCACCCATAAGAATCACAGACATGCGGGAATGACCCACAGGCACTGGCTGGGAAACAACATATGACAGAATCATGATGCTAAATGGAGGGGGTTAAGAGGACATATAAACCAATAGACTGGTAATGAAGGGGGTCAGGAGCCTGGAGTGCAGCACAGTTGGGTAAAGCACAATATTTCAAGAGCTGAGTCCATGAATTTGGCTGCCTAGTGTCCTTTTATGTGGCTATTTACAATAGTGAATGGGATACTGTAGAGAGTCTCAAATGTCAGGCTGCAGTGCCTAAAGTAAATCCAGCAGATGATGGGGAGCCATTGTGTATTTCTGAGCAGGGGAGAGACATTGTGAGAGTTTTTCTTTTTACAAAAATGAATCTGGCAAGACTCTGGGAAGACCAACCAGGAGTTAAGAATACTAGTTAGCAGACATCTGCACTTGTCTAAGAAGAAACCCTGAAATCTTGAATTGGAATGGTTGTGATAGGAAATAAAAAGAGTGAAAGAATGCAAAAGAGGCTGTAAAGCAACATTTTGCATGACCGTGGACTTGAATGAAGAGGAAAGGAGAGGGTAAAAAAATCAAAGCTATTGGGCTGGGTGCAGTGGCTCACGCCTGTAATCCCAGCACTTTGGGAGGCCTAGGTGGGCAGAGCACAAGGTCAAAAGATCGAGACCATTCTGGCCAACAAGGTGAAACCCCGTCTCTACTAAAAACACAAAAATTAGCTGGGCGTGGTGGCGTGCACCTGTAGTCCCAGCTACTGGGGAGGCTGAGGCAGGAGAATCGCTTGAACCCGGGAGGCAGAGGTTGCAGTGAGCCGAGATGGCACCACTGCACTACAGACTGGCCACAGAGCAAGACTCTGTCTCAAAAAAAAAAAAAAAAATTGAATCTATTTTGAGGATTTCAGCTTGGCTTGACTGGGGGGAAGAGTGATCCCTTTCACAGAAACAGGGAATGAACAAAAGGTAATGAACCCTCTCTGCCCCTTCCACACCCCCTCCTAGCTGAGAGTGCCAAGGGAGAAATTGATTGTTATATGGATTGTCCTCTCCTTTTTAAAAATAGGAACACGGCTGGGCATGATGGCTCATGCCTGTAATCTCAGCACTTTGGGAGGCTGAGGCAGGTGGATCGCCTGAGGTCAGGAGTTCAAGACCAGCCTGGTCAACATGGTGAAACCCATCTCTAGTAAAAAATACAAAAAAAAATTAGCCAGGCATGGTGGCAGGCACCTGTAATCCCAGCTACTAGGGAGGCTGAGGCAGGAGAATTGCTTGAACCTGGGAGGGAGAGGGAGTGAGCTGGACTGCACTCCAGCCCGGGTGACAGAGCGAAACTCCATCTCAAAAAAAGAAAAAAAAAAAAGGAACAGAAAGTAGGTCCCCAAGGTATGTAAACTTAAAGTTCTATAGCTTCCTCTCCACACCTCACATCTTTTTGCATCTCTAACCTTGCCAAGGATAACTAAAGTTTGGCTGTATTTTTTCATTTCTCCCTGAAATATTTTCAATAGAATCATTTCTGAAACCCATTCCAACCCCCCATACAGCACAAACAACGAGGAAACAGAAGATTCACCAAACATTTATGAACAGCCAGCTGTTATAAAGACAAGGGACCAATCTGAAAAATCAGAATAAAGTCTCCTTGTTAAAGCTGCTGCAAGAAACAGGCAAGCAAAACTTAGAACATTTTTAATTTGTAATTTTTGCTTAAAGTTTTGGTAAGATGTTGTATCATGGTAATTTGTCAGCAGTTCTAAAAGGGAACCATTTGTGTTCAGGAAAGATAGCTTAGAAGTGCAAAACATAGTTCCAGATTTTAAAACACAGTGAATGCAGTAACAGCCAACTTAAACTCTGCAAAATGCCAAATTGGTGAATTAACAGACAAGTTTGAATTGTTTCAAAACTCAGAGGAGATGATAAAAAGATAAAAACAAAAAAAAAGGCAAGAATATGGAAGAGAGAGAGAGGAGATTCAAAAGACATGAAAAGAATTCTAGAGGAGATGGCTGGGCGTGGTGTCTCACACATGTAACCCCAGCACTTTGGGAGGCCGAGGAGGGCAGATCATTTGAGGTCAGGAGCTCAAGACCAGCCTGGTCAACATAGTGAAACCCTGTCTCTACTAAAAACACAAAAATTCGCTGGGGGTGGTGGCACAGCCCTGTAATCCCAGCTACTCAGGAGGCTGAGGCAGGAGAATCGCTTGAACCCAGGAGGCGGAGGTTGCAGTGAGCTGAGATCGCGCCATTGCACTCCAGCCTGGGTGACAGAGTGAGACTTTCTCTCAAAAAAAAAAAAAAAAAAAAAATATTCTAGAGGAGAGAAAAAATTACTCCAGCCAACATTTATTAAATGTTTAGTAAGTGCTAGGCATTTAATTATATTAACACTTGCAGCAGCCTATCGAGGGAAATCACTGTCATCATTCACATTTGCAGATAAGGAAACTAATGTTTAGAAAGTTAACCATTTTCTTCAGTAGTAAACAGCTAATTAAAGGAGAGGCTAAGTCCCGAACCTAGCATCTGTTTCCCAAAAAGTAGACAAACCCTCTGAATAAGGGCCTCTTTTCTTAGAAAGCCCTCTGCATGTGTTTGGGTAACTCCAATGTCCACAGAGGAACCTGCTTTCTCATTCCTCTCTCAAATCACACTTACCTGCTGTCTCCCTTCTTCCCCCAGGCACCGATGAAGACGCCATTATTAGCGTCCTTGCCTACCGCAACACCGCCCAGCGCCAGGAGATCAGGACAGCCTACAAGAGCACCATCGGCAGGGTAGGCCACAGTCTTTCCTGCTCTGTCTGGCTGACTTCGCAGCAACAGGAAGCAGGGCCTCTTCCTGATCTAGGTTCCCGAAGTGACCTTGTGTTTTAAAAGATCGATCCTTTGTCTTGTTTAAAGATGTTCTTGAGGCCAGGTGTGGTGGGTCACACCTGTAATCCCAGCACTTTGGGAGACCGAGGTGGGTGGATCACTTGAGGCCAGGAGTTTGAGACCAACCTGGCCAACATGGTGAAACCCCATCTCTCCTTAAAAAATACAAAAATTAGCCGGGCATGGTGCTGAGCACCTGTAATCCTAGCTACTTTGTAGGTTGAGGCAGGAGAATTGCTTGAACCAGGAGGTGGAGGTTGCAGTGAGCCAAGATCATGCCACTTCACTCCAGCCTGGGCAACAGAGACAGACTCCATCTCAAAAAAAAAAAAAAAAAAAAAAAAAAGAATAGCGATTCAGCTCCTTCTTCGTCAATTGATCTTAAACAAGTTCTTAAACTCTCTGACCCATTCCAGGAGGAAATGTGAATAAACATCTTTAGAATTTGGTCCATTTTCCAAATAATTATATTTGGAAACTATATCTCAGGAATTGAGCCTTAAGAAATAGTCATGAATGATCACAAAGATACAACTAAATGCCTTATGTATATAACAGTAGAAAAATAGAAACAGGTGACTAGTTAAAGAAATTAGGCTGGGTGTGGTGGCTCACACCTGTAATCCTAGCACTTTGGGAGGCCGAGGCGAGTGGATCACTTGAGGTCAGGAGTTCGAGACCAGCCTGACCAACATGGTGAAACCCCGTCTCTACTAAAAATACAAAAAAATTAGCTGGGCATGGTGGTGGGCACCTGTAATCCCAGCTACTTGGGAGACTGAGGCAGGAGAATCGCTTGAATCCAGGAGGCGGAGTCTGCAGTGAGTCAAGATCGTGCCACTGCGCTCCAGCCTAGGCAACAGAGCAAGACTCCATCTAAAAAAAAAAAAAAAAGAAATTATGTTGCACCTATCTATAGAAATCTCCACAGCTGCTAAAAAGGTTATCAGTGAATATTGACTTGGAAGTATATTCAAGACATATTGTTAAGTAGGCAAATACATTTACATCGGTGTCTACAAACATATTCACCTCAAAGTTCCTTTACCTCTTAAATTTTTTAGGACTTTTGGTTTTGTGGGTTATATCTTTTGATATTTGCCCTATTAGAAACTAAAACTGAGGGCATTTAAAAATAGATATTTGTTAACTTAGTAAAAATAATAAGTATATTGTATGTTACTGTAAATAACATTTTAATGAAAAATAGCTATATATCCCAAAACGAAAAAACATTTAGTGAGAAGATTGGCATTGTTTTACATTTTGCAGATCTCTTTAATGTCTGGCTTAATGGAAGACAGATGGCTTCTCATATCTATTTCTACTTCAATTTGTTATGATATGTGGTTTTGGTTGGGGTATATGAAGAAAATCTGGCTTGTACAGATATGTACTTGAAAATGGGGGGAGTATTTGAACAGACAGTTGTTGATGCACAGACAATGTCAAATAGCCTTAGGAAAACCCCACTGTATGCTTGTGGAAGAATGACAGTGAAAAGGCAAATAACATCTGAGTGTTATTCTGAGGATAGTTTTGACTTGCAGGCCCCTTGAAAGGGTCTTGGAGACCCCAGACATCCCTGGACCACACCTGGAGAGTAGCTGGTCTAATTTGCTATAGCAGTTAAGCGGAGCTACTTTCTTGCATTGCAGGACTTGATAGACGACCTGAAGTCAGAACTGAGTGGCAACTTCGAGCAGGTGATTGTGGGGATGATGACGCCCACGGTGCTGTATGACGTGCAAGAGCTGCGAAGGGCCATGAAGGTCTGTGCTCTTCCTCTCGTGCTCTTGGTGCTGTTGGTGCAAACGCTGATGTGCTTTCTTAAGAAACTGTCACCCAATAAGAAAGACATGGAAGCAACCTAAACGCCCATCAATGGTAGACTGGATAAAGAAAATGTGGTACATGTACACCATGGAATAGCTGTAAAAAGGAACAAGATCATGTCCTCTGGAGGAACATGGATGGAGCTGGAGGTCATTGTCCTTAGCAAACTAAGGCAGGAACAGAAAATCAAATACCATATGTTTTCACTTACAAGTGGGAGCTAAATGATGAAAACACATGGACACATAGAGGGGAACAACACACACTGGGGCCTGTTGGAGGATGGAGGGTGGGAGGAGGGAGAGGATCAGGAAAAATAACTAATGGGTACTAGGCTTAATACCTGGGTAATGAAATAATCTGTACAACAAACCCCCATGACACAAGTTTATCTATATAACAAACCTGCACATGTACCCCTGCACTTAAAGTAAAAGTTAAATTTTTTTAAAAAAGAAAGAAACTATGACCAAGGCCTTCTGAGAGTAGCAGGTGTAAAGTATAGGAGATTTTCCTTCATTTACGACAACTTGAAAACATCATTACTTTACATTATACCAATTATAATTTAAAAGTTCTTTTCCAAAAAGTTAGGGAATCATTTGCTCCTTCCTGTGGCTCAATGGGGAGTGATTATAATTGTCGCTTTTAGTACAGCTCTAGAGACTTTTAGCTATCTCTAGACAGCTAACTACTTTTGAGATATGTAACTTTATGACTGACACTTTAGGGGCCTCCAGGTCTACTATAGGCTTACTTCTGGCAAAAGAGTTCCTGGCTTCCCTAGATGACGTACCCACTGTGCCCTAGCCTGGTCTGCCAAATTTTAATGACCAAGTATGTAATGCAAATATAAATGGTCCCCACCTTAGGATGGTTCTACTTAAAAATTTTCAGTGTATTGTACTCCTCATCATAAGTCGAGGAGTACAATTATCCTCCTCAACCATGTCAATAAATACTCAGACTTGTGGAAGGTTCTGGGCCAGGCTCTGGGAAAGCAAAGAGGTGACAAAGTCTTTGCCAGAAAATTCTGCCCTTCAGAGGAAGAGAGCAGAAGAGGTCAAGGAAAAATTAAGTCCCCAGAGGGCAGAAACCATACCTACCCGGGCACAGTAACGAACACATAATAAACAGCCTAGAAATGTTTGTTATTACTCATAATTGTTACGGCAAACACTTTGGGTTTCGGGTGGGACAATAAAAGTGAACAAACCCTGTTGTTAGAACGCAGTGGATTGTCTTTATTCTCTGCAGATTCATGACAGATGTATTCCTTCTGTGTCTGGGCCTCAGCTTTGTAAACTGGCTCATATAGCCCTGTCCTCTGGTTTCTTGTTTAGGGAGCCGGCACTGATGAGGGCTGCCTAATTGAGATCCTGGCCTCCCGGACCCCTGAGGAGATCCGGCGCATAAGCCAAACCTACCAGCAGCGTACGTGACATCCGCAGTGGCCCTGGCTGAGGTTTCGCTGTGATTAGAGAATGAGGGTAGCAGCGGGTTGTTGTTTGCTGATTAGACTTTTCACAGAACGCTGAGCATGAGGGATCCTCGGTGCCAAGCTCTGCTTCGAGGGAGATCCCTGTTTAGCCAAATGGCGGTCTGTTGGCTCCTTAAGATTTCTCAGGTGAAGATGACACTCTATTTTGCCTACCCAGTGCAGTATTTTATTACCCTAAAAGTTGGAAAGTTGTTCCTTATTATCAGACAAAGAATCTAAGGTACTTGTTCAAAAGTGGTGGCACCAGCAGATCTTAGCATTCCAAGGAATGGTCTGGAGGGGCCGTCTGGCCCAAATTCTTCCCTTCAGACTGGACTGTACGTCCTCCAGCCAAATCAGAATGACAGCCATTCACTCCCCCTTAGAGACCTCCAGAGGGTGATACGTATGAAGTGCCTTTAAAAAATGCCTGACTTTTTGCCCTAAGAATATAACTAAAAATGCACAGAGGTTCAGATCTCACAGTGTTTATTCAGCATTGTCTACATTAGCTAAAAATGCCCAAGAGTAGCAGATTGTCTAAACAAAATATTATACACTTACACAATGAACTATTATGTAGTCATTAAAACTTATATTAAAGAGTATTTTTTTCTTTTATTTAGCCTTTTTTTTTGAGACAGGGTCTCACTCTGTTGCCCAGGCTGGAATGCAATGGCCCCATCATAGCTCACTGCAACCTCGACCTCCTGGGCTTCAGCAACCCACCCACTGCAGCCTTCTGAGTAGCTGGGACCACAGGTGTGCGCCACCACACCCAGCTAATTTTTGTATTTTTTGTAGAGATGGGGTTTCGCCATGCTGCCCAGGCTGGTCTCAAACTCCTGGGCCCAAGCAATCTGCCCACCTCCGCCTCCCGAAGTGCTGGGATTACAGATGTGAGCCACTACACCTGGCCAAGAATACTATTAAAATATTTATTAAATGGTTTGGTATATGTAAGTGAAAAAGACAAGCCATAAAATAGTATGCTATGATCCCATTTTTAAAAAATTAACACAGTTAATAACACAGTATTTTTTAAATAAATGAAAATAATTTGTGCATGTGGGGGAAAATGAGGAAGGATATTTACAGAAATGTTGTCAATGATTCTTATTTCTGGGTGATTAGACTGCAGTGGAGTTCCTCGCCTTGCCCCTTCTTTTTACTTATTTGTTTTTTCCTAAGCCTTCTGTGGTCAACATGTGTTACCTTTATAGAAAGAAAACAACCACAATAAGAGCTTTGTGGGAAGTGTTCAGAGCAGGAGATTCTAAACCTTAGGAGTCTGGATTTAGCAACCCAATCCCCACATCTGCCCAATGAGGGTTTTCTTCCCTGAGGGCTGTGAAGGGCTGGAGCTTCTCTTTTCGTTTTTGCTTTTTAAAAATTAATTATGAAGAAGTGATTTTTAATTTCTTGCTGAAGCTCCCCCTGCCTATTTTTTTTGACACAGGATCTCGCTCTGTGGCCCAGGCTGGAGTGCAGTGGCATGGTCATGGCTCACTGCAGCCTTGACCTCCCCAGGCTGAGATGATCCTCCCACCTCAGCCTCCCCTGTAGCTGGTACTACAAGCATGCGCCAACATACCCAGCTAATTTTTGTATTTTTTGTAGAGATGGGGGTTCACCATGTTGCCCAGGCTGGTCTCGAACTCCTGGATTCAAGCAGTCTGCCCTCCTCAGCCTCCCAAAGTGTTAGGATTACAGGCATGAGCCACTGCGCTCGGCCGTGGAGCTTCTCATGGATAACCTGTCAGAACCTCCCAAGTGAGAGACGTGGCAGAGAGGCATATGCTAGGATTTGCATTTGACAGCGCTCCAACCCCAGCCCCACCTCAAAGCTGGGTTCAGAAGCTCCTATCTGGTTGCTTTCCATCAGTGAAGCAGCAGAGGCTGCTCCACAGCTGTGGTTCCCTCTGTGTCACTGAGAACCACGTTCAGATCGGACCCCTGGGTGGCAGGAAGCACAGAGGGAGGATTTCAGACCCAGCTTTTTCAACCCCACATTTTAAGAAACAGGAATATCTTGGCTGGGTGCGGTGGCTCACGCCTACAATCCCAGAACTTTGGGAGGCCAAGGCAGGCGGATCACCTGAGGTCAGGAGTTCACGACCAGCCTGGCCAAAATGACAGAACCCTGTCTGTACTAAAAATACAAAAATTAGCTGGGCATAGTGGGGCACACCTGTAATCCCAGCTACTTGGGAGGCTGAGGCAGGAGAATTGCATGAACCCAGGAGGCAGAGGTTGCAGTGAGCTGAGATGGTGCCACTGCACTCCAGACTCCATCCAGCCTGGGCAACAGAATGAGACTCCATCTCAAAAGAAACAAAACAAAAACAGGAATATCGTGTGACAGGATAAGCTGATCTTGACCATTTTACCAGAGTTTAGTTTTTGAAAAACTGTGTGTGGGGTGAAAAAACCTCATGATAAGCTGCTTCCATAAGCAGGCTGGTCTTGAGGGGACAGATTGCTCTGGAGTGTGACAGGGCATTGGGCAAGACTCTTAATTCTGAAGTAGCTAATTTCACTCTCTTGCTAGAATATGGACGGAGCCTTGAAGATGACATTCGCTCTGACACATCGTTCATGTTCCAGCGAGTGCTGGTGTCTCTGTCAGCTGTGAGTGACTGCTTCTGATGGGGGGCGGGTTTTATCGAAATGTCCACTCTATCCCCTTTGCCAGCCTTTCTCATCCTTTCAGCCCCTGACATGTGGATATTCCCCAGGTAGTGTTCTCAGACCCCTCTGTTCCTTTATCTTATTTCTCCTTCAGAGACTCTGGCTAATCCTGCCTGCCCATTTTTTCTACTTTAATTTGATATTTACAAGTACCTAACACCTGCCAGGTCCCCCTGTCACTCAGTGCATTGAGAGTTATGAAGATGATTCAGAGGCAGTTCCTGGGCCTTAAGAGTATATATTGTCATAAGGGAATACATCAGGTACACAGTTGCTAGAAGGCATGAAAAGATTACATGCCAAAGGAGAGGCGCATAGGAAAAAGAAGATTCAAGGAGAAAATTTGGTTGTAGAAACAAAGAAAAGCCTTCATGACAGAGATGCTGGTTCAGAGAGGACTTGGAGGATTACTAGAATTTCAAGAGGCAGAGACGTGGGTGGGTGTATTGCAGACAGGAAGAACAGCAAGAATAAGGCAGGGAACATGGGGTTCAGGGAACAACTGGGTGAACAGTTGGGCTGGTGATTCTGGAAACAGGGTGGGAGGATAAACTGGAATTCTATGTTGGGAGCAGTTTACACTTATTTATTTGGGAGCAGTAGATGACGTGATGATGACAACGATGATGGGAGTGATGTGACTGGAGCTGCACTTTCAGAAGAGTAATGTAATAGTGACGTGTAGGATGAACAGTGGAGAGGAACTGGAGGCTGGACGACCAGGTAGGAAGCTACCTGGAAAATTCCAGCTGGAAAATAAAGCAGGACTGAGCTAGGTGGGGCAGGGTTGCCTGAAAAGGGAAGCTGGAGACTTCAGACATTTCACATCACTTCCCAATTGCATCTTTATCCCCGGCCTCCTTCCTGAGCTTGAGACTCTCATTTCACATTGCTTTTTAGATGTTTCATTACAGATATTCTACTATACCCTTAATGAACTGAACCAGAACTCATTTTCCCTTCAAACCAGCTCTTCTTCCGGACTTGCCTGTTTCTGTTAATATTGCTGTTGTTCCTCCTACACCTAAAGAAGCAGAACCCTGGAAATCATCTCCAATTTCCACTTTGCTCTTGTCTCCAATATTTACTTAGTAACGCCTGCCTGTGTCTCATATTTCTTTCCCACTTTCTCTTTTCCTCCCATATTTACCACTCTGATGAGCCATGCCTAGACCATGGAACATCGAGACAGTATAACAATAAAAATAGCCTAAAAACTAGAGGAAAGTAGCCCATTTTATCATTTGTTAGCATTCTTCAGAGGCTTCCACCCTGCCTTCTTGTGAGCTGGTGTTGGTGAGGGGTAGGGGGACATTTTTATGGGATCCTCAAGTCCCACCATAGGTCTCATATTCTCTCGACTCTCCTCTGTTCCCAACCTCCCCACCTTTTTTTTTTTTTTTTTTAAGATTCAAGGTCTTGCTATGTTTCCCAGGCCAGCTCTTCACAGGTGCCATCTTAGCTCACTGCCTTGAACTCCTGGCCTCAAGACATCCTCCCACCTCAGCCTCGAGTAGCTGGAACTACATGCACATCCCGACCCCCTTTTGGCAGAGGTTGATCAATGTAGATTTGCCAGTTAGGAAGGCATGAGTCAGCTGGGAAGACACAGGAGAGTGGGGTGGTGGGGGAGGCCAGGAGATAGTGGAGGGAGCTGTCCTTGGGAAGCTTCTCCTGCTATTGGCAGAGGCACTCATGCAACGTTAGGGGCCACACTGAGGCTCAGCCCTCTAGGCACACATCAGAGCCATTGTAATAATGCGAGCGCATTTAGAGGACGTCTGTCCTCCCTCCCTGGGTCTGAAGCTCCAATTCTTGTGGTATTTTGTCTCATTACTCTAGACCTGCTATCTTAATGGTGTCCCCAGATCTTCATGTATACTCTCGAATTATTTTTTATTTGTTTTTCTCATCCTCAGGGTGGGAGGGATGAAGGAAATTATCTGGACGATGCTCTCGTGAGACAGGATGCCCAGGTTGGTAGAACTGCAGCTTCTTTCTTCCAGCTTTCTTCTCTTTCGCCAATGAGACAGGCCTTAGTGGGTGGATAGCAACTTATATTACAGTGTATATTAGCCAGGCTTGGATATGTTCTTTAAAAATATTCCCACAGATAGCCTTTAATAACAGGTTTCTTGCAGAGGTACCTGGGGCTGGACATCATTATATAAGCACTCCTGGGTTCCAAGTTTCTCAACATTAGGACCATTGTGTGGCAATCCCAGAGAACCACTGTCTTCCGAATCCCGTGGAGGTGAAAGGGACTGTTCACTGTGCACTTTTACTTCATCAAAGAGGACATTTGATAGGACCTATATAAAATAGCTTGACACAGTGTATACCCTGCTGGGTAAAATTAATAGCAAACCCCAAGAGGCATTTGCCTCTCTGTTTCCCAGCCCAGTGATGGTTGTCCTGGAACCAACCCATGGTCTAATCAGCTGTGGCCAGATAACACTAACGATAATAGCTAATAAAAAGTGGGTCATTACCAGGTACCAAACACTGTTCTAAAATTTTTTTTTTTTTTTTGAGATGGAGTTTCACTCTTGTTGCCCAGGCTGGAGTGCAATGGCATGATCTTGGCTCACTGCAACCTCCGCCTCCTGGGTTCAAGTGATTCTGCTGCCTCAGCCTCCCAAATAGCTGGGATTACAGGTGCCTGCCACCATACCCGGCTAATTTTTTTCTATTTTTAGTAGAGACGGGTTTTCACCATGTTGGCCAGGCTGGTCTTAAACTCCTGACCTCTGGTGATCCGCCTGCCTTGGCCTCCCAAAGTGCTGGGATTACAGGCATGAGCCATCGCGCGTGGCCCACTGTTCTAAATTCTATATTAAGTATGTCATTGAATCTTTGCAATAACTTCATAAGGTAAGTATTGCTATCCCCATTTTACAAACAAGGAAACTGAGGCTCAGAGAGGTCAAGTACCTTGCTCAAGCTCAGAAAGATAATAAAGGGCAGAGCTAGGATTTGAACCAATTGGCATCTAGACCCAGTATTCTCTCTCTCTCTCTCTCTCTTTTTTTTTTTTTTTTTTTGAGACAGGGTCTCACTGTCGTCCAGACTGGAGTGTGGTGGTGTGATCTCAGCTCACCGCAACCTCCCCCTCCCAGGTTCAAGCAATTCTCCCACCTCAGCCTCCTGAGTATCTGGGATTACAGGATGCACCACCACCACCCGGCTAGTTTTTGTATTTTTAATAGAGATAGGGTTTCAACATGTTGGCCAGGCTGGTCTTGAACTCCTGACCTCAAATGATCCACCTGCCATGGCCTCCCAAAGTGCCGGGATTACAGGCATGAGCCACCGCGCCTGACCATAGACCCAGTATTCTTAACCAATACATAACCATAATGAGGGATTGGTTCCATTCAGTTTGTGAGGTATGAACAACTTTGTTTTATGCAAAAAAAAAGAACCTGTTGCTTTCATTAGAGGGGATAGAGGTATGTGTGTGGCTTGGGCTTCTTGGAGCACGGCAGCTGGGTTTCAAGAAGGAGCACCCAGAAAGCAAGCATTCCAATAGAAACAATGGCAGTTGCATGATTGTTTATGATCTAGCCTCAGAGATCAGTGTCACTTCCACTAACCTGTATTTTATTCTTTTTTTTTTTTTTTTTTTTTGAGATAGGGTCTTGCTCTGTCTCCCAGGCTGTTGTGCAGTGGCATGATCTCGGCCCACTGCAACCTTCACCTCCCAGGCTCAAGTGATCCTCCCACCTCAGCCTCCTGAGTAGCTGGACTACAGGCGTGTGCCATCATGCCTGGCTAAGTTTTAAATATTTTTTTGGTAGAGGTGGGGTTTTGCCATATTGCCCAGGCTGGTCTCAAACTCCTGGGCTCAAGCAACCTATCTGCCTTGGCCTTCCAAAGTGCTATGATTACAGGCATGAGCCACCGTGCCCAGCCCACAACTATGCTTTATTAATTAAAGCAATGTATTAGTCAGAATTCTTAAGAGGAACAGAACCAATAGAGAGAGAGAGCGAGAGAGACACAGAGGGGTGTGTGTGTGTGTGTGTGTGTGTGTGTGTGTGTGTGTGTGTGTGTGTGTGAGAGAAAGAGAGAGAGGATGGAGTTGGGCAAGTACCAGGATCTTCAGAGGGAATCAGCAAGCTGGAGATGCAGGCCAGCCTATGGTTTTGTTCCAGTCTGAGTCCAAAGGCCTGAGAACTAGGAGCAGTTCCCATCTGAAGGCCAGCAGGCTGGAAACCCATGAAGAGCTGATGTTCCAGTTCAAGTCCAAAGGCAGGAAAAAAACTGATGTCCTAGCTCAAGGCAGTCAGGCAGGAGGAGTCCCTCTCACTCTTGGGAAGGTCAGCCCTCTTCTTGAAAACAAAAGCTTTCAGCTGATTGTATGAGGGCCCCTCCTCCATATTGGATCATCCAAAAACCCTCACAGAAACACCCAGAATAATGTTTGAGCAAAAATCTGGGTAACCCATGGCTCAGTCAAGTTGACATAAAATAAATTGTCACAAGCCTGTTGAGATTCAAGTTTCAGAAGTGCTGAATAAGATGAACTCTTTTGAATTAGGTGAATTAGATGAACGCTTTCAGCTTTAAATTTTTATGATTATGTGAATTGACTCTAAAGCAGTGAGGGAATCAGAGAAAGAAGTGAAAAAATGGGGGAGTATATGGAGGTAAGCCCAATGAGCCACAATATGTGTGAGTTAAGATCTTTTTGAGAAATGTAACAGGCAAGCTGCTTATTAAAAATGAACAGTAATTCTGATTGAGCAATAATGTAGTTAAATTGAGCAGAATGAGTTTCCTATATTCCTACCTGGTTGGAATGTAAGCAATTGGCAATGGGTCCCTGGTTCTACTGTGAGACCTGTAGCCTCAGGAAAATCACAGATCATTCTAGAGCAGGGCTATCCAATAGAACTCCCCGCAGTGATGAGAACATTCCACATCTGCACTGTCCTGTATGGGTGACTACCGGCTACCTGTAGCCGCTGGGTACTTGAAATGAGGCCAATGTGATTGAAGAGCTGAATTTTAAATTGTATTTAATTTCAATTAACATTTAAACAGCCACATGTGGTTAGTGGCAACTGTAGGGGACAGCCCAAATCTAGGGCATTTCTTTTAGCTCTTAAGATAGAACCATGTAGTCTCCAGCTAGGGAACTGCTAGTGTTTGCCCTGACTCCCAGGGGGGTATGACAGGGTCCCAACAGCCTTATGCCTGAGGAAGGATCCTGAGTCATTTCCACTCACCACTACCATTTCCAACCCCATCACCAACAAAATAAAACTAAGCCAGCTCAGCTCTTTGAGCTTCTGGAAATATTTGCCTGTGTCCTGGCACATCGTTTTTGGAATTTTAGACCTGTGCTTTGTTTGGCTTCAGGACCTGTATGAGGCTGGAGAGAAGAAATGGGGGACAGATGAGGTGAAATTTCTAACTGTTCTCTGTTCCCGGAACCGAAATCACCTGTTGCATGGTAAGGCACTTACTTCATTTCCCAAAGAAAAGGAGTGAAAGATAGCAAAAACTATATTGCCCATAAGTAGTTGATAACCTTCCTCCTTCAGTTGGTACAAAGAACTGATTGTACCCAAGTGTCTTAGATTCTCACCCTGGAAATGTATTAGTCCAATGATGTATATGAAAGCTAATTTCTGAAAGATTAATTATGAATAATTAGAAAAAGTGCATGTAGTCATAGAAGTTTGGCATTCTTGTTTCTAGGAAACTGACCTTCACAGTCAGTCCTTTTTCTAAAGTAGCCCCAGTATTTTCATTCTAATGTAGTTACATATGAAAGTAATCTGTAGTAGATCAGGTAGCAATAAAATAGCAATGTTGGTTGATATTTATTCCTGTGTAATATCCAAGCTGTAAAGCTAATACAAGTGATTTCTTTAGGGGTTATGTTGTATAAGATGAATAGTGGATAATTTCAAATTTGATATGTTTCTAATTTGTTTCTGATAAATATAAACTTTGTAATGTGATTTTAACTTATTTGGGGGAAAGATACTAGACAATTTTAGAATATTTGCTGTCAGGTTCATATTCTTTTAAACAAGCAAGTAAGGATATAATAAGATATTTCATCTTTTATACGAGTTCTTTAGATCTTTAAGTACATTATAATTTTATAAACCCACCCACCATACCCTTTTAATCACACACACTGATTTGCAAAGCTTGTGGGAAATTTGAGAATGAGTTTGCTAAATTGAAAACATAAAGCAATTGAGAAGTACAACACATTCTGAAGTTGTAATTATTTCAGGTTTTTCACAGTGACAAAAAAACAGGTGATTACTCCTGTTAATCAATATCCCGGGCTACCATCAGGTACACAAACTTCTGACTCAGCTTCTTTCTTCACTTCCTTCCCTTGCCTGGTTACAAATAACAGGAATCTCCCCCTGGTGGTGTTTTCCAAGAACTGCAGGTCCTCAGAAGCCGATTTAGTGCATAAATGCATTTGCAAGAATTTTCACTTCTGGGTACAAGTCAATAGTTAGGCAGTTATGAAATATCTGTTTGTAAGCCACTGGGAGAAAATATTTTAAGCACTGTTTGGACTAGGAAAACTTCATAATTGTCTTACCAACCAACAATAATGGTGAGATTTCATAATAACTACCGTTTTGTTAATAATGTTCTATTTTCTAGGTGCAGTGTTAAGCATTTTATAAGCATTGTTTCTTGCAACACTCAATGGAGCAGTAATTATTTTCCCCATTTTACAGTGGAGAAAACTGAGGCTTAGAAAATGTGTCAATTAAGTTCTTTGATTCCAAGCCACACACACTGACTTCAATTTAAGTAAGAAAAGATGAAATAATATAGAATGGCACAGGAGGGAAAATGGAAAATACTGGTAGCTCACAGATTTGAACAGACAGCTGAACACCTTCAGGAAGAACAGAAATCAAGGCAGTTCTGGGGGTCTCAGTAGAAGGGAATAATGGATTTTATTTCTAAAGCAGAGTTTCTGAAGTTCGTTTTCTATTAAAAATGCTAAATATTGACCCCCTACTTCAGACTGGCTGAATTAGAATCTCTGAGTGTGACACCCAGGAAGTTTAATAGGTTTCTCTGAGGGTAAAGATGATGCAGTGCTTTTGGCCATCCCCGTGAGCTGCTCAATTAAAAAGTTCCCAGGAGAGAGTCTAACGGGTCCTGACTGGGTCAACTGCTCACGTGTTTGACAGAGGTTGTGGTGTATGTTGTTGGGTATGGTGTCCCTTGATTGACAGCCCTGTTAAAATCACATTGATGGAAGTGAGGCAGCACCCCAAAGAAGGCGATGGTGAGAAGATAAAATAGATACCTGCTCTAAGAAGTTTCCAGAAGGAGACAGCAAGAGAGGGGAACATATTCACCACATTCAAAAATACTTGGCAAAAAACAACAACAAATGTAATTATGTTTAAGTATTTTAAAAGATGCAACCAGCTGTTATTAACTGTGACTCAGTTCTGAAGCAGTTGAATTGTTCTAGTTTTGATGAGCCAAAAGGGAGATGACAGGGAGGTGATTGCCAAGGACAAAAACACAAAAAGACACATTCTGCTTATTAAGGAAACAATGAGAAAGGAAAGCAAAGCTCCCCAGAGGCCATCTCCATTTTATGTGTGAGGGTCCCAGATAAGGGAAAGGACTTGACTGATGTCCTCCAAACATCACAGCATTTCTTCCTCCTTATCTGGGGCCCATTCCACTCTGCACATCCCTCCTGGCTGCTTGCCCACATTACTAATTAGTTTCCTCCTGAAATATGCCAAAGAATAAATAGTGTAGGCTAGTTAAAAATGCTCATTCTCTCCATAAATTTTAGTTTCCTCTGTTTTTTCTTCCCAATAATACTATTTTGTTATTGTCTGCAGTGTTTGATGAATACAAAAGGATATCACAGAAGGATATTGAACAGAGTATTAAATCTGAAACATCTGGTAGCTTTGAAGATGCTCTGCTGGCTATAGGTAAGCTGGTAGGGGGAGTAGAGAAACAAATGTTTATAGATTTTCCTTCTCATTATCAGTTTGCAATATGGGGATATAGAATTATTTTTAGAGATAAAAGTTGTTTATCATGAATCACTCATGTTACATTCCAGATTTTTAAACAAGAAATATTATATACAACCTGATTGCTATTGTGCCATGTGGTTTATATATTTTATATCTTCTGTGCCTTTGTATGTCCTATGTGAAAGGTAATAATGTGCAGATATACAGGCTGCAGCTTGCAAGTCTGTGAATGGTTAGAACTAGTAACTGTCTCATATGGCAGATACAGTAATCCTTATTTTGAAATGAAATACCACCCTTTGCTTTGATAGACTTTATCAATTACTTCTCCAGGAACTTGATGATAAATTGAGGGTACTTTCTATCTGTGAAAATACATAGAGCATCGCCTATGTTCATGAAACATTGCTTGGCTAAAATTTCCCTGGCAAAGCAAATATTGATACCTTGTAGAAACAGAGGAAACAACTGTCACTTTTCTTTTTTCATGGGTCTTATCTGTAATCTTTTCATTTCTTCTTTTTTTTTCTTTGACAGTAAAGTGCATGAGGAACAAATCTGCATATTTTGCTGAAAAGCTCTATAAATCGATGAAGGTAAATGGCCTTATTTTCAGCATCTAAATGAATTTGAGTTATCTTGTGTCCACCTTCTTAAGCTTACTTATATCCCCTATCCAAACTTTGCTCTGAAAGATCCAATTCAATTCATCAAATACTTCAGTGAGTGCCTGCTAATAATAATACTAGGTGATATTTACTGAGTACTTAGGATGTATGGATCACTGTTTTTAATAGATTAATTATATCCCCACAACAGCTCTATCAGGCTGGTACTATTACTAACCTCCAATTTACAGATGAGGAAACTGAGGCATAGAAAGGATATGCAGTTTGCCCAAGATTCTCAGTGAGGAAGTATGGAGCAAGAATGCCAGGTGTTTACCTGGCATTCTAGCTCCAGAGCCCGTATTCCTAACCCTCCATCGTACTCTGCAGGCTGAGAATCACAGGAGGTGCAGGGAAGGTCAAAATGTAGTCTTTGGCCAGGTGCGGTGGCTCACGCCTGTAATCCCAGCACTTTGGGAGGCTGAGGCGGGTGGATTACTTGAGGTCAGGAGTTCAAGACCAGCCTGGCCGTCATGGTGAAATCCCCGTCTCTACAAAAATGCAAAAATTAGTCAGGTATGGTGGCTCATGCCTATAATCCCATCTGCTTGGGAGGCTGAGGCAGGAGAATCACTGGAACCCAGGAGGCAGAGGTTGCAGTGAGCTGAAATTGCACTACTGCACTCCAGCCTAGGCAACACAGTGAGACTCTGTCTCAAAAAAGAAAAAAAAAAAAAGCAAAACAAAACAACAACAACAAAAATGTAGACCTTGCTCTCAAAGAATGTCTAGCCTAGGCAAGTATGTGCAAAACACCAATTATAACAAGACAGAATGTAAGACAGTAGTTGAGGATCCAAACATTGTAGAAACACAGAGGAAAGGGTTTTTTTTTTTTTCAATATTTGTTTTTTGAGGTGGAGAATCTGCAAAGAATATATAAACAGTTGGTATATTTGAGCAGGACCTTCCAAATGTAGAAGTTTTACATCAGAGGATTTCATGTGGTGAAGGGAAGGGGTGATAAGGCTGGGGAGGGAAGGATAATACTCCATGAGAAGGAATCGTAGGTGAGCCAGGTGGCAGGGTATGTCTGGACAGCACAGGTTATGGCTCTAGAAAAGCAGGGAACGGCATCCTGTGGTCAGAACATAGAGCATTGGAAAAGTGAGTTGTGGAGAGCCTTGAATACCATGATAAAGAGTGAGGATATTCCTCAGGCCTGCCAAGTAGTGGAGCAAAGGACATCGTCAGCACAGTCATCTCTAGTCTTGCTTTGATAGACTAAAGAAGACACTGAAAAACAGCTAGGTTTTTGTATATGTTTGGATTTCGTTTTCTTCCTTAGGGCTTGGGCACCGATGATAACACCCTCATCAGAGTGATGGTTTCTCGAGCAGAAATTGACATGTTGGATATCCGGGCACACTTCAAGAGACTCTATGGAAAGTCTCTGTACTCGTTCATCAAGGTAGGTCACAGCAGCCTAAGTCCAGAGTAAAGGATCCAGAAAAGGACCCCTCTGACCTTGGCATTTAGCACTTGTTGTCCCCCTCTTCTTGGCATATATCATTTCCCTTAAAGATTATGCTCCCGATATTTCCAGTCTCTCCTCTTTCACACAGATATTTAAACCTTTGCCAGGATACAAGCTGGAAATTTGCCTTCTAAATACAGTAATTATTTTATGTTGACCTCAGACAAAGATTACATTTTAATGAATACTTTTAAGCACACAATTTCCTCGTCTACCTAATTATGAGAGAAGATAAACAACTGAATCCAGAGTCCTAGGCAGGGGCCAGCTGAGGTCTGCTGGGAATATGGGAAAGCATTTTAGCTATCCTGAATTACTGTTCTTTACCAGGCACCAGACTTCTAGGAGTCCTAAGAGGGCATGGTAGTGGTGAGAAATGGTTCACCTCCCTCAAAGCCAGGCATTCCTGGGATTTTGTTTCTTGAGGATGCTGGAAGAGTCTCATGGACATGAAAGTGAGACAGATTTCCCTAGGAGCTAAGGTTGCCTGCACTGCAAGCTTCAAATCAGCGTTCGATCTGTGAACTAAATATTCTGAATCCTACTCAAAGCTTGGAGAGGTGTGACAATTAGGTGATTTTAACTGCAGATTTTTTTTTTTAGATGGAGTCTCACTCTGTCGCCCAGGCTGGAGTGTAGTGGCGCAATCTCCACTCACTGCAACCTCCACCTCCTAGGTTCAAGTGATCCTCCTGCCTCAGCCTCCTGAGTAGCTGGGACTACAGGCATGAGCTTTGTATTTTTTGTAGAAATGGCGTTTCACCATGTTGGCCAGGCTAGTCTTGAACTCCTGACCTCAAGTGATCCACCCGTCTCGGCCTCCCAAAGTGCTGGGATTACAGGTGTGAGCCACCATGCCCCACCAAGCTGTGGATTTTGTTACTACGTCTACAAGGCATGCAGGAACTTGTTTCTATTTCTGACTAGGCTATGAGGTAACTTGATTTTGCAGAGCTGAACTATATAACTAGTTTAAGATTCAAGGATGACGGTAAGTGAAGTTATGGGAAAATATACTACAAACAAGAAAAAAACAAAATAACCCCAGGAAATGACAAATGATTTATGGAGGATATGGAGAGACTAGAACTCTTGTGCACTGTTGGTAGGAATATAAAGCGGTGCAGCCACTGTGAAAAACAGTCTGTTACGAAACTTTAAGCACCAAACTTCTTCAAAAAGTTTAATATAGACCAGGCATCGTGGCTCATGCCTGTAATCCCAGCACTTTGGGAGGCCGAGACAGGTGGATCACTTGAGCCCGGGAGTTCGAGACCAGCCTAGCCAACATAGTGAGACCCTGTCTCTACAAAATCAACAAAAATTAGCCGGGTGTGGTGGTGCACGCCTGTAGTCCCAGCTACTCAGGAGGCTGAGGTGGGATGATCACCTGAGGCTGGGGAGGTCGAGGCTGCAGTGAGCCATGACTGTACCACTTCAAGACTCCAGCCTGAGTAAAGACCCATCCCAAAAAAGAAAAAGAAAAAATTTTAACATAGAATGACCATATGAGCCAGCAATTCCACTCTCAGTTATATACTTAAATGAAAACAGGAACCCAAACAGCTAGTTGTACATCAACATAAACATTATTAACAATAGGCACAAGGTGGAAACAACCTAAATATCCATCAACAGATGACTGGATAAACAAAATGTATATACATACATAAAAAGCAATGATATTCAATGGTACGCTGTCATGAAAAAAAGGAATGACATTTTTGATACGTGAATGAACCTTGAAAATATACTACGTGCAATAAATCAGACACAAACGGACAAATATTGTATGATTCTGCTTTATGAAATATGTAGAATAGGTAGATTCATAGGGACAGAAAGTAGATTAGAGGTTACCAGCAATTTGGAGGGAGAGGAAAGAATGGGAGTTATTGGTTAGTGGGTACAGAGTTTCTGTTTGGGGTGATGAAAGGGTTTTAGAAATAGACAGTGATGATGGTTACATAACATTGTAAAAGTAACTAGTGCCACTTGAAAATGGTTAAAATGACAAATTATATATATATATTTTTTTACCACAAGAAAAAGTCTCTGAATTTGAATAAAATTGTTTAATGAAATGTGAAAAGAATAGATGAAGTATAATACTTCATCATAGCATTATTTATATTATTTACATGGCTTTATGTTATTTATATTTATATCAATAATATGGTATTATAGTATATAATTTATTATATATTGTTATTACTATTAATCAATAGGGAATAACAAATTATGGAAAATCCATACAATATAATACTATACCAACACTAAAATGATTGAGTACAAATATATTGATTGGCTTGGGAAGAAAACACTATAATCTAGTGTATATATGTCTGTATATATAAATATGTAAATATATGTGTGTATACACACACACACCACTAGAAAAGATTAAAAATAAAGAATACATTACTCATTCAATAATAGTTGTCAAAAGAAATGAAAAAAGCAGAATAGAAGCATAAAATATGTAAATAATAGAAAAAAATGACAAAAGATAAAAATAAAAGTTATAAAAATAAATAAACTCTCAGGTTAGGTAAAAATATAAAATCCAACTTCATGCTGTTTATAAGAAACAACTAAAATACAGTGACATGTAAAAAGCTTAAAGAAAAACACCAGGGAAAGAAAGAAAGCGGACATACAAGAAAGAAAGCGGAGATTATGCTATTAATAAAAAGAAGAATTTAGGGAGAAAAAGTATTAAATAGGAGAAAGTGGATCACGTTATACTGACAAAGGCAACAATTCACAGCAAAGATTAAACTGTTATGAAACTTTCAGTACCAAATTATATTGCATTCAAATGTATAAATAAGAAACTTGAGGCTCCAGAAGAAAACATATAATGGAATTAGTATGCTAGCGAGAGACTTTAATACATCCTATGCTTTGGCACATCAATGAGGCAAAGTATAAACAAGGATATATTAAGATTGAGCTTAACAGATACTTATTAAACTTTGAACCCTATATACAGAGATTCCATCTTTTCTAGTCCCCACGAATGACTAATAAAAATTAATCTAGGCCAGGTGCAGTGGCTCACACCTGTAATCCCAGCATTCTGGGAAGCTGAGGTGGGAGGATCACTTGAGCCCAGGAGTTCGAAGCTGCAGTGAGCTATGACCACACCACTGTTCTCCAGCCTGGGTGATAGAGCAAGACCCTGTCTCTAAAAATATAATAAAAATAAATAAATAAAATTAAAGATTAAAAAATTAATCAATTATTAGACCACAAAAATTTATATGCAGAAATTATAGAACCTTTCCGGAAGACTGTTTTGTAACCCATATCAAAATGTTTAAGAAAACAGGCTGGGTGCGGTGGCTCACACCTGTAATCCTAGTACTTTGGGAGGCCAAGGTGAGTGGATCACTTGAGGTCAGGACTTCAAGACCAGCCTGGCCAACATGGTGAAACCCTGTCTCTACTAAAAAAATAAAAATTAGCCAGGCGTGGTGGTGTGTACCTGTAGTGCCAGCTACGCAGGCAGCTGAGGCAGGAGAATCACTTGAACCTGGGAGGCGGAGGTCGCAGTGAGCCAGGATTGCACCATTGCACTCTAGCCTGGGCCACAGAACGAGACTCCGTCTCAGAAAAAAAAAAAAAAAAAGGTTTAAGAAAATGCATTTAGTCCAGTAATTCCCATTTTATGAAAATTTATCCAGAATAAATCATTAAGAAAATATACAAAAATGTAACTACAATATGCTTATTGAAGCAGTGTTTATAATAGTGAAAAATTGAAACAACGTAAATATCCAACAATAGGGAGAGGGAGGATGTGATCAAATAAATTATTTTACCTGCATACAATGGGATATTCTGTAACCATTAAATAATGTTGTAGAATAATATTTAACAAAATAGGGCCCTAGCACGGTTGCTCACGCCTGTAATCCCAGCACTTTTTGGGAGGCCAAGGCTGGCAGATCATGAGATCAGGAGATCAAGACCATCCTGGCTAACATGGTGAAACCCCATTTCTACTAAAAATACAAAAACAAAATTAGCCGGGCATGGTGGCAGGCGCCTGTAGTCCCAGCTACTCAGGAGGCTGACGCAGAAGAATGGCGTGAACCCGGGAGGCAGAGCTTGCAGTGAGTCAAGATGGCGCCACTGCACTCCAGCCTGGGTGACAGAACAAGACTCTGTCTCAAAAAAAAAAAAAAAAAAAAAAAACCACAAACAAAAATGAACAAAATAGGGAAATAGGCTATATTGTTAAGTGAAAAAGCAGAACACAGAATACTACTGTTCTATCACATTGGGTATCTAGATACATAGAAAAAAGACTGGAAGGACATTCACACATCAAAACGGTAAGAATAGTAGTCTCTAGATGATGGAATAATGGTTGATTTTTGTGTTCTTTTTTGTCTTTATTTTCTACACTGAATAAGTATTACCTTCGTAATAAAAAATAACAAAAAAAATTTAAAGCTAAGAAAAATCCAGCCAAGCTTGAAAAAGTTGGCTTAGATGACTTTGAACTGTGTGTTTCATTTTAAAATCTATTTATCTAACTTTGCTTCCCTATCGAACAGGGTGACACATCTGGAGACTACAGGAAAGTACTGCTTGTTCTCTGTGGAGGAGATGATTAAAATAAAAATCCCAGAAGGACAGGAGGATTCTCAACACTTTGAATTTTTTTAACTTCATTTTTCTACACTGCTATTATCATTATCTCAGAATGCTTATTTCCAATTAAAACGCCTACAGCTGCCTCCTAGAATATAGACTGTCTGTATTATTATTCACCTATAATTAGTCATTATGATGCTTTAAAGCTGTACTTGCATTTCAAAGCTTATAAGATATAAATGGAGATTTTAAAGTAGAAATAAATATGTATTCCATGTTTTTAAAAGATTACTTTCTACTTTGTGTTTCACAGACATTGAATATATTAAATTATTCCATATTTTCTTTTCAGTGAAAAATTTTTTAAATGGAAGACTGTTCTAAAATCACTTTTTTCCCTAATCCAATTTTTAGAGTGGCTAGTAGTTTCTTCATTTGAAATTGTAAGCATCCGGTCAGTAAGAATGCCCATCCAGTTTTCTATATTTCATAGTCAAAGCCTTGAAAGCATCTACAAATCTCTTTTTTTAGGTTTTGTCCATAGCATCAGTTGATCCTTACTAAGTTTTTCATGGGAGACTTCCTTCATCACATCTTATGTTGAAATCACTTTCTGTAGTCAAAGTATACCAAAACCAATTTATCTGAACTAAATTCTAAAGTATGGTTATACAAACCATATACATCTGGTTACCAAACATAAATGCTGAACATTCCATATTATTATAGTTAATGTCTTAATCCAGCTTGCAAGTGAATGGAAAAAAAAATAAGCTTCAAACTAGGTATTCTGGGAATGATGTAATGCTCTGAATTTAGTATGATATAAAGAAAACTTTTTTGTGCTAAAAATACTTTTTAAAATCAATTTTGTTGATTGTAGTAATTTCTATTTGCACTGTGCCTTTCAACTCCAGAAACATTCTGAAGATGTACTTGGATTTAATTAAAAAGTTCACTTTGTAAGAACGTGGAAAAATAATTTTAATTTAAAAATGGTGTTTTTAGGCCGGGGGCGGGGGCTCACGCCAGTAATCCCAACACTTTGGGAGGCCAAGGCGGGTGGATCACCTAAGGTCAGGAGTTCAAGACTAGCCTGGCCAACATGGAGAAACTGCATCTCTACTAAAAATATAAAAATTAGCCGGGTGTGGTGGCTGGTGCCTGTAATCCCAGCCACTCGGAGGCTGAGTCAGGGAGAACTGCTTGAACCCAGGAGGCAGGAGGCAAAGGTTGCAGTGAGCCGAGATCACGCCAGCCTGGGCGACAGAGCGAGAATCCATCTAAAAAAAAAAAAAAAAAAAGTGTCTTTAAAGTGAGGTATAGTCTTTCTCTGATCCACTTTTCACCTTCTGAGGTTTTTCATCTTGGCCCCTGAAAGGAGCTATTTTTGAAGGACTTGTGTTACTCAGTTTCTACAGGAATTACAAGATAAGAAAAAAAAAATCATATTTAGTCTTATGCGTGCCTACTGGCTAATGTTCACATATGCCAAACACTACTCAATAACATAAAATAATGTATGAACTTATTCTCTGGAAATGAGTGATGCCCTCTGCTCTAAGTAGACCATTTATATTAAATATCATAAATGTATAAAGGACATTCATATTCTTATAGTGGGAATACTTGCCTTTTTTGTTGATTTTATAGCATCCATTGTATTTTGGTGAGTGAAATAATAAGAATTTTTTAGTTTAGTGTTGTTTATTATAAAAGCTACAGCTACTGGTAGAAGCTACTTATGTGAATATTTAGTCACTCCAGTTACTTACAGGAAATAATACTACCACTTCAATGCCTTCCCAGAAGACCACAGAATCTCCACATCAGCTTTGTCTTTGGAAGCATGGTGATTTTTTTGGTAGAAGTTTTATCTTTAAATGATATGTAGCTTAGCCAAAATTTTAAAACAAATAGCATTGATTCACCAGAAGATTTCTAGAAGGTGGGATAAAGTCACCCTGGACGAATGTTTGTCATATTGAATTAGCATGACTTTGAGATATAATTATGTTTGTTTTTCCCTCCCACTGTCCACTTACATTTATTCAGTGGGCAGTTCTTCCCCTTCTTCAGATGTAAATTCAGATAGAGTCATGACTTTTCTGTTCACTCTTAGGTTTTAAAGTCCTACTGTGTAGTCCCTTAAGGTCATAAAACAGTGTCATTTTAGTAAGTAATATATCCAGTCAAAATTGCAAGCTTGATTTACAGTTGATGCTTCTTCCCTCACTCACCTCTGGCCTATTGCAAGTAGGAAGCTGGTTTCTGGGGAAAGGGAGACCATGGGCTTCTCTTCTTTTTCCACCTAGGTTTCCTTCAATGTTCTCCCCCTGCCCCAACCTACCATGTCTGGGTTGTAGCAAAGAAGAGAGTTAAGGGGAGCAGGAAAGTTGTTACCTGACTGTCATTGCTGTGGTGGTAGAGGATCAGCCCTATGTGACCCTGACAGACTAAAGTTGATTCTTGTGGGCATTCTTGTGGGTTCCTTTGTCAACCTCATCACGCTACTCACCTGAGGTTCCTCTGGCAAGGCAAATGTGTACTCCTTTTTCAGCCTCTAGGAATTTGGTGACTCTTTGAGGTTCTCAGTGCTGAAGTTCATTGCCTTCCTCCCAGGCCTGTTGGGCAGGACCTAAGCTGTCTCATGGTGGTCCACATCTGCTCCATGGGAAACACCTGCACGTTCTTTGTGCTGGCAAATTCTGTGTATGCAAGCTGATCCCTCTGCAGCCATTATTCTCCGCCTCCCACCTCCACCCCAAGCTGCCTCGGCTAGCCTCTCTCGGTTCAGATTTCTCATGCATGAATCAGACATTAGTCCACGGGGACCCTCAAACTACGTATACTGCCAATGGGAGTCTAAATTGGTACCTTGATGCAATCAACCCAGAGAGCAATTTGGTAATAGCTAACAAAGTTGCAGATTTCGCAGCAAATTCACTTTTGGGAATCTGCTTGGTGAATCCATTGCACATGATGTTCATTGCTGCTCTGTAAGGCCGTTAAAGTAGAAATAACCTCTCTCACTAAGGAATGTAAAAACAAATATGGGTCAGTCATACAATGAGCAGTGAAAATTATCTAGCGATTGACCAAATGGATAAATCTTGAGAGTATAATTTTGAGAGAGGAGAAAGGTGCACAATGAGAGGTACAACTATGATTCCATTCCATGATATGTCTAAACATGCAAAAGAAAATATTATTTATGGGTATGCATATAAGGACATGCATGGACATGATATACAACATTCTCAGCACAGTGATTGCCACTGGGGAGGGAGACAGAATGAGATGGAGGAGGTACGCAGGGGCTTCTGCCTATATGTATTGTTCTATTTAAAAAAGAATGAATCATTGATTACACCTCAATAAAGCTGGGAGGAAAAAAGAATGAAAGCAAGTCTGATAAAATTTCAAGCTAGTGGTCGGTCCACAGGAATCTGTATTACTCTATTTGAAATATTTTCATTATTTTACTTAAAAAGTAACAGAAGGGAGTCAGGGAATGAACGCTGGCTGTCCGGAGTCCATCACAAGAGCTGCTACTACTCCAAGCAGACACTAGTAAATTTTGCTAGGGCCTCCTGAAGGCACTTTTGAGTCCAGACAGTCATGGTGCCAGACCCTATTCGGACATCCCACTGGCACTTGAGAGGAAAGGAAAGGAGTGCCGGGAACGTTCCCATAACTTAACGGGTTCCATTCACGTCTACAGCAGGGGAGGGCTCATGTTAAGGAAGCCCAGGAATCCAGCATATCGCCTCATCCTAGGGCCCCCTCTCACAGGAGGCCACGCCCAAGCAAGCAGAGCGTGGCCCCAGCAAGCGCCGAGCTCCCGCAAGGAGACCAAATAGCTTCGGGGTTTTGCCACTAGCTTAGCACAGGCCCATAAGCACCGGGGACTCAAGGCACCTTTGTAGAAACAATGAGTGACTGGAGTCCCAGGTCTTGCCACTACAGAGGCGCGTATGAACCACGGTTTAACACTACGTCTACGCCGAAGTTCGGGTTAGTCAGAGGCCACGCCCACCGCAGGCCCGAAAACACCAGCCTGCACTGGCGCGCCGGATTGTGCGCAGGCTCCACCTGCCACGCACGCACGCCTTGCCCCGCCCCTTCCGGAGGCTCGCCGTACGCATGCGCCCTCCGTCCCGCGCTTTGTTGCGAAAGCGAGGGGGCGAGGTGCTGCGGTGCTAGAGCGCGGCGCGACCGGACGCTGCGGGCGGGGAAGAGGATGGAGACTGTGGCGTCCGCTGCAACGGTTGGGGCTGCGCGTGAGAAGGTGGCGGTGTAGGCACCTGCGCTCGGGGAAGGCTGGCGGCGGCGGCCGAGCCATGGCGGGAGACCCCCTTCTCTGGGCTCCCTGAAGTCTCGGGGAGCCGTGACCCATGGGATCGTTGAGCAGCCGGGTGCTGCGCCAGCCAAGACCAGCCCTTGCCCAGCAGGCGCAGGGTGCCAGGGCGGGGGGCTCGGCCCGGAGGCCGGACACTGGAGACGATGCGGCGGGCCACGGATTCTGTTACTGTGCGGGCAGCCACAAGCGCAAGCGGAGCAGCGGGTCCTTCTGCTACTGTCACCCTGACTCGGAGACGGACGAGGATGAGGAGGAGGGGGACGAGCAGCAGCGGCTCCTCAACACCCCTCGAAGGTACGTGGGGGCACGCACCCGCGCGGACCCGGACCCGCACCTGTTGGGCCTGGGGCCGAGCCGGCGCCTCGTGCGCTTGCGGGGTGCAGCGCTCCCCAGCCTATGGAGAGGGGACGTGCCCTTGACAGGGTGAATGTGGAAGCCGGCCCGATGCGGGGCGGACTGGGGAGCGCCTTGGGAGACGCCAGGTGTTCCGCATTTTCAACCACAGACGCTTCCAGGGTGTTGTTACAGCCCCAAGATGAGGATGAGAAACGCCAAGCCCGAGCTCGCGTCTCGTTAAACCTTAGAGACGCCCGGCTGGCTGGCCTTCCCAGTCCACCTTTGCCCTCTCAAGTGGGTAGCCGCAGAGTAAGTTGTTTTGCATCCGGTTGCCTTAGTACAGACACTAAATGTAATCTCTGAAATAGGCACTCTTATTGTCGCCCACTCAGTGGAGGGTAAGTAATTGCACACAGGAGTTCTTGTTAATTGTAAAGGTGAAGTTTATCAATAGTGTACATTTGTTCCTAACTAGGAACAGAGTCTGTGCAAGTTTCTAGTAGTTGATGAAGTCGTTGACCGTGGATGTACTGTATGTAGGGCGGTGCTGCTGCAGCTTGTTTAACCCCTTTTTTTTTTTTTTTTGGATGAGTTGAAAGATGGAATATTGACTTGTGACCTGGAATGTAGTTTATAGGTAGAATATATGCTTACACAAACAATTTGGTTTTTCTGCTTTTGTTTTTAAAGGTTATTTGGTAGGGTCACACATGAAATTTTTTAAATGATTTCTTTTTCTTTTTGAGACAGAGCCTTGCTCTGTCACTCAGGCCGGAGTGCAGTGGTGCGATCTCAACTCACTGCAACCTCCACCTCCTGGTTCAAGCGATTCTTGTGCCTCAGCCTCCCGAGTAGCTGGGACTACCGGCGCGCACCACCACGCCTGGCTAATGTTTTCTGTTTTTAGTAGAGACAGGTTTCATCGTGTTGGCCAGGCTTGTCTCAAATTCCCGACCTCAGGTGATCTGCTGGCCTCAGCCTCCCAAAGTGCTGGAATTATAGGCGTGAGCCACTGCGCACCCGGCCTAAAATTAAACTTTAAAAGCAGATTCAAAAAGGTTTTGCTATACAAGTGTTATATATTGTAAAAAAGGAATCATAGATTAAAAACTTAATAGTTTGGTTTATAAAACCTTTTGTACCTTTTTTTGTATGAATATTTGTATTTATTATACAAAAATGTACCCCTACTGTGAATACTATTCAGTAACTTTTTTAATTGTTTGTTTGATTTTTGGAGCTTTTTTCTAAAGGAGTCTCACTATATTGCCCAGGCTGGTCTCAAACGCCTGGGTTGAAGCGATCCTCCCACCTAAGCCTCCCAAAGGGCTGAGATTACAGGTGTGAGCCACCATGCCTGACCCTGTAACCTTTTTGAAGCGTCAGTGTAGCATAGTTTTTTTTTCCTTTGGAAAAATTTTTCTCTATTTTGAGACAGGGTCTCGCTGTGTCGCCCAGGCTGGAATGCAGTGGTGGGATCATGACTCACTCTACCTCGACCTCACAGAATCAGGCAATTCTCCCACCTCAGCCTTCTGTGTAGCTGAGACCACAGGCATGCACCACCACACCCAGCTAATTTTTTTATTTGTAGAAACAAGGTCTCACTCTGTTGCCCACCCAGGCTGGCCTGGAACTCCTGGGTTCAAGTGATCCTGTTGCCTTGACCTCCCAAAGTGTTGGGATTACAGGTGTGAGCCACCATTGCCAACCTATAGCATAGTTTTAAGAGTTCTGAGTTCTTGGCCAGGTGCAGTGGCTCATGCCTATAATCCCAGCACTTTGGGAGGCTGAAGCAGACAGATCACCTGAGGTCAGGAGTTCAAAACCAGCCTGGCCAACATGGCGAAACCCTGTCTCTACTAAAAATATAAAAACTAACCAGTCGTGGTGGCAGCTGCCTGTAATCCCAGCTACTCGGGACGCTGAGGCAGAAGAATGGCTTGAACCTGGGAGGCGAGGTTGCAGTGAGCCAAGATCGCACAACTGCACTCCAGTCTGGGTGACAAAGTGAGACTCTGTCTCAAAAAAAAAAAAAAAATTCTGACTTCTTGTCTGTATTCTGCACTTAATAGCCTTATTTCCCTCATATGTAAATTGGAGATATAAATACCTGCCTTTTAGGCTTTGACAAATATGAGAACAAACAAATGCACAATGTCTAGAATGTAAGCATGCAGTAAATATGTCTCCTTGATGAATTGGCCCCTTTATCATAACAAAATGTTCATCCTTCTTTATCCCTAGTAATTTAGCCACTACCACATACATACATACATATATACATTTATTTATTTATATTTAGGGGGTACAGCTGCAGGTTTCTCACATGTATATAACAAGTAGTGGTGAAGTCTGGGATTGTAGTGTATCCATCAGCCACTTTCTTTTGATAAATGTCTGAATGATATCTTATTTTCCCTCCTTTCACTTTTTACCTGTGTATATTTAAAACAGATATCAAGTAAACAGCATATAGTTGAGTCTTGCTTCTTTTGTCCAACAGGACAATCTAACCTTTCAATTAGTAGTTAGACCACTTATATTTAACGTAATTATTGAAATATATGTCACAGTGCATTTGAAGGAGAGAAATCACACAGCAATTTGAATACAGGAAATTTAATATAAACATTATTAACAAGGCACAGAGAATTAACTACTGAGGACAAAACGCTAAGGTAAAGAGATCCCTAGAAAATACATGTAGTAGTCAGTACTTCTAAGGCTGAGGCAGAATAGCCACAGAAGGAACAAATTTGGAATAGGTGCCCCCACCCCTTTCCCAAGCTAAGATTCAGATGATGTTGAAGGAGGTGTGGCTGTAGCCCACTGGATGGTGGAAAAGTTTGCTCAAGTGTGGTAAGCTGAGGCTGGCAAGTAGGACACTGCCTACTAGGATGCCAACAAAATTATTTGGAGGCCTTTTGGCCCAGAAGGCTAAAGATATTTACTATCTAGACCTTTACAGAAAAAGTGTACCAACTCCTAGACTACATGAGTGGACTGGAATGGAAAGTTTTTAAGGCAAACCTTTATCGGAAAATGCATATCAGAATTTAGTGTCTGTATATTACTGGAAGATGCTTGGATTATTCAGCCCAATACGGATGCAGGGTGTAAGAAAATACTAAGACGGGCCAGGCGTGGTGGCTCACGCCTGTAATCCCAGCACTTTGGGAAGCCAAGGCAAGCAGATCACTTTAGGCCAGGAGTTTGAGACCAGCCTGACCAACACAGTGAAACCCCGCCTCTACCAAAAAATACAAAAATTAGCCAGGCTTGGTGGTGCACGCCTGTATTCCTAGCTACTTGGGAGGCTGAGGCAGGAGAATTACCTGAACTCAGGAGGCGGAGGTTGTAGTGAGCCAAGATTGCGCCACTGCGCTCCAGCCTGAGCAACAGAGTAAGACCCTGTCTCAAAAACTAAACAAATAAAAATTTAAAAGAGAAAGTATTAAGATGTTGAATTTTGTGTGTTGGCCCTAGTATATACTTCCTGAGGTTGTCTGGTGTGCTCTCCCACATCAACAGACCACTTTATGAGAAGTTTTAGCTTTTAGGCCCAACTTCCACCTCATACCTTTGTCAACTGCATGTTCTACTTTTACATTTACGAGACTGTTAAAACCCACACTGTTCTACAACCAGATCTTGAGTGTTTTGTCCGTAGCTTGTCTCTAAAAAATTGAAACGACATTACATAGTTATAACTAAGTAAATATTGTTTCAGAAGAGTTAAGTAGTATGCTAGGATTATAAATCATACTTGATGGGTCCAGTGTCACAACTGCTTGTCTGTTCAAAGGGAGAAATTTTTCTAACCTCACAGTCATATGGAATCTTTTCTTGTATTCCATCAAGTGCTTAAAGTCAGGCCCTGCTTTTGTTTTTATCTTATTTGGACAGTGCCTTTTTTTGTATTGCTTTTTTATTGTCCTAGAGTTTATAATGGCCTTTCCCCCACTCTTGTCAAAATAACAATATTCCTTCATCATGGCTTCGGGTTTTTCTGAAAAAACACAGAAAAGTCTTTTGAAACACACTTTCATGGAATCCTTCTCTAAAACCTAGACCTCTTCCATCCTCCTGTTCCAATCTGGATTTGTCTACTCTTATGCTGGGACTTACTTTCACCCCATCTCTAGGATTGAATCCACTATTTTGTGTAGCCTGCATTTCTTTCTCGCTTATTTTAGGAACTATTTAATACATCCTCAAGTATTTTCCAAGGAAGGGTGCAAAAGGGGGTAATTTGTGCGTATCTAAATATAAATTTAGTCTCTTTTACTTTATTCATCCTCTGACTGGGTATGGAAATCTAAAGTAACTTTCTTCATATCTTTGATGACGCTGCTTCATTGTCTTCAGGCCTACAGTCTTGATGAAAAATTTGATTCTGGTGTAATTCTCTTTTCAGGTGACCATTTTTGCTCTCTGGAACTTGTGGAACTTTTTCTTTGGTATTTTGGGATTTAATTAGAATGTGCTTAAGTGTGGGTCTTTTAATGGCCTTGGTACTTGTTGGATCCTTATAATCTGGAGACTCATATACTACCTTAGTTTTGGGAAATTTTTTTCCATTAATTTCTTCCATAATTTCCTTTCGCTTCTTATCTTTATTTTTTCTTTCTGGGATGCCTCTTAACTGGATTTTGGATTTCTTGGATTATGCCTGTCTCTTCTTTTTTCCTTTCTTTGTCTTTTTGCTTTATGTTCTGGGAAATTTCCTTTAACTTTTTCATCACTATCATTAGGTTGTTTGGCCCTAACTATGAGGTATTTCTTTTGGACCAGGGGTGAAAATTACTAAAATATGAAATGTGCTGTGATCCATGAAAGCTTGGGAACCTCTGCTCTACAAAGCATGCCCCACCTATAACCAACTTCGTAGTCTTCTTACTCAAAGAAGAGGTACCTTGGAAATAGATCTATTTACTCAATTAAAACACCATACATCAGTTATTCATTCTTAAATATAAGTGGACAAGCAAGGAAGGATCACCCAACATGAGGAAGAAAAACAAACAAACTATTCTTTGGTTTATTTGTTTTTTTAAATTTCAGTAATCATGTCTTTAGTCTCTAAAAGCTCTTTCTTGTTCTGAGTGATCCTTTATCATAGCAGTCTATGGGGTAAATATAATAATCTCAGATCTCTAGGTATACTGGTGAGAGGGTGTTTTTTTCCTCTCTTTTCCCTGAATTATATGTTTCCAGGGGTGGAGGGAGTCTCTCTGTCTCTCTGATATGCTCTTATTCTTCCTCATGGTGGGTGATCCTTCCTTGCTTGTCCACTTATATTTAAGAAGGAGTAACTGGTGTATGGTGTTTTAATTGAGGAAATAGATCTATTTCCAATGTACCTCTTCTTTGAGTAAGAAGACTACGAAGTTGGTTATAGGTGGGGCATGCTTTGTAGAGCAGAGGTTCCCAAGCTTTCATGGATCACAGCACATTTCATATTTTAGTAATTTTCACCCCTGGTCCAAAAGAAATACCTCATAGTTAGGGCCAAACAACCTAATGATAGCAGATTGCATGGTATCTGAAAGATGTTACTGTGTTTCCTTCGAATTTAAAATACTCCACATGCCTCTCTGAGTTGGCTGTGGTGCTCTAAGTTCAGATGGTATCCTGAACTGGTGAATTTCACACACGGTTTGGGAACCATGACTTAGGGTGAATGGATTGGGAGTGAACAGGCCACAGATTCTTTAAATTTCAGAATGAGGATTGCTTTGTCTGGGCACCAGCAGCTACACTACAGCCTTAGATCTTCCATTAGCTTTGTGCTATTTCTAGAAAAACCTTGGAATCTTTTTGCCTCAGTATCTGTACTCTCCTTATCTATACTCTGTGTTCATAGAGTGGAGAAGGCACTAGTTTCCCCATTTTCTGCCCCTCTTCTTACTTCTGCCTTTGTTTCCCTGAGACCTCATCCTTCTTTTCTCCCAAGGGTTCTGATGGGCAGATAAGCTTAGCCTCCATCCTAGTCCTCCATAATGTATTTTTTGGCTGTGGCTGTCACTGTTCTTTTTCATTTGAATTTGTTTTCTAACTTTCAGATCTGTATAAATCTCTCATCAAGTGATGAGCCTACCCTCACCTTTTCCTGGTGTGGACTTATTCCTTTTTTGTACTCTTAATCTTTAATGTAATTTGGGGAGGGATGGGAAGCCAACATGTGTACATTCTGCCGTCAGGAACTGGAAACTACATTGTCTCTTGATTTCGCATCATAACGAGTGAAGTGGATACTATTAATGTCCTCTTTTTACAGCTGTGATAACTGAGCAGCTGGGACTCAAACCCAAGTCTGTTACCACTAAGACATGTGCTGTTTTTATTGTCGGCTAGGAAGAGGTGTTAAGTACACAGGTGTTAAATTCGCCAATTCAGGATGTCATCTGAAACAATTACTTCATTTTTAAAAAGAGATTGAAGGTTTTATGTGCTAGGAAAGCTTTCAGAATTGGTCAGGAATTTAAGATATTGATCAGCCTCTGCCTAAGGCCTTTTCTTAGTTACTGGATCATTTTGAGCAATGATTTTCAAACTTTATTTTTTTAGTCAAGTCTTCCTTTAAATTAAATCTGTGCAGAAATCCAGTATGTTTACAGATAGAATAGGTGATGCTGCTCTGGTTGAAGTTAGATGGGATGCTCACAGTTCACTCCTTAGCTCTCCTTGGTGGCCCCTAAGACTTCTCCTTTGAGCAGTTTTAAAAACCTTTCATCTAAAATAAATAAATAAATAATTTTAAAAAACAAATAGGAAAAGAAAAGAAAACCTTTGATCTAAGGTTGCAAACCGTTTGTCCAGTGGCTGGAAAACATTTTAAGTAGTTTAAGAATAGGTTGGTACCAAAATAAGATTAAATGTAAATTATTTTAAAATTACTTGGGTAGGTGAAATGTTTACTCTTGTTCTCCATTTCCTACTTGCAGATTATTGCGCTATTTGAGCTCCTTCATAGTGCTGGTTTCTAAATAAGGAAATAAGCAAAAAATCAACATGCTAACTTCTTAATCTATTGAATGGGTAATTAAATTAGTCCAAAATTGCTAAAACATGTGTAGTGAAAAGTCTGCCTCCCATGCTGCCCCCCTTTCTCCACTATCTCTCCCGTGCATAGAGGACCCCAGAGATAACCACTATTATTAGTTTCTTATGTACTCTTCTAGACACAAGAAAATTTGAATATATACTATCTCCCTATCCTTTTACACAATAGGTAAGTTGACTCTATTTAATAGAAATTGAATAAAAGGAGTATTTAGAAATATATGCAAAATCAGTAAAACATTCAGTTTTATATAAATATGTGACTTTTTCATTTCTTTTAACAGGAAAAAATTAAAGAGTACATCTAAATATATTTATCAAACATTATTTTTGAATGGTGAAAACAGTGACATTAAGATTTGTGCTCTAGGAGAAGAATGGAGCTTACACAAAATATATTTATGTCAAGTAAGTATTTTTTCTATTTGAGTAACAGGGTAGTCACTGAAACTCTTAAGTCATGTTCTTCCTCATTGCACTTCACAGTAATCTTTTGCATGAACACCATAGTGGTTAAATCCTCTCATTTGATCAGTCTGTAAGAAAAATGGCAAACATTGTTAGTGAAAACTAAGTTTGGTCTAGAAAGAGATTTTGATATTTCAGTATCAGACTAGCCTAATACTACGTATTTGTCATTACTTCATAAAATGCTTTTTTCGGTGCCTTCTGTTGATAAAAGGGGAAAAGTTGGGGAAAAAATATTTAACATTAAAGTTAAGATTGTAGTGTTTATTTTGCTTATGGTTATTTAAATTGGATAAACTCATCTGAAATGTTGCTTTGTAGTTCACATTGAGTGTGAATAGAAAGTTCTCTCCTGAAAAATGCAGGTAAAGACAACACCAAAAAGTATATAGACTAAGTAGATTTCTGTACTGAAAATATTACTACCTGCCACCCCACTTTAAAAATTCAGAACTTTCATAGCTGACGTGGTGTTGGGCACCTGTAATCCCAGCTACTCAGGAGGCTGAGGCAGGAGAATTGCTTGAACCTGGGAGATGGAGGTTGCAGTGAGCTGAGATCGTACCACTGCATTCCAGCCTGGGCAACAGAGCGAGACTCTGTCTCAAAAAAAAAAAAAAAAAAAAAAAAAAAATCGGAGCTTTCAAAATAGAATACAATGTTGCTCTAATGGCCCAAATATTTTATTCATTTTCTTTCATCAAATCTATAAGCTAGGTATTGTTTGAGGCACTAGAAATAAAACAACAGTTTTTATCCTTTGGAACTTACATTTTTCCTCTTTACCATTTGAGAATAATTACTGGTAAGACAGCATAGTATAAAATTTTTCAGTAAAAGTATTTGAAAATGAATTGCCTTCTCTAACATTTTAATCATGTTTTAAAATGTGTTTTTGAAACAAATTTATTTTGGCTTGAAGTATGTTGCCCAGATACTATATCAGAATATTGCTTTTAACTTCAGGGTATGATTCATGTTGTTTCTTTTTAATATCTGAAAGCAGTTTTGTGAACTTGAGGGTAAGAATACCTCTGTTAAAACTTTACCCCTCGTGGAAGATGTATTATAATTCAAGCCACATGCTAAAATATAAGCCCCCTGAGGACAGAAACAATATCGATTTTGTTTATTGCTATATTCACAGTGCCTTCTACATACTAAGTACTCAGTAACATTTTTAAATAAATTAGTTAATATTTGATCCATTTCAAAGTAATTCTAATTATGAGGAGTGCTATCTGGCAGATACCTAAAGACTTCATTCTGTACCTTTCCAAGAATTCAGGTCCATTCTGGACATTTCTCATTAAACTAAATTTTGGATTTTCCCTGGTTTCTTTGGCGATCATCCTGTTTTTGCTGACTTGGGACTGGTTTGGTCCTTTATAGCCATTCAGGTGTACAGTAAAGATTCAACAGTTTGAGTAAAAAGCTAACCAGGTTCAAATAATATACATGAATTCAATTTAGATAGTAATATAAGAATTTTAGTTTTTTGTCAAAAATAGTACTAAACCAAAAGTATATTTTGATACACCTAATAGTGTCCTTATCTTAATTTCTTTTCTCCTGTGGACATATTTGGCAGTTCTTTTTCTGTTGAAGTAATAGAATGGATGAGTTTAGTTAATGGATAGAATAGTTGCTTAGAATTAGAAATGGGCAAATAATTTGGAAGACACAGAAAGTACTTGATAATCGTTGACTTTTTTTTTTGTTTAAGTCTGGCTACTTTTCTAGTATGTTCAGTGGTTCTTGGAAAGAATCCAGCATGAATATTATTGAACTGGAGATTCCTGACCAGAACATTGATGTAGAAGGTAACTACCACAATAATTACTATTATGCAACAATCGTAAAAACATAATCTTATTCTTCTGGTAGAAGATAAATAATTCCTTCCAGCCTTGTAGTCTAGAAAACTCCTTTTATCACCTCAAGGTGATAATTTGATGTTGATTTACACCATAGTTTATCAGTTCTGTCCATCTTATCACTAATCTGTTTTGTCATTTGGGCCTTATCAGTTTGTTTACTTATCTTTGTAAATATGCCCACCTGGGATATGGAAGATGTAGGATGGAGGAAGGAAAAGTATGACCATTTTTTTTTTTAATTACATAGAAAATCTGATAAATAATACTGATTATTCCCTATGTATGAAGATGTTTTCTGGGAACAATAAATAAAAATATTGTTTTAGAGCTAAAAGAATCCTTAGTTGAGGAAGCTGAGGCTCAGAGGAGTTAAGGGACTTATTTTGGATCTCAGAGCAGTTTAGTGAGCCTGTGTCAGACTACAGCTCTCCTCATTCCCATTCCAGTGCTCTTGCTGCTCCCCTCATTGGTGGTCCACATGGAAGTACCTGGTGCGATACAAAGGCAAAGAAATACTTTAGTTAAGAATATTTACAGCCTGTAATCCCAGCACGTTGGGAGGCCAAGGTGGGTGGATCACAAGGTCAGGAGATCGAGACCATCCTGGCTAACATGGTGAACCCCATCTCTACTTAAAAAAATACAAAAAATTAGCCAAGCGTGGTGGCAGGCACCTGTAGTCCCAGCTATTTGGGAGGCTGAGGCAGGAGAATGGCGTGAACCCGGGAGGCAGAGCTTGCAGTGAGCCGAGATCGCGCCACTGCACTCCAGCCTGGGCGACAGAGCGAGACTCCATCTCAAAAAAAAAAAAAAGAATATTTACAAAGCAAACCATGTGGGACATTCATAACAGTGGCAGTGGAGGAAGGATGAACAGGCATAGATCACTGTGGGGGCTGGGAATGAGTGTGGCATGGACAGGACTCAGGAGCTGTACCACATTTCTCAGTGGTGGAGTGCTGAAAGCAGCCGGGTTAAGATTATCTTTGAGTCTGCGTATTTGTACTTAACGATTGGTCTACTGAGGAGTATCTTATACAACTTCTTGCAAGGCATCTTGGTTGTGACCACTGATGTCAAGATTACATGTTAGAAGAATGCAGCTAGATTTGGTAGAATAAACAGAAATTTATAACCTTGTTATTAAATTAACAGTGTCAACCAGTAACCATTACTAGCGTTTTAATTAGAGATACTTCTGTTATCCTTTTATGTGCATGCCACATTTAGACGGATGTCTTTGTGTGTGAAGACAGTCGTTGTTGTTATTTGTATAACACTTGTAATAGATATAAATATTATTTCATCCTACATGTGTACCTTGCTTTCAGCACTGCAGGTTGCATTTGGTTCACTGTATCGAGATGATGTCTTGATAAAGCCCAGTCGAGTTGTTGCCATTTTGGCAGCAGCTTGTTTGCTGCAGTTGGTAAGTATGCACGTTATTCGAAGAAAGGTTCAGAATAATAATCTTTGTCTCAAAGTGTGTACTCCAAAAACAAAAATAAAGCTTAGCTTTTTTGGAGTTTTTAAATAAAAATGAAATGTATAAATATGACATTTATTATAAATCATTTAAAATGCCTAACCAAAAGCAATTTATTACAACCGAGGGAGTCATGATGTCTGCATAAAATGAATGCAGGCCATTTCTGTGTAGATATCTTAGTATGACTATAATGTGGAAAAAACGTACTTGTCTAAGGTCATTTACAGATTTCATTAATGACTTGACTATTAAGCAGATGGCTTATGATTACCAATTAATTTCATTCATGGGTTCAAATAAACATGCATGCCTACTATTTAAATTTCTCTTAATTTTGAAAGAATTGTGTATAAATCACATATATGTATTTTAATCTACTGGCAGAATGACAGATTTGTTCATTGAAGAGAAGTGTGTTGAGCACTGTGTCAAACTAGACACAGAAAGCCAAAGGTAACTTAAGACGTAATCCTTACTTTCAAAAAGTTCACAACATAGTATGTATGTGTGGAGAGGGGAGGGAGGGTTGATATACAAACCCAAAGGTAAAGTAAGAGCTGTTCAATATTATAGGTATGATAATAAACATCCTGTAGCATTTAGTGAATGGATAAAGAAGGGAGTGGTCAGTTCATCCTGGTGGTGTCACATACGAAAGTTACATTTTCACACAGAGTCTTGAAAGTGTGTTTGTATTGCAAAGTAAGAAGAGGGGAAGGAAGAGCATTTCAGACAGAGAGAACAGAGTAAACTAAGATCTAGTGATGTGAAATAATGGAGGATTCAAGACTCTAACAGAAACATGGCTCCCACATAAACATAAGAAGGATTGCAGAAGAGGGGGGCAGAAGCCAGATCATGAAAATACATCTATACATTGCTAAGAAGTTTAGCATACACAGTACCTTTGGAATATTTTAATCAGGGGAAAGACGAAGTTATGTTTTAGAAAGAATACTTCAGTAACAATGTGACAGATGAATTGAAGGAAAGATGAGTACAGCATTAGAGACAAAAACTTGTTGCATTCGTCCAAGGGAGGAAAGTAGGGTAGTAGCAATAAGCTTGGAGGGGAAAAAGTGGATACCAGAGAGATTCAGGGATAATCCACTGGACTTGGTGATAGACTAAATGTTAAGAGGAAAGGGGAGGAGTCTAGAATGATTTCCAGGTAAGTTTAAAATCCTAATGGAGTCAATGTTTTATTTTAATCTTAAAAAATTGTTTACTTTTATGTGGTATTTTTGTACTGATTTATTTGAAGTATTAATAGCTTGCTAAATATCCTTGGTTGAGATCATTTGATTTTCAAAATGTTTTGATCCTTTCAATACTTACTTCCAATAAGTATACTTTATTATCTAACTCTGGTCCTTTTGGTTTTGTTCTAAATTCACCTTCTGCTTACTTTTATGATTTACTAACTCTTTAACTTAATATACCTGCATGATGAATGTATTTCAGAAATTTGAATGAAAAGTAGTATTCTTCCCATATATTAAAGTTAGTTCACTTAAAACCTATATAAACATTTTAGGTTAAAACTTTAATGTTAATCATTTGAAATAATAATATACTTGTTTTAAGTCTATCTCTTAGATATTGTAGTTATTTTAAACTTGATCACTTTCTGCTAATGCATACTGTTAGTTTAGTCCCATCACATGGTTAACTGACTATGTAGACTTCTTAATTTAAAAAGAAATGGCAAAACAGACAAAATGCTGCTAAAGAAATTTGCAAAGGTCTCAGACAGGGGAAGAATAGAAAAGAAAAAGAATAGCAGTATTCATTCTCTACCTTACTACTCCCCCCCACCTTCCATTTTCAAATTCCAAGTATTTAGTTGAATACTTGCTGAACTTTTTTCAGTATTTTTATTGGACTTGTTAAAAAAAAAAAAAAAAACTTAGGTTTGCTGCACTTAATGAGTTTTCTTTCTTTTCTTTCTTCTTTTTTTTTTTCTTTTACTTTTTAATATGTAAAAGCTGTCAGAGCTAATTTTTCCCACGTGAAATGGGCCTTTCCAGTGCTTATTTATATTTACAGGACGGTTTAATACAGCAGTGTGGTGAGACAATGAAGGAAACAGTTAATGTGAAAACTGTATGTGGCTATTACACATCAGCAGGGACCTATGGATTAGATTCTGTAAAGAAAAAGTGAGTTGCCTTTCTTGTTTTTCTTCCTATCCCACTTTTAGGAATTTGGTTGCTTTAGTTTCTTAAGAGAATGTATAGCTATAAGAAAGAAAGAATTAAGGAAAAATAGGATAGGGGGATGGAATTTTATTAAATAAAAAGCCCCTTTTAACTTTTGGACTAATTAGTAAATTCCTCAAAAGTGTCGTCTTTGTAAGTGACCATAGGTGGGTTATATACATGCTTATAAAAACCATGGTCACCTTGGTCGGGTGTGGTGGCTAACACCTGTAATCCCAGTGGTTTGGGAGGCCAAGGCAGAAAGATCACTTGGGCCCAGGAGATTAAGACCAGCCTGAGCAATGTAGGGAGACCCCATCTCTACAAAAAATTTTAAAAATTAGCCAGGCATGGTGGCATGCACCTGTGGTCCCCACTATTCTGGAGGCTGAGGTCAGAGGATTCTTTGAGCCCAGGAGGTTCAAGACTGCAATGAGCCGTGATCATGCCACTGCACTTTATAGTATATTTTCTATTAAAATTGTTTAAGAAGTAGGCCTGATAGACTGACAGTCCTTCTAACTCTTGAGAGTTGCAGTACCTGTTTTGAGATTTTAAAGAAGGTTATACTAGTATGCAGACCCCTTAATAAACTATTTAACACAAACTCAAAATGAAGTTTTAAAACTGGAAATGCTCTCGTTAATATAAAGGAAATATTCTCTTAATAATATCCACTGACAAAAATAATACTAAATTTCCTATTGTTAAGCTAAAAGTTTTGAGCATGTTCTGGCAAGATTAATCTGATTTTATTTTAACTATAAGTCCTACTTAATAAATTGTAAATACATGGCATATAATGTAATAATTATATATTTTAATTTCAGGTGCCTTGAATGGCTTCTAAACAATTTGATGACTCACCAGAATGTTGAACTTTTTAAAGAACTCAGGTATTTGAATTTCAAGTAACTTCATAATTAGTCATCCTAAAATATTGTTTATCATTTGTTAAAGTACATAACATTTTTGTAGAACACAAAAATATATTATGAAAAAGCAAACAATTTAATGAAAGGGCTTGACTACATCCATAAACTGAAGAAATGCTGTGCAAACTTATTTCTTTGTTGTGAATAATATAATGGATATTATGTCTACTGTTTTAACCGAAAAATGCATTACTGTTATAAGACTATAGAAAAGTTTCAGGTTTTGCCAGGCTGTTAGAGAATTTAAAAGTTATATTTTAAAAATCATCTTTTTTATTGAGAAATAAGTTTGAAGAAACTGTTTTGGCCTTTTTTTTTTTTTTTTTTTACCTTCAAAAACTTTTCATGTTGATCCGTTTTCTCACTAGGATGAATTCTCTGATGTGGAGTAACAAATGTGTGTCTCCTATAAATGTATATTTTTCCATCTCTGATTATTTCACACCTTGAATCCAAATCTGTAGTCCCAGCTACTCTGGAGGCTGAGGCAGGAGGATTGCTTAAGCCATAGAGGTCAAGGTTGCAGTGAGCTGTGATTGCGACACTGCTCTCCAGCCTCAGTGAGAGTGAGACAAGTTACCATGGTTCTTCACCGTCACCTCCTGGTACAAGGTCTTCTGAACCAGGTCAAGGTATTCCCACTCCTGATGAGAGAAGTCTGTGGCCATGTCCCTGAATGTTACAAATTCACAGGCCATGGTTTTAGACAAGCAAAAGCCAATCAGTCCTCAGGGTTTCTCTACCAGAAAAGCGATTTGGGAAAACCTAGACCTATAATCCCAGCACTTTGGGAGGCCAAGGTGGGAGGATTGCTTGAATCTAGGAGTTCGAGATCATCCTGGGCAACATAGTGACATCCCCTCTCTTTGAGAAAATATCAATCTTCCTTTAAAAAAAACCTGTTAGCGCCACACAGGGTCCCATGCAGGCTTCAGGCTGGGGCTGCAGAGGCTCCTGCAGTCAACTGCGCCGCCTTCGTCCTCAAGCGGGACCTGGTCAGACGCAGCACAGCGCAGAGCCAGAGGTCCTGGAGATGGAGCCAGAGGTCCAAGATTTCTCCATCACCTGTGGACTATGTAGTCCAAGCTGGAATAATAGGACCGCAGTCACCCGTGAGAAATGGATTCCAGGGTTCTAAAAACCTACAAGAAATATGGCGGTGACAATGAGGACTGCCCACCCTGCCCACCACCCAAGCTGCAGAGCAGCCTTTCTTTTTTAAAGAGATGGGGGCCTTGGTATGTTGCCCAGGCTAGACTCAAACTCCTGAGCTCAAGCAGTCCTCCTGCCTCAGCCTCCAAGTAGCAGGGATTATAGGCACATACCACTGCACCCAGCTTAGTTTGGCTTTTTGGATTAAGTACGCATATTATCCATTTATTCCTGCAGCAAGTACTTCCTGACTGTCCTTTATATGTAAAGATACTCTATTAGGGGCTGTGAAGAATGCAGAGATGATTTTGTCATGGTCTCTTGCTGTCAAAGAGCTTATTTGTAGTAATGGGACTAAGATATTTGTGATGGGTCTGAGAAAATCTGGCTAGCAGTTAACTTTTGAAGGCTGGTTGGCATTACAGTCATTTTCTGGCTTGCATTTCCCTGACAGCAGTGCTTCTGAGACAAGGATACAAATGTGTCCGAGAGTATGTGACATTCTGATGGAAATGTACAAAACCAAAGTCAAACATTACATAGCTTCCCAGAATGTGAATTTTACTGATTTTTTTTTTTTTTTTGGTGGGGAGGAGGTGGGGAAGAGGTAAATATTTTTATGTTTAAATACATTATGGAATAGAGGGAATTCAAATTTCCTTGAACTCTCAAGATACAATTTATAGAAATGTTACTTTTTATGGTTAGACCACCTCCTAGATTATGGGGTTTTTTTCCTTTCTTTTGCCTTTACGAGATAATTTGGTAGAGAAGTGTGAGAGACTTTCATCACCTGGTGATGTCAAGGCATAAATAAATCACCGTAGAATGTTTGATTTGAAAATCGTTAGAAACACTTTAATACAGTCAACCCTGCTTATCCATGGGTTCTCCATTTGTGGATTCTACCAACTGCCGATTGAAAAGATTTGGGGGAAAAACTATAAAAAATAATAACAAAAAAACCCAATGTAGTATGACAACTATTGCATAACATTTACATTGTATTAGGTACTGTAAGAACACCTAGAGATGATTTAAAGTATATGAGAGGATGTGCATAGGTTACATGCAAATACTATGCCATTTTATATAAGGGACTTGAGCATAGAGGATTTTGGTATTTGTAGGAGGTTCTGAAACCAATCCCCCACAGATACAGGGGGATGACTCTAATTTCTCACTGAACTTTTTGAAAAAGGAGCAGGATCCTCTTAAAAACCCACGTGCTCTCTTGGCTTTTTATGGCTCAAAGGAAAGAAAGAACAAAGGAAAAGCAAAACAAAACAAATAACTGGTGATATCATTTTCACTCTAAATAACTAGCACGTTTCTTGATCTTATTGTCTTGAATAGTACTAAAACCATAGTTTATGACTAAGCAATTCTCTTAAGCCTAGAGGTTAAAGATTACTTTGACGATATAGCTGTTTTAGTGTCTTTTTTTTTTTGGTTTTGGAGACAGTGTCTTGCTCTGTTGCCCAGGCTGGAGTGCAGTGGTAACAGTCTTGGCTCACTGCAGCCTCCACCTCTTGGGCTCAAGCGATCCTTCCCACCCCTTCAGCCTCCCGAGTAGCTGGGACTACAGGTGCACACCAACATGATTGGCTAATTTTTTTTTTTTTTTTTTTGGTAGCACGAGGTCTCACCATGTTGTCCAGGCTGGTCTCAAACATCTGGCCTCAAATGATTCTCCTGCCTCCCAAAGTGCTGGGATTACAGATGTGAGCCACTATGCCTGGCCTTTTTTTAAAGAACAAAACAAAACGTAGAAGTGGAGTGGTGGAAGGCAAAAGAGGAAGACTGCCATTTTATCAGAGCATACTTAAAGTTATCTTACCGGAACCTTGCTTTAACTTGATTAATCAGCAGATCAGAGCTCTTTGTTTCCCTATCAGTGTGAAAAGGACCTTTCACAGCACACTATCTGAATTAAAAGTATCCTTGTATCCAGATAGATTGCACTATCTGAATTAAAAGTATCCTTGTATCCAGATAGATTGTTTTCTAAGATTCTTTGTCTTGGGCAGAAGGACTGCTGTCATTTTTAATTCCACATATTTTTTTACAAGAAAGACTTAAAGCTTTTATTTCTACCAGGATCCTTTAGCCTGTGCCTAAAGATAAGCTCACTCCCTCTATTTATCCTTTTCAGTATAAATGTCATGAAACAGCTCATTGGTTCATCTAACTTATTTGTGATGCAAGTGGAGATGGATATATACACTGCTCTAAAAAAGGTACTGACGTAATATGATGTCATATTATACAAGGATGTCACCTCAGCAATGCGTATAATGGTGAAAAACTGGAAACAGTATCCAGTAATAAAGGGATGGTTATAAATGTAGGAAAAGGAAATAGGCCGAAACCTTAAAAAGTCTTTATATTTAGGGATTTGGAATCATTAGTGATTTTAACTTTATTTTTTGTACTTTTCTATTTTAGGAATACTTTTCTGTTTTTTCCCAGACTTTTCTTTAACAAAAAATATGTTATTGCTATTTGTTTATTTACATAATCAAAAATGTTTTATATTGTTTTTAGGAACGTTTTCAAAGTTGAGCTTCAGTTAATGATGGCATTTTTACACACGCTTTTTCTAAGAAATGTTGAAATTTTTCTTTTAAAGGCCTGTTTGTGTGTCTGGCATATGTTTTACTTCATGCTTTTGAAAAGTTTCAACATTTAAAAAATCTAATTTTATTTTCACAACTCTTTGAAGACACAGATCAGCCATTATTCTTCCATGTAGATAGTGAGACTCAGAGCAGGTTTGAGGCAGAGACTGGGTCTTGGGAGTCCTAGTCCATTGCCCTCTTCCTACTGCATAATCCTGCCTTTACCCTTTTGTCCGCAAAACAGTGTTGTGAGTATTTAACACAGTTGTGAAACTTCAGACTGAGACACTTTCTAGCTTATCTCATAGGGACTCTTTGTTTGTTTGTTTCTATGGTAGAGGTGAAATTTTGTTACTGTTTTTCTTCAAGGAACTTTACTATCTGGGCTATCCAATCTTTTAAAAAATTGGTGCAGAGGTCAGGCACAGTGGCTTACGCCTGTAATCCCAGCAATTTGGGAGGCCCAGGCTGGCGGATCGCTTGAGGCCTGGAGTTCAAGATCAGCTTGGGTAACATGGCAAAAACCCCTCTCTACAAAAAATACAAAAGATTAGCTGGGTGTGGTGGTTCGTGCCTGTAGTCCCAGCTACTCAGCAGGCTGAGGTGGGAGGATCACCTGAGCCTAGGAGGTGGAGCCTGCAGTGAGTTGTCACAGTGGCATTCATTTCTGTTATTAAAACTGCTTTTTGCCAGTAATGGTAAGTACTAATACTTACAGGATGTTTACGTGCCGTGCACCATTCTAAGTATTTATGTATATTAAATATTTTAATGTCCTATGAGGTAAACATATTATCATGCTCATTTTACAAATGAAGAAATTAAGGCCCAGAGATACTAGGTAATGTGCCCGGCTCTTAAGTGCCAGGTTCAGGATTTAAAAGTTTTTGCTCTTACCTACTCTGCGTATTATCTCAGCAGCAGTAAGACAAAGAAGCTCCTTTTTCCCATGTTCATTTCTTGCTTTTATAATCTCATATAGTATTTAGTGAAATTGAGTTGTTAGTAGAATAAATTAGTATAAAATTTCTAATTAATATACATATATATTAAACCTTTACCTTTTTAATACAGTAATCTCCAGTGTGTTACCATAAATACTTCTGAAGGATTGGCTTACTCCTTAGCACACACATCCAATTTTTATCACTGGACTATGATTTTTTTTTCTTTTTTCCTGGAGACAAGGTCTCGCTCTGTCACCTAGACTAGAACATAGTGGTGCGATCATGGCTCACTGCACCTCGACCTCTAGGGCTCAAAAGGTTCTCTCACCTCAGCCTCTTGAGTAGCTGGGACTCCAGATGCATACCACTATGCCCAGCTAGTTTTTTTTCTGTGTGTAGAGATGGGGTTTGACCATGTTTCCCAGGCTGGTCTAAACCTCTCTCAAGTGATCTGCCCACCTTGGCCTCCCAAGTGCTGGGATTATAGGTGTGAGCCACAGCACCCAGCCATTGGACTATGATAATGCCATGATAAATTGAGTGCTTATAGTTGTACTTTCTTTCTTGCAATTGCTGGTAAAGTAGAAGTTAAATTTTTTAGCTATTATATTTTAAGGTGAAAGCAATTTGAAAATGTAAAATCATAAAATGATGAAATTTCATAATTGTTTTCTTATTTAATTTTTTTTAACTTAGTGGATGTTCCTTCAACTTGTGCCTTCTTGGAATGGATCTTTAAAACAGCTTTTGACAGAAACAGATGTCTGGTTTTCTAAACAGAGGAAAGGTAGGCCTGAAGTTTTTGAGAACTTGTCTTTTAAAAGGAAATTTGTTAAAATCAGGCCCCATGAGAACAGAAAATAAATAAATTAATTAATTAAATGAAATCAGGCCCTGACTTGTTTATAGACTTAATTTTAGAGCTTGGAGAAGACCTTAGCAATTATCTACTTCACCCCTCATTTACAGTGAGAAAATCAAGGCTAGATAAGAAAAATACCTTAACTATCATTATCTGAATTGTTACTCCTTGAACTGTCATCATACTCTTGATCGCCAAAAACTATTGTTTTTCCCATTTTATCACTAACAGATCTTGTTGATTGCATTTGTCTTGACCACACTGAGTTTTCTCTAACAAGCTATACCCCGTCAGGCAACCATTCTTAACATAGGGGCCATAGATAGGCTTTCATGTGTCACTGACTCCCAAAAGTGGGTACAGAATTTGATATGTGTGTGTGCTGCTGCATACATTTGTGAGAGGAGAGCTTCCATACCTTCCGTCAGATTCTTAGTGGAGACTGATCTAAAATTGGTTAAGATCAACTGCTATAAGGTCTTATCTGTGCAAAGGAGGGCATGCAATATAAAAAAAATACATGTGTATACTAAGTTAAAATGTATGTATGTTATTTTTTACTTTGCTAAAACATATCTAGAAAAAGTATTTTTTACGGCTGTCAGGTGCAAAGAACTGGATAAATCCTTAGTTCGTGATTTTCTTAGTTTATGGCCACCTTTTTGGTTTATTTTTAATACGTTGAGCCTTTGTGACCTAATCTTTGAGTACTAGAACATCAGTAACTTCAGTCTTAACTCATGTGCTTCTTTTCTATTGTGTCCCTCTGACTTTTCCTAACCACTATCTTGAACTTCATGTTTATTCTTTTGCTTTATAAATATATATTATTGCACCATGTATATACGTCTTAACATATATTACATAGTGGTGTGCTAATAAGCTGACTCTGAAAAAATAATCCTTGATTAGTACCATTTCTTAATTCCCATGGTACAAATTTTCCCATCATGGCTGATTGATTGCAAGCTACCAACATGACATCACTGAATGAGAAAGGAGATGCACACAGCTCCTATGAGCTAGCAGCAACACGCCACTGTATAATATATCATTTTGTTTTAGTTGTTATGGAACTATGTCACATTGTGGCCTTAATTTTAATGTCCTTTATAACTAAAGAGATTGAATGACTCTTAATATGGTTATTAGCCATATGTTTCCTCTTCTGTGAGATATCTGTTCAGGTATGTTTCCTATTTTAATGTCAGATTTGTCTTTTCTTATTGATTTGTAGGCATTCTTTATGTATTCCTGATAACTAATCCTTTGTCATACATATGTTCTGCACTTCCAGTTTGTAGGTTATCTTTTTAATTTATTAAAGATGTCTTTTTGGTTGGGTGCCGTGGCTCATGCCTGTAATCCCAGCACTTTGGGAGGTCAAGGCAGGAGGCTCACTTGAGACCAGGAGTTCAAGGACAGCCTGGGCAACATATCAAGACCCTGTCCCTACAAAAAGTTTAAAGAATTAGCAGGGCAGCCTGGCACGGAGGCTGATGCCTGTACTCCCAGCACTTTGGGAGGCTGACGCCTGTACTCCCAGCGCTTTGGGAGGCTGAGGTGGGCAGATCACAAGGTCAGGAGTTGGAGACCAGCGTGGCCAACATGGTGAAACCCTGTCTCTACTAAAAATACAAAAATTAGCCGGGTATGGTGGTGGTCGCCTATAATCCCAGCTGCTAGGGAGGCTGAAGGAGGAGAATCGCTGGAAACCAGAAGGCGGAAGTTGCAGGGGGCCGAGATTGCGCCATTGCACTCCAGCCTGGGCAACGAGCAAAACTCTGTCTCAAAAAAAAAGAATTAGCAGGGCGTGGTGGCATGTACTTGTCTGTATTCCCAGCTACTGGGGGGAGGATCACCTGACCCTGGGGGTGTCAGGGCTGCAGTGAGCCATGGCCACACACCACTGCACTCCAGCCTGGACAGCAGAGTGAGACCCTGTCTCAAAAGGAAAAAAAATGTCTTTTGATGAATAGATATTCTTAGTTTTAAAATTTCATGCTCTTTATATCTTAGTTAAATACATTTTATAGAATTATTTTATGTAGTCAAATTACCTACCTCAGAGCCAGATAAATTAATTTTCTATAAAGTTCCTGAAGTAAAAATGTGTAAAGAACCATATCAGTGAAATATAACTTGATTTCCTTGAAGAACAAAAATACTAAACTTGTATCTTAAATTATACTTTTGTGTTACGTTATGGCAATTAAAGAAGGACTAGGGAAATTATAGAGGAGAAAAGTAGGGGAAAGCATTTAAATAGAAGAGAGAGAAAAGCTGAAAGAGACAAGGATGGTGAAGAAGTTAAAAAGACAAAGAGACTCAGTAGAAACAGTAGATATTAGGCAAATGTTGATAGAACCTTATGATCATTTGTGCTCCAGATAGATCCACCACAGCAATCAATCAAAAGAGAAATTGCCCTGTAGCCTAAGTGGCAGAAACTAGAGAAGCAAGCTGTGGTCCACTTCTGGATTCCCACTTGAGGCTCTCCCTCCCAGCCCCTGAGGTGTGAAAGTATACAGTTCAAGATAACTTTTCAAGGAGACATTGATTGCACAAACCAAAATGTATGTCTGATGCTCTTGTTTTTCTATGAAGATTTTACAGAGTCATTTTCAATAGTTTTAAAATTATAAATAAGATGCATACTTAGGAAATAGGATAGAAAAATCACCTGTGATCCCTCACTCGTTATATTTTGGCATATGTCTGTCTGTCTTTTTTTTTTTGAGACAGAGTCTTGCTCTGTCACCCAGGCTGGAAGTGCAGTGGTGCGATCTTGGCTCAGTGCAACCTCCACCTCCCAGATTCAAGCAATTCTCCTGCCTCAGCCTCCCGAGTAGCTGGGACTACAGGTGCATGCCACCACACCCAGCTAATATTTTGTATTTTTAGTACAGATGGAGTTTGCCATGTTGGCCAGGCTGGTCTTGAACTTCTGTCCTCGAGTGATCTGCCTGCCTCGGCCTCCCAATGTGCTAGGATTACAGGCATGAGCCACCACACCTGCCATATATTTTTGTATATTTCTTTTAAGTTTTCTTAATTATTTGACTTTTCAGATCTATATGGATCAGGACTACAAGAAACAACAGAAATTTAGAAAGTTTTCTACACAATTATACTTAAGGATTGCTATTGAATTTGGCTGATGGAATAAGTATGGCCACATGTTGTCCAGCAAGAAACTTTAAAACATTTTTTTTGGTTCTATAAATTCTTACAGAAGTAAATGAGCCAGTCTCTTCTACAGCCGTGACGAAAAGGCTTCATGAGTTAGAATCACCAGATTTCTATGAGACAATCCAGAATTAGATTTTTATATCTTGTTCATGTGACAGAACACTTGTAAAAACAAAATGGTATTCTCAGCACACCCCCTGAAATTGGCACATTTAATTCAACATATGAACTGGAACCAATGTTGTTATTTTTAAACTCAAGAGATATAAATCCACTGTCACACACCTGTTGTATAAATAAGTGAAGTTAACTATTAATTTTTTAATGAATTTACTGCTTTCTTGTTTGCTTTGCTGACTCTAGGCAGGTGCCAAGGGAATACAAAAAATATATGAGATAATGTGGAAATTCTTTTCATTAACTTGGCTGTCTTTTTACAATTTTCAGGAAAAAAATATTTTAGTGGGGAACACCTTCTGGTCTACAGAAAACCTGTGTTCCATGTGAAGCATGGTTTGAGACATAATAGTCTATAATGGCAACTGTCATGTTTTTCTCCTTATCCTTAATAGCAACAGGACTGGGTATACATACTCTCCTGGGTATATGTCGTTTAACAGAAAACATAGACTAGGGCTCATGCACAAATACCTGTTTGATAGCAGTAACTCTAAACCTTTCCTTCTGACTCATGAAAGCACACTGGAATGTAACTGAGGGTAATTTTTAGGAATAACCTTAAATTCTCCCTAAAAGAAAAAAAATTATATACTTCATAAACTTGAATTATTCTATTTTCTTTTCTTTTTTTGAGACAGAGTTTCACTCTGTCACCCAGGCTAGAGTGCAGTGGCGCAATCTCAGCTCACTGCATCCTCTGCCTCCCGGGTTTAAGCAATTCTCTGCCTCAGCCTCCCAGTTAGCTGGGTTTACAGATGCCCACTACCACACCCAGCTAATTTTTTTTGTATTTTTAGTAGAGACAGGGTTTCATCATCTTGGCCAGGCTGATCTTGAACTCCTGACCTCGTGATCCACCCTCCTCGGCCTCCCAAAGTGTTGGGATTACAGGCGTGAGCCACCACGCCCAGCCAAATTATTCTATTTTCAGTATTATTATTATTATTATTATTATTATTATCATTATTACTTATTTTAGAGACAAGTTCTTGCTCTGTCACACAGGCTGGAGTGCAGTGGTGCAATCATAGCTCACTGCAAGCTGAAACTCCTGGGCTCAAGCAATCTTTCCACCTCAGCCTCCTGAGTAGCTGGGATCACAGGCGTGAGCCACCACGCCTAGCCATACAGTGTCTTTCTTATTTTGTATTTCAATAGAGAATTAATATATTAACTAGTGTTCATTACATGTAGCTGAAATGTAAGTTAAAAGAAATTAAGAGATATTCTTTGTCCTGTGTACCTTATCCTTGAGTGAGGCTTTTGGGCTCCAGAGTTTCACTGGCCTGTTCAGGTCTTGGGAGGGGGATTCTGGCGAGAATGTGTAATCCTAAGTACCTTTCTCAAGCCTTCCTTTCCCAACTTGCTGCACTATACATGCCAAATGCCCAGAAACAGCTGAATTCCCAGCCTGGGGGTTTCATTAAGACCAAAGTTAATTTCCTGGGATTTTAAAATAAATCTCCTTATGTTCTTATCTGTAAACCTAAGGTTTATAAAATTCTTGAGAACTTTAAAACTAGCTTATTTTGTATTCTAATAGACATGAATGTACGTATCCCCCGTCCACAAAAACATTTAAGAATAATAGGTTTGAAAAGAATGGCTGTTTAACTTACATGGTTTTTTATAGATTTTGAAGGTATGGCCTTTCTTGAAACTGAACAAGGAAAACCATTTGTGTCAGTATTCAGACATTTAAGGTTACAATATATTATCAGTGATCTGGCTTCTGCAAGAATTATTGAACAAGATGCTGTAGTACCTTCAGGTAAGAGAACATAATTTGTAATTTTAAGTAATATATTTCTGATTATAAAGTAATATAGATCATAGAAAAGAACAAGGAAAGAAGTAGAAATTATTATTAATCCCAAAAAGGTATACATCTTTATGCCAAAGTGGAATCATCCTATAGAAGTAATTTTCTGTGCTTACATATCATGAGTATTTTCCCATATCATATTTCATGAAATACTCTCTAGAATATTTAAATGATTATCTAGTATTCTGTAATATGGATGTTCTTTAATTTAATAAACCAGTACATGATTTTGGATGAGACTTTTTAAAATGACTTTTGAAGTATTTAAAGATCATAAGTGATTTTTCTATTAGTGCTCCTTAAATTTGTTTATTTTGATTTTTTCTTATTCTAAAGTCTTAAACTTCATGTTGAAGCAAATGTGTCTTTGCTAATTATAATTTAAATTTTTTGAAATAACTACTGATTTACCTTTCTGAGTTAAATCTCTAGTGCTTGTGAATAATTCTATTTAGTACTATATATACATATACAAAATTGAAAATAGAATTTCTGTTTGAACATTTACATGTAATGTTTGTAGTAATAATTATAGATTTGTCTAAAAAGTTGTGATTATTTTTGACACCTTAATTGTGACATAGCTATATGTTTATAGATTTTTGTTCCTGATATCTGTATACTTATTTGGAAAGAAATTGAAGGGAAGGAAAACTTAGAGTTAACTCTTCTGGTATATTTGGAAGTGATGCATTTTTATAAAATCACTTTAGCAAGTTTATAGATACTGTTTAAGTCACAAATTCTCTGAATTTTACATTGCTTATAGTATAGCAGTTCTATAATAGTTTTAGTATCTGTTAAATACCAGGCCCTAGCAATAATGTAATGTTAGATGCCAAAGCCAATTACATATGCCGCTCTAACTGTACTTCCTTTTAAGGCTTTTTGCAAATGTATTTTGTAAGAGATTGGGGAAAAGTCTGTTCTAAAGTAGTTTAATTTAAGTGTGCCTGTGATGCAAGTGGATAAGCTTTATATTTTTGGATTGCAAGATGGGTACAAGTATTTCTAGTCTAAAATATTTTGTTCAGTATAAAATCAGAAAGAATTTAGATCCTGTATTTTTTGGCAGATTTCAGTCATTGTTACCGTATCTTACAGATAATTATTTATCACATTGTGAAGAGACAGAAGGAAGCCACCTAATTCACATTATTGAGATAGGCTGATATATGCTCTCAGTAGGAAGGTATCTTAGATTTGAAATTAGTTGAAATTATTTTGATTAATCAACCTAAAACTTGATCATTTTTCAGAAATAGTGCCAAACATGTGTTAACGTTAATCAAAGTTAGGCGTTTGGCAATATGGGGAATTTGGGTACATCTGTTTACCATCTTTAGGTGAAAAATTTAGAAGCATGTTTAATTAAAAGTTGAATTGGGACTTTGTATAGAAGCACTTTATTTTAGGATTCAACTGTGTCAAGCACAGTTCAACTCCATTATTTCATGGAATTAGGTTTATCTTAGGTCATTAGGTTCATTAACTGTCTTATTCCATACTCTTGTCATGCTTTCCTCCACTTGGATACCTCTGACCTATCTTGTTACTATTCCTCCCAGACCTTTCTACTATATGCCCTGGAACCAGGGACAACAAAATCTTCCATCTCTTCCCTCCTTTTTTTTTTTTTTTTTTTTTTTTTTTTAACTTCCAGAATAAGCTATTTTCCCTCCGTAGAAGACTTTCTGGCTCTCACACCCTACTAATATAGGGCCAGGAGACCACCGTCCTAGCCCCCTCAGTGTGCACTTTCCAAACCATTATTGCATGCCATCTGAGCCTGTTTTCTCTTCTGACCCCTAATCATTTCTTTGCATTCATTTAAGACTTAGACACTTATTTTACTGTCTATTTCTCCCCCAATCCAGTCACATAATATGTCCATATGAACAAATACATTTAATATCCCAGCCTCCTAGTAGTTTTTTGACCTCAGCTCTCAGCCTCCTAGTTATTTGACCTCTTTGCCAAACATTAGGCACTTTCTTCCTAAAACCTGGATATGCCATGAACCTTGTGAACCCAGAATTTCTCAGCATCAGAAACCTGGTAGTTTTCAGGCTATTATATAGCCTAGCATGTTCATAGCCTCATTCCCTTTTACACTGCTCTTTAACTTCCAACCCATTTTAAGCCCTTCATTTTCTGCCAGTCTTTCAAACCTCTCCTGTCTTTTCTTCCCTCTCAGGCTTGGATTTCATGATAGATCATGTTAGGTCACTCTCACAGTTGTCTTCAACTCTGTGTCCTTCACTTGGCAAAATCCTAGAACTAAATTAAACCTTCTTTGTTCCTATACCCTCTACTTTGTGCTGAGTACTGCAGATCATCCTACAGCTTTTGTATTGGTGTCACTGCAAATTCACATTTCAACACTAAGCTTGAACCTTGGGACTTCTTACACTACTTTTAGTTCATTATTTCTCTTTTTCATTTCCTTCAGCAATTGTATCAATTTCTGCCACTCTGTTCCAACTTTCTACCCAATTACCTCATTGTCAGTTTTGTGAAAATAAGTTACTGAAAATGAAAAGGTATGTAAATCCATGTAATAAACTCAGAAAATAGCTTCAGAACTAGATTTTGACGTTATTATACATAAGCATTTTTGAACCAGGCTTCTCCATAATTTTGTGTTAATATTTTATACCTAGATACTCTATACAGAATACTCTTATTTGTCCATGTAGGAATTTTTACTATGTAAATGTTTAGTCACTCATCTTCATTATCTACATCTAATTTATGTGTTTCATAAGTTGTTCAACTTGTAGGCTTAGTTTTTTGCTATAAGCCATATTAGTTTTAAGTGGATTCATGTTAGTGTATGTATACCTGAAGATACACTTTTCCCTTCACTTAAACAAAAAATACTGGGCAAATTAGGAAGTATCTTTTTTTTGCTTTTTAAAGTTTGTGAATGTAAGACATGAGATTTTCAAATAATATGGTTTTAGAGGGCCCTTTCCCATATTCTTTGTGTAAAACTAGGGAAATAATCTAAATAAATTCAATCTAATGTATCTCATTTATTCCATTGGGAAAATACTGGGTTTATATTCAAAACTGCTGTAGACTAGATCACAGCTGCAGATCAGATCCGTGACGCTGTCAAATACCACCTTGAAATGTCCATATTTTTTCCCCCTGCAGGCTGGGGAGGGGCAGGTGGGTAGAGACAGAGTCTTGCCATGTTACCCAGGCTGTTCTCAAACTTCTAGTCTTAAGCAATGCTTCTGCCTCGGTCTCCCAAAATGCTGGAATTACAGGCATGAGTCACTGTACCCAGCCCCTATTTTGAGTTTTTGTTTTGGACCTTGGTCTGATAAAGTTTAAAATAAGTGCGGAAACATATTACTATTTAGTCAAAATTTAGTCTACTTAGTCAAAGTTTCTTGAAGGCACTTTTTCAGAATCTTTCCAGCTAACAGTAGCTCTCTGCCAAAAAGGGTTCTGGCAAACTCTTCCTAGTGTTTCTTCCTTTTTGGAGATGATTGCATACAAACATATTGAAAACTCTGTGTAAAAGAACCTGCTTCACTTATTTTCATCCCATATTTTACCAGGGATTCTTTTTTTTTCCTTTTGCAATGCTATTAACATTGCATTTGAACTTGTGTTACATTGACTTATTTTTGGAATGCTGCTTTTAAGACATGGGACCTAGAATCCTTGAGCTACCAATGACCAGAAAGATTTCAAGTTTGACTTTTTATTCTTTTGGATTAAACTATGACAAGAGGAACAAAAATATGTACTCATGTTTTTAACTTGTTCAAATGCTTTTGGTTTTAAAGGAGGTTATGCAAAAATTGTTGGAATTTAAATTCTAAAACATTTTTGGCCGGGTGTGGTGGCTCACGCCTGTAATCCCAGCACTTTGGAAGGCCGAGGCAGGTGGATCATGAGGTAAGGAGATCGAGACCATCCTGACCAACATGGTGAAACTCCGTCTCTACTAAAATACAAAAAATAAGCCAGGTGTGGTGGCACATGCCTGTAATCCCAGCTACTCGGGAGGCTGAGGCAGAGGAATCGCTTGAACCTGGGAGGTGGAGGTTGCTGTGAACCCAGATCGCGCCACCACACTCCAGCCTGGTGACAGAGCAAGACTCTGTCTCAAAAAAAAAAAAAAAAAAAAAAATTTATGGGATACATCTAACATGATATTTGAGAATATTTACGTATGTCTGACTCTTTCATTCCAATTTTACAAATGAGTCATGAAATGCCATATGCTATCTCTAGATCAATGAGTTTCAAACTCCAGGTATTTTAATAGGTAGGGATCAGCTTTAAATATATATATATATATGAATTTTTTTAAATATATGTGTGTATGTGTGCTGAGTCATGTAATAGTTGCTACTAGTATTTACCTATGAAGACAAATTATCTGTACTAGACACTTAAATTCCTTATAATAGCAAGAATGTAATTTTGGAGGACCCTGAAAGAAAGATTCAAAAGTGTATTTAGGCCAGACATGGTGGCTCACGCCTGTAATCCCAGCACTTTAGGTGGCCGAAGCAGGAGACCCCTTCTCCATAAAAAATGGAAAAATTAGCTAGGCATGGTGGCAGACACCTATAGTCCCAGCTACTCTGGAGGCTGAGAGGAGAACTGCTTGAGCCCAGGAGTTCAAGGCTGCAGTTTACCAAGATAGGGCCACCGGACCCCAGCCTGGGCCACAGAGTGAGACCGTGTCTCTCTCTCTCTAAAAAAAAAAAAAAAAGTATATATGGGATGTTTTAAGGAAAGACACCAGTAAATCATTGGAAGTCACCGGATTACTTTTATTAAGTAGAGACCTAGGAAGTGACAATCCAGATTTTAATTGCACTACGATTTCTACCCCTCTTTTACATAGAGATTGAGAAATAATTTAAGAACTTAAAAAAAAATAGAAAAACTACCCATTCTAGTTGGGAATAAACAAGAGCAGAAAGATAAATAGTGCTGAGCCAATTCTATTTGTATTTATTTATTTTTTTTGAGGCAGGTTCTTGCTCTGTTGCCCAGGTTTTGAGTGCATTGGCATGTCCAGGGCTCGCTGCAGCCTTGATCTCTCAGACTCAAGAGATCTTTCTGCCTCAGCCTCCTGAGTAGCTGGGACTACAGGTGCACGCACCTAATTTTTGTGGTTTTGGAGAGATCAGGTCTCACTATGTTGCCCAGGCTGGTCTAGAACTCCTGGGCTCAAGTGATCCTCCTACCTCAGCCTCCCAAAGTGCTTGGGATTACAAGCATGAGCCATCTCACCTGGCCTACTCTTATTTTTAATCTGTTTTTATCTAAAATAGCTAATGTTTCCACTTACACAGGCTTATTTTGTGGGAAAAATATTTATTATTAAAGGAATGTCTGTAATTACAATTTTTATTCTATTTAGAATAATTTAAAATATTTTAATTTTTATGTTATCTAAATCTAATATTCTAGAATTATTTATTGAGTGTGCATGTTTCATCTACGAATTTAGGGATGGCTTATTTCCCAAAAAACCAATTAATTGTTTTTTTATGTTAATAATGGAAGAGTTTATTATTCAATTTTCTGTCAGAACTTCTGTAAACACTAAAAATATAGTTTCAGATATGATTTTTACAATTGAAAAATTAATATGAACTATGAAAGGGAAAACGTTAAACGCAAGAATATGCTTTTAACTATCCCAATTTAAATGTATGCAATGTAATAAGTACAGTCTAGCCTGAGACAAAGCTGTAAAACCTTTACCACTTTAAAGATCATTCAGCCATTATAGTATTTTTGTAAAATATAAGCTACCTACCAGTTTCGTTTGTTTGTTTGTTTGTCTGTCTGTTTGATTGTTTGAGACAGAGTCTTGCTCTGTCACACAGGCTGGAGTGCAGTGGCATGATCTTGGCTCCCTGCAACCTCCGCCTCCTGGGTTCAAGCGATTCTCCCGCCTCAGCCCCCCAAGTAGTTGGGATTACAGGCGCCCACCACCACACCCGGCTAATTTTTGTATTTTTAGTAGAGACGGGGTTTTGCCATGTTAGTCAGGCTGATCTCGAACTCCTGACCTCAGGTGATCCACCTGCCTTGGCCTCCCAAAGTGCTGGGATTATAGGCATGAGCCACCATGCTTGGCCTAAGCTACCTAATTTTTAAATTGCTATTTTAAACTTGTATTTAGAAATGGTAACAATTTTGTCAACTATGAATGTTTAAATCCTTTATGTTCTTCAGTCGTTATTTATTATTATTAATTTATTCTTACATTTCAGAATGGCTCTCTTCTGTGTATAAACAGCAGTGGTTTGCTATGCTGCGGGCAGAACAGGACAGTGAGGTGGGGTAAGTATATTATACCTTATCATTTTTCATTAAAAAAATTTGCTATGAATTTTTTAATGCATTCATTATGTTGAAAAATCATTAACAGTATTGAAAACTCAAGCTGTTGAAGTAAAGATCATATAATCACTTTTTATTATATTTTTGCAACATTATCAGTCTTATAAATGTCTTTCTGGTCAATTAGATAGTATAATGCAATTATGGAAATGTCATTTGCTTTATTAGTAAAATTGAACATGTAATCCATATATACTTTGTTTCACTTAGTATCATATGATTTTCTTTCAACATACTGAACTATTATTTGAGGTAATGCTTTCATAAAGCATAATTTTTATATTTATGTCTAGGTAAATCTGTTTTTCTTATGGTAGTATTGTCAAATTCTGATTAATGTAATAAATAGTTTTTGAAGATCTTTAAGTCTAAAATGAATTTAAAAACCATCCAGGCTGGGCACGGTGGCTCACGCCTGTAATCCCAGCACTTTGGGAGGCTGAGGTGGGAGGATCACTTGGGGTCAAGAGTTCGAGACCAGCCTGGCCAACATAGTGAAACCCCGTCTCTACTAAACCCTGGAAGTGGAGGTTGCGGTAAGCCAAAATTGCTCCACTGCACTTCCAAGCCTGGGGGATAAAGTGAGACTCAGTCTCAAAAAAACAAAACAAACAAACAAACAAAAAAACACCATCTGGTTACAGATACCTTCCCCAAAAACATATGACTCCCCCCACAAAACATTAATCCTCTTTCTTCATCTTAAAGGAAAGATTATTATAGTGCTTTGTAGTTCACAGAACTTTTATATTTGTGATTTGATCCTTCTGCTAGCTTCTTAATATATAGGTATTGTGGAGAGACTGAGTGTACAGAAAGACCTTCAAAGTTTAATTTTTTGCCCTGATCTCTTTGAACTCATTTTTATATACTAAATAATTTTTTTAAATAATGACCTAATTATAAGTTTTCATCCTAACAGTAAGTGTATGAAAGTATTACATAAATTCATGATGATTATGTCATTTTTATTATCCAGGATCCTAGTTTCTACTTTGATTATAATTATATATTTTTTCAAACATATTCCCAGTATATTTATCCAGCATAAATAATAGTAAGATTGTTGAGGCTGGGTGTGGTGGCTCACACCTGTAATCCCAGCACTTTGGGAGGCCGGGGTGGGTGGATCACCTGAGGTCAGGAGTTCGAGACAAGCCTGACCGAGATGGAGAAACCCTGTCTCTACTAAAAATACAAAATTAGCTGGGTGTGGTAGCGCATGCCTGTAATCCCAGCTACTCAGGAGGCTGAGGCAGGAGAATCGCTTGAACCCGGGAGGCGGAAGTTGCAGTGAGCCAAGATTGCGCCATTGCACTCCAGCCTGGGCAACAAGAGCAAAACTCCATCCCAAAAAAAAAAAAGATTGTTGAAATACAAATAATAAATTGAAATCAAAAAGTGAGCTATTTAATGGAATTGAGAACTGAAGCATTTTGTAGTATATGAAGTAACGATGAGCTATTTAATGGAATTCAGAACTGAAGCATTTTGTAGTGTATGAAGTAACTTATAAATCATCCTACTTCTTCTGTATATTCAATTTTTAAATTTTGGATGTTCTTTATTTTTCATGATTTTCCTCACCCATGTCCTTATTGAGGTAATACAGAGTCTCATCTAAGATACTGCACTAGAATAAGTCTTTAGTTTTTTGCCTTAAGAAGTACAGTCATTTTGGGGGAATTGGTTTCAGGACCCCTGCGTATACCAAAATCCACACATACTCTAGTCCCGCAGTTAGTTGACCCTGCAAAACCCACATATACGAAAAGTTGGCTCTCCATATACACAGATTTCACATCCTACAAATACTGCATTTTTGATCTGATTTTGGTTGAGAAAAATCTGTATAAATGGACCCAAGCAGTTCAAACCTGTTGTTCAAGGGTCAACTGTATATGATATATCCCCTCTTAGGAAATGTTCTGTTCAGCAGATACCAAGCATCTGCTCACTGCTGCAGGACTGCTAAAGTGAGGAAGACACTATATTCCCTGGATGCTAGGTTATAATCTGGTGTCAAATTTCCCTCTGGGCTTCTCCTCATAAAACTCTTGTCTATGTTGCCAAGAGGGTTATCTTTCTAAAACAGAAATAAAACTGTGTCACTTCTCTACTTAAATATGTCCAGGGATATTTGATGACAGTTAAGGGATTATAGTATTGCTGTTCAAGATTATTGAAGCTAGATGGTAAGAAAATTTGGCTCATACTATTTTCTCTGCTTTCATATGTTTGTAGTTTTTCGTAACAAAAAGTTTAAAAGTTACAGAATAAATGCTTGGGAACTTGTTACCTACAAGAGCAGTTGAAACTTTTTAGCATGATCTGTGGGGACTGTCAGCATTCTATCCCAGATGTCTTTAGCTTCCTCTCCTTTCATGTTCATCTGCACTAAATGTGCACTAAATTCTTATGTTCATATGCTGCAGCTGCATTAAATTCCTTTACATTTTGGTTTTCTGTTATGCTCCAGTTCCTTTTTATCCACTATTTCTTCTGCCTGGAATACTCTTACCCCTCCATAGAATTCACCCCTCACCTCCACCCCACCCAACAAGCTTCCACTCGGGCACAAATAATATTTACTCTCTAATGATCCCCCTCTAATCCTAGGCAATAAATCTGTACCTTCTTCATGTGCTTAACATCACAAACCACAAATTATTAATATTATTATAATTAACTGTAGTATAATTATTATTTATGTCTAGTTCCCTACTGAACTGAGCTCTTGGATATCAAGGATATGTTTTATTAGTCTTATTTACACTTATTTATTTATTGTATTTGTTTCATTATTTTATTATGTATTATATATGCTATTATTGTACCCAATTTCTAGGCATTTCATGTTGTGAATGAATATATGAATGAATGTATTATATTACTGTTATCATTTGGAATAATGATGCTAATTATAATACCATATTTATTACAACTTTAGATAACAGTATTTCTCTTAGTTGATTAAGGTTTTTAAACTAGGGAACCAAATAAAGACTTAACTGATAAAATTTTACAGCCATTTTCTATTAATATTGATTTTGCATAGTTACACTATATGAAAAATGGTTTGCATGTGAAACAAGTAATATTAAGTGGTAGGTGATATCAAGTCACATCTTATTTACAGAAATAATAGATTTTAGCTTATTTTACTTGTAGTTAGACTTTTACTTTTTTTTTTTTTTTTTTTTTTGGCAAATAGAATTTTTCAGGTTTTTTTTCCTCTACTCTGGTTTGGCTGAGCCCTAATAAAAGTAGTCCAGAAGTCAGGGCAATAAGTGAAACATAGAAGATATTAAATCTTTTTTATCTAGCAAAAATAATGGACTAAATTTAATCAACACTTTCTTATTTTTATCTGTACCACAAAAACTTATTTTTAAATCTGGTAGCAAGATTTTCTGTTCTTAACTCATAGTTCTTTTTTAATTATTAGTTGCATATTTTCTATGAACGTTCATATTTTATGTATATTTTTAGGCCTCAAGAAATCAATAAAGAAGAACTAGAGGGAAACAGCATGAGGTGTGGTAGAAAGCTTGCCAAAGATGGTGAAGTAAGTATGGGTTGTGACTGTTAATATTCTTATACAAATTGTATTATCAGCACATCCTGCACCTGTAAGTAGTAATCATGACACCTGTCATACCTCAGAAGAGCTTGTTTGATACACTTTCTGTAGCATGATCTGCTGGGAAAGTAGTTACAGCCACCACACTCAGTAGTGATTGATTACTTGGCCTTGTATGAGAATGCTGAACTTAAATTTTGAGTTCAGATAAGACATACAAGAAGAGGGTCCCTTAGCAATCCAGAAATTAAGATAAAGAAGAAATTGTGAGGGATCTGTTACATAGTCTTAAAAGTGATTCTGTGTTACAGTTGTCCTAAATCAAAGACATTCAAATCCATTGATTGTTACCCACATTAGGAATTACCTTTTCTTGGCCAGGTGCGGTGGCTCACGCCTATAATCCCAGCACTTTGGAAGGCTGAGATGGGCGGATCACTTGAGGCCAGGAGTTCAAGACCAGCCTGGCCAACATGGTGAAACCCCATCTCTACTAAAAATACAGAAGTTAGCCAGGCATGGTGGTGCATGCCTGTAAACCCAGCTACCAGGGAGGCTGAGGCACGAGAATCACCTGAACTCGGGAGGCAGAGGTTGCAGTAAGCCGAGATCATGCCACTGCACTCCAGCCTGGGCGACAAAGTAAGACTCCATCTCAAAAAAAAAAAGATATTTTTTCATTACCACCCAATATAAATGTATATAAGTGAAAGAAAAGTATTTAAAAACAATACTTACCCCTGTGCATCCAGAAATTATTTTTTCTATTTAATACTTTTATTTTATGTTATTTGTTAGAGACAGGCTCTCCCTCTGTCACCCAACCTGGAGTGCAGTGGCGTGACCACAGCTCACTGCAGCCTTTAACTCCCAGGCTCAAGCACTTCTCCCATCCCAGCCTCCCAAATAGCTGGGATTGTAAGCATGAGCCACCATGCCCAGCCTTCTATTTAATATTTTTTTAAAAAAACTGATTGTGGCTGGGCACGGCGGCTCATGCCTGTAATTCCAGCACTTTGGGAGACTGAGGCAGGCAGATCATGAGGTCAGGAGATCAAGACCATCCTGGCTAACATGGTGAAACCCTGTCTCTACTAAAAATACAAAAATTCTCTGGGCGTAGTGGTGTATGCCTGTAGTCCTAGCTACTCGGAAGGCTGAGGCAGGAGATTGCTTGAACTCGTAAGGCAGACGTTGCAGTGAGTCAAGATTGTGACACTGCACTTCAGCCTGGTGACAGAGCGAGTCTCCATCTCAAGAAAAAAAAAAAAAAACTGATTGTATCTTATTAAATTGATTTTACAATCCACTAATGAGACATGAACTACATTTTTAAATATTCCCCCCTAACTAATCATAATTTTTGTTTTTCAAAAAAAATCAACCTTATATAGATACCTATTTGGTTATTTCTCTCCCAAACTTTTCCTCATTTTGACTTTATTTATTTTTAATTTTTAAAAGTTGATTATTTTACGTTCACATTGATTGACTGATGGACAGTGTCTCACTGTGTCGCCCAGGTTGGAGTGCAGTGGCACAATCATCGCTCACTGCAGCCTCAATGCTCTGGACTAAAAGCAACAGTCTCTGGAGTAGCTGAGACTACAGACACGTGTCACCACAGCCAGCTAATTTTATTTTTTTACTTTTTGTAGAGTTGGGGGTCTCCCTGTGTTGCCCAGGCTAGTCTCGAATTAGTGGGCTCAAGAGATCTTCCTGCCTTAGCCTCCCAAAGTGCTAGAATTATAGGCATGAGCCACCACACCCAGCCTATGTTTGCCTTTGTATTATGATAAATGTTCAGAGTATAAAAGAATAGTTTTCTTTAGTTCTCATTCTTCCTTGTTGCTGCTTTCAGATCTTCTTGTTACTTTGAAGCAAATTCTCCTACTATACCACCTACTACTCTTATTGTGGCCATAATTCACTGAGTTCACTGCCTTTCTTTTCTTTTCTTTCTTTTTTTTTTGAGACAGAGTCTCACTCTGTTGCCCAGGCTGGAGTGTAGTGGCATGATCATGACTCACTGAAGCCTTGACTTCCTGGGCTCAAGTGATCCTCCCACCTGAGCCTCCCAAGTAGCTGGGACTACAAGAATGCACCACCACGCCTGGCTAATTTTTTAAAATTTTTGTAGAGACGAGGTCTCACTATGTTGCCCAGGCTGTTCTCAGACTCCTGGGCTCAAGTGGTCCTCCTACCTTGGCCTCCCAAATTGTTGAGATTATAGGCATGAGCCACCACGTCCAGCCCTCACTACCTTTCTTTACCACTACTCTTATTCTCGGTCGTGTTGATTTCAATATCTCTGTTCCCTGACCTTCCTTCCCCCATGCTCTTGTGCTCCACCCTACCTCAGGCATCCATTCCTGTGAGCATACCCTCAATTTTTGCATTATTAATTACTACACCACCTTCAAAATCTCCATTTCAGGCATCCCGTTTTCAGACCCCACCTCGTCTTTCTAGCTCATTCTCTCTAGCACCTGGACTCCAACAATTTTTTAACTCCATTCTGGATATACAATACATTGTTTTTACAACCTTTCCCTATCACCTTTCTGACCACATTTCTACTTCTTATTTTGCTTGACTTATATTTTATGTTCCATCGTAAAATTGGTCCCTTGCTTATACTCTTTTAACTTTTCTTTTTCCTCATTGACATGTTAAACTCACCTGGCTAAACCCCAACTCTTGTCAAGGGTTGCACTCCATGCCTGCATCCAGACAGATGAATGTGATTAAAGACAAACACCGTACCCCATTGGGTTCCACTTGAATGTGGTAACCATGAACTTGAAGTAGGTTAGTGCTGCATCATGATCTGTCTGCATTTTCCTAGTGAATTGATCCTCCCATTAGCTGAGGTAACTCATACCTTCTCTCCTTAAAAGGGCAATGCTCCCACCCTTATTCTTATCTGATGGCCTTGCTGCCTACTGCAATGAAAAGAGAATCTGTACATCATCTTACCAGTAGTTCTGCCAGTCTACCTGCACCTGTAGCTATGCGCTATGCATTTCATCTTATTAGAAAAATGAACTGCCTACTTCTATCTTAGTCCATTCCCTCTCTTTGTACTGGACTCTATCCATGCTCACCTATTCAAAAGCTTTGCTCCAGCCAGGCACAGTGGTATGCACCTGCAATTCCAGCTACTTGGGAGGCTTAGGTGGAAAAATTGCTTGAACCCAGGAGTTAGAGTTCAGCCTGGGCAATATAACGAGACCCTGTCTCTTTAAAAAAAAAAAAGCTTTGCCCTTACAGTTATCACCTCTACTAGGGCAGAAACTGTATGTTATTTACTGCTATGATTCCATTGCTTAGAGGAGTGCCTGGCATATAATATGTGCTCAATAAATATCAGTTAAATACTGAATTGCAATTCAGGGTGTCAGCCAAACACTTGAAGCCCTAACTACTTCTCTGTATCACACTACCTTATCTGATACTCTCACATTAACTATTAGCTGATAGAATAAACAAACTCGTGAACCCCATGATGATATTTAAATAACCCAGTTGTGTGTTACTTGAGTTAGAGTATTTTATTTTTATTTTTATTTTTATTTTTTTTTATTCTTTTTTGTATTTTTAGTAGAGATGGGGTTTCGCCATGTTGGCCAGGCTGTTTTTGAACCTCAGACCTCAGGTGATCCACCCGCCTCGGCCTCCCAAAGTGCTGGGATTACAGGCGTGAGCCACCACACCCAGCCCTTAAGAGTATTTTTAAAGCAAGGTGGATTTTAATGGGCTCTTAATTACCTTAGTGCTCTAGAAACTCTTAGTGCTCTAAGCTATATACCCACTTAGAGTTGCAGTGAAAAGCCTTATTATTGCTGGGTGCAGTGGCTCACGCCTGTAATCCCAGCGCTTTGGGAGGCCGAGGCGTGTGGATCACAAGGTCAGCAGTTCAAGACCAGCCTGGCCAACATAGTGAAACCCCGTCTCTACTCAAAATACAAAAAAAAAAGGCCGGGCACAGTGGCTTACACTTTGTAGTCCCAGCACTTTGGGAGGCCGAGGCGGGCGGATCACCTGAGGTCGGGAGTTCGAGACCAGCCTGACCAACATGGAAAAACCCCGTCTCTACTAAAAATACAAAATTAGCCAGGCTTGGCGCATGCCTGTAATCCCAGCTACTCAGGAGGCTGAGGCAGGAGAATCGCTTGAACCCGGGAGGTGGAGGTTGTGGTGAGCCAAGATCATGCCATTGCACTCCAGCCTGGGCAACTAGAGCAAACCTCTGTCTCAAAAAAAAAAAAAAAAAAATTAGCCGGGCGTGGTGGCAGGGACCTGTAGTCCCAGCTACTTGGGAGGCTGAGGCAGGAGAATCGCTTGAACCCGGGAGGTGGAGGTTGCAGTGAGCCAAGATCATGCCACTGCACTCCAGCCTGAGTGACAGAATGAGACTCTGTCTCAAAAAAAAAAAAAAAAAAAAAAAGCCTTATTATTTATGGTAGAATTGCAGTATGGAGAGATAAGGAAACTGATCATGAAGAGGAAAGTAGCTTAGAGAATTATGATCATTAAGGGCAGCTTTTCTAGCTTAGATAAATAGTTTTGGGTGGTAAGCCTTAAGAAAAAGTCACTGACAAAAAGTCGACCACCCATGAGGGAAATACTTGGAATGAGTTAGAGACAAAAAGACATTTTGAATTTTTTATTTTCTACTTGCTAATATGATAAACTGAAATAAGTCTTCTCTCTTGTATTTTTTAGTACTGCTGGCGTTGGACAGGTTTTAACTTCGGCTTCGACCTACTTGTAACTTACACCAATCGATACATCATTTTCAAACGCAATACACTGAATCAGCCATGTAGCGGATCTGTCAGTTTACAGCCTCGAAGGAGCATAGCATTTAGGTAGGATGAGATTTCCCCACCCCACTCCTCCTCACTCCAGAGAAAATATAAGAAATAAAACCTTGATAATTTACACCAACATTAGTAGAACTTTGGTAAGCTACAGTATATGTGGAAGTGGTAGGAAATGACGAGGCTCCATTCCTGTGAAATCTATTGTTAGTAATCAGAATCATAGGATCTAGTATGTCAGGGAGAATGAATAGGCTGGAATATATACCAGTAGGGAATATCAGCCTTGAAGTCGTTGCCTTGTTGCTATTCCTAGCAAATAAAAGATCCAGACTGTTGAAATATGTAGCAAGGTATGTTTCCAGGAAAACACATATTATCCTTAACTTTTTAAAGGATTTAATATGTTAAATTTTGCCCAGTAGTTGCTGGCAATCTTTTTCTGAGAGGATACCAGAAGCTGACAAATTGGACAGTAGCTTAATGAACATGATTTAAAAGTCATATATTTATACTTACCTTACACCAAATACAAAAATTAACTTAAAATGGATCAAAGATCTAAGCATAAGAACTGCAACTATGAAACTCTTGGAAGAAAACATAGGGGAAAAGCTTCATAACAATTGATTTGGCAGTGATTTCTTCCATAAGACACCCAAGCACAGGCAACAAAAGAAGCAGTAGATAAAATTGGACTTCATCAAAATCACAAACTTGTGTATCAGAGGACAGTGTCAAGACAGTGAAAAGGCAACCCATGGAATGAGAGCAGATATTTGTAACGCTACATTTGATAAGACATTAATACCCAGAATATATAGAAAACTCCTACAACTCTATAATTTAAAAAGAAAACTCAACTCAGCTCAAAAATGGGCCAAAGACTTCCATAAACATTTCTCCAAAGAAGATATATAAATGGCTAATAAACACATGAAAAGATGTTCAACATTACTAATTAGGGACATACAAACCAAAATCACAATGAGCTATCACTTCACACCTATTAGGATAGCTATTAGTAAAAACAGAATAGAAAAAAAACAACAAAAGTAACAGGTGTTGGCAAGGATGTGGAGTATTTAGAACCCTTGTGTACTGCTCGTGGCCATGTAAAATGGCACAGCCACTATGGAGCATGGTATGACACTTCCTCAAAAAAATTAAACAGAATTACCATATGATCCAGCAGTTTCTCTTCTATAGACCAGAAGAATTGAAAATAGGGACTTAAACAGATATTTTTGTATACTTATGTTCATAACAGCATTATTCACAATAGCCAAAAGGTGGAAGCAACCCACATGTTCACTGACAGATGCTAGAGAAACAAAATGTGGTATATACATAAAATAGAACATTATTTAGCCTTGAAAAGGAAGCAAATTCTCATACATGCTAAACATGGATGAACCTGGAAGACATGCCAAGTGAAATAAGCCACTCACAAAGCACAAATATTGTAAGATTCCACTCATACGAAGTACCTAGAGTAGACAAATTCATAGGTACAGAGGATACACTGGTGGTTGCCAGGGCCTGAGGGAAGGGAAAGTGGGGAGTTAGTGTTTAATGGGTAAGGAGCTTCAGCGAGGGAAAATTAAAATGTTCTAGAGATGGGTGCAGAACAATGTGGAAATATATTTAATGCCACAGAACTATATACTTTAAAATGGTTAAAATGATAAATGTTACGTATATTTTACCACAATAAAAACATTTATAAATGATTTCTCTTGGCCAGATATGTATAATAGCACAGGCTTGTCACTGAATGCAGTCAGATTACAGTTTGAAAAGACTTCCTAAAAGTCTTTTATCAAATAAAAAACAGAGGAAAAAGTAAATATGAAAGTAAGGAAGAGCTTGTTTAATCTGTGGTTTAAAAATCTTGTGTTTATTTTTTATTTTTTTTTTAATCCTAGATTACGTTTGGCTTCTTTTGATAGTAGTGGAAAACTAATATGTAGTAGAACAACTGGCTATCAAATACTTACACTTGAAAAGGATCAGGTATGTTCGATTATCTTCTGGTATGTCATCATAATATTTGTCTTTTGAATCCTCTTTTGAAAATTCTTAAGTAGAATTAACATTAAAGTGATGGCATTTTGACCTAAAAGTTGGTTTAAAAGTCTTTTGAAGGTAAAGATGAAAGTACCACATTCACTTATGCATAATTGACCCCATCCCAATGGAAGCATAATTAGGAGAAAAAAAGAAAACACTGTTTGAGGGGCAGGGAAACACTGATTATAAGGAAATAATTGTTTATCCTGAATATCAGCAGCACTAAAATTCATTCCTAAAATTTTAGGAATCTTAAGTGCTTTATCCATTGTGTACATAGTGCATTTATTTATACATTCACAGCAGGCATCTTAAAGACAATCCTGTATGTCTCCATAGCTCCGAATATCATAAGAGCATTATTCTCTAGCCCATTAGGTTCGTAAGATGGCAAACTCTGCAATGTTCCCCAGATTATCTCCAAAGCCATTTATTTATTCATACATCACACACATGGAGAAGTTTCAAAGTGTCATGATGAGAAAGTAGACCATTTTTAAAAGTAAAACTGAAAGCTGTTAAAATATTGAGGAACTTTATTTCTATTAAAAGTAATCATCATTCCAAAGGGCATAATGTTTTATTAAAGGATTCAAAGCCTGTTATAGTTTACATAAATTATGAGAAGTTAGTAGTTTTCCTCAGACTGAAGAGACTATCATAGAACATCCTTAGCATTGCAAGTAACCCCGGAAGTGATCATTGTAACCTCACATGCCCTATATGAGAACTTCTTTTAACAGCATTCTTACAGAGGGGGTCATCCACCCATTGTTGAAACTCTAACTGACCCCCATCTTACATGAAAGGTAATATGTAGGAATGTCCATTTCAAGGCAGGTATATAATGAGAAAGTCCAAATCTGCCTCCATCAGAACTCTCTGTTGGTCCTTCTTGTAACCTCTGCAGCTGAACAGACAATGACTATCTTTATCTTCTACCTGAAACTTCATGAAAAATACTGTCATGGCTCAAACCCAGCCAGAGACCTAAAAAAGCACCAGGCCAAGATAATAGTTGTATTCCCATGTTCCTTCAGCAAACATTTGTGTCCCCACCATGTGCTTGGTTCTCAGCTAGAAGTAGAAGAAATAAAGACAGGCTTGTGTTAATATAGCCTAGTGTAAGTAGCATGATAGAATTAGCTCAGAGTGTGCAACCTTGAGGGAGAAGACTCTGACCTGTAACTGAGCAGCTGCCGTGGTTGGGGGTGGTTATTGGAGGAGGAGGAGAAAGAAAGACAGCTCAGGGAAAACATCCTCTCCTGGAAAAGTGTTAAAGTGAATGCATACCTGAACCAAGCCTCAAATGGTGAGTAAGATTTCCGGAAGCAAGGGAATACATGGGTCATATTCAAGGAACTGAAAGATGGTTGGAAGAGTTCAGTATAACTAGAGCCAGGGCATGAGGGCTGTGGATGGAGTTTGGGAGATTTACTTTGGGAGTTGTCTCCGTGTTTTATATAGGTTATAGATGTTGTCGAAAAAATAGAAAATATGAGTCAGCTGAAACAACAATCATACATGTACCACTCAGATACATTGCTGAGTTTTTCCTTCACCTGTATCATTTTTGCAAAATTGGATCACAGTAGGTTAGCTATTTTGTAACCTGCTTTTTTTTTTAATGGTGAAAAACATATATATTTAGAATTTGCCAGCTGGATTCAACTTAGATGATCCCAATTTTTTGGCAGCCTCTAAAAGCAGCATGCTCAGGAGCCAGCTGAACATGGGCTTTCTTCTCTCCATCAGCCCTGATCACGGTGTTGATCTTGGCCACATTGGTGTCATAGAGCTCCTCCACAGCCTGTTTGATCTTATGCTTTTTGACCTCGACATCCACAATGAACACAAGTGCATTGTTGTCCTCTGTCTTCTTCATGGCCAAGTCAGTGGCCTGGGAGAACTTGTTGGTCGCATAGTGGTCAGGCCTGGGGGAGAGGCAAAATGGGGTCACCTGGCCTGGGCCCAGTAGAAGAAAGGCTTGGTCCTCTTTCAGAGCCCAAGGCCAGGTGAGCCTAGGTGCATCAGACAGTGAGGTAGTAATTGTAACCTTTTTTTTTTTTTTTCACTTTGTTGTACATAGCTTTTTTTGGTCAATAAATATATATTCACAGCATCATTTTTATGAACGGCATAATATTAGTTGTTTTGGCTATACCGTAACTTAGATAATTCCTCTTTATTGGATAAAGTTGTTTCTCATTTTTTTTCATTACTATAGGAAATATACATATATCTTTGTCCATTTTTATGATATTTTTAAAGCATAAATTCCAAGAAGTAGAATTCTTGTTGCATGGTGCATACAATTTTCTAATGGCCAAATTGCCCTCCAAAGCTACTGTCCAATTTATACTTCCCCCTGGCAGCAGTACAGGAGAGTATACCCAATATTGTATCTTATTCTTTTTCATCTCTATCCCAGCGTAGTAAATGTGAAAACAAATATTTGTTTTAATTTTCATTTCTTTTTGTTTGTTTGTTTTGAGACAGAGTCTTGCTCTGTCGCCCAGGCTGGAGTGCACTAATTTTTAGTAGAGACAGGATTTCACCATGTTAGCCAGGCTGGTCTTGAACTTCTGGCCTCAAGTAATCCACCTGCCTTGGCCTCCCAAAGTGCTGGGATTACAGGTGTGAGCCACCGCGCCTGGCCCTTAATTTTCAATTTTCATTTCTTTGGTTACTGTATTGTTGGGTTTTTTTATGCTTATTGAACGTATCATCTCATGTAAACTGACAGCTTATATTGTTCCTGTTTAATTTTTTATTAAAATTTCATTTTTTTCTTGCTAATTTTTAACAGCTTTTATATATTAAAAATACATTTGTGATACTCTATAGTTTTTACTTTTTTTTTTTTTTCCGAGACAGGTTGTCACTCTGTCACTCAGGCTGGAGTGCAATGGTACAATCTTGGCTCACTGCAGCTTCCACCTCCTGGGCCCAACCTTTCCACGCACCTCAGCCTCACAAGTAGCTGAGACTACAGGCTCGCACCACCATGCCCAGCTAACTTTTTTGTATTTTTTTATAGAGACGAGGTTTTGCCACGTTGCCTGGGCTTGTCTGGAATTCCTAGGCTCAAGTGATCCACCTGCCTCCGCCTCCCAAAGTGCTGGGATTACAGGCATGAGCCACCAGGCCCAAACAGTTTTTACATTTTTGTCATTTGTCTTTTCAACCTTCAAAACAATCTATCTTTTTCTTTTATGATTTCTTTTTTTTGGTGTTATCCTTAGGCCTCCATCTTACTAGGATTATATAAATAGTCATCTATATATTCTTCTGTTCTTTTTATGGCTTAATTTTTTACTTTGGAGTATTTGACGATATATCTGAAATGTACTGGATGTATCAATGTATTTGAAATGCCTTATTGTACATGAAATACTTATAAACTTGCTTTCATTTCTGGACTTTTTGTTTTATTGATTTCTTTGTTATGAAGACAAGGCATTGTTTTAATTAGGCTAACTTTAAAATGCATTTTAATATTTAGTTACGCAAAACCACCTTCATTTTTCTTTTTTTCAAAAATCTCTCAGTTCTTTGTGCATGATTATTCTCCTGTATGGGATGTAGGATCATTTTATCAAGTTTCCTTGCAAAAATTCCTATGGGGATTTTAATTTATATGATTAAATATGTAGAGTAGTTTGTGGACCATTGATGTCTTCCTTTCTGGAATATGGTATTTTCTACATTTACGTAGGTCTTCCCTTATGTCTGTCTCTAAAATTTGTAGTTTTTCCCATATTGTTCCTGTGTATTTCCTGGAAGTATAACACTTAGTATTTTACATTTCTTTTTTTTTTTTTGAAACGGAGTCTTGTTCTGTCGCCAGGCTGGAATGCAGTGGCGTGATCTCAGCTCACTGCAACCTCCACCTCCCGGGTTCAAGCGATTCCCCTGCCTCAGCCTCCCAAGTAGCTGGGATTATAGGCACATGCCACCACGCCCAGCTTTTTTGTATTTTAGTAGAGACAGGGTTTCACTCTGTTGGCCAAGATGGTCTCGATCTCCTGACCTCGTGATCCGCCCACCTCAGGCTCCCAAAGTGCTGGGGTTACAGGTGTAAGCCACCGCACCCAGCCAGTATTTTACATTTCAGTTGCTAATATGAAATGAATCATTTGTTCTAATAGTTTTTGATAATGTAAGAAAGTTAGTGATTTTTGTATATTTATTTTGTAACTGTCCATCTTATAAGACCATGCTAAATGGATTTTCACTATAGAAGGTTCCGTCAGACAGCAATGTGTAGGAAGGATTAAAGATATGATAATGGCAATAAAACAATTTATGATTATATAGCTATAATTCAGATTAAAAGTGATAAGAACCTTAAAGAATGTAGCAATGAAGAGGAAAATATTGATGGGTTCTGGAAATAAAGTGGTGCAATTGAGAATTTGATTCTTAATTGTGTGTGTGCATGAGGAAATGTCAGATGGTTTTCTGATTTGAGCAATTTAATTTACAGTAGTGGTTTTACCTGAGATTTGAATTATAGGAAGGAAAATGAACATGACATAGTGTTGGTGATGGTGAAGAGATGATGAATTCTGTTTAGGGCATGTTTAATTTGAGAGCATCAAGGTGAAAATTTGATAGGCTGGTGAATAATGGATTTGGAGTTTACAAGTAATGCCTGAACTAGAAATAATAATTGGATGAGATAATGTACAGGAAATGTGTAGAGAATATGACAGGATAGAACCCTAGGGACCACTGGTATTTAAGAGATGGACAAAAAAGGTAACCTGGTGAGACATTGAAAAGCTGGGATGGAGAATCAAAGCCAAATTGCAGGCTTGGCGTGGTAGCTCATGCCTGTAATCCCAGCACTTTGGGAGACCAAGGCCAGAGGATTGCTTGAGACCAGGAGTTCAAGACCAGCCCTGGCAACTTAGCAAAACCCTATCTATACAAAAAATTGAAAAATTAGCCGGGCGTGGTGGCATGTGCCTGTGGTACCACCTACTTGGAAGCTGAGGCAGGAAGATCACTTGAGCCTGGGAGGCTGAGGCTGCAATGAGCCATGATCATGCCACCGCACTCCAGCCTGGGTGACAGAGTCAGACCCTGTCTCAAAACAAAAACAGACAGACAAAAAACACTACCAACAACAACAAATACCCAGAAATTTATTTAATTGTCTGGAAGTAGAAATGGGGACCTAGGAAGTTGCTGCTGCTCTGCTGCTGCTATATGTGGGCTCCACAGATTCCATCCACAATGGAATAAGGAAAATAGAACTTTGCTATAAAGGTACTTCAATGCAAATGTAGATGCAGATTGAACCTTTAGGTGAAACAACAGATTTGATGAAGCTCGGATCGACCTATCCTGTTTGGGAATGGAGAGTGGGGATTAATACAATTTAATATTCAAAAATTGGTGTATCCATTCAGCCAAGTGATATCCACGTGCCTTCCTTCTTTCTCCAGAGTTGGCCCTTTGACCTACCCTTCCCTGCCTCAATCTTAACTGTATTCAAATACTAGAAGGCTAATCTTCCTCAGAGCCTTTTAGTTATGGAACAGAATCTTGATTTTTATCATCAGATATACATATCATCAAAACATTTGTCCTCAACAAATTTGGTAAATGTGCCTTCACCCAGATTATTGATATAAATTTTGACTAGTTCAGGATGTCTCAAGCATCTGAAGACCAACCATGCTTTGGCATAATTCCTCTCTGGTGACACTTGTTAGCACAGTCTAGGTGATGGCCTCCCCTGATTTTGTTCACTGATGTCTTTTTATAATACCACTTTCCCTCGTACAGAGAGAGAGATTGTGTGTTTGTGTGTGTGTGTGTGTGTGTGTGTGTGAGACATTTGTACTCTCTACCTTCTTTATTCAAATTTATCTTCTTGTTCCCTCAACACAGAAGCTGTGTCTAGTGAGTCTGCTTCAGTCACACAGATATTCTAGTTTTAGTTCCTCTTCATGCAGGAATACATGTCTCAGTAAAAAATTAAAACTTTGGATTTAAACAGTGTTTAATAGTATCTTATCCAAAATAAATAAAGTGTAACTAATGCATACTATTGCAGAGAGCATATCCCAGGCATTTAAAACGTAGGAATTCTCATTTTAGTGTTTCTTCTTTTACTCTGAGGATTGATTCTATTTACCAAATGCTTCTAGTAAAGGATATATGAGGTTCCAAACAGAGATCTGTAGCATCAGGGATGTTATATTTGTGTAGTGTCAGCTCCTGTCTCTGGGAGTTCTGAGCATTCTTGTGTGTGTTGATGTAACTGAACCTGAAATTGCTTTTCCATGATAATGTATTTTATGTTTCAGGAGACAAATTACATGTTTGTCATAGGGACAGTGGGAAATGTCAATAGTAGGAACCCTGCTTTTTGATGATGATAATGACTCCCGACCTTCATCTGGGTGATTTGCTGTACCCAACGGCCATCAGTAATTGAAGCCAAGTAGCCAGGCACAGTGGCACCTGCCTGTAGTCCCAGCTACTCAGGAGGCTGAGGCGGGAGGATGAGGCAGGAAGATCTCTTGAGCCCAGGAGTTCAAGGCCAGCTTGGGCAATATAGAAAGACCCTATCTCATTTTTAAAAATAATTAATTAATTTTGTAAAAGGAAATAAATTTTTTTAAAAATTGAAGCCCAGTGAGAAGTTTATGTATTTCTAGACATTGTATCTGTTGACAAAATATGTAAGTATTTGATAGAAATTTTTGCAATAATGAAAATAACTACCATTATTGAGTACTTAATAGATAGCTGGCTTTGCAAAACCCCCTGTGTATTATCTCTTGTAATCCTCCTTTAAGTCAGGTACTCTTACTGTCCCCATCTTACAGTGAGGAAGCTGCATTTGACAAGGTCACACAGCTAATGGGTGGGAGTTTGGAGAGTGGAGTTGTGGATCTCAGACTCAGGACACTATCTCCTTTGGTTCACTCAGTTCAACAGTTTGGTTTTTTGTTTTTATTTTATCTAATTGTCATTGAATCTACAAATCTGTCTTATAGGAACAAGTGGTGATGAACTTGGACAGCAGGCTTCTGATCTTCCCTTTATATATCTGCTGTAACTTCTTGTATATATCACCAGAAAAAAAGAATTGAAAATAATCGTCACCCAGAAAATCCAGAAAACTGAAGATTTCATCAGTTGGAAACAGTAGCACTTTGAAAACTTTTTAGGCCAGCTTTAATTTAATGGCCCTACTGATATTCACATCGAAGGTGACTAACAATGACAAAGGCCTTATGAACTGTACAGACAATACAGAAGATTATTCTTATCCTCATTGCATTTCTATGCATATGCGTAAGAACATTTTAAAGCCAAGAAAATATCTGTCAAACCATTTCTGTTAGAACGATGTCAATTCATGCTTTTAATTTAGCATCAATAGAAAATTGCTGTAGGTAAATCTCACATTTATCTGCAACAAAATATAGATTTAATTTTTAGCTTAAACTTTGTTTCTACCTTATGTTAGTGGACCTCAGTTATCCATCTGTAAATTTCTTTTTATTTGGCTAAAATAATCTAAAAGAATAATTTGGTTGGCCAATTAGAAATGCCTTTTTCAGTTGGTGTATTGAAAGCTTTCCTTTAACATTTTCACCTGCTCATTGTGATTCCTCCTTTTAGTCTAATATCTTTCCAGGTCATACTTGTTTTTAATCATTAAATATTTTCTTCCTGGTTTTGGAGACTAAGCTGATAAACTTTTTTTAAAACTTAAGCATTGTCATTGCTATTTTTTTTAATTTGACTTTCCTAGGAGTTTAAGAACAGTGAAAGTTAGCTTTGCACCTTCAAATGATCTTGAATGAGGGAAAAATCAGTTTGATTCCAAGGATATTTCTTGCCTTACATGGTCTTTTCTTTGACAGTCTGTACACCTTTATTATTAGGTTTTGAATTATTTATGTACCAGATATTATAGTTTTAAACATTTTAATATTCTCTGATCTTTAGAATTATTTATGTTCAAATTTTAGTTGGGAACTTTGTTTCCTACTTAAGCTCAGGACTTTTTACCCTCTGAATTGAGTGCCTTTGAGTGACACATGCTAATAGAAATTTCATAGTAAATGTAAATAAGGTCAGAGGATGTAATATGGAGCCTGATGATGAAGCATTAATGTAAAAATGGAACTTATTTTTGTCAAAAATGAGATGTACACTTGTCATGATTTATGTATGTTGACCTTTTGTGTTTATTACTGTTTTGAAAATAGCCATGTTCATTTTCTTTCCAGTTAGAGTAAGTACTTCTGTGGTTAATGTATATTTTTATTATGGTTTTTAAAATGGGAATCATTTTTATGTATCTGTGCAAATAATAAATGCCCATTTGGAAAAAGAGTAAGCTCTTACATAAAATGGACCAAAAAATCCCCCTTAATTGAAACCAAAATTTTTTCTTTCTAGTTAGGTTTTTTTCCCAACTCCTTTTAACTTTTGGAATTTATTAATAATTTTTTTCTTTTTTAATGATATGCCCATAGGTTCATAAATTGCTTTTGTTCTTTTAAAATTCATCCATTTGGTTTAACTTAAAGGAACCTTTTAAATGCCTCACCCTTGACCCTCAGAGCTGGAATTTAAATGTTTCTAATACAGTGATTTGGCTGTTATCAAGAGGTTACATTTCAGCTGGGTGTCAGCCAGGTGTGGTGGCTCACACTTGTAAGCCCAGCACTTTGGGAGGCCGAGGCAGGCAGATCATCTGAGGTCAGGAGTTTAAGATCAGCCATGACCAACATGGTGAAACCCCATCTCTATTAAATACACAAAATAAAAATTAGCCAGGCATGGTGGCACACGCCTGTCATCTCAGCTACTCAGGAGGCTGAGGCAGGAGAATCACTTGAACCCAGGAGGCAGAGGTTGCAGTGAGTGGAGATTGCGCCATTGCACTCCAACCTAGGCGACAGAGTGAGACTCCGTCTCAAAAAAAAAAAAAAAAAAAAAGAGGCTACTGTACTTATTTTTATATTTGACTACATTAGGTCTTTTTCACGGGAAGCTGTTGTTTTCTTTCCGTCTCATTACTGTATAAGAGTTTCCTTACCCTTTATGTATTGAAAAATATATAAATTCCAAACTTAAATTATTTGGATAATTAAGTTTTTGCAGATCTTGGAAGTAAAGATAATGTTTTGATCATATTAATGAATAAAGTTAACTGTTTCATTTCACTTACATAAGTTAACTGGCCAAATTGGATTTATATGTGGTTTCATCCATTGGTTCTGTCCTGGCCAAGTTGCTTATGTCATCCATAGACAGGATAATTCTTTCTTCAATCACAAGTAGGTTAATGTTCTTATTTGAGAAGTTGATAATTGTCAGGTAGTAATTCACACTGGTAGTAAAGATGTGCTTTTGTTTTCTTACCAAATATTTTTATGTGTTTCCAGAGTTCTTTTCAATAGAAATATTTTCAATAAAGTGTTAATAGTGTAAGATAAAGTATTGTATAAACCATGGTTTGTGAAAGCTTTGTGTTTTGTCAGCTTTTGTCTTACAGCCTCTACTATTTTTTTATGCTAGAGCTAGAAAACAATATTTAATTTTAAGAATGATTTGTGTTTGTCTATTAGTAAGGAAGAGGTCTTTAAGAGAATATGTCCTAGAGTTTCACACTAAGTTATTAAGAAGGGATATAAATACCTTTCCTTTAAAAAAAAATGGTTTGGCATGGAAACTTAGCAAGATAGGCAAAACCATGTGGAGAACAGTGGTAGTCACTGTTTTGTTTTGTTATGTTTTGTTTTTAAGGCGGAGTCTCGCTGTGTCGCCAGGCTGGAGTGCAGTGGCGCGATCTCAGCTCACTGCAACCTCTGCCTCCTGGGTTCAAGCAATTCTCCTGCCTCAGCCTCCTGAGTAGCTGGGACCACAGGTGCACACCACCACGCCCAGCTTATTTTTGTATTTTTAGTAGAGACGGGGTTTCACCATATTGGCCAGGAAGGTCTCGATCTCTTGACCACCATGTTGGCCAGGAAGGTCTCCATCTCTTGACCTCGTGATCCGCCCGCCTTGGCCTCCCAAAGTACTGGGATCACAGGCATGAGCCACTGCCCGGCCTGTTTTGTTTTGTTTTGTTTTTTTTATGAAGTGTTTCACAGCTAACATTTTATCTAATTTCAAGTCTTTCAATAGGATTACCATCATATGTGAGCAATTTTCAACATCAAATGCAAAAATAGGGTTACTGGAGGCTGGGCACAGTGGCTCACACCTGTAATCCCAGCACTTTGGGAGGCCGAGATGGGCAGATCACCTGCGGTCAGGAGTTCGAGACCAGCCTTACTAACATGGTGAAACCCCGTCTCTACTAAAAATACAAAAATTAGCTGGGCGTAGTGGCGGGCACCTGTAATCCCAGCTACTCGGGAGGCTGAAGCAGGAGAATCGCTTGAATCTGGGAGGCAGAGGTTGCAGTGAGCCGAGATCGCACCATTGCACTCCAGCCTGGGTGACAGAGTAAGACTCCATCTCAAAAAATACATTAAAAAAATAGGGTTACTGAAGATCATTGTGGCCACTTAAGTGTAAGTTAATTAAAATTTAAAGAAATTTAAAATGTACTCCCTCAGTCACACTAGCCACACTGTAAGTGCTCAGTAACTCATGTACCTGGTGGCTACCATATTGGACAGTACAGCTATAGAATATTTCTATTTCAGAAAGTTCTGATAGCTGATGTAGAATATTGGACTGGTAATGGTTATACTGTTTAAGATGAACCTGTGTAAAGAATAGAAAATAATAGAGCCAGGGGTACAAATGATAAGCATAGATGACTTGTCAATCTCCTGAAATATGTTCAACCAATATGGACCCAATCATGTTATTGGATTAAAATAATTTTTTAAAAAGGGCATGATACAAACTCTCCTCAACCAGAGAGTTTTAATTCTTCCCAAGGTCTAAGGTACACGGGTACAAAGAGCAAAAATCCTCAAAGGGCATCAATCATTATTTACTAGTGGTCAGACTGTATCTAATTATGGAGCAGAATTATTCAACAGCGTGCATTCATTTGTAAAGTATAAAAAGCTGGGCATGGTGGCTCATGCCTGTAATCTCAGCACTTTGGGGGGCCAAGGCAGGAGGATCTCTTCAGGCCAGGAGTTCTGAGACCAGGTTGGGCAGCATAGCAAGACCCCATGTCTACAAAAAATATTTTTTAAAAAAATAGCTGAAGCCTGACGCAGTGGCTCACGCCTGTAACCCCAACACTTTGGGAGGCTAAGGAGGGTGGATCACCTGAGGTCAGGAGTTTGAGACCAGCCTGGCCAACATGGTGAAACCCTGTCTCTACTAAAAATACAAAAATTAGCCGGGCATGGTGGCACGTGCCTGTCGTCCCAGCTACTCGGGAGGCTGAGGCAGGAGAATCTGTTGAACCCGAGAGGCAGAGTTTGCAGTGAGCCAAGGTCACGCCACTGCACTCCAGCTTGGGCGACAGAGTGAGACTCCATCTCAAAAAAGTAAATACATAAATATAAAAATAATAAAAATTAGCTGGGTGTAGTCCTAGCTATTCAGTAGGCTGAGGCGGAGGACTGCTTGAGCCAAGAGTTCAAGGCTGCAGTGAGCTATGATTGTGCCCGCTATACTCCAGCATGGGCAACAGAGTAAGACCTTGTCTCTTAAAAATAAACTAGAATACTTTTGTAATGGCTGGTAATTTTATAAGAACTAGGACTGGCAAAGGTTAAAAAAAAATCTAACTTCCTGGCTCAAAATAAAATTTCCTGGGTCAACAAAGACTTTGCTGTCAATCCTGTAGGTTAGATGTGCATTCCTTTTAACTAACATTTAAAATTGACCACTTTGCTCTCCTTAAAAAGGAATCTTCTCTTAAACTTCTCTGACATCACACTATTTCTATTTCTCCGGCCACTCCTTGGTCTCATTTTGTTTTCTTCCTCTGACTGTCTCCAGGCTCTTTTCTCTCCTGAGCCTGCACCAGGTGATTTCATGTACTCTCATGGCTTCAAATGACCATCTGTATTTTGGTAATTCCTTTTCTTGTAGTTTCAGCCTAGATCTCTCTTCCAAGTTCCAGATACACATCTAGCTGACATCTCTTGAGTGTTCAAAATAGCATCTCAAGCTAGCGTGTCCAGATCTGCATGCATCTGCTTTCCCCAGAATTTGTCTTGTATGCCTCATGTCAGCAAATCACGCTACTCAATTGTGCAAGCCAGAAACCTAGATGTCATTCTGAATCTTCCAACTCCCTCATGCTCTGCATCCAGAAATCACAAAGTTCTTTTGGTTTTACCAACTGTATCTCAAATGCAGCCACTTCTCACCTTGCCCACTGCCACCATTCTAGTACAGACCATGATAATTTCCAACCTAGATTCTTGCACCAACCTCCTGTGTTTCCCCTTCTAATTGAGTCTCCACATTACCCATTATCTGCATAAACTCAAATCTCTTATCTATTCTCCTATCCTTAAAATTCTTTGAATGTTCCCCATTTGCCCTCAGGATAACTCTGTACAATAGCTAACAAGTCTATTTCAGCCTTGTCTTCACATCTCTGCACTCTGCCCCCAAGGTGGCTGTCTATACTTTTCTTTAGTTCTGTAAAGAGCCCATCCTGTGCCTCGCTTCTTGCCCTTGCACATGCAGTCTCCTCAGCCTGGACAATCTCTTCCCCCTTTCCCCACCACAGATGTCACCCCATTTCACCTGGCTAGTTTCTGCTCATACTTTAGGTCTTGTTTGGACATTATTTTCTCCTGGAAACTTTTCTTCACAACCCTCCCATGGTATGTGCCATCCTAATACTCTGTTTCCCCATTAATGCACTTTCACACTGTTTACTTGTTTGTATCCCCCACTGGACTGCAAGCTACTCATGACTTGTGTCTTTTTTTTTTTTTTTTTTGGACTTGTGTCTTTTTCATTGTTTAATCCTCTGATACATGCAGTGTGCCATAAATGTGTGAATAATGACAAACTGTAGTCACATGCCTTTTTATTTTCTGATGTTTTGACATCTGGGTTCTTGCTAAGACTTCTCTTCCTAGGACTAATTCCTAGAGATTGCAAAAGACTCCCATTGGAGCATGCCTTACATATACACCCCAGCCAATCCAAAGCCTGTATCCCCAACTACCTCCTTTAACAAACTCTCATAAGCCAAGCCAAGATTCCCATCCCCTAATCACCCCAGGGCCAGCCTCTCACCTGAGAGCCTGCTGAAATTATTCAAACTAGCCAGTCTTAGAAGCTGCTTACCCTGCCTCGCCCATTCCTTCCCATGACAACCACAGTAAAGTCTCACCCATGCTTTCCCCTCATTCCCTTCACCTCCTGGTCAACCCTAGTGCTTCCCTGTGTGGGATGCCATGCCTCCTGCTTCTAGGAAACTGTAATGTTTTACCCAGTTAAAAACATCTTCCTTCGTGACATTCATTTCTGTGTCTCTGTGTCTTACCATATGCTATGGTTTGAGTGTGTCCCTCAAAAGTTCATAAAATGGAAATTGAATTCCCATTTTAACAGTGTTGAGAGGCAGGACGTTGGAGAGGTGATTAGGTCACAAGGGCTCCACACTCATGAATGAATGAATGCCATTACTGCGGGAGGGGGTTTCTGATGAAAATGATGAGTTTGCCCCCTCCGCCTCTTGCTCTCTGTTGCACGTGCTTCCTTACCACACGATGCCTTCCACCATGAGATGACCCTCACCAGATGCTGGAAGCATGCTCTTAGACTTCCCAGTCTTCAGAACCACGAGCCAAATAAACTCTTCTTTGTATATCCAGTCTGTGGTATTCTGATATAGCAGTAGAAACAGACTAAGCCACCATATCTGATTAAAACAGTCCAGATTTTTAAAACACACATTTTACTAAAGGCTATGTGCTATTATTCCTCACAATAGTCTAAAGTATTAAACTTTATTATTCCCACTTTAGAGAAGAAAAAACTGAAAGCCTAAAGCCAAGTTGGTAAAGCTGTGGAGCAGTGGAGCTGAAAGTAAACTCAAATCCCAGAGCTGTTTTCCTTTTAAAAAAAATTGTGTATGTTTAAAGTGTACATGATGTTTTGATATACATAGTGAAAAGATTAGGACATGCAGACAATATATCCATCATCTACCACTGTTACCTCTTGTTTTGTGTGGTAAAAGCACCTAAAATCTACGTTCTTTGCAAAACTTCAATATGCAAGATTAATAACTGTAGCTTTGTGGCACATTGGATCTCTAGACTTATTGATCCTACATAACTGCAAGTTTGTACCCTTTGACCTACATCTCCCCATTTCCTCCTCCTCTCTGCCCTTGGTAACTACTGTTGTACACTATGTATGTGACTTTTTTTGGATCCCATATATAAATGAGATCATGCAGTATTTTTCGGTGTCTGGCTTTTTTCGCTTAGCATAATGTCCTCCAGTTTGATTCATGTTTTTGCAAATGGAATATTTCCTCTTTTAAGGCCAAATAATATTCCATTTTATATATAGCACAATTGATCCATTTATCCATCAATGGACACTTACATTGTTTGCATAGATTGACTCTTGTGAATAATGCTGCAATTGATGTGGGAGCCCAGACACCTCTGTGGTGCTGATTTTATTTCCTTTGGGTACATACCCAACAGAGGGATTCTCTGGGTCATGTTGGTTCAATATGAACCAATTTGAAAATCAATTCGTGTAATTTACCATTTTAACAAACTAAAGAAAAATCACATGATCATATTAATAGATGCAGAAAAAGCATTTGACCAAATATAACACTAAGAGGTTTAGTGAATCTTCGCCTAAACCTTACACATTATACAAAAGTCAAAATATCATTTAAATATAAAATGTAAAATTATAAAACCTTTAGAAGATTACGTAGGAGAAAGTCTTTGGACAGTCTTAGTCCATTCAGGCTGCTAGAACAGAATCCCATAGACTGGGTGGCTTTATAAACAACAGAATTGTATTTCTCACAGTTTTGAAGGCTGGGAAGTTCCAGATCAAGGCATCAGCATGTTCTTCATTTGGTGAGGGCCTACTTCCTGGTTCATAGAACAGAATAGTGCCTTCTTGCTGTGTCCTTACATCATGGAAGGGGAAAGGGAACTCTCTGGGGTCTCTCTTATAAGGGCACTAATCCCATTCATGAGGACCCCCATCCTCATGACCTATTCACCTCCCAAAGGCCCCACCTCCTAACACTATCACACCAGAGGTTAGGTTTCAACATACGAATTTTGGGGGAAACAAACATTCAACCTACAGCAGGATTCTGGGCCTTGGTGACAGTTCTTAGGCATGACACTAAGAGCACAATCTGTAAAAAAGATAATAAGTGGGCTTACTCAAAATTTAAAACTTTCCTCTGTAAGAGATCCTGTTAAGTGGGTGAAAAGATAAACCACAGACTGGAAGAAAATATTTGTAAATCATATATCTGACAAAGGACTCATATCTAGAGTATATAAAGAACTCTCAAAACTCAACAATTGGCCAGGCATGGTGGCTCACACCTGCAATCCCAGCACTATGGGAGGCTAAGGCGGGAGGATCGCTTGAGTCCAGGAGTTTGAGACCAACCTTGGCAATGTAGGGAGACTCCATCCCTACAAAAAAAAAAATTTTTTTTGATTAGCTGGGTGTGGTGGCATGCACCTGTAATCCCAGCTGCCTGGGAGGCTGAGGTAAGAAGATCACTTGAGCTCAGAAGGTCGAGGCTGCAGTAAGCTGTGTTCACACCACGTGGGTGACCCGTATCAAAAAATAAAAAAAACAAAAAACAAAACAACAACAAAAAACTCAACAGTTAAAACCAATAATCCAAACAGAAAATGGACAAAAGACATGAAGAGACATTTCACCAAAAAGTATATATGGATGGTAAATAAGAATATGGAAATATATTGAGATAGCCATTAGGGAAATACAAGTTAAGACCACGATGAGATATCACTATCTACCTATTAGAATACCTAAAAAATAGTGACAACACCAAATGCTAGTGAGGATGTGTAGAAACTGGATTTCTCATACATTGCTGGTAGGCACGTAAAATGGCATAACCATTTTGGAAAATAGATTGGCAGTTTCTTTAAAAAAAAAAAAAAAAACTATACGGGCACTTACCATAAAGCCCAGCAATCACACTCCTGGGCGTTTATCAGTAGAAAAACCTGTATACAAATTGTCATAACAGCTTTATCTGTAATAGCTAAAAGCCAAAACCGGCAAAATGTCCTACAATTGGTGAATGGTTAAACTGTGGTACATTCATACTATGGAATACAACTCCACCACAAAAAGGAACAGATTACTGATACAATAACTTGGATGATCTCAAGGGCATTGTAATGAAAAAAGTCCATTTTAAAAGGTCATGTATCAGCCAGGCACGGTGGCCCATGCCTGTAATCTCAGCACTTTGGGAAGCTGAGGCAGGTGGATCACTGGAGGCCAGGAGTTTGAGACCAGTTTGGCCAACATGGCTAAACCTTGCCTCTAATAAAAATACAAAAATTAGCTGGGTGTGGTGGCACATGCATGCGAACCCAGCTACTGGGGAGGCTGAGGCAGGAGAATCGCTTGAACCTGGGCGACAGAGCAGGACTCTGTCTCAAAAGAAAAAAAAAGGTCATGTATCACATGATTCCATGTATATAACATTCTTAAAATGGAAAGCTACAGAGGTAGAAAAAATGTTAGTGGTTGCCGCAGGCCTGGGGTGGTGAAGGAGAGGTGGATGAATGTGACTACAAAGAGAGATCTGTTCACCTTTTCAGTCATCACTTCTTTCGCTGTGTTGAGTTGCCACTGTCTTAGGTATGATTTTTCTGGTTGGGAAATTCCTCAGCTTCTGCTCTGCTGATGGCATCTTCCCTAATGTCCCATGCTGGTATGGATTTTGGGAGCAGGAAAGATGAATGTAATTCTTTGTAATTTGTCTTACCTACTCTCCCCAAAAACAACTTTCAGCAAGTTCACCAATGGCCTCTATAAAGCTAAATCCAGTGGACAGTTTTCAGTTCTTATTTTAAAGCAGAAGTCCCCAGCCTTTTTGGCACCAGGGACCAGTTTTGTGGGAGACAATTTTTCCACAGGATGGGGGCAGGGGATGGTTTCGGGATGAAACTGTTGACCTCAGATCATCAGGTATTAGTTAGATTCTCATAAGGAGCATGCAACCTAGATCCCTCGCATGTACAATTCACAGTAGGGTTTGCGCTCCTATGAGAATCTAGTGCCTTGCTGATCTGACAGGAGGCAGAGCTCAGGAAGTAATGCTGGCTCACCAGCTGCTTACCTCCTGCCATGTGGCCCGGTTCCTAACAGGCCACAGACCCATACTGGTCCATGACCTGGGAATTAGGGACCCCTGTTTTAAAGGATTCCCTGCTGCATTTGACATAGCTGATGGTATTAGTTTCCTGAGGCTGATGCAACCAATTACCACAGACCTGATGGCTTCAAACAAGAGCATCTCTTACCATTCTAGAGGCCAGAAGTCCAAAACCAGTTTTACTGGGCCAAACCCAAAGTGTAGTAGGGATGTGCTCCCTTCAGAGTTTCTAGAGAAGAATCTGCCAGCAGACCTTGGCTTGTGGCTGCACCATCCAATCTCTGCCTGTGTGGTTACATTGCCTCCTTCTCTCATGTATGTATCAAACATCCCTCTGCCTGTCCCTTATAAGGACATTAGTGATGGCATTTAGGGTTTATCTGGATAATCAAGGATAATCTCCCTATCTCAATATTCTTAATCACATCTGTAAACATTTTCCCACAGAAGGTAATAGTCACAGATTCCAGAGGAAAGAACCAGCTATCTTTGGGTGGCCATTATTCAGCTTGCTACACTGAACATTCTCATTCTTTCTCAAAACTCCACCCCTCTGAATTCTAGCACATTGTTCTGTACTCTTGTTTTGCTACCTGACAATTGCATCTTGGCTTCTTTGGGCCTTTTCTTGTCTGTTTAACCCCACATGGGGGCCATCCTTGGCTCATCTAGCACACTTTTCTCACTGGGACAATTTCATGGACTCCTGTAATGCATCACTCCCCCATCTGTATCTTTTTTTTTTTTTTTTTTTTTTTTTTTAAGATGGAGTCTCGCTCTGCTGCCCAGGCTGGAATGCCACGGCGCAATCTTGGCTCACTGGTGCAAGCTCCGCCTCCCGGGTTCACGCCATTCTCCTGCCTCAGCCCCCCGAGTAGCTGGGACTACAGGCTCCTGCCATCACGCCCGGCTAATTTTTGTATTTTCAGTAGAGACGGGGTTTCACCGTGTTAGTCAGAATGGTCTTGATCTCCTTACCTCATGATCCGCCCACCTCAGCCTCCCAAAGTGCTAGGATTACAGGCATAACCCACCGTGCCCACCCCACCATCTCTATCTTTAGCCCAGATTGCTTCCCTAATTATCAGACTCAGTCTGTAGCTGGTCAGATGCCTACCAAAAATATATCTATCTGGATGTTCCTCAAGTCCCTCACACTTAATAATCTTCTAAAATGAAATTCATGTTCTCCCTGTCATCAAAAGCAAAAGTGTAACTAGGTCCTCATGCTGTGGAGCAAACGTGTACAAAAGGAATTCCCCTGAATGGATATGGCGGGATCTAGGGGCAGGGAAGGGTCCATACTAATCACTGACAGAGGGGCTCTCACATAAAAAAGGGATCTCCCTTTTACTGCCTTCTCCACTGTCTCCCACATGGACTCACCATCGTGTCTCAGTTAAGCAGTAAACTGACAAATTGTGACTTTCTCACTTCAGTAGGCATCACTATGAGATACACTTTTTACTAGGCCCAGTGCAAAATGGAAATTGCAGAACCTCTTGTTCAAAGATTAGTAGGAATTTCAAGAGTAGCAAAAGCTGAGTATTAAGCCCTTCTATGCCCAGGACCCTGTGTGACTACACAGGTCACATGCCTATAAAGCTGGCCCTGCCTGGAAGTCGTTTCTTCTCTCTCTTCCCACTGCCTGGATCTAACTAGCCTCCAATACCTGCCATGCTATTCCTCAAATGTCTCCTGATTCTGTTCTTTCTCATTCTCTTCTATCATTGCCTTAGTACAACCCCTCATTCCCTCCACTTGTTCTTTCTGGCTCAGGTCTTTAGATCTGGCATCCAGATGAATCATCTAAAATGCAAATCTGGTCAGGTCACTCCCAGCCTGAAATGCTCCAGTGGCCAGCCATAACTGTAAGGATAAAGTCCCAGGTACTTGGTAAGGTCTGCCATGGTGAACTCAAAGTGATGATAATATCAAACCTCTTTCAGTGCTTGTGTATGTCATAATGTGACACATCTCTGTGCCTTTGCTATTGCTGCTACTCCTACTCTTCGCTTGGACAATGTATTCTTTTCAGTCTCACAGCTCAACTAATTGTGTGTGAATGTGTGTGTACATAAACATTTTTATAACAGTGCCTGGCATTTAGTTAGCACAGTATGTATTAGCTATTATTATTATTCCAGGAAACCCTCTTGGACAAATTAGGCTGAATAGCCTTCTTTCATGTCACCTTAGCACACTGTGCATATTTTATATTACCACATTACAGTGAAGAGGTGTCTTCCTCTGTCTGCCTCCACAGCTAGAGTGCAAGCTCCTTGAGGCAGGGACCATGTCTTACTCATCTTTTCAATCTAGTGCCAAAGGGGTATAGTGTCCTGTGCATCGCATGCATTCAAAAAATCTTTGTGTATTCAACTGATCCCCAGCATACCTTCCAATCATTTTTAGTCCTAGAGGGGTTTCTTTTTTTTTTTTTTTTTTTTTTTTTTTTTGAGACGGAGTCTCACTCTACCGCCCAGCTGGAGTGCAGTGGCGCGATCTCGGCTCACTGCAAGCTCCACCTCCCAGGTTCACACTATTTTCCTGTCTCAGCCTCCCGAGTAGCTGGGACTACAAGCACCCGCCACCACCTCCGGCTAATTTTTTGTATTTTTAGTAGAGACGGTGTTTCACTGTAGTCTCGATCTCCTGACCTCGTGATCCGCCCGCCTCGGCCTCCCAAAGTGCTGGGATTACAGGCGTGAGCCACCGCGCCGGGTGAGGGGTTTCTTAAAAAGCATTTTCATCAGATGAGACCCCAGCCCTGAGGGGAGAAGGAGAAAGAGAAAGAGAAAGAAAGAGTATTTTCAGCCACCACCTGAGGCCACCATGTTCTTCCTCTCTTACACATCTAGTACATACCCCCTTAGGCTTCCCATAAATCCTGTCTTTCCTGTGGATAATTTCTTCAATCATTAGTGGTGTGCTTCTTCTTTCTTTTTTTTTTTTTTTGTTTGAGACGGAGTCCCACTCTGTCGCCCAGGCTGGAGTGCAGTGGCGCAGTCTCAGCTCACTGCAACCTCAACCTCCCAGGTTCAAGCAATTCTCCTGCCTCAGCCTCCCAAGTAGCTGGGATTACAAGCATGCGTCACCACGCCTGGCTATCATTAGTGGTGTGTTTCTCCAATGATGTCCCTAAATCTTCTTCCCTGGGGTCTGCACCTCCCTTGAACCTCCCCATTCTACACCTAGTGCATGCTTTGCCAGGGTAATTCCAAAGGCATCTGGGGGTTGGGGCTGTTGGTAGAAATCCTAGATGTCATGGCTGGATCTTTCCTGGAAGTTTGGGTTGGGACAGGTATTAAACAGGCCACTCTGAATGTATAAATCTAATTAAAAATTTATGTGATTGGTGGGCATTTTTTCCAACCTAATAAAGTCCCTTTCCATCCCCCAGCTCTTTGTATTTTAAAAGCCAGGTCACTAGACTTGATAATTCTAGAGAGAGCTGACTGAAAAGAGTTGGTTTGATTAGAAACAGAGGTTCAACACTTTTACACTGTTGGTGGGAATGTAAATTAGCTCAACCATTGTGGAAGACAATGTGGTGTTTCCTCAAAGACCTAAAACCAGAAATACCATTTGACCCAGCAATCCCATTACTGGGTATATACCCAAAGGAATATAAATAATTTTATTACGAAGATACTTGCACGCATATGTTCACTGCAGTACTATTCACAATAGCGAAGACATAGAATCAACCCAAATGCCCATCAATGATAGACTGGATTAAAAAAATGTGGTACGTATACACCATGGAATACTACACAGCCATAAAAAGGAACGAGATAATGTCCTTTGCAGGGACATGGATGGAACTAGAAGCCATTATCTTCAGCAAACTAACACAGAAACAGAAAACCAAACATTGCATGTTCTCACTTATAAGTAGGAGCTGAACAATGAGAACACATGGGCACAGGGAGAGGAACAACACACACTGGGGCCTGTAGGGGGAGGAGCTGGGGAGAGGGAGAGCATTGGGAAGAATAGCTTAATAGATGCAAGGCTTAATGGGTTGATAGGTGTAGCGAACCACCATGGCACACATTTACCTATGTAACAAAACTGCACATCCTGCAAATGTACCCTGGAACAAAATAAAATAAAATAAGAAATAGAGGTTTGAGTCTTTCCTGGTAAGCATATTTATGCTCTACCACAGACGGTTCAGCCTTGGGGCAAGACAGTCTTTCTCCTAATTTTTGTAGTTTTGAACATTCTAAAGTTTTTGTTGTTGTTGTTGTTGTTTTCCCTGAGGACAGAGGCAACTTTGGGGAAGTACTTTGTCGGGTAGGATGGAATCTGGGGCCTTTAGTTTTCCTTCCAAGAGCCCATAGGAGGTTTTGGGTGCCTTCTCAATGCTGGCATGAGAAAATATAAAGCAGATGGACAGTGAACTTTGGTATATTCACTCCTTATGAATGTTATGTGGAAAAGTGGAAGAACATAAGCTGTTTGTCTATGCTATGTTTACAATTGGTTTGCTCTATTTTGTGCATGTGGACAAAAATGGGGGAAAAATGAAAGCTGTGTTAGGATAATGGGTATACGGCTGAATTTTCCAGGAATTTCTATAATAACACCAAATCGCATGTTTTAATGCCCACCGTGAACAAAGAAGACCGGAACCCTCGCAACTCGTTTTGACGTTTTCTGGTCGGCGGTAAAAGCTCGGTTCCCGGCCCTCCCGGAAGTTGTTGCACAGTTGTTTCCGGGAAGCGGGACTCCAAATGGGTCGCAGTCGCAGCCGCTCTCCACGGAGGGGTGAGTCCTGTAGCAATTCGGAGGATATGGGGCTCTGTTGGAGGCCTGTCCCTTTTGTTTTATTTTGTTTTGTTTTTGGTAGCCGCGTAGCAGAGAGGCGGGCCCTTTTCCCAGGCGGAGAGCGAGGGGTGGATAAAGGAACGTAGACCTGGGCCCTGCCCTCTTCAGCCCGCCCTCTCCGGTTTGAAGGCAGTTGTTTGTCTCTGAATTAGTTTCATTAAGTCTTTGTCACCTTCATACAATAACTTTTATTACACTGTGGCCGGTGGGTTTAGAATTAGACCTCAGTTCCTTTGCTGAATTTCTGGGCGACGGTGGGCAAGTCACTACTCAGCCTTTCTGAATCGAATTCCCAGAATGAGTCATTGAGGGTAGTATTGCCAACTTTTAAAAACTGATGTGAGAATTAATGTCACATCCCATAACATACAGTATGTGATTCTGCCTGGTTCTTAAATACTTAATAAATGTTAGATTCCTGCCCAGGTCATTACAGGGAAATCGATATTAAGAATTTTGAGTCCTGGGAGCTCACTTCGTAATGTTTTCTGGCTACCAGCCCCATAAATGAGGCAGCGCGACGTAAAGAACCCTGGACTTCCATTAGGAGATCTAACTTAGACCCTCGGTTCTGCCCCTGATTCGTTTTTTTTTTAAATCAATTTATTTATTTTTAATGAGACAGAGTCTCGCTCTGTCGCCCGCCCAGGCTGGAGTGCAGTGGCCGATCTCAGCTCACTGCAACCTCCACCTCCTGGGTTCAAGCGATTCTCATGCCTCAGCCTTCCGAGTAGCTGGGATTACCCGTCCGTGCCACCACGCCTGGCTAATTTTTGTATTTTTATTAGAGACGGGGTTTCGCCGCGTTGGCCAGGCTGGTCTCGAACTCCTGACCTTGTGATCCGCCCGCCAGCCTCACAAAGTGCTGGGATTACAGGCGTGAGCCACCGCTCCCAGCCTCTTTTTACCTTTTTAATGTGACTAGTAATGGTTTGCATTATTTTTCTACTGGACGGCGCAGCTCTAGATATTTGAGGTAATTATCAGTTCTGCAATTTGTGTGCGTTTGCATTAGAACGTAGGCGTTCCCGGTCCACATCCCGGGAGAGAGAACGCAGGCGCCGAGAAAGGTCCAGGTCTCGGGAGAGAGATCGGAGAAGGAGCCGCTCGCGATCCCCGCACCGAAGACGCTCCCGGTAAGGGCAGAAAATAAGCCAAGAGTTTTATTTACCGAAAGTCCCTAAGAAACTGGTCGCAGCTCTTAACTTTGTTTTCATCGCTTATAAGGGGATTTACGGTTTCCTGAAATGGAGGAAACTTAATCCAACCTTATTCTAAAGCTAACATTCACCTTGGTTAAATGGTGCTAATAGTACTCTACATCACAAAGTTGTCTTGAAAGAGTAAGTAAGAAATAATGCATGCAAACCCCAGAGCATGGTGCTTGGCAAGAAAAAGAAATAAGTATTTTATATTTTTGTTTCTTTCTTCCGTTCCTTTCCTTTCCTTTTCTTTTCCTTTTCCTTTCTTTTCCTCTTTTTTGAGACGGAGTCTCGCTCTGTCACCCAGGCTGGAGTGCAGCGGCGCAATCTGCTCACTGCAACCTCCGCCTCCCCTGCAATCTCTGCCTCCCCTGGTTCAAGCAATTCTGCTGCTGAGCCTCCCAAGTAGCTGGGACTACAGGCACATGCCACCACACCCAGCTAATTTTTTTTGTATTTTTAGTAGAGACGGGGTTTCAACGTGTTAGCCAGGATGGTCTTGATCTCCTGACCTCGTGATCCACCCACCTCGGCCTCCCAAAGTGCTGGGATTACAGGCGTGAGCCACTGCACCCGGCCTGTTGTTTCTTTTTTATTAACTTTTTGGTGATAATGATTTATTCAAGTATGTAATCAAGAATGGATGATCTTGGAAGAACATTAGAAATGGGCTCTGAGTCTTTTTTTTGGTTTGTTTTTTTTTTTTTTGAGAGAGAGGGTCTCCCTGTGTTGCCCAGGCTGGTCTTGAATTCCTAGGCTCAAGCAATCCTCCTGCCTCTGCTTTCCAAAGTGCTGGAATTAGTAGCGTGAGCCACCAAGCCCCACCTGGCTCTGAGTCTTAATAACCATCAATTGCTGTTTAAGTCAGCTTTTTTGTATATTTGTGTGTGGTTGTTAGAAACTTTTAATTTACATTTTTCTGCCTTCCAGAAAGCTTTCTAGCCCTAGTTGTACTGAATGCAACTGATGATTAAGCAGTAAACTACATTAAAAAATTTTTTTGTTAACAATCAAGGCCTTGGCAGAACCTTTTTCCTCACTTTGCTATACGGAATGACTCGTGGTTCTGTGGAGCTCACCTCATGTATATCTGTGCTGATTGATACAAAGTTGATATGTCTGTCTGTTTCTAACATCTTTGCTTATAAATATTAGATCTCCAAGACGACATAGATCCACATCTCCTTCCCCTTCTCGACTGAAAGAAAGAAGAGATGAGGAAAAGAAAGAAACAAAAGAAACAAAGAGCAAAGAACGGCAGATTACTGGTAATGTTATTAGATAAATAACTGTAGGAAAAGTACAGTGATGATAAAATTATAAAAGTTTAATCTTGAACATTTAAATGTTAAGCCTTTTATAGTATTCATTGCATATGGTTTTGAGTTTTTTTTGGTTTTTTTTTTTTTGAGATAGAGTTTCATTCTTGTCACTCAGACTGGAGTGCAATGGCACAATCTTGGCTCACTGCAACCTCCGCCTCCTGGGTTTAAGCAATTCTTGTGCCTCAGCGTCCCAGAGTAGTTGGGATTACAGGCACCCGCCACTATGCCCGGCTAATTTTTGTATTTTTAGTAGAGACGGGTTCTCACCATGTTAGCCAGGCTGGTCTCAAACTCCTGACCTCAGGTGATCCTCCCGCCTCGGCCTCCCAAAGTGCTGGGATTATAGACGTGAACCACCGTGCCCAGCCTGAGATTTTGTTTTAATTGCACCCTAGCAAGTTGCTGGTTATCTATGGTGCTCCTGATATAGAACGATAGTTAAAAACATGAGAATATTCTATTTTGGAAGTGTCTTCAGAACTATATAGTGTCATGCCTGATATTAAAGGTAGTCCTTAATATGAAACCCAGGTTTTTTTTTAAAAGGTAATCCTGTCTAAAGGCTTCAAGGAGAGGACTTTTTTTTTGTACCATAAGTTACATTCTGTCCAAATGTAAGAGGAATTTTTTCATTAGACTCATCTTCAGCTAATTGTTTTGTGTGTTCTCTGCTAGTGAGGTGGAATGACTATTAATCTGTTACCACCTCTCTTTTTATTTATGTATATATTTGAAATGATAGAGAGGTCACAAAATTATTCTTTTTTGCAGAGGAAGACTTAGAGGGCAAAACAGAGGAAGAAATAGAAATGATGAAGTTAATGGGATTTGCCTCCTTTGACTCCACAAAAGTAAGTAAAACGTGCAACATTCTCATTTGAATTAATATGTTATGACTGTCCTATCTTTCCATGTTCTTTTCCATTTATACAAATTTATTTGGTTATAAGACAATAACTATCTGTTTGAAGGGCTTTGAGAATACAAAGGAGGAAACAGTGAACTGCCATTGGAATTCAGGGAGTGGTTGCCAGGGACGATGTTTGAATTAGATTTTAAAGGACAAGTAGAAGTGATCAGACAAAGAAGAGGAAGAAGATTATTTCAGGTAGAGGGAAGAGCTCATGAAAATGCCATGTAGGTGTAAAGGAGCATAGTGTATTGTGGGAATTTCAGATTCGACCAGGGATAAAGGGGTGCTGATGGGCTAGTGACTTAGGCTAGAAATAGAGGTAGGAGGCAAATCACAGAGGGCTTTTGATGCCCTTAGTCATGCTAAGGAATTCAGAGTTTATTCTTTTGGTGTTGAGGAGAGGAAGTAGTGATTTTTAAATAAGGGAGTGGCATGGTTATATGTGTGTTTTGGAATAATGACTCTGGGGGCAGCATGGAGGACAGATGGGAGGTGGGTTAGATTGAAGGCAGGGAGAACTGCTGATTTGTGCAAGTGAAAGATGATAAAGGCCTGAACTGAGTTGAGAATGATTCAGGAGCTGGGGGAAGTGGGAGTGAGTAGTTAGTAATGCCTCTCAGGTGTCAGGCTGGGACCCTGAGTGATACAGTTAACCCAGAACAGAGTTTCTGGAAGGGGAACTGCTGGGAAATGGAAGAACAAAATCCAGCTGCCAGATAGAGATGACATTGGGCAGCTGCATACTTGTCTCATAGCTTAGAAGTGGGGTGGATAGGGGAGGGAATGCTGTCTAGCCTTCATAATAGCAGAGAGATGAGGGAAGAGGAAAAAGAGGGAGGGATTATATAGAGGAGGGAGAGCATAGAGCGAGAGATGGGGGAAGAGAGAGATGGGTATAGAGAGAGGAAATGAAGAGAGGAGAGGGGATGGAGAGAGGGAGGGTGTGTGGAAAGAAAAACATATTTTTTAAAATCTCTTTTCTAGAATTTTAAGTCTTTCCATTTAGTTTTGCAAATGGAAATAGAGATGTTTGAGAAAAAGTTGTCAAAAATAATCCACTTTCCCAAGTCTTGTATTCCATTGAGTTGCTAATGGAATGGGGTAATCTCAGTGGCTGTAAGTTTCTTTCTAACTAATGTGACTGTGTAGGGCTCACATGTTTTAAAATGACAGTGTGTAACTTAGGAGTACTGAGGCATGACTGTTTTGAGGTGAGAAATTAAGAACAAGCTCTTGTTCTTGCAATGGTTATGTGAGCTCTGTTTTGGAATTTAATGAAGTTTATTTATCAGCTTTTTTCCCTTGAATGCCCTAAATTCTTATTTATTTTCCAAAGACTATTTTATAAATGAAAGTTTATTAAGATATATGTTGGGTGAAATGTAAGTTTATTAAGATATATGTTGGGTGAATTAAAATATGTCAAAAGTAAAGCAACTATAGTTTTATTGTCTTTAGAAGAATGGGGAGGGAACTTTTTCCCCAAAGAAAATGGAATTATTTTCTTTGTTTTTTGGTTTTCCTGTTGCTGGATGTTAGGTTTAAAGTTCCTGAAAGTCAGATCTAAGGGTGGTGCCACCCATCACTTAAATGTAGTCAGTGAAGAAGATGTTTGCTTATAAAGGAAAACTTAGGTGAAAAGTCATAGATCTTAAAAAAATTATGGAGTACCATCACACTAATTGATGTCAGTTTTTTAAAATGACATCTACAAGGATGTCAATTTAGTTTATATGCAGTTGGCTTCATGGCTATCAGTTATAACGTCAGCTCATTTGTGTTTTTAAGTAATGTGTGTCTTGTGATGTTTCATCATTGATCTATTGTGGGACCTCTTCATATGCCAGTATAGTCACCCATTTTCCTTTCTATTTGATTGTATTTTCATTTTTTTATTTGTATTATTTTTTATTTTAATTTTATTTTTTCGAGACAGAGTCTCGCTCTGTTGTCCAGGCTGGAGTGCAGCGGCGCAATCTCGGCTCACTGCTACCTCCGCCTCCTGGGTTCAACCGATTCTCCTGCCTTGGCCTCCCAAGTTGCTGGGATTACAGGCGCCTGCCACCACGCCTGGCTAATTTTCGTATTTTTAGTAGAGATGGGGTTTCGCCATATTGGCCAGGCTGGTCTCGAACTCTTGGCCTGAAGGGATCCACCTGCCTTGGCCTCCCAAAGTGCTAGGATTACAGGCGTGAGACATTGCGCCCGGCCTCATTTTTTAGTTTTTTAGAGACAGGGTCTTGTTTTGCCACCCATACTGGAGTACAGTGGTATGATCATGGCTCACTGCAGCCTGACCTCCTGGGCTGAAGCAATTTCCCTGCCTTAGCCTCTGGAGTAGCTGAGAGTAGGCACATGCCGCCACGCCAGGATAATGTTTTTATTTTTTGCAGAGATAGGGTCTTGCTGTGCTGCCTAGATTGGTCTTGAACTCATGGCCTCAAGAAATCCTCCTGCCTCAGTCCATTTTTTTTTTTTTATTTTTGAAGAGACAGAGTCTTCCTATGTTGTCCAGGCTGTACTCAAACTCCTTGGCTCAAGAAATCCTCTTGCCCCAGCCTCCCAAGTAGCTGGGACTGTAGCCTCACAGCAATGTGCTTGGCTTTTCCCTTTCATCTTATTAGATTGGTGGAAAAGTAATTACAGTTTTTGCCATTGAAAATAATGGCTAAAACTGCAATTACTTCAATAACATTTTTCTAGATGGTTTCAAAGTTTGGTTTTGTTTATTAATGGATAATTTTCTATGCCAGCATGTAAATAAATGAGGATAGGGCTAATAATATGCAATTCTGCAAATAGTTTCCAGAAATCAGTAAACCTTTAGGAATCGAACTTTGTAAAAAGGTTATCATCATTTACTTTTTTGTGCCCAAGACCAGTCTTTCTAAGTCATGCTTACTTCCTATTATAGGGAGTTCAAAATCATATACCTCACAAGTAATTTGTTCAGGACTTACCTTCCACCTCCAAAAAAATACATGAAAATAGGAATAGAAAAGTAAGACCAAATACATTTATTTTAGCCCCACTTCAAATATACTGTTCGTCTGTGTATGCCTTTTGGCCAGTGGGTCAGAATCGGTCTTTGCCCTGACACCAATATCTAATTAAGTACACTACACAGATAGGCTAATCTTGCATAAGTAGTAATGGGAGAGGGAGGAGGTGGGGGTCACTTGTATGTGTCACGACGTTAGCTGATGATACTCATCTAAGTCATTTTCTGAATATCTGGGAGTGCAGTGACCTAGGATGTGAGAATGCAAAGGTGACTCTCAGACATATCCCTCCATCAAGAAGCTTGCAGTCTCATAGGGAAAATAACTTTATGATGTACATCATGGTTTTATAGGGTAGAAAATAGAGGGTACTGGGCTGGGTGCAGTGGCTCATGCCTGTAATCCCAGCACTTTGGGAGGCCGAGGCGGGGGATCACGAGGTCAAGAGGTCAAGACCATCCTGGCCAACATGATGAAACCCCATGTCTACTAAAAATACAAAAATTAGCTGGGCGTAGTGGTGCATGCCTGTAGTCCCAGCTATTCGATAGGCTGAGGCAGGAGAATCACTTAAACCCGACAGGCGGAGGTTGCAGTGAGCCGAGATTGCGCCACTGCACTCTAGCCTAGTGGCAGAGCAAGTCTCCATTTCAAAAAAAAAAAAGAAAGAAAGAAAGAAATAGAGGGTACTGTGAGGAAGGCACAGTTAACATTTTTCAGCAGTTAGAGAAGAGGGCACTTCCTGGCACCTGGAATGTTTGAATTGGGCCTTGAACAATGGGTAATAACCAGATAGTTCAAGTTGGAGGCAGGGAAGGCAATTCAGGCATGAGGAACAACATGGGGGAAAGTGGGTATGTTGAGTTGACTTGGCTGATCAGAAGACCTGAACAAGAATTTGTGAAAAAGAGGATGGGTGCTACATTCAGAAAGGTCAAGATGGAGTAACACATAACAACCTAGCATTTGTGTCTGTTATTCTGTTCTGATTCTTGATTTAAAGATCAAAATTGGGCTGGGCACAACGGCTCATGCCTGGGATTCCAGCACTTTGGAAGACCAACACAGCAGAATTGCTTGAGACCAGGAGTTCAAGACCAGCCTGGGCAACATAGTGAGATCCCATCTCTACAGAAAAAAAAAATTAAAAATTAGCCCAGCTTGGTGGCATGTGCCTGTAGTCCCAGCTACTCGGGAGGCTGAGGCAGGAAGATCACTTGAGCCCAGGAGTTTGAGGCTGCAGTGAGCTATGATCACGCCACTGCACTCCAACCTGGCGACAGTGAGGCCCTGTGTCTAAAAAATAATAATTTTTAAAATGAACAAAAAATTGCAAGGGTTGTACAAGAAATGGGATTTAGATGAATGGCAACCATTCCAGCCATGATATGAGAATATTATTAGCTAAGGTTGTAAGTTAAATTTTGTGTGAATGTGAGTTTTTCTGGAGATTATACCTTTTATCTGGTTTCAAGGTATTCTTTGACCAGAAAAGATTAGATTCTGCTACCCTACTTTCTCAGCATGCTTTGCACATAGTACATACACTGTGAATGTTTGTTGGTTTGAATATTAATTGCTTATACACGATTGTAAAAATGTGAGCAGAGAGTTATACCACTTGGGAGCTCATAGGATCTGGAAATTATCTCTGCCTCATTGGACTCTCCTCCTTCCTCCTTCCTCCTTCCTCCTCCCTCCTTCCTCCTCCCTTCTTTCTTCTCCTTCCTCCTTCCTTCTTTCTTCTCCTTCCTCCTCCTCCTTCCTCCTTCCTCCTCCTTCTTCCTCCTCCTCCTCCTTCCTCTACTTCCGCTGCTGCTGCTGCTGCTCTTGCTGCTGCTTCTGTTTGTGCTGCTTCTCCTGCTGCTGCTCCTGCTTCTTCTGGTTCTGCTTCTGCGTCTGCTTCTTCTGCTGCTCCTTCTGCTGCTCTTGCTTCTTCTTCGGCTTCTGCTGCTGCTGTTTCTGTTTCCTCTGCTGCTGCTGCTGCTTGTGCTGCTGCTGCTCTAGCTTCTGCTTCTGCTTCTGCTGCTTCTGCTGCTCCTTCTGCTGCTTTTGCTTCTTCTGCTTCTGCTGCTTGTGTTTCTGCTTCTTCTGCTGCTTGTGCTGCTGCTGCTCTTGCTTCTTTTGCTTCTGCTTCTTCTGCTGCTCCTTCTGCTGCTCCTTCTGCTGCTCTTGCTTCTTCTTCTGCTTCTGCTGCTGCTGTTTCAGTTTCTTCTGCTGCTGCTGCTTCTGTTTATTCTGCTACTGCTGCTTCTGCTTCTTTTCTTCTTCTGCTTTTCTTCTGCTTCTTCCCCTTCCGCTGCTGCCGCTGCCGCTTCTTCTGCTGCTTCTCCTTCTCCTCCTCCCCCTCGGCCCCCGCTTCTCCCCTACTTCCCTCTTCCTTCCTCCTTCTTCCTTTCTCCTCCTTTCTTCTTCTTCTTTTTTTTTTTTTTTTTTTTTTGAGACTGGATCATGCTCAGTTGCCCAGGCTGGAGTGCATTGGTGTGATTATGGCTACTTGCAGTCCCAAACTCCTGGGCTCAAGCAATCCTCCCACCTTAGCCTTCCGCCAAGTAGCTGGGAGTACAGGTACATGCCACTGCCACCACACCTGCTTTCATGTATCCTGATTTAATGTATCCTTCCTGTTTTTTGTCTGTTTGTTTATTGTTTTTCTTCAGGGTAAGAAGGTGGATGGCTCTGTAAATGCCTATGCCATAAATGTCTCTCAGAAGAGGAAGTACAGGTATGCATAGCCCCCATTATTATGTTTGAACTAATAAATCAGTTTTTTACTTCAAACTTTATTATGAGATAATCATGTTTGTAGGAAATGTAGCAGTTTTCCATACTGTTCCTTGTTTGAATGAAATATTCATTGCTTATATTCTGGTGTGTTAAAATTGTTTTCCCATTTACATGTAAGCTAATAGCTATTAGAGAGAGGGTAGTTGGCTTAAATATTTTAGGACTATAGATAGTAATTTCCTCAGAAAAGCATAATTTCAAGTCTATGGGCTTTGATTTCATTATAATTTAGGTATAAGATAGATCCCTCCTAAACTAGATTGATTATGTAAGGATTTCAACTGTAAATATATTCTTCTGTTAAGTATAGGCATATTTTATTTGTACCACAGTTTTGGAGCGAACCAATCCATACATGAAATCTCACTGAATTCTTAATGAATGAAAAAGTCAAGATATTTTCAAACATTGCCTTTCTCTCTAACTTTGTCGCTGATAAAAGATTAATAGTCCAGTTAATTTAGATTATGAATCATGTGATTGAAAATGCTATAAGCTAAGGTACTAGAATCATCTTGGACAGTCTTTTGTAAAATTACCTTCAAATAAGGTCTTAGGGGGAGAATCATTACAGTGTGCAATTGAATTTGCTCAATGGGTGCCTGTTTTGGAACTCTTTTCTATTTCTAAATTATATGTTTCGTGTTACCTAAAATAAATAAGGATTTTCAATTGATTTTTTTTTTAAGTCTGTAAATCTTCTCAAATAATTTCAAAATTAAACTTCAATACTGCTATCTGGAGTTAAAAGAAATCTGAAAGTCTTTGGTTTATTTTGAAAGTAAAATAATCTCTAAATATACATTAAATTACCTTGAATAGTTTCTACCCTAGACTTTGCTATTATAAAGATGGTTTATAGTTTTCATCTCTGATGCATGTTTTTTTTTTTATAAGAGGAGTATAGGATTAAAAAAAAACAATGAATTTTCTCTTCTCATCATAGGCAGTACATGAATCGAAAAGGTGGATTCAACAGACCTTTGGATTTCATTGCATGAGAATTGAAGTGTTGAAGGATGATTTTTTTTCCCCTCATCTTGGTCAGAGAGTGGATTTTGTATTTTGTATTTAACTTGCATTCAAAAAACAGGATCTCAGTTCTCCTTTCTTGTAAAGTAAGAAAATCTTATTTATGATATATGCAGTTAACTTACCTTGCCTCAACAGAAGAAAGGTTAAATATTACATTTTTTTCTTTTAGGAAATATCATTTGTGGCAGGCGTCAACCCCATTTTATTTGTCCTTATTCCTGTGGAAGCAGTATATGTTTTCTTCCTGAATGCTCATTAGGACTTCTTAAAAAACATGAAAGTAATTTGGAAGTAAGTTTATCCAATAAAGCAGTATTTCTACCCTTTTAGATTTGATAAATATTTTTATTACTAAAGAATCTCCCCAGACATTTTCTTTTTTTTTTCACACATAGATTTAAGTATCTTGATTGTTAGTAGTCTAAAAATGGGAAGAATGAAAAAGCATAACTAGATTTTTCTATCTTCTGTGGTCGCCCGCCCCCCCCCAAAAAAATACCATTTATGGTTCTCTCCGCAAGTATAAAAGCATTACATGCAAAAAAAAGATCTCAGAGAAAACAAAAGTAAAAGAAAAGCAGAAAATCACCTGTTATCTACTCCCAGAAATAATCAATTTCAACATTTTGGTATATGTTTTTCCAGGCTTCTTTGGGTTGATCCCACCTATGAGATCAGAATATGTATGCAGTTCTTTCTTTAACCCTTTTTTCTCCTATGTACTGTGAACATTTAAAAAGTACTTTTAAATATTCTTTGGAAACTTAGCTTTTAGTAACTACTTGGTTGTATCATAATTTATTAACTAATGTTTTATTGGTAAACATTGGCTTGCCTCCCATGACTTGCCATTATAATTAAAACTGTGACTACTATCTGTCTCCATTACATACATATTTTTGTATGTTTCATTATTTCCTCAGGGTCCGTACTTAGACGTGGCATTGCTGAGTGAGATTAAAAGGGCCATGTATACATGTTTTAAGACATTTGGTATCTCTGGCTAAAAGGTAACAGCCAACTCTATCCAGTAAAGTATGAGCATTCTTGTTTCAGATACATGTACAAATATTAAGTGTAAAATTTGTTTTAAAGTTTCCTACCTGATGGGTAAAATAATGGTACTATTTGGTTTTGTATTTTTGTTTCATTTCTAGGGAGGATGAATATTTTTTAAATGTATTAGCCATATTTCTTTTGTAACATGCTAATTTTAAATCTTGGATCTATTAATATTTGTCTTTTGGCAAGCTTTTCTTTTTTTCATTTGAAGAACGCTCTTTTTCTATTGAAGATAATAACCATCACCCATTCTGTTGTAGACTTTGCTGGTAGTTGAGGCTGTGTGGCTAGGTTTTAACCTATTTTCCTGAGTAAGTACTACAAACATGGAACACAATTCAGATGATACAAAGGATATCTAGTGATGCATTAATTGTATATCCTTTCAGAGATATTCCACGTATATACAACCATATATTTATATATGGTTGTATATATGTTATACATATATATATATAACATATCTATATCTATCTATCTATATATATATATGTCTTGTATATAAAGATAGAAGCAAACTCTTCATACTGTTCTGCACCTAGTCTTTGTTCACATACATCTTATACATCTTGTGATGGTTTCTTATCGGTACCGGTAAAATTGTCTCAGTTTTTTAATTTCTTTTTTTTTTTTTTTCCTTTTTGAGACAGAGTTTCACTCTGTCACCTAGGCTAGAGGGCAGTGGCGCAGTTTTGGCCCACTGCAACCTCTCCCGCCAGGGCTCAAGCAATTATCCTGCCTCAGCTTCCTGGTAGCTGGGATTACAGGCGTGCACCACCACGCCCGGCTAATTTTTGCATTTTTGGTAGAGACAGGGTTTCACCATGTTGTCCAGGCTGGTCTCAAACTCCTGACCTCAGATGATCCACCCCCCCTTGGCCTCCCAAAGTGCTGGGATTACAGGGATGAGCCACCGTGCCTGGCCTTATCTCTAGATTTTTAAGGGCTGCTTTATAGTCAATCCATGGTAGGATGGACCATAATTTATTTAACTAATTCCCTGTTGATGGACATTCAAGTTATTTTTAAGTTATTTCTAATATTTTGCTACTTTAAGCAATTCTGTAATGGTTATCCTTGCATGTACCTTTTACAAATCTTTAACTAGATTTTTAAATCCTATTGCATCTGAAATTTGACCACCTATTGTAGTTCTTTTTTTTTTTTTTTTTTTTGAGACAGAGTCTTGCTCTGTCGCCCAGGCTGGAGTGCAGTGGCATTATCTTGGCTCACTGCAACCTCCACCTCCTGGGTTTAAGCAATTCTCCTGCCTCAACCTCCCAAGTAGCTGGGACTACAGGTGCATGCCACCATGCCTGGCTAATTTTTTTTTTTTTTTTTTTTTTGAGATGGAGTCTCGCTCTGTCACCCAGGCTGGAGCGCAGTGGCGCAATCTCAGCTTACTGCAACCTCCACCTCCCGGGTTCAAGTGATTCTCCTGCCTCAGACTCCCAAGTAGCTAGGACTACAGGCGCTTACCACCACGCCTGACTAATTTTTTGTATTTTTAGTAGAGATGGGGTTTCACCATGTTAGCCAGGATGGTCTCAATCTCCTGACCTCATGATCCACCTGCCTCGGCCTCCCAAAATGCTAGGATTACAGGCATGAGCCACCGTGCTCAGCCTCAATTTTTGTATTTTTAGTAGAGATGGGGTTTCACTATGTTGGCCAGGCTGGTCTCGAACTCCTGAGCTCAGGTGATCACCCACCTCAGCCTCCCAAAGTGCTGGGATTACAAGCACGAGCCTCCATGCCTGGCCTACTTAGTTCTTTGAAAGCTTTCCTGGCACGTTAGTTCCCTGTAAAGAAAATAATAATGATAATGACTGCATTGCATGCTACAGGGTGCAGAGCACCTTGATTCACTTAATCCTTATGAGATAAATAGAGCAGGTACTACCATCTCCCATTTCCCAGATGAGAAAGCTAATGCTATTCAGCATAAAGGCAGAAACTCTTGATGTTTATTCTACCTACTGCCTTCAATGTTTAAGTATTTGAATGTTGTACAGCTTTGAAGTACCCATTGCACAACTGTCACCACTCTAGGCATTTGGATTGTTTTGCTTGGACTTTTTGCCAGCTGAGCTAAATAGTTCCCCATGCCTCTACCCACCAAAATACTATATATCTGTAAATAATCCATCATAAGGACTGTTTCTATTTTTGTGTATACCTAAGAAAAGCAGACCTAATTGTTGTCTTAATAGTGAAGCCAAATCTTCTAGGATAAAATAATATACTCCAAACCAAAGTACTGCCTTATCATTTTATTGGTGTTGTGTTACTAGAGATTTGACTTGAAGTCCTTAAGGCAGCATACTTTGCAGATAAATAATCTGAGAGAATCTGGTAGGTCAACAGATCTGCTGTCTGTGAGCTAACACTAAAGAAATAGAAGAAGAGGAAATCTTTGAAAAATCGAGAAAAGATACCTTTGATCCCAAAAGTCTTGGTTTGAAGGAACTTTTTATCCATTAGATCATCTAATTCTGGAAGAATAACCAAAGTGCAGCATCCTTGTATTCTTCCTCTAAGAGGCTCATCCTCATAGGGGATGTAAATTGAGCCAAGTTTTCTAAGTGTCTAAATGTTAAGTGCTCCAGGGCTCAGTCCTTGGACTCTCTAGTCTCTTCTTTGGTGAAGTGTCCATTTGTGTGGCTTCAAACACCTTCTGCCATCTCTCTCAAATTTATACTCTTCCTGTCGGACCATTTTACTGAACTACAGTCATGTATATGCAACTAGACTATTAGGCACCTCAAATTTAAGATTAACTGAACAGAACTCTGCCCAGTCTTCTTTTTTGGGGCTTTCCCATCATAGTAAATGGCCCTTTCATTCACTCCTTTGCTCAGACCATGGTCCTTGGGGCCATCTTTGACTCTTTTATTTTATGCCTTACATCTGATTCATTAGCAGATTATTTTGGCTTTAACGTCAGAGTACATTTTGAATTTGACCACTTTTCACCACCTGTGCTAACCTAAGCCATCTCTCTTGCCTGGACTACTGCAGTAGCCTCCTAACAAGTCTTCCTCCTTCCACTCTTGCTGCCTGTTTATTCTCCATCCAGTATCAGAGAGGAACCTTTTGAAATGTACATCAAGGCTGGGCGCAGTGGCTCCTGCCTATAATCCCAGCTCTTTGTGAGGCTGAGGCCAGCGGATCACTTGAGGTCAGGAGTTTGAGACCAGTTTGGCCAATGTGGTGAAACTCCATCTCTACTAAATATTCAAAAATTAGCTGGACGTGGTGGCATGCACCTGTAATCCCAGCTACTCGGGTGGCTGGGGCAGGAGTTTTGCTTGAAATCTGGAGGCGGAGGCTGCAGTGAGCCAAGATCTCACCACTACATTCCAGCCTGGGCAACAGAGCGAGATTTTGTCTCTAAATTAATTAATTAATTAAATGTGCAACTAGTCATATTGCTCCTGGCTCCAGTGATTTTTTTAAATCATTTAGAATAAAGTCCAGTCCTCAGTGTGGTCTACAGGGCCTCCATATGACCTAGACCCTGGCTTTCTACAGCCTCACTCTTGCTCACTGCACTGAGCTACACTGGCCGGCCTCCTTGCTGTTCTTTCAAAACAGGCTTGTGTCTACTCCCAGAGTCTTCTCACTTGCTCTTTCTTCCTTCTGGAATGTTCCCCCACCTCCCCGATTTGCACGAGTAGCTTCTTTACATTGTTCAGATCTCTGCTCAAACTAAGGTCATTCCTGATCACCCTATCCAAAATAGGAAACTTTCTTCCCTGTCTCTGTACTCTGCTTTACTCTTTTTTTTTTTAACATTTAAAAAGTTGAGATAAAATTTATATGCCATAAAATTTACCCTTCTAAAGCTTACAATTCAGTGGTTTTTAATATACTCAGAGTTATGCATCCATCATTCCTAATTCCAGAATGTTTTCATAACCCCAGAAAGAAACCTCATATCCATTAATAATCACTCCTCATCCCCCTACCCCTAGAATCCACTAATGTACTTCCTGTCTCTACAGATGTACCTATTTTGAACATTTCATATAAATGGAATAATACAACATGTAGCCTTTTGTGTCTGGCTTCTCTCATTTAGCATAATGTTTTCAAAGTTCCTCTGTGTTGTAGCATGTATCAGTACATCCATCATTCTTTTTTGTCTGCAAATAATATTCCATTCTATAGTTATACCACATTTTTGTTTATAATTCATCAGTTGATGGGCATGTGAGTTGTTTTCACTTATTGACTATTAAGAAATAATGGTGCCATGGCTGGGTGTGGTGGCTTATGCCAGTAATCCCAGCACTTTGGGAGGCCGAGGTGGGCAGATCACTTGAGGTCAGGAGTTCAAGACCAGCCTGGCCAACATAGTGAAACCCTGTCTCTACTAAAAATACAAAAATTAGCCAGACATGGTGGCGTGTGCCTGTAATCCCAGCTACTTGCGAGGCTGAGGCAGGAGAATTGCTTGAACCCAGGAGGCGGAGGTTGCAGTAAGCAGAGATTGCACCATTGCACTCCAGCCTGGGTGACAGAGTGAGACTCCATCTCAGAAAAAAGAAAGAAAGAAAGAATGGTGCCAGAACATTTGTATACAAGTTTTTGTATGAACATGTTTTCAGTTCTCTTGGGAGTATGCTTAGGAGTGGAATTACCAAGTCATGGAAACTATGTTTAACTTAAACATAAAGCACTGTCAAACTGTCTTTCAAAGCTGCTGCACTATTTTACAGTCCCATCCACAATATATGAGGGTTCCAGTTTCTCCGTGTGGCTCTCCAAGCCCTCCTTTACTTGTCTTCACCGCATTTATCACTGCCTGACATACCCTATATTCTTTTATTACGTCTGGTTCTTCTATTAGACAGTGAGCTCGGAGAAGTGGGGGATCTCTTTGGTTAGCTCTGCAGCCCCAGCACCACACAGTGGCTGGCACAGAGTGCAACGCTCAACCCATGTCTTGAATTTGTGAATATAGTTCTGTAACCTTTTTTCACTAACCTAGTCCCTTGATCTTCATTTTACATCTGATTACCTTTAGTTACCCAAGTACTTTATTTTGTATTTAACTTGCATTCAAAAAACAGGATCTCAGTTCTTCCTTCTTGTAAAGTAAGAAAATCTTATTTATGATATATGCAGTTGACTTATCTTGCCTCAACAGAAGAAAAGTTAAATATTACATTTTTTTCTTTTAGGAAATATCATTTGTGGCAAGCGTCTTTCTTGTAACAGTCTTAAAACATCGTGACAAAGCTAAACTCCTTTCGAACAGTACTCAGAATGATATTGCCCATTCTTTCTGCTAATCCTTTGCTTTGTATCTTTTGTCCATGCCTGTATGTATATAGCAGAGTAGGAAATTGGGAAAATACATAGTTTGGGCCTTTAAAAAGAAAATGCTGTAAGGGTTATTTTACAATCTATTTACTCAACACTGTGCCTTAGGGATCTTTTCTTGACAGTATATATAAATCTACCTTTTAAAAAGCTGCTGCATAGTGTTTTGTGTGATATACATATGACAATTTAGCCATTGCCTTTTTGTTTGTTTGTTTGTTTACCTGCTCTGGCTGGAGTGCTGTGTGGTGCAATTATGCTCACTGGAGCATCAACTTCCTGGGCTCAAGCAGTCCTCTTGCTTCAGCCTCCCAAGTAGCTGGGACTACAGGCTGCACCACCACACCCAGCTAATTTATTTTTTGAGTAGAGGTGAGTTCTCACTATGTTGCCCAGTCTGGTCTCAAACTCCTGAGCTCAAGTGATCCTCCCATTTCAGCCTCCCAAAGTGTTGAGATTACAGGCATGAGCCACGGCCCCTGGCTGTTGCCTCATTTTCTAAATCACAGATTTGTAGAGTGACTAATTTTTGCAAAACAGTGTTTTTAAAGGTTTTTAAAATTTAATATTATGATGTTAGGTATCATATTAGTGTGTCCAAAATAGCCACAAAGAAAGAGATGATACTGTTGAACCAGAAACTTGAAATCCTGATTTATCTGCTTCGAGGAACAAAATCAATTCCTCAAAACCTTATAAGACAAAATATATTTTAATGTCATAGTAGTTAGGAGGTATCAAACTCAGTTATAAATAGGGGGCTTTAATTCCCATAGTGATAGAACTTTTTAGGCACTTCAGGATTATAATACGGTAACAGTTTTCTTCCCTGCCACTCTGGGGTGCTCTCTGAAGCGGCATCTCCGGCAGAGAACTCCATAGTGTGTGATGAGCCTGCTGCTTGCTCAGTATTGGCATTTACCTCTTAATATACTGTCCTATGCCCATCTGGAGTATAAGCCTCCCAGAGGAGACTGGGCAGAGATTAACTTGGCAGTAAAGATTATCTGACAAGTCTAATATTTTATGTCTTTGTAATTCCCCATTTTCAAGTATATATCTCAATTAGTTTATCTTGATATGTGCTCAAAGATATAAACTATTGTCATCCCATGTTTATGCTATTACACATAACTTTTTATTTAAAGTTCTGGTCATAAAATTCTGGTTCAAACATTCTAGAATTCCCAGCTTCTATTTCTGGAGCTGTGACTCTCAGTCAGTCAATGCTTAGGCCATGCCTTTGAGGCACTAGGTATTGAAAGTCACCACTTCTTCATTATCTTAGGATTCTCAGTTCTTTCTTCAAAACTTATACTTTCAGGTTTTCTTAATTAACTGGTCATTCCATACATCTGTGTAAAATAATTTCTAGGAAAACTCCGAATCTCAAAACCTTTGTTTTATACTTACTACTTCATTTCCAGTAGATGGCACCAAACACCCTTTGAAGGTCTTCATTATACTAATCCCTAGTTGGTGTTGCTGGCTAATTGATAATTTCATCCACCACCAAGGAACGAACATGGTCTATTCTTCAGCTGATTCTCTAATTTTTATATAATGTAGTATTTTTGTTTGGAGTCTAAGCTAGACTTGTTGGCATTTAAATTATTTGCTGTTTCTGGCTCAGATTTCAACCTTTTTTCCCCCTTTTTAAGACAAAAATAAGTGTGACTTTCTGGTCAGGGTGATTGTAGAGGAAGGGTCATGATACTGAAATAGGACTTGGTTAAAATAAAGAGTTGAGAGTAAGAGACTAAAGACATATGCCAAATGTTTGTAATAAAATTAAAGAGAAAATATAAATATATACAAAATCCAAAATGTCAGGATAATGAAATCAAAGCATTTTTAGTATTATCACTTTGGGTACTTTAGTAGAATTGCACTCGTTTATGATTTTGAAGTTTGTTTTACAAATAACATCCAATTTAAAAATACTCTTTTAAAACTTAGATCCTTTTATAGTTCATAAACATAGTAATTAGGTGTTCCCATTGCATGTATGAGATGTGCCTCCCAAAGAGCTTGTTACAGCGTTAGTACATTACCTGTCTGATATGGAGAAAAAAAACTGTTATATTTCTACCTTCATTTCCAACTTTGTATTGTGCTTTGAAAACCTTTACCTTCAGTATGTGTATTTCATTAGTATTTTCATAAAGAATCAGTTTTTAGATCCAGTTAACCACTGAAACCAGAATATGCCTATATGTCAGGCATGATTTACTACATGTTTATTCTATTTATTGAGTTGATTTAATTTTAGTGGGTTTGTGGACATTAAAAAATACATGTTTAATATTTCCCACCATAATTACATTTACACCTTTGTCTTTCTTTTTCTTCAGTACTTGAGTTGTCAGTGTTTTGTGACTCAGTCTGGAAATCTGTTTAAACCACCTTGTCTTTATACAACTACCAACAGGAGGATTGGTAATTTGGGCTCTGGGTGAGACATACATAGGTTCAGTTTCCATGTCTGCAGCTGAATGCATGACAGGGAAAATCATTTAGCCTCCCTGGGCCTCAGTTTCTTCACGTGCAAAATGTAATTAACACAACCTACCTCATGGGGTTATATTGAGGATTAGAGATAATGTAGGTAGGATACCTACACATAGTAAGCTATTATATATTGGCAACAATAATAAACTTTTAAAAAAAGAAATATGTTCATGCTTTACTCATTTGTATTTTGGGGACTCAACCTACCAAGAACTTTATTTCTACTTTTAAAATTGGAGATGTCTGTCAGTACATTGGCAGTGTAGCTTGGTTTGCCAGATAGCTTTCATTTCAAAAATTTTAATAGGTTTAGGGACCGATCTTTAACCTTTTTAGTTCTGTATACGTAACATTCTATTAAGCATTTATATTGGTACCACCCCATGCGGAAACACACAATTTGCAGACGTCTTAAAGAGTATTCTTGGCCGGGTGCGGTGGCTCACGCCTGTAATCCCAGCACTTTGGGAGGCTGAGGTGGGTGGATCACCTGAGGTCAAGAGTTCGAGACCAGCCTGGCCAACATGGTGAAACCCCGTCTCTACTAAAAATACAAAAATTAGCCGGGCGTGGTGGTGGGCACCTGTAATCCCAGCTACTCAGAAGGTTGAGGCAGGAGAATCGCTTGAACCCGGGAGAAGGAGGTTGCAGTGAGCCGAGATCGCGCCATTGCACTCCAGCCTGGGCGACAAGAGCAAAACTCCCTTTCAAAACAAACAAACAAAAACAATAATCTTGTGAGTGTTTTCATCTAGAATTAAAAGGGAGGGGAAAACCCCAAAAGAGATTTAAGCAAAGAATCTTAGGGTTTAATGCCATTCTGTAGGTTCAGGAAGTCTCTGAGCTTTAAAAAGCCGCTCGCGTGAAAGTAATTAATTATTCCATCACTTCCCGGGGGTGGAGGGGGGTGCGGAAAAGGCGCATGAGCTCAATGCTGTATACTGCAGCCCGATTCCAGCTCTTTCTTGAGGGCAGAAAAAACGCCGAGCGGCGAGCATTTAACAACGGCCGGCTTTTCTTCTCAAGCCCCGCAGCAGCCACGTGGCGCCTGCCCTAGCTCCCGGCTCACCGGCCACTAGCCTGCACCGCTCTTCGGGAGGATTCGAGGCTGGGCCCTCGCCAGCCCGAGTTCCGCGAAGCCCAGAACCTCCAGGGCCGCGGCCACCAGACCGAGGGCTCCGGCCCCGAACCCAAGCGGGGCAGAGCGCCCAGGCGACACGAGGTGCCAGCCTTCCATTCGATGGACGCCTGGCAGGTCCCCGGAAGTTTTCCCCGGGGACAGGTCTTGGCAACAGGTCCGAGGCAAGGCCGGGTGGAGCAGAGCTCCGCAGCGGCTGGTGAATCAGCGCCGCCCAGCGCCGGACCGGCCCTCCCAGCCAATGCCAGACCCGGTGAGGAGCAGCCAGGCTGCTGACCATCAGCCACTTAGGGCTCGCCTGGCCTGGAGAAAGGTGACATCATCGTAGCTGGGAGGTTTCCGAAGGCTTCACCAATGGGAGACCGGCGAGGTGCTTGCCTTCTGCAGCTCTTGGCCAATACTAACAAAGCAAAAGGGGGCCCGGGTTGTTGGTATAGAACCAATGGGAAACAAGGAAGGAGCACGAGGCGGAGTTGCGAATCCTGTCACCAGTTGGAAAGAGGGGGTGGAGCCCGGGCCTTGTCAAGTGTGACCAACCAGCGAGAGGAGCGGACTTTGCGGGGTGGAGCCCTGAAGCCCTCTCCCAATCGCACAAGTGTAGGGGCGGGGCATTCTTTGGGGGGCCCAATGAGGAACGCGGCCGAAGCTGGCCTGTCAAGAGAAGGGGCTGGGGGCGGGGAGATGGTGAGTCGGGGATAAACACTCCGCGGCGGTGGCGGCTGCTGCTCTGCTCCGGGTTCTGTCACTGTGTCGGCGGTGCCCAGCTCACTGGCCCCCTCCCTCTCTTGTCGAGCGTGGTTGCCAGAGAGGCTCCCTCAGCCCTGCTCCGCGGGGTCCACAGCGGGCTCCACAGCGGGCTCCATAGCGGGCTCCACAGCGGTCCGGCGGCGGCAGCGAGCCCGTGGGCAGTGGGGGTTGGTCCCGTGGCTCCGGCCCCCGGTGCAGAATGGCGGCGGCGGTTCGGATGAACATCCAGATGCTGCTGGAGGCGGCCGACTATCTGGAGCGGCGGGAGAGAGGTGCACGGGGACGGGGAGGGGTCCACTCGAAACGAGGCCGGGGGTCCTGTGGGGCCGGCCTCAGGTCCGGGCGCCCAGCCGCTCCGGGGGTGGTTGGAGGCGGGGAGACCGCGAGCGCTCCCAACCCCTCTGGCTCTCCCCACGCGCGGTCCGAAGGGAAGCCGCCGCTGCCCCAAAGCAATGAATGGGGTGGAGAAGGGGCTGCCGCCCGCCGGGGTCCCGAACGCCGCCCCTTCCCCAGCCCTTCACGAGTGGGTGGCCGGGGCCCCCTCCGATAGCCTCCCTGGTTTACCTCACCCGGGCTGGTCCCGGCCGGCCCCCAGGTGGGCCCGGCGCCCCAGTCTCCTGGGCAGAGGAGCAGCGCCTCCCGGTCCCCGGCTCACGGTGCTTGCCCCGCACCTTCGCCTGAGCTGGTTCCACTTAACCCGCACCAACCTGCTGGATGTAGCCAGTGGGAAACCCAGGCTGCGTGAGCCTAGCCACTACTGTGTCTTTCTCAACAATGAGCAGCTGGAATCCTCCTTACACCTGCTCCGAATTGACGATATTCACACAATTTTTTTTTAAATCATTGTTCTCAGAATTCCACCTTACTCCATTTAATTATTTCCACAATATTCTTTTAAAGATAAATAAAGGAAAAAGGAAATACTGTAGAGAGGAGAGAGCATTAAATATTCTGGGCCCATTCATTAACTGGATCCTCCTGTTTTCTAGAAGCTGAACATGGTTATGCCTCCATGTTACCATACAATAACAAGGACAGAGATGCCTTAAAACGGAGGAACAAATCCAAAAAGAATAACAGCAGTAGCAGGTAATTTGGTAAATACTTCTTTCTGTCTTTTAGATTATATTGTAGGTGACACAAACTGCTGAATGTAAGTTTTCTGTTGTGATTATAACCCTATAAAATTACATTGTGGCCGTCATGATTCAGTAATGTACACATGGACTTAAGCCATTGCAGGAAGCTGTTTCTGTTTGGGTTGAGGGAACTGAAAAGAAAAATAGAAATGTTTTACATTTCTTTATGAACTTTATTCAAAATTTAATTTCACTTTTCTTCCCTTTTGGAACAAAAAAATCTGTGGAAGCTTCAAGTGAGATTAGCAATGGTGACAGTATTTTCCCTTCAGAAGTTGCAGATTCAGGGCAAGTTTTCTATAAGTCAAAATGCTGGACATTATCCATTTCTTTTACTTTTCATAGTAATGATTTTATAAACACATTAAAGTACCTGACTTGGCATAAGTGATAGGATCTCATACTTGACATGTAAATTAAATACAGTGGTTTGTTTGATACTCTAATTTGTCATCTCTATTTGTAATGGCAAAGAGGAATGATTGAGGTTAAAACCTACCTCTTTAGTGATAGAGGAATATATAATACCAAAATATTAATATGCTACAACTTTTCCATGTTAGCCTTATCGATTATCTTATACCGTAGTTCTTAAAAGCTGTGAATCTCACTGGAGATTTGGTTCATGGTCAGTTAAATCACATATTAAAGTCCTATGCATAGTTTCTGGTACATGCAAATAGTCCATCAATGTTGCTGCCCGTTTCCCCCCTTCTTTGCCCTTAAAATATAGTTGGCTAGGAAATTTGTTCTATTAGATCCCTTCAACTATACCTTTCCTGCCAGTAAATTAAAAGCATTGACCTTTTCGTCACTAGTTTAGAATCCTTATCCCTCCCTCACCCTCATGAATAACTCCTTGCAAGTATCTATTTGGATATCCTCTGTGGCTTAATACAGACCAGGAATTTCCCACTTAAACCTAAAAATCACTTGTTCTTGCTGCGTCTTCTGTACTTGGTTTACCTCTTTAGTATCGTTAGTGGAACCACAGGATGTGAGCAGCATTACTTGTGCCATGCCCTTGAATAAAAATGGCACTTGAAGGATCAACCTGGTAATTACCTGGTAGGTTTTGCTTGTCCTCCCACCTTAGCATTACCTGAAGGTGGTAGCCAGTAGTTTTGTGCATGGGTATGAAGGCACTTTAAGAAAGATGTTAATACTGACTTGTAATATGCAATGGTGTAAAACCAATTAAGCTGTGTTGCATTTTGTTACAATATTTTTTTAATTTTGTTTAGAAGAATTTTGAGGCCTTTCAGTTAATTTTTCTGGAAAAGCATCATCCATTTTTGCTTTTATTATTGTCCACTAATGATTTGAGAGGAATTGTCCAAGTTACTTATTGAGGCTTAATACCTTAACACTTTGTTTTTTTCCTTAGTTTCACAGGAAGGTTGTAGGGGATGTTCACTAGTGGGGATAAGAAAATGAGATGTTGAAGTGGCTTGGTCCCAAAAGGTGATTAGGAAAGAAAAATAATAGTAGTTAAGAATCTTAAGCCAAGAAATGGATTCTTTCTAGTATCTTCTCTTTAATAATCAGTACTATGCCAAAAAAAAAAAAATAAAGGCTACAAATCCTTCTGTTAATGGGTTGGTTTGCTTTCCATGGTTAGAGACGGGATTATCACAGTTGTCCATACACCTGACTGATAGTGAGTTAGTGTAATATATTCAGTGGTGTAAGGATTTCTGAGAGACCATGATTAAACCTAGAGGTAGCACCAGCCAAACGTGTGAGGCAAGAGCAGGCAGTTTTCTTTCAGTGTGATCATTTCCTTCATGACTCATTTGGAATAGCTCCTTTTCTGAGGAACAAGCAATCATAATGGAGAAAGCAGCTTGACCCCATGGTTTGAATCGGCTTTATATCCTCAGCCATGTATGGTCAGAATTTTGAACTGAGGTAAAGGATAGGGAGAGATTACTGCTGGTTTACATAACCCTTGGATAACAGTTTATTCTTGTTCTTACAGGTTGAAATGCTGTGCTTTTTGCTTGTAGAGTCTAGGGAAGTACTTTTCCTTGGACAATAAAAGATAAGATTTTGCCACATAGGAAACTTCTTGGGAACTGAAAATGCAGATCTTATTCACGTTTCTCTAGTTGCTTATTAAAACAACAAAAATGAAAATGAAATTGTGAATATCAATTGTTTTTGAAATTATCCATAGAACTGCTGGAATATGGGAAGATGGAAGTTTCTTTCCTACTGATTTTTGAAGTCAATTACTAATTATTTAGAATTGAAATCTAGAACTTCTTAAAAGTGTGTTTTGTTCAATGAGTAAAGCAAGCTTTGGCACTCACGTGAAAGAGGAAGTTCAGGACTTGCCACCCAGTTGTTTTATAAGACAGTGGCTAGAGTGACCTGACATGAGGAGTGTTTTTGAACCCAAGAATTTTTCCTGGTTATCTCAGATACGCCGTAATTTGGCTTAGTTTTTTTTTATTAGAGTGTATTTTTAAATGGTGAAATTTGACCTTTATCAGTGATTCCAGAGTTATCCATTGTTTTCCATAATCACATGGAAAATAGTTTTGACACAAGGTATCAGTGTGTTCTTACAGTGCTTTAATTAAAAACGTAAATGTTTACCCATCAATGGAGGTGGCTGGCAGTCTCGGAACTGATCATTTTTGAAAGGGCTGCTTTTTATTAATAACTCAGTTTCAGTAAACTAGATGCACTTCAGTAATGCTCTAGCCATTAAGTACAAGTCCCCCTTTAAAAAGCACCATGTGTTTAACACTCGAGTAATCAAATAAAATCTGTAGTTTTAAAAATTTTGTTCAAATTTTGGAAGAAGTTGTGCTTCCTATGGAGTTTGTTTAAAAGTTTATTTTGGGGATTCAGAATTTTGCATAAGTATATAACTCTATTTATTAGTTTATATATTTTCAAAGAATCCAGAAATATTTTGGTAAGAATTTCCTGTGTGCTGTTATTTTCTACTCTCTTCTCAACCTATTCACTTTCCTCTCCTCCACCTACAAGGGGTGGTCCTTGTCTACAGTTAAAGAGGGTAATCTCAACCAACTGTTGGCATATACTTTCATCCATTTTATTTTATTTATTTATTTATTTTTAGACAGTCTCGCTCTGTTGCCTAAGCTAGAATGCAGTGGCACCATCTCGACTTACTACAACCTCTACCTCCTGGGTTCAAGTGATTCTCCTGCCTCAGCCTCCCGAGTAGCTGGGATTACAGGCGTATGTGACCATGCCTGGCTAATTTTTGTATTTTTAGTAAAGACGGGGTTTCGCCAGGTTAGCCAGGCTGGTCTCGAACTCCTGACCTCAAGTGATCCACCCACCTCAGCCTCCCAAAGTGCTGGGATCCCACTATGCCCATCTACTTTCATCCATTTAAAAAAATCTGTCAGGCTTTGAACTTACTAGTCCCGGTTAAAGTTAAAATGCCACGTGCTTTAGAGCCAAAGGTTTGCAGTATATGCCAGATTCTTGTTAACTATAGTATCCTGTTGGCCATTGAAGGCAATAAACCTTCAGAACAATGTGACTGGAGAATGCTGAGGGATAACCAAGTGAATCAGTGTAAAGCTTTTATTTCTTTTTAATTGAGATGGGCTCTTGCTGTGTTGCCCACACTGGTCTCCAACTCCTGAGCTCAAGCAATTCTCCTGCCTCAGCCTCCCAAAGTGCTGAGATTACAGGTCTGAGCCACCATGCCTGACCATTTTAAAGTTTTGTTTTGTTTTGTTTTGTTTTGTTTTGTTTTGTTTTGTTTTTGAGATGGAGTCTCCCTCTGTCGCTAGGCTGGAGTGCAGTGGCACGATCTCAGCTCACTGCAACCTCCAACTCCCTCGTTCAAGGGAGTAGCTGGGATTACAGGCACGCGCCACCACGCCCGGCTAATTTTTGTATTTTAGTAGAGACAGGGTTTCACCATGTTGGCCAGGATGGTCTCAATTTCCTGACCTCATGATCCGCCTGCCTCGGCCTCCCAAAGTGTTGGGCTTACAGATGTGAACCACTGCGCCTAGCCTGAAACTTTTAAGTTAACCAATTTTGGATTGGTTTGAATACATGAGGTCCATATATTGTTTACCTAGAAAACAAATATTCTAAACTTAAAATACTGTCATTTTCTCATTTATTTTTTCTTCGTGAATAAAAATTGATTCCTAAGATCCCTGTGAAAGAGAAGTTTAATGCTAGGTTGGAAATTTCTCATTTCAAGACAACCTCCTCACTTCCGCTGCCATCCCCCCACATTCACTCTCCTTACCCCCATTCTCTGATGAGTGAACTTGATGTTGGTGCCCCTGATGTAAATGAGTGGCTGAGCACTCTTGAGGTGGTATTCCTCCATGATTGCTGTGAGAATTTATTTCCTAAGCCCAGTAAGGTGCTGATTATGGCCCCACAGAATTCATGAGCTGAACCAGGGAGTAAACTCCTGAGCTGGTTAAATTCTAGAGAATTTTCATAGAAAGGTCAAGCAAGATTCAGCTCCTTTATAATACTGGTAGCTTCTTCCAAATTTATAACTGGTTAGGAAGGGGTTGTGTGAGGAGGACACTAAAGGGGCCACATTGACTTCTTATGACTTTATGGTAACTTGTCCATAAAGTCTTAGGCCAGACCTTGTCTTTAAGGTCAGCCATAAATACACTAATCATATGGTTTCATATCCATCACACCTTTCATCCAAGGCTCTCTAATCAGTTTTACAGCTGTTACCTCATTGGTCCATACTTGTTCAGTAAATAATTCGTAATTATTTTTATTCTCATTTTATAGACAGGTTAACCAGTAACAGGATGGTAAAGAATTTTATTCATTCCACAGTATATCAGTGGCAAAGCTGGACTTCACATTTCACTAACTTCTGCTTTAAGCAACCTATCATCTTTATATTGAGCTGAACTTTGGAAACCCCTTCCTAAAATCATTTGGTTGCTATTTAACAGTAGCATCTTGTACATGATAGTTACTTCAGGGAGTCAGAAGTTTGGGGAAGGGGGTTATTTTACTATTTAAAACAATATAGTCAAGCAACTTTACACAAAATTTTGGTGTATGCTACCCCTAGGGAAAACTGCAGGGGTGGGGTAGGGGTGCTACCTCCCCTGTTCTACCCTTAGCCTACAGAAAGCTTTGTCGTATTATATAACGCAAATTCACATTGCATCGTGCAGCTGTTTTTGTATAAATAGACCCCTTTTATTTCTTGTCTTAAAATGGATTATTTTTCCACTAGAGAAGGCATGCTTCTTGGTTTGTCGCTTTACCTTGAACTCTATTTTAGGATTTACATTTATCTAACTCTTCAAATGGACTAATTTTTTTAGTAGAGCCCAGTGAATTTTTCTGCCTTTCTACATCTCTCCTATCAACTTTGGAGAGAAAGAAGTTAAAAGAATTGTGTTGGTGTTGAAGTAGTTCTTTAAGACAAAAATATCTTATTCTTCTCTTATTGTTCCCTCTTTCAGATCAACTCACAATGAAATGGAGAAGAATAGGTGAGTTGGGGATTTGGGAGGTGGAATGCGGGGAGCTTTGTTGCATTCTCTGTTCATGCAGTTCAAACTTGGTTGCTCTTTTTGACTCTTCCCACTAGTAGCACCTGATTTCAGAATTCACCCAGCGCCCTCTAAGCAGCATCGCTCATAAATTACTTAGGTAGATGTAGAGCTTGCCAGTTAAAAGACCACACCCCTAACCCTCACCCGCACCAGCCCACTCCTGAAGAAGGCCTTTGAATGACTATTCCACAGACCAAAGCATTTTAGTCAGAGGCAACATTTCCACAAATAGTGTTTTTAAAAAAATTACATGCTACTGAATATCATTGGCAGTGTTATCTAAAATACATATACACAGATATATATACACATAATATACATGTAAGTATATATTAACACATGTGTATTAACGTGTATGTATGTGTATTTGCAGTTTACTTGTGAATGAAGAGTCTCAAAATTCAGGCAAATGTATGCATGGCAGAAATTGGAGATGGTGCCTAACTAGAGGAGGACTGCCACCCTCACTGGGCTCCATCTTGCCGCAGCCTGAGTGGAATCTCTCTCACCTGGATTGCCTCTTGCTGCTTACTTAAATCTTTATTTTCCAAATCAAGTTGCCCCTCCTTCAGTGAGGCAGCCGAGTGGTTTTCAACTCTGGTTGCACATTAGAATCACTTGCAAAGCTTTCTGTGTATTTTTAAACATATTTTTATATTAAATACATTATACACATACACTTGTATATTTTTCTGGTGAGGGTAGAGAACAAAGGTTTATTTCTGCTGATTCTATAAAATAACTTTTTATTATAGAAAATTTCAAATCTGGCCAGGTACAGTGGCTCATACCTGTAATCCCAGCACTTTGGGAGGCCAAAGTGGGTGGATCACCTGAGGTCAGGAGTTCGAGACCAGCCTGGCCAACATGGCAAAACCCTGTTTCAACTAATAATACAAAAATTAGCCAGGTGTGGTGGCACGTGCCTGTAATCCCAGCTACTTGGGAGGCTGAGGCAGGAGAATCGCTTGAACCCTAGAGGCGGAGGTTGCGGTGAGCCGAGATCCCGCCACTGCACTCCGGCTTGGGCAACAGAGTGAGACTCCGTCTCAAAAAAAAAAAAAAAAAGTAGAGTGACTAATGTAATCAACTCCTATGTATCCATTACCCAGCTTCAGTAATTATCAACATTTTGCCAGTCTTCTGTAAGCAAAACCACCTATTCCCATGAAGTATTTTAAAGCAAATTTTCTTGTATCTCTAGTAAACACCAAAAAAAAAAAAAAACACACAAAACACCCAAAACAACAACAAAAAAAAAACCACTTGCTTTTACCATACTGAAAAAAATTAATGATAACTTTTTGTGGAGCTTTTAAAAGCCAACAAACAAACAAACAAAATAATGCCCAGACCTTACCCTTAGCAATTCTGATTTAATTGGTTTGGGTTGAGGCTCTGCACTCGTATGTTTCAAAAGCTCCCCAGGTGATTCTCATGTGCAGCCATGGCGGAGAACCATTGAACTAGCCTCATTCTGGTCTCTGAGCTCCCATCAATTTGAAATGCGGGCTACCCATCCAAATTGAGTGCTTTCTCAGTGCCCTGCATGAACAAGAAAAGGATGTGTAATGATGGCTCTATAAAGACATGTGGTTATTTCCTGCCAACCCTCTTTGAAAAAGGAGCCTGACTCTGAAAGTCAGGATCTGAATGATATTTATGTTTAATCAGTGAAAGGGCAGACTAAACCCTTCCCAGGCAGGTAGAATCTGGGAAGAGGGCGGTTAGCTTTACTCCACTATGGAATTTCGTGTGTGTGTGTGTGTGTGTGATGCTGAGTGTGCCTCACTGCATATATGCTTCTGCTCATCCCATCGTCTTCCCTTTTAATTGTTCTATGATTGTGACTGACCATGTTTTAAGTTGGAGCTTCCTTTATGCTTTAGCTATTTACATATCATGAACTAGAAACTCAAAAGTATCTCTTCTTAAAGGGGAAAGGTAGTCAGTTGTGGCTTCTCTTTCTCATTTTTAGATTTTCTCTTCAGATTCTCTCCCTTCTTCCTGCCTTTGCAGTGATGTGGGTAAACCGGGACTATTTCTGCTGAAAAGTCTTCTAGTTCTTCGCCCCTCTAATACTTTAGTTTGGTATTTATTTTTATTATTATTAAAATTTGATCGCTTCACATAAAGACTTACTAAAACTTTGTGACTTTTGCCTCTGCAGGAATGCCACAGAATGTCAATTGTATTATTTATTATAGCACCTCAGGGATGTTTATTTTCTGTCTATGGTGGCCCCAGAACTTGTACATGTTACTGGGTATTAAATGCGTTCATAGTAGGGTATTAAATCAGCAAGGTCCCCATCCCAGAAAAATGTGCAGTTTGTCCAATGGGAAAGATGCAGAGACAGTTTCAGTTAATATACTAAGTGCTAAGATTGGGATGTGCACAAGAAGCTAGAGGTAAAAATTCTGGAAAACTGAACGTGAAGTCACCACTAGGCAAGCTGCCTGTAATTGAGCTTGCTTGTATATGACCAATCAACCTTTGCTTGTTGAAGGATTAGTTATCTAGTTTCCTTCTTTTCTTTTTTGGAATTTGGTCTTTTAAGGTCTTGATAATCTTTCTAGTCTAGAGCATGTGAACAGAACAGAAGGAAAATCAGGACTCAGTTTACTTAATTTAAGCAAGCATTGGTTGCTGCAGTTCAGGGGAGGTTAAAGTTGCTGGGCTCCACTCTCTTATTAGCATGGATGCTTAAGAACTTCAGGGTTTGGAGGTCAGCTGAACAGCTGTTTTTGTACTCTCCCTGGTTTTAGTAGCTGAGTTCTATAAAAGAATACCACTCGGGTAAATGCTAATATACTTTAGCCATTTTTTACCTGATAACATTGCATAAAAAGATTATCATGGCTTTCATTGCTTCTTGGCCTTTTGGCTAAAATCAAGTGTAAAAAGATTGCCATGGCTCTCAAAAAAAAAAGGAAGAAGAAGAAAAGACAACTTAGGAAAAGAACTTCTAACAGTGGGATTTTCCCTTTTCTTGATATTGCAGAGTTGATTATACTTGGGTTAGTTTTCTTGAATGGAAACCTTTTCTATGGCACTTTAGAGATTGTAAATAATTAGTGTTACTCTATGTTATCAGGACTCCACTGTAAGGATATTATACCCAACACCAACACTTTGAAGTATCTTCGCATTGGTGGGACAATAAAAGAAAAGACTTCTAGAATGGTGGTGGTGGTAGTATTTTCTACTCAACAGAATAGGTGTTGAGCACCTAAGATGCCGTGTAGTAGGTGCTGGGACTACAGAATCCAGTAAAGACTACGCACTGCTGTGGAGGAGCTCAGATTAATATCACTCTACAGGGGGTTTGTCAGTCAGCACATGGCCTGTGTTTCTCTGCATTTTAGCTAATTTTCTGGGTCTGATCTCCTAAGAAAACACCCTTGGGAGGGTGGGGTATGTGTGTGTGTGTGTGTGTGGTTTTTCTTTTCTTTTTTTAAACTAATCTTGCAGAAAATTTTGAGAAATATAGAAAATAATACTAAAAATTTAAATTGTCCATAGTTCTAGCACTCAGAGAAAACCAATGGAACTTGAAAATATATCTTTCCAATTGTTTTGGAAAAGAACTGAAAATATAGTTTTGTGTAGAAAGTTAGAAAATTCAGAAAAGCACAAAGAATATAAAAATCACCTGTAATAGGCCTCTCAGAGGTAACACCTGCTAACATTTGTTCTATATCCATCTAGACTTTTGTGTGTACTTTTTTTTAACCAACATGGGATCATATAGTAATAATTTGTAGCATCTTTTCCAGTTATAAACATTTTCCAATGTCATTAAATCTCCTTTTTCAACATTACTTAATGCCCAGTATTATATTATATGAATATGTTAAACCTCATATAATCAGTCCCCTGGTTTAGATTCTTCCCAGAACCTAAACAATGCTTTCTTAAACCACCTGTAGAAAAATCTCTGTCCAACATCATAATTATTTCCTTAGGATAAATGTATAGCTATGGAATTGGTGGTGAACACGTTTTTAGGATTGCTGGATTGTCCACCAGGCAGGTTACAGGCATTATTTTCCCTGCACTTCACAAGTTGATGTTATAACTTAAAACCTTTATGAGTTTGATAAGTAAAAAATAAAAAAACACACAGGCAACTTGTTTTAATTTGCATTTCTCATACTACTAGCATAGTTGAACAATTTTTATGTCTTTGACTCTGTGTGTCTCTTTGTGTGAATTGTCTATTAAATAGCCTTTGCCCAATTTTCTACTAAAGAATTTATCTTTTTCTTTATTTTAAAAAGTTTCCATAATATAAAGGACATATATGAAAGATATTGACACTTTTTCTATCACATAACTGTCCAGTTTATCATTTAGCTATACAGAATCAGTCTTCCCTCACTGATTCAAGTTGCTACCTTTGGTGTATACTTATTTTTGTTTATGGCTAAGTCTCTTTCTAGACTTATTCTTCCAGTCCATTGATCCATCTCTTCTTCCTGTGCCAATATATACCCTTTCATTCTCCTTTTTTTTTTTCCATGCCCTTATCTATTTTCACCAGTTTATTTTTCCTGAAAAAAATTTTAATCTGTGAATTCCCCAACCCCTAAATTCTTTGGGGAGTTTAAAAATTGACATTGCATAATTCCAATATAAATTAACCTTTAAAAGTTCATGCTTATATATTAGATCTTTTCATCCAGGATTTGGTATGTGCCTTAATTTATTCAGATTTCTCTTCTGTCTCTAAGCAAAGTTTTGTAGCAAAGTTTTCCACACAGGTCTTATACATGTCCTGTAAAAGGTATTCCTGGATTTATATATTTTTAGATTGCTATTGGTTTCCCATCTTAGTTAACTAATTGATTATTGTTGGAATATAAACATATTTGAATCTTTTGTTGTTACATACCCTTTATTGATGATAATTCTGCTATTTCTTTCTCTTAACTGAGAATTCCTCCAATTTAAAACAAAGCCTTTCAATGAATCCCTCAGCAAATGGAGACTGAGCAAACACATATAAGCTACAGCCAATAGGTCAGGAGCCAGGTGGTAGAATAGACTCTTTTTTCAAAAGATGGCTCTGGCGTCTCCTTTAATAGTAGACATCCATTTTTCTGGAGTGGTACATATGCAGCTCTTGCTAGAATTAGGTGCCTGGTCTAGAGCTACTACCTCTGCCAGAGTCTTCTGACCCTGTGACAGAAGATTTCTGTGTGTGCTCCATGGGGAAGACTCTGCAGCCCAATCTAAGCTGTTATTTCCATTTGGTCAAACAGTATTTCAGTGGCATCTGGTCTGGCATGAGAAATCAATTCAGTCAGGTCTCTTCTGGAAGAATATTCTAATTGATTACAGGTCCCTATAGTTGTTCCTTTTGGGTTTTGATTTTTCAAATGACCAAGTCCCTTATATGGGAAGGGCTGGGGCCTGACTTTTGCACTGGGCCTGAGTTGTGGTATGCATTGCATCACTCTTATTGTTTCTGAACTTTCTTGACCACATTCAGATTTCACTCTGGGATGTTGTAACAAGTCCATGTTTGTTGCAACATGGGGTAAGGTTATTACGAAGGAGAGACACAGCGATCAGTGTATAAATCCAATCTATATTGATGGTCTGGAGAAGAACTCACATTTGTACCACAAGAATCATCTTCCTTGTACTATAACCCTTGAGTAGATGACACCTGCCTTTGGCAAGACTTGGAGGAGAGACACATGCTGGTCATTTGACCAATTTCCAGTCTCCTACCTGGGACCCTGGGGCTATTCCCTTACTTTTTGTCATAGGCATTAATAGTCAAATAGTGGGATAGAGCCAACAGGTATGATTATAATATATATGTTGTATTTGAAAATTAGGCTCTGAAAAGGAGATATTAATGTGGTGTACTTATGTATTTCATACTTTAATAATGAAGTGACCTTATCTCTCCAAAATGTAGCCACTGTTAACTGCTATTTATGTATTATTCACTGAGTATATTACTATCTTTGTATTTTCTACAAAGATTTATCAGCACAATTGTGAGAAATCTTCAAAACCTTTTAGGGTTCCAATTAAGTTGGTAATAATGATGCACTTGGCAATTGTTTATAAAGGGATCATTTTAGAAAAAGGAGGAAAGTATTTTTTCCCTCTTCAAAGTGTGACTTGTAGTCTTCACCTGGATTTTTTTTTTTTCTGTTTAACCCAGTAGGGCTTTGTTCTCAATGCAGAATCTCCTGTGACCCTTGACATTTTAAGGGATTAATTTTACAAGTCCCATTAATAAAACTTGTTCCTTCTTACTCTATACTAAATACCTTCTTTTCCTTATTATACAGCTCATACATACCCATATCTAAAATTATTTTTGTTCAAACTCCAATTATCTTATAGGATTTAAGATGCTATTTAATTGGGTAAGTCTGGCCCACACCAAGATAGGTGATAAAATGGTGAAACCTCAGAGTTAAACAGGCTACCCTGTTGAGGGTGATCTATTTGGAAAGGAAAAGAAGGTTATGATAGGCTGTGAAAACTTGGAAGGAAGTTAAGTCAGATGGGATGTTTGAGGGTGAGGGAAAAGAAAGAATATGTTTGGTAAGAGCAAAGGAGAGCCCATTCTATAACTTTAGGTGAGAGCTGATATCTATCAGGGTTTGAATATAGCTCCTACAAATCATTCTGCAATAATTCATCTACACGTTTGAGCACTCCAACTAAATTTTAATTACCTCAAAGGTAGGGACTTGATCTTACTCAATATTGTATCCCAAGACTTGCTGGGGGCACTGGCTCACAACTGTAATCCCAGCACTTTAGGAGGCCGAGGTGGGAGGATCAGTTGAGCCCAGGAATTCAAGACCAGCCTGGGCAACATAGTGAGACCCATCTGTACCAAAAAAAAAAAAAAAACCTGTAGTCCCACCTACTCAGGAGGCTGAGGTGGGAGGATTGATTGAGTCTGCGAAGTTGATGCTACAGTAAACTGTGATGGCACCACTACACTCCAGCCTGGTTGACAATGCAGACAAAAAAAGAAAGAAAATATAGCCTGGGACCTAAGAAAGCAGCAGAACATAACATAATAGTTCTCTCTCTTTTTTTGAGATGGAGTCTTGCTCTGTCACCCAGGCTGGAGTACAGTGGCACAATCTTGGCTCACTGCAACCTCTGCCTCCCAGGTTCAAGCGATTCTTGTGCCTCAACCTCCTGAGTAGCTGGGATTACAGATGTGTGCCACCGCACCTGGCTAATTTTTGTATTGTTAGTAGAGATGGGTTTCGCCATGTTGCCTAGGCTGGTCTCAAACTCCTGGCCTCAAGTGATCCACCCTCCTCGGCCTCCGAAAGTGCTGGGATTACAGGCGTGAGCCACTGCGCCCGGCCCAGCCTGTTACACTTTCAATAAAGAGAACTAATCACAGATAACAGTGCTTCCTTCAAACACACACACATACCCACACACCCTTCATTTGGTACCACTTCTGGTCTTGATTACATCCAAGTCAGGAAGAACTTTAAGGATAGTATATTTAATGCAGGAGGCACTATCTACAGATAGCACCATCTACCTAATAATCCTACTCTGTTGAATCTATTCCCCAATTTGCAGATCTACTAGCCTGAGAGAGATCCATAGATAGAATCAAGAAAGCATGGTCTGGAGGCAGAAATAAGAAGAGCTACAGTCAGAATTGTCTGAGTTAGCCCAGGTGCTTTCTATCAGTGCCAAAGCTCTGGTAGGAGCTGGTGCCTCAAACAGCTTGGCACCTTCTTCATTAATAACTTCCTTTACTTGGATATTTACTTTCCGTAATTCATGGCTGGCAAGAAGTTAAGGAAAACTAACAGCAGAAATACGTGGTATCTGAATATATTTTATATTTAAATCTTTAATCTGTTTGGAATTTATTTTGATGTTAACCTCCTCACTCTCTTGCCATTTTCTGAATAATCCATTCTTTCCCTAAGGATTTATGGTGTTATCTCCTTTATGTGCTAAATTCCTATCTATTCTTAGGTCTGTTTCTGGGGATTTCTATCCTATTCATTTGATTTGTCTGCCTATTCCTGTATTAGTACTACACTGTTTTTAATTATTGAAGCTTTATAATACAATTTAATATCTGGTACAGCACATTCCTCCTCATTATTCTTCTTATTCAAAAATTTTGGCAGTGTCACACACATCTATTCTTCTAGATGAAGTGTAGTCCCAGTGTTAAAAAGAACACTGTTGGGAGTTTTTTTCTTGGAATTGTGTTAAATTTGTAAACAAACTTGAGGAACATTGACATTTTTTGTTTGGAGGATTCATATCCAGGAATCTGCTATTTTTTTCATTTACTCAATTTTCTTGTGTCTTTCAACAAAGTTTTATAGTTTTCTTCCCATAGATCCTTCCCAACCTGTTTTAAATTTGCTCCTCAATATGTTATACTTTCTTCTTGCTATTGCACATGAGATATGTGAAGATCTCTGTGCTTGGACTTCCCAAGTCAATACATATTTGCCTCTATTTTTATTCTCCTTTGGCCATTGCAGTCGAGATCAAGGAGGGAGGCCCAGACTCTTCAGGACACTTGCTCCTGCAGCAAGCAGAAGTGAGGCAGCTGCCTCCCTCCCAACCTTGGAATCCTTTCTACCCCTGACTCTCAATGATGTGAACAGGAAATAAAGGAATCTTTTATTTTGCATTCATTGGCCTTATAAAACCCTTGCTAATTTTGTAAATGTAAAGAAATAGTACTTTTAGCATAAGCACTTTCTGTGTTTCCATAGAAAATGGATTAGATTTTCCATTAATTATTTTAATGACAAAAGATGTCCATTTTCTTCAAGGAAGTATTCAGAAAAGTGGATTTTGCCAGATAGCCTCTGTCTGCCTAGTGAGACATTTTTGAGTTCCCTATTGATTGTAAAAGGAATATCATAGTGCTCTTATTATCTGTGTTTGCTCACAGCAATTCTCCTTCTACAGAGGAAGCTAGGATTGAAAGAATAACTGCTACCATATACAGAGTACTCCCTGTCAGACCCTGACCCAAGGGCTTCCATACCTTGTCTCAGTCAATACCCATGACAGCCCTCCCAGGGAGGCGCTTGTCACCCTCATTCTACTGATGAGGAAACTGAGGCTACACAGAGTTAAGTAATTTGCCCAGGGTCACACAGGGAGTAAGTGGCAGAGCCAGGATCTCAAACATTTACTCTTTTTTAAATATTAACTTCATTTTTAATTTTTGTGGGTATGTAGTAGGTCTGTATATTTATGGGGTACATGAGGTGTTTGATACAGGCATGCAATGCATAATAATCACATCAAGTAAAATGTGGTGTTCATCCCCTCAAGCATTTATCCTTTGTGTTGCAAACCATCCAGTTCTACTCTTCCAGTTATTTAAAAATATACAATTATTTTGACTATAGTTACCCTGTTGTGCTATCAAATACTAGGTGTTATCCATTCTTTTAAGCTATTTTTTTTTTAACCCATTAACCATCCCCACCTCCTGCCCACCCCCGCTACCTTTCCCAGCCTCTGGTAACCCTCCTACTCTCTATGTCTGTGAGTTCAATTGTTTTGATTTTTACATCCAAAAAATAAGTGAGAATATGCAACGTTTGTCTTTCTGTGCCTGGCTTATTTCACTTAACCTAATGACCTCCAGTTCCATCCATGTTGTTGCAAATGACAGGATCCCATTCTTTTTATGGCTGAATAGTACTCCATTATGTATATGTACCACATTTCTCCAGACATTTACTCTTAATCACTGCATTAATATTTGGTTGCATAGTGACTGAGTCAGAATTTTTTAAAAAAATTAAAAATCAACAAAATTTGGGATACTTAAAACTTACTGAATAGAATCTATAGTTGTATCTAAATTTGTTATTACTAGTTATGGGCCATACTTGATTCAGAGCATGACTTATTATAGTTCAAAGATTGGTTTCTTTATGCCACTGTAGACCAAAGGTATATCAGCTTATTCAGAATAATTAAAGTTATGTTTCTGAAGAGTCAGAAGGTGAAGTTTGTTAGTCCATGGCCTAGGTACAAAGCAGTGTGGATCAGTGCTAAAGGAAGAGGCAGCCGGGTGCCAGGAAGATGGGAGGTAGCTCTTGGCAACAGAGGGAAGACTGAAGAAGATGTGATGGGAGGAGAGTCAACTTCCTGGGTCACACTGAGGTGTCGGGTGGCTTCCTGTTGAGGATATATGGCAAAACCCCTGCTAGTTCCCCAAATGGGAGTTTGACCTGGTTTAAAATGGGACAGCAGGGCACAGGAGTAGTCAGAACTGAGAAAAGAGAGCTGAGACGGGTGTTTGTTCTGCTTGTTTTGGATCTGGGAGCTCCGTGGGTACTCAGGGCTGGCAGAGGGATTCTAGATCCCAGGAGTTTGTGTGTCTGTATGTGTGTCTGTGTATGTGTGTGTGTGTCAGGGTTGGAGAGCTTTGGTAGGAGCTGTACATAACAGAGGGGTCTGTTTGCTTTTTTATCTGGTTCAGGGATTGGATTTCACTACTGTATGATAGAACTGAGTCTACTTAATATATTTCATTGCTCTCCTGTGGTTGGCCCGGGCACCAGTGTGGGGATGTCTGCAGGCAGTGGCATGTGGGCAGGGGGCAGCCATCAGGCTGCAGCAGTGAGGCGCCGGAGAAGGCCAAGGCAGACACTGCCAAAGACAGAGTTGGCTTTGGGTCTCTGCAAAAATCCAGAAAGAATTCTGGTCCTATTTTTGTAGAACTAGGCCAGAAAACACTGAATGAACAAGTATTAGTCTCAGCTGGAATTAGTCAAATGGCTTATTTCTAGTTTCACGACTAGGAGTGTTCTTTGGAAACCCACATTTGGGTAGTGAAAATTGCACTTTCTGGGCAAGACTCCTATAAGGCTAGAAATGACAATGCATCAAAAGATGACTTTATTATATTTTTATCAGTGGACAAACTTCCTAAAAAAATTCACACACTCATATCTGCATATAAACCAACATCATAAAAGTACTAAAATGACACTGTTCTGAATCATGCAGTCTTTGCAAATAACAAGCTGGCTGAAAAATATCTAAATATAATTTTAATTTTTGAACTTTTTCTTCTAATTGGAAAATTAGCTCATACCTGTAATCCCAGCACTTTGGGAGGCTGAGGCAGGCAGATTGCTTGAGGTCAGGAGTTCGAGACCAGCCTGGCCAACATGGTGAAACCCCATCTCTGCTAAAAATACAAAAATTAGCCGGACGTGGTGGCGGGCGCCTGTAATCCCAGATACTCAGGAGGCTGAAGAAGGAGAATCTGTTGAGCCTGGGAGGCAGAGGTTGCCATGAGCTGAGATCACGGCACTGTACTCCAGCCTGGGCGACAAGAGCAAGAACTCTGTCTCAAAAAAAAAAAAAAAAAAAAAAAACAAAAAAAGAAAATTAGTCTATAAGTTTTATGGCAAGAAATAGACAAATTTATAAATGTATAAATTATACTTTCTCATAGTGTTTCTAATAACATGATCTATTTTCATGGCTCTTTTTGAAGAATATTATCCAAGATGAACAAGTATATTTTACATACAAGTTTTCTTCCCTTCCCTGGTCCCCACCACATGCAGTAGTGGGAGGAGCACACCTGTAACATGAGTCTTTGCTCTGACTCTGCCACATGGACAGGTTTTTCAGAAGAAGTGAAAGACTTACAAAATAGTAAAGCCCTTGTGCTATTACCTCTTCCTAGCTCAGAAATGAATGCTGTACTCCCCAAGCTTGCCAAGCCTTAGAGCACCCTTGGAGAGTTTAGGACAACTTCCTCATGACCTAGAAGAGGCAGGAGGCTCAGAAGGAAGGAAGTCTAATGCCTTGCTTACTAGCCCTGCCTTAGGGGAACATCCTGAAGTCTCCCTGGAGAGTGTGAATTGACTTCTTACATTAATATCATGCATATTCACCTGTCCTATAGCTTTCTGAAGCCATTTCCTTTCTTTGGTCTATATTTTCAACTTTTGCTATTACAGTACAATTCTTAAGAGGAAAAAGGGCAAACCTATAAGGCATTGCATTGTTTCCCAATTCAGCTGGAGGGGAGCCTCCTAGACCCCAGGGAACTCTGCTCCAAGTAGGTTGTGTGTGGGCAATGAATGTTATCTAAAACCTGAAGACTCTGAGCACTGCTGAAGGTGCAAAGATGCAGTAGAGATGGACTCTGTCCTCTAGAAGCTTAAAGTCTAGTTGAATAGATGACATAATCCATTCAGCAAACACTTATTAAGCATGTGTGTGTTTGAGGCACGGTGACAGCACAGCAATGATTAAGCTGCAATCCTGACTTTCTAAGGAGACTGCAATGAATGGTTAAGTAAGAAATATGAAACAAGTCAGGCAGTACAGTGAACTTCCCAGTGAATAATATAAACAGTTAAGTGGTGCTTAGAAAATAGAGGAATCACTGTGAGCTAGGATGGCTTGGGAAGGCTTTAAGGAGGTGGTAAGCTTAAGCAAAACCCCCAAATCTCAGCTGCTTCTTACATTCATAGAATTTTCCAGGTTCTAGAATAAAGCACAAACCATTTCAAGGAAATGTAAATTTCTCAGTTGGAGCAACTCTCGTGCTCTCTCTTCAGTCAGTTGCCGTGGCTGCTGCTTCATCCAGCCCTTCTCCCTCTCCCACTCCGTGCCATTGCATCAGTCTGACATACTCCAAGAACAAAAAGTATAAAAAATGACTCAGTAAAAACCCCCATCACTTCCTTCCTTATCTCTGTCTGACTGTTCCTTGCCTTCTCCCTGCCCAGCCAGTTTCTTATGTGTCATTCCAGAGTTTGTCTACATACAAGAAAACATGAATATAGATTCTTGTTTTCCTCCATCTTTAAGATAGCATGGTATACTCACAGTTTGGAATCTTGCTTTTCTCCACTTAACAATATATCTGGAAAATCTTTCCTAATAGGACATAAAGCACATTCTCATTCTTTTTGATAGCTACATAGTACTACACGGTGTGGATGTAGCATAATTTATTTAACCAGTTCCCTCCTGGGTGGTCATTTGGGTTGTTTCAATCTTTGCTATTACAAATAAAGCTTCAACAAATAACTCCACAGATATATATGCTCCTTGACTTATGATGGGGTTATGTCTCAAGAAGCCCATCATAAATAAAAAACATCCCAAGTCTAATATGCATTTAATACTTCAATAAACTCATTATAAATTTAAAAAATTGTAAGTTGAACCATCATGAGTCAGGGACCATTACTGTATATAGTATTTACACATGTGAATGACTATATAATAGCAGATATTATTCCCTACCCCAGCACTTGTATTATCAATAGACTTAGCTTCGAAAACCTTGGATTTTGCTTCTCATTGGTTTTCACCAGAGTTGTCTGGTTCAAAATATGTTTATTCAGCAAAAGGTCATTGGTAGCATTTGCCATCGCAAGGCCTGGGCAACTTCACACTCTTTGAGAACTCATTCTGCCTGGGGTGCTTCTGGCCCACTGTGAAACTCTCAAATGCTACTGTGGTCTTGTTTTCATAGACGGGCTCATCTTCGCTTGTGCCTGGAGAAGTTGAAGGGGCTGGTGCCACTTGGACCCGAATCAAGTCGACACACTACGTTGAGTTTATTAACAAAAGCCAAATTGCACATAAAGGTAAGTGTATTGTTGGGATGCTGCTTTATCTTTACCTGTTCAGTGAGGGTTTGTCTGTTGTTACATCTCCAGGACAGTCCTCTCCCCTGAACTCCTCCAGTCTAGCTATTGGATGAATCACAGGTACCTCAAATGCAACATATTCAAAACCCAACTGAGTGTTTCTCACTCCCATGCACCAGAGGTTAAATGGTCCATCCAACTCTCCATCCAGTTGTACAAGCCAGAAATTCAGGAGTCCGTGATAGCTCCTGCTCCTTAACCATATATCTAGGCCATCTCCAAGGCCTAAATATTTTGCAACCGGTCTACTTCCATCTTCATCCCCACTGTCTACTGCAATAAAATCCTCAGAGGTCTCCCTATATCCCTCTGGGTCCCTCCCGTCTGCTTTCCATGCTTCCTGAGAACAGTCCTTCCAAGGTGCAAATCAACACGTGACCTTGTTTAAAATTCTTCTGTGGCTCAGGACAAGCTCTGTCACCTGGTCTGCCCCAGATTCTGCCTTGCCTGGTCCTCACTTGCCTCTGCAGCACCATCTTGTTCCCCAATTCCCCTTTCTCCAGCCCTTCTTCCAGTCCCTGGCACTGTCATATTGTCTTACTTTAGGGCCTTTGTCAATGCTCTTCCCTCTGCTTGGTACACTTTCCTCTCTCTTCTTCACCTAGAGGACTTCTACTTATTCTTCAGATCACAGTGCAAGTCTCTCTAGCTCTGATAATCCTTCGCTGACTTTCCCAACTCAGTGACCTCCTTCCTGTGACAGGTGGTCCCATCACTGGGTATCTCTTAGCCCTGTCATAACTGACATTTGACAGTGGTTTGTGTGACCATTGTGTTGTCTCAATCCTTAGACTATACACCCCACGAGGGAGGGGACTGGGTCTTTGTGCTCACCTCACAGCCCCAGCACCTCCTAGGGTATCGGGCACAGAGTTGACACTCTCTTTGCTACCTGAATAGCAAAGGGTAAGGGGAATTGGATTCAAAGTCTTGAGAGCCACAGCCAAAATCCCTGTTTAGCATGTTTGTATAATCATATTATAGTTGGACAAATGTTACTTTAATTATGGTTAGAAGCCTGCATTCATGACAATTCTGGGAGAAAACCTCTATTTAAAGCAAAACAGCTACAATTAAACAATCTTCTTAATTATCTGAAGAATATGAGAAGCTGGGGGCAGATTTATAAAAATGAGTATTCTATGGAAATGTGTTTTCTAAACTCTTCTGTTGGACAAATTAGAATCAGGACATCAAAAGGGACTATTATTTCCTGCTAACAAACAGAAGTTAATTGAGATTTGGCATGACACAAAAAAGTGCTTATGTAATTGGGACATGTACTTGAATAAACATAGTTTTAAATGGAAGCGTGTTTCTTAAGCTCCCATCAAGTGCAGTTTTCTAGTCCGGAGATCAGGTGTTCAGGGGATTGCTGCAAACAAGGGAGATCAGGTTGGGGACTGCTGCCTGCAGTCTTTCTGATACTAAAACTGAGGGCTACCAGGGTGCCAGTATGTGAGAGCTCACCCCCAGAATCCCTGTGACAGGACAAGTACCCCCAGCACTGGCGATGCTGAAGAGTCAGACGAAGCCAGGAGTCACTGGCCAGTCGACTTCCTGTCTCAGGGAGAAGCTTGATGAGTGGCACCGAAAGGCGTCTGAGGAAGTGTGGCGCATTCCACTGCTAGAAGGGAAGATGCGGGGGCCATTGCCCATTTAGAGATCTCCCTGTGGGGCCCAACAACTACCCCTTTGACTTGCAGAAACTTGAAGATTGTGACAGAAAAGCCGTTCACCAAATCGACCAGCTTCAGCGAGAGCAGCGACACCTGAAGAGGCAGCTGGAGAAGCTGGGCATTGAGAGGATCCGGATGGACAGCATCGGCTCCACCGTCTCCTCGGAGCGCTCCGACTCCGACAGGGGTGAGCCTCTCTCACTCTCCTCCCTGTCTCCCTTGTGCTCCCCAACCCCAGAGCAGGGGTTCAGTACTGCGGACAGGAGGCAGAGTGTAAGAAGAACTAAGACACTGGGTATGATGTAGAGAAGTCGAACAGTGTGACCTCCAGTGACAGGTTCCTTCTCCCTGCTAACACTTAGGTGACAACCCCAGAAGAGTTTGATTGGTGTCAGTTTTCAGCCTAGTTTGTTTTGTTTTGTTTTGAGACGGAATCTTGCTCTGTCACCCAGGCTGGAGTGCAGTGGTGTGATCTTGGCTCACTGCAACCTCCGCCTCCCGGGTTCAAGCGATTCCCCTGCCTAAGCCTCCCAAGCAGCTGGGATTACAGGCACACACCACAATGCCTGGCAAATTTTCCTATTTTTGTAGAGATGAGGTTTCACCATATTGGCCAGGCTGGTCTCGAACTCCTGACCTCAAGTAATTCACCCACCTTGGCCTCCCAAAGTGCTGGGATTACAGGCGTGAGCCACCACACCCAGCCAAATTTTTGTATTAGTAGAAACAGGGTTTCACTGTGTTGGCCCAGCTGGTCTCAAACTCCTAACCTCAAGTGATCCACCCGCCTTTGCCTCCCAAAGTGCTGGGATTACAAGCATGAGCCACCACGCCTGAGCTTTCTGCAGAGCGCTTTCATCAATGTCCTTCTCTCTTGTCCTCCCTGCAGAAGAAATCGACGTTGACGTGGAGAGCACGGACTATCTCACAGGTGATCTGGACTGGAGCAGCAGCAGTGTGAGCGACTCTGACGAGCGGGGCAGCATGCAGAGCCTCGGCAGTGATGAGGGCTATTCCAGCACCAGCATCAAGAGAATAAAGCTGCAGGACAGTCACAAGGCGTGTCTTGGTCTCTAAGAGAGTGGGCACTGCGGCTGTCTCCTTGAAGGTTCTCCCTGTTGGTTCTGATTAGGTAACGTATTGGACCTGCCCACAACTCCCTTGCACGTAAACTTCAGTGTCCCACCTTGACCAAAATCAGCTTTGTAACTGTTTTCAAGGAGGTGCTTAGGATTGTGGGTTTCTGATTGCATCCACTAGCTTCTCTTTTTCTCGCCATAAAAATTTGTCTCTGAGAGACTATACATTCCAATCAATTTGAAGCATCCAAGAATTCTTAGACCGAATAAGCAATGTCCACATCTCAGCAATCCCCCTCTTTGCTCTCCTCGTGTCCTCTCCCAGACCTTTCTTCCAGTTTTCTGGCTTACTGTGTTACTTGCCTAGGAGGAATGTCCAAGTGTGTCTTGTACTTAGGAAACTGAAGGAAACAAACTTTTGAAATTGAGATCCTGATCTCAGAACTCCAAAGTAAGCTTTGAAAGCAGCATTTAAGAGCACTTAACCATGGACCTCACCACCAGTGAGGAAGTCAGGAATACCTCTAGAAAACACGCCCTTCACACCGCGCATGCTCATTCCCCCGACGCGCCGCGTGTGGATGGGAGCAGTATTTCTCACTTTAAAATGGACACCTTGATAGTGTGTCTCTGGGGTTGCACAGCTCATCAAAGTTCCAAATTGTTTGTTCTCACAAACAAAACGGTACAATCTATTTTTGTGCGATGTTCTTGGGACCTCGCTGTGTTCTGCTATCTCGAGGCACATTCTCCCCTCCAACTTTGTTAATGCTACTTGTCTCTGGAACATTTTTTTTTCCTACCTCAGAGATAAATGAGATCTCCATTTCCCACTTAACACAGTGATTATCCTTTTTTCCCCCCCCAAAATAGTGACATTTGGTCCAATTATAATCTATTTTCCTATTGAACTTTCAGCAATAACTGAGCTGTGGCACTAGCAGAGCTAGTAGCCATTATCAGTGAAAGAAAAAGTCCACATTTCTACTCTCTGTTGCAGGTGAACAGGAGAGGATGGTACACTGTTACTAGAACTCCTCTCCTTATTGATTATTTTTGGACACACCCAGAAACTTCTTTATGGAGGCTTTTGGGTTGATAGTTTAAAAGGCTGATTTTTCTTTTTGGTTATGATTTCTCCCTTAAGTGGTCTCCGACTTTGTAGCATTTTTATTTAAGCTAAAACAGAGCACATGTATATGTACATAAGACACATTAAATCTATAAATACTATTTATTCATTTTATATAAACTAATGTAATGGAAAACAAATTCTTATGACTTTGTGGTTTTATAGATGTTCTAGAAACTTTGTATGTAGGTATCTACAAAATTAGTTCATTCCCCTGAATATTTTTGCATTCATATTTTTGAGGTCTTGATGTTTTCAGCCTCTGGCGAATCTTTTTCATTGAATTTGAACCATTTGTAAAATCTGTGATGCTGAAGCAGAGTGTGTCACAAAGTGATGAGAACATTACTAAAATCCACGGACGCACTGCGACCTAAGGGCTCAACGGCTGACTCGGCAGCGGGCAGCCACCCCACGCTCCCCTGCGGTCACTCGCACACCACAGCCTGAAGCTCCCCCAGCGCCTGCACCTCGCACACAGCTAAGGTCAAAGTTCAAACGCACTCCACACGGAAGCTCATTCTATACCCGAAGAGCAGTCTCAGAAAGCAAGATTACTTTTGTGTTTTTTAAAAAATGATTCTTTAATGTATTTTTCTAAACATTCTGATTGGAAGTAGTGGATTCCTAAATGATTCCAAAGTCACCTGTAATTCTTCTGTTTTTGTTTTGTTCTGTCTTTTCTTCATTTTGGCTTTGGGTGGGGGGAGGGGCAGGTGACACAAAGGATTTTTTTTTTTTTTTTTTAATTTTTGGAATCTTTTCCAATAACCAGCTAAAGATTTGCACTGAAATACAACTTGTATGCCTTTTGCATTTTTAAAGCCTGCTTCCTGGATTTAAGCAGAGTGATAGTGTTCAAAGAGCCAGTTCAGCCTGTAACATATTTGAAAAAGATATGTCTGCACTTTGAGGTCCCTTTTGAATGCCATTCACTAGACCTCTCAAGCATTTTGTTTCATTGCTACATCCAAGCGCCTCACAAGTCCACAATGCGGGACAGCATCAAAAGCTCAAGACTTTGGAAAAAGCTTGTGGGCTTGCACTGGGGGAGGGAAGGGAACAAAATTTGTGTACTTCTTTGTTTAATTTAGAAATAAGGCATCCAAGAGATGCCATTATTTTCTGTGTTTCAATTGTTGTGCCTTTGAGTTAAACTGCATTTTTGTCTTTTGGTTGAAATCTGAAATGTACTGTCCCAATATAAAACAGTAATTATTTGACCTTTGCACTGTTTGTCTGGTCCTTTTCAGTTTGATTGCATATAAATGTGGAACTTGATAGATCTCTATATTTTTAATGCACTTGTGATAAACTGGCAGCAGGGTTAGACATTACTTTCAAAGCTTGAGGTAGACCGAGTCAGCATGCTAGACAGGCTTCTCTCTCTAACCAAAACTGTAATCTTCAGGACCAGCAAACTCAGCCCAAGGCAGCTAATCCCCCCAACCCCATCCTCCGCGCCCCGTGCGGCTGATCGGCAGCCCTGATTCGCCAATTTGTCCTCTCTCATTCACTGATCCACCAGCCTGACTGCTAAGAGCTATAGTCTTTTTAGTTGTTTTGTCTTTTTAAGCAAGATGAAAACCTTTCTATTAGGGATTTTGGGGTTGGGAGGGGATGGGCAGAGATATAAACCCCAGCCTTTAAGACTTTGACAATTGTACGTAAATACAGATGTGTATAAATATAGGCACATGCATATTTTTATGTGAAAGTTGATTTTAAAAAACTAAAAAAATCTAAACTGCACTCTTATTGATACCATCATAACGCAAGTGGGAAAAATAAGAGTACGCAGTCTAATTTAATTTCATGCAGTGGGAAAATATATATGTGTGCTTCTGTAACATCCTGAAAACATAGCTTTCCATCCCCTGTTGGCTTTGAATGGTGGGCCGAGCACCCAGGTCGTCTGTATTTTGGTTTTCTTTTGCTAAGCAGAGATCTTGAATTCTTCAAGGTGCTGATAGCAACTGCTGGCTCCTTTCTGTAGTCACACACCTAATGCTAGTTTAGTGATTCAAAATGCATCACATTTTTAGGCAGGACCTAGATTTTCCCTGTCAACCTAAGATGAAAATAATTTCAGTGTTGATTCAGAACTGAACATTAAGTAGGCCCTCGTCCTGCAGTTGGCCACTTGAGTGTTTTGTTTTGTTTTTATTTTTTAAGGTGGGCATTTTCCTTTAACCTCTACTTTTTCAAAAGCAACAAAGGGGCCTCAACCTGAGTTTCCTATGGGCCTCTCTTCTGCATCCCCAAAGCGGCCAAGAGCAAATCCTGGGGGATAAGAAAAAAGTGTAAACTAGGTAGGATTGTGATGCTCAAAATAACCATCTAGCAATATCTTGGAGCTTGAGAATAGATTTTGTGGGCTTATTTCTTCTTGCCTCTTCCCCATCCTTTCAAGAGAGAACTTATTTTTGAAAAGTATCTATATATACACACACACACACACACACACATATTATTATTTAGGTTTTTATACCATACTGTATTGGCGAGAATACCACTATCATTGTCCTTTACAGTCTATTTCTTCCCCCAAGTCTTGGTCTTTTTTTATTTTCTATTTTTTCATGAACCACACAGGAGACTTTAACATCCTGGTCTTTTCTGTTTCTTCTTTGTTTCCCCAAGTTTGTCTGTCCCCCTTTGCCTTCCCTGAGTGTTGAACATCAGGTAGTAAAAGGCTAAACGCAATTTCTTGCATGTCAATCTATTCTTTTTCTATGTTTGACTCTGATGCAGTGTGTTTAGCGTGTCTAGTAGCTGGCTACTCCTATTTAAAAACTCTTCCTGGTAGAAGACAACCCAAAGACCCTTTTCGATGAGGTGGTTTCTCATTCTACATCCTCTGATCTCTATAGACTGTAGGATGCTTTGCTTTCAAAGATAACTGGGTTAGAGGGTGGGGTGTGCAATAGGTGATTTATCATGGTTTTTTTCATTATCAATATTACATGGATGATTTTCTCAGATTCTTCTGAAAGAAGAAATTGACAGGCACTGCTAGATTCAGCTATTGAATGGCTGAAGAGATTGAGTATTTGACCTTCTCTCAAAATCATAAAGTGAGAATTCATAAGGCACCCAATGTTAAGATTTATCCAGATTTTTACATTTTGATTTCTTCTCTCTGTGGGGTGGCAAGTTGAGGGAGCATTCTTCATTTTAGCTTTTACCTGACAACCAAACTTGCCTTTACCCCATCCCTAGAATTGGTGCTCTTGGAATATTGCTGTTACCATCATTTTTGGGGGGCCATCTTCCTAATGCTACACACAGCCTGACAGGGGAGCAGCAGATGAAAGGGTATGCTATTCTGTTTCCAGATGTTTCTTTATGTAAATATGACGCCAATGTAAATCCTGTGTCAAGATCATAGAGAATGGTGCTTTTTACTACAGTTAGCACATGCATTTTTAGAAACTACTACATGTTTTAGAGAATCTTTGCTGTGTATATGTAAACTGTATTGTTCAACTGTTAACAAATAATAAATTATTTCATTATTAAAGAAATTTTGGTCTTTCTGATGTTTTGTATCACAATTTACCCTTTCGTGGTTGTCCTTGCAGAACTGCGTTCATCAGATTTCTTTTTTTCTTTTAATTTAAGGGAAACTTCACTAGCTAAAAGTTTTCAGCCCTTGGAGCCTGTGATGAGGATTGAGATTGTGTGGCTCCAGTTGAGCCCATTTGTTGATCAGAATTAGCCACAGTCCCACCCTCTCCACTGCCCCATCATCCCACCTACTGGTTTCACCTGCTCGTTGACTCATTCTTGGCTGACTTGCCCTTTGTTTTGGGTGCCTCTAATGATGCAGGCTGTAAGCACTGCCAAGACTTCTGCATCTTTTGAGCAGCCTGTAGCCTGCTGGGAAAGATATGCACACAATTTAATGCAGTGTAATTAGTTGTGGAATAAAGTTGTGTGGGAAAGCTCCATGAGAAGTTAGAGGTGGTGCATTCGAGCTGGGCCCTGGAGGAGGAGTGAGTGTTTGCTGGGAAAGGAGCATTGCTGGGAAGGAGAACATCCAGGGCAGTGAGGCAGGTGCTCAGGCAGAGTCCAGCTTCGTGGGGCTGCGGTGTGGCCTGGACCTGGGGCATGTCAAAGGAAAGACCTTGTGGATTGCACAACTCACTGAGAGGAGAGAGGCATTGGCTGAGGATGTCCGTTCCTTTACATACTAACCCATCTGGTTAGTATACATTTATTCATTCACTGAACAAATACGGCTTGAGTACCTGCTCCATATCAGGCTCCGTCCTAGAGGTGAGGACACATCTAAGAACAGCACACAAACCCCTGCCTCATGCTGCCACCTTTCCAGCGTGAGTCTCATTGGCGCTCAAGTCCTCATCATGGCAAGTTCGCCAAGTGCAGTCTGTCTTCCTGTTTTTGTTACACCAGGAGAGCACTTTTTCGGAGTCAAGAGGAGGAAAAAGTTGTCTTTCTCCTTGTTGACCAATGACTTCTTGTTCTAAAAACCACCTAAAATTTTTGAAAGGTTTTTAAGTTAACTGCATTGGCATTCTGCCTGCAGGTCTGATGAAAAAGGAACTTCCTGGTACTTCTACTTTGGAAAGTGGCCTGCCTTGTCTGCTTTCTCCAAAGAGTAGGGGTGGCAGCTGGGCCCTTTTAGGATGTGAGATTCTAGGATCCATCACTGTGGACAAGCCCCAAATGGAACCCACCTAATAGTGCATTGGTCACAACCTCAACAAAAGCTACGTTCTCTAAAGCATCAGGATCCCTTGTTTACTGTGGTTGCGGAGAGGAAGCTTTGAACTGTAGATAATTAGAAAGACAGCTTTCACATAAAATAGCCTCCCCCACAAGATGACAAATCTTATTTCCGAAGTTTCCTGACTTGTTCACAGTAGCTGGATGAAAAAATGTCACTTGTTATGCTGTATGGGCCCATGTCATAACGAGGGTCAGCCCACATTTACTGAGTGCTAAGGGCTGGGTGCGCCACTGCAGGGCCTCCGTGAACCTTCACATTGGCCCCGGGAGGGGAGCGCTAGCATTATCCAAACTTCACAGGTAAGGAAGCTGAGGGAGAGAGAAGTGAGGCATTTTGCCCCAAACCCACAGAGCTAGTGAGGGGTGGGACTGGAAGCGTCAGCAGCCGGGCTGCTGAGCCCCACACTCCCTTGCCCCAATTTTTGCAAGAGCTGTGCCAAATTGTCATCAGTCTTCCATATACGGCATCTTTTCCTTTTTAAGCCTTTGAACGAGGCTACCTATTTTCTTTGGAGGGGACCTTATATTCCAGACAGTGGAGCAGAAAAATGGGAATTCACAATACAATTACTAGGCCATGGCTGTCCTCTCAATCTCAACTTCCCTCTGTGCCTATTGTGAAGAAGGACCCCCCCTCCTCTACTGCTGATCCTCCTGGGGATCTAGTGGGAATAAACCAGCATGCTCTCAAAGGAAGACACTCTCTCTATCCCATGTCGTCTTGGTGGCGAACCCCGTGACATCACTTATTTATTCAACCAGTATTTACCGTACATGACTTCTACTTAGGCCCTGGAGTCCCCATTACCCAGTGCAGCTTTGACTCACCTCTTCGATGTCACTATGACCTAGATGAGGAGGGCCACACCAAGGCTCTCTGCCAAGAGACTATGGAAGGCCCATTGCCCACTTAGGCCTTCCCATCAATAAAGGACACGTAGGCCTGTCGTCCCAGCTGCTCTGGAGGCTGAGATGGGAGGATGGGCGCCCAGGAGGTCGAAGCTTCTTTGAGCTATGATTGTACCACTACACTCCAGCCTGGGCGACAGAGAGAGACCCTGTCTCAAAAAACTAAAACTAGAAAAACAAACCCTCGTAATCTGCACATGCACCCCCTGAATCTAAAATAAAAGTTGGAATTATTTTAAAATATATATAAAAGTAAAGGACATTCAGCTTCCAGTGGCCAAGGGTCCCACAGGCAGGGTCTCTGCAGGAAGTATTGTTCAGGGCTCAGCCCAAACTGGGTGGCGAGGCAGCTCCCTGCCCACTCTGTTCCATGCAGAATTCTGGAGTCATTGCCTCTGCGAGTGTCCTTGTGGAGACTAGATGAGGTAGATGTGGCTGCTGGCTGCTGGCTGGGTTGAACATGTTGCCCAGAGGAAAGGGAAGCTTTGTGTTGGGACAGAGTGACTAACCCACTTTCAGGCAGACGGCAGGGCAGGCTCTAACTGGCTGAAGCTTCCGGGAGCCTCCCCGGCTGTGGGTGAAGGCAGCGTGTCTGGTGAAGGCAGGCTAGGGATGTAATGGGACAGGCGAACCATCTTATCCAAAGGGATGACCACAGGAAGAGCCAGGACGGAGGCCAAGGGCATGCACCTGAGGCCAGGTCTGAGCGGGTGGACTGGGGGTATTGGAGCTAGAGAGGCCCACTCAGGCCCTGGAGAAAAGGGCAGGGGCTTTTCTAGGATGCTCTTGGCCTTGCCTGGGGGCAGAGGTGAGGAAGACAGTCAACGCAGGGAGCTCTGTGTCAGAAATACGTCTGCCTTCAAAGAAAGCAGCCATCCTGGAGGAGAAGGCACCTGGGAGGGCCTTAGGGATAGGGGAAAGAGAGAAAGGCACTGGCCAACCAACACCATTGGCCAGCCAGACAGCCGGGCTGGGTGACACCTGGAGATAGCCCCCAGCCATGCACAGGGACCAGTGGGCGTGGGAGAACCAGTATCTGTTTAGTTACAAGCAGAACATCCAACACACTCGCCTTGCCACGCTGATACTGTCATCCCCCAGAAGGCGGAAAAAACCATTGCTGTGAAGCATTCGAGCCAGTAATGACCAACAGAGACCAATAGGCTGGCCAAGTGGAAATAGAAACTCAGGGGGAGTGCCCATGTCCCCTAGGTACCCCGGAAGGTGGTCCTGGGTGATGGTCACGTGCACAGACTCTGGTCAAATGGAGCTAAGGGTCGATGCCAACTCCACCCTTAACACCCTCGGTGACCCCAGGCAAGTATCTGGGACTCTGCTGACCCGGTCTGTAGAGTGAGGATAATAACAGCATGTACTTCCCAGGGCTGCTAGGGGGATTAAGTAAGGTAAAGTATGCAAACAGCTTTTCCCCATGCCTGACATGCAGAAAGCATTCAGTACATATGAGCAATTATAATCATTTTCCCAGCCAAGGAGAGAACGTTCGAACACTGTCTGGCATGTGACTTGGATTTTCAGAATACAAAATTCCAACACTCAGAGAAGAAATAAGCTTGGAAGGGAAAATTACATTAGAGGGTGGGGAAGTGTTCAAATATGTCATTCTGACTGTGCTGTTTAGACAACAAACAGTAGGCAGGAAGTGGTTAAACCGAAAGGGGGAGCAGAGGGTGACTCAGGGACAGAATGTGGGCATTGACAGTGGAGGGGTGGCTATTTTCCAGGTAGTATCTCACCTATGTGCTGTTCGGAAGGTCAAAACGACCCTAAGACCCCGCCAGCCCTACAGGGCAGTTCCTCTCATAGAGAGACCAGATCATACAGAGGTGGCTCAGAGAGAGAGACAGAGGGAAGCCCTTGCTAAAATGCCCATATGTTGCAAGTATCTCATCAGAAGAGGCCAAATGACTTCAGTTCCCGCATTCACACGTACCTTTGCACTGCAAATTCAGAACAACCGTAGGTAGAGCTCTACCCAGACGGGGACAACTCCACACTTCAAGTATGACCTCTGAGCAACTGCAGAGGTTGTGATGATTCTTGGCTACTTTGCAGTTAATAACTTTGGTCAAAGAAGCTACCAGTCAATGCAGACTAGCACAGGGCATGGAACAGTGTGTGGCCCAGAAGAGGTATCAGTGGAAGAGTAAAGAGATAATCAGGATGGAACCTGGCCCTGCTTTCTTGTCACCACACTTTATAATGTTAGGGAAAAGTATTCTTTTGGAACTCATTGCAGCAATCCCATTGCTTTCCCCTGAAAAACAGGTGTGTTTACCTCAGGGAAACAGTGAATCATGCAACAGATCATCTTTCTCTTCTCCCTTTGGCTGTCAGGAAACTCAGAGCCAAATTCACACTTCACCTTTAGTAATTTTGTGAGAACCTGTAATGTGCATGTTTGTGACCCAGTTTCCCCTTAGTCTCTTCTCTGGCCTTGGCTTTTACTCAACATCTTTCCTATTTTAGTATTTGTAATTTTGGAAGTTACTTCCGATCCACCTTTGTAGAGAACAAGAGGATACTGCCATGCGGAATCACAGTGTAAAATAAAAAATGCTTTTGCAAGCAGACGGAAGTGAGGTTGACTAAGCAGGAGTGAGGTTATTGGGGTCAAGGGTGTGGAGAGGGAAGGTGAATGTGAGGGGTTTTTGGTTTTTTTGTTTGTTTGTTTGGTTATGGAAACAAACTTGCCAAGGACTAGGAGGGTGGTGCCCCAGGGCTGGAAATAATCCCTCCTGTCTAGAAGAACTGGGGCTCCTTTGGGGATATCCGCAGAGGCCAGAGGCAGTGGCAGTGCTGACCTGGGTCTGATTCCCCTGCCAGAAACAGGAAGGAATGCCACCCTTTCTCCTCAACTGGAGAAAGTTCGTTGGATTGCAAGTAAATGAGAATAGTGGTTCTATGGAACTAGCTTTGAATCGGATGTTACAGATTTTTTAGGAGTAAGCCAGAGAGACAGAGGGAGACCCCGTCTCTCAAAAAAAAAAAAAAATTAGCCGAGGTAGTGGCCTGTGCCTGTGGTCCCAGCTACCTGGGAGGCTGAGGCAGGAGAATTGCTTGAGCCCAGGGAGGTGGAGGCTGCAGTGAGTCACGATTGCACCACCGCACTCCAGCCCGGGCCACAGAGTGAGACCCTGTCTCAAACAAACAATCAAAATTAATCGCTTGCAAATTTCAGTATTTTATTACACCATCCTCGGCCCCACCAAGGTTTGATTAGCAGAGACAGGTCACGGCAGGAAGCTGTCCAGCGGCATGAAGGGGACACTGTCCTCAGCCTGTTCCACTCAACGTCAATACATCCATTTGCAGTCGGGTATGGATGGCACATTCTCTACATCTAGGGATGACCCCGTGGTTGCCAGATGGCACTGAGGGCCTGACAGAACCAGGATCCAAAAGTGCTTGACAGGCCGCAGTGGGGGCAGCTTGGACCAGATGCCTTTAGGAGGGATCAGTGGAGGCTCCGGGCTGGCTGGGAAGGCTTGCAGCCACGGAGGGCGGTGCTGAATACCGCAGCTCGCCCTGGAGGAAAGGGGGCTGGCTGCTCCTACAGAGTGGAGCCCTTTGGTCTCAGGAAGAGGCCCCGAGGGAGGGGGCTGCCCTGCCTCCGGGGCCACCGGACCCCACGGAAGCCTCCGAGGTCCTCTCCCTGTCTCCCGCTCTGCCCACGCCCCCCGCCTCCCCTGTAAATCCTGCCCTCCCGCGAATGCCGTCCGGCTGACAGCACTCAGGCCTCCCCCGCGGCGGGTCCCCACCTGATCAGGCCCTGTCTACACCCCACCCCTCTCCTCACTCTTCCCTGGACACCTGGGGGCCCCCACTTGGGGAGCCTGCCTGGCCGCTCCCCCCGGCACCTCGCGGCGGACTGCGCTTCACTCAGGTCTCAGTGCAAACGTCCCCGTGTCCTTGAGGACCCCCGACTCCACCTGTATAAAATCGCAGCTCCCTGGTCACTTTCTATCCGCTGTCCGCGCAGTGATGCATTTCACTTTCTCTTATCACCACATGACACCTTGTATTTTACCTGCTTGATGTTCACACGGACCTCTGCCGGAGCAGACCCTGCAGGCCCCCTGCGGCTCTGACCCAATGCCCAGGACCATGCCTGTGTGTGCTCAGCGATGGCCACTTGGGGATGGATGGGCGAATGAATGAATGAATGAATGAATGAATGAATGAACGAATGAACGAACGAATTAACACTTTTTAAGAGAGACAGAGGAGAACTTTAGGCTCAGAGCTAAGGCAGGACAAGAGTCTCCAGTATCATATGGCCCCAAGCAGAGGTGATGAAACACAGCCAGTGAGGTTTTTACTAATCACTGGCCTTGATCACCATCGGAATTGTACAGTACAGTGAGGGCCACAGAAAATACCCGGGTTTTGGAAAAATCCAGGTGACTGGTTCAAAAACAAAAGCAATTGGACAGAAAACAATTTGGTTGAGAACAAGCTGCAGAGGAAACAATTCAGCCCAAAGGACAATTTGGTCTAAAAGTATACTCCACATTATTTTTCAAAAATTAGAATTTTAATGCAGCATGAAGGTGAATTGCATCGTTTTGTGCCTTTTCAAGTATTTTGCTTACATTTCGGCATATTTAGTTTTACCCTGGGCTTTAAATTTCTAGTTAATTTTTTAGTTAACTATTTTCATTCTGTTCATTTTTAATGTTTTTTATCATGATTTGGCACATGCATATGTATTTGTTTGTTTGTTTCTTGAGACAGAGTCTCACTCTTTCGTCCAGGCTGGAGTGCAATGGCACGATCTCAGCTCACTGCAACCTCCGCCTCCCGGGTTCAAGCGATTCTCTTGCCTCAGCCTCCCGAGTAGCTGGGATTACAGGCGTCTGCCACCGTACCAAGCTAATTTTTGTATTTTTAGTAGGGATGGGGTTTCACTATATTGGCCAGGCTGGTCTCGAACTCCTGACCTCAGGTGATCCACCTGCCTCAGCCTCCCAAAGTGCTAGGATTACAGGCATGAGCCACTACACCCGGCCAGCACATATAGATGTAAAAGTGCATAAAACATAAAGGTGCTGTTTAATAGTTATTATAAAGTAAGCACCCAAAAAAACACAACTGGTGAAGAGCCAGGACATCACTGGCCCCCAGGTACACCTGAGTGTCCTTCCCAACACAGCACCCTTTTTAGCCCTGAAGGACACAGCCACCCTGCTGCTGGGGTAACCGTGTCCTTTTTGCCTTTGTCCTCTTGCCTCCTAAGAATGCATCTCTAAGCCTGGGCTTTAGGTTTGACAATCTGTTTGAGAATACTACACAAATGAAATCATATTGTGTATGTTTTGTGTCTGACTTCTTTCATTCAACACTGTGACGTTCGTTTTTCTTGTGTGGTTGCAGTACATTCCTTTTCATTACCATACTGTGAGGTTTATAACAGCAAAATGTTGGAAACAATCTAAATGTTAAAAAATAGGGGAGGCTGGGCGCAGTGGCTCACCCCTGTAATCTCAGCACTTTGGGAGGCCAAGGCGGGTGGATCACTTGAGGTCAGGGGTTCCAGACCAGCCTGGCCAACATGGTGAAAACCTCGCCTCTACTAAACACACAAAAATTAGCCAGGCATGGTGGCTGGCGCCTGTAGTCCCAGCTATTCTGGAGGCTGAGGCTGGAGAATCACTTGAATCCAGGAGGTGGAGTTTGCAGTGAGCTGAGATCACATCACTGCACTCCAGCATGGGCAACAGAGTGGGACTCTGTCTCAAAAATAAATAAATAAATAAATAAATAAATAAATAAATAAATAAATAATAAAAAATAAAATAGGGGATTGGTTTAGTAAAGTATGAAAGTTTACAAAACAGAAATTACCATGTAATCCTATTTTTGTTAAAAGGAAAGAAAGAAAAGGCAAGAACGAGAGAGTGAAAGAGAAAGAATGAAAGAAAATACATTCATATGAGTGTATATAGAGAAAGGTCTGGAAAAATACACCGTGTTTGACCTAAGCAGGGTAAGTGGGTTCAAGGTTCTTATATATGTATATAAAATATGCGAGTGTGTGGCCCAGGCGCAGTGGCTCATGCCTGTAATCCCAGCACTTTGGGAGGCTGAGGCAGGCAGATCGCGAGGTCAAGAGATCGAGACCATCCTGGCCAACTTGGTGAAACCCCGTCTCTACTAAAAATACAAAAATTAGCTGGGCATGGTGGCAGGTGCCTGTAGTCCCAGCTACTTGGGAGGCTGAGACAGGAGAATCACTTGAACCCGGGAGGCGGAGCTTGCAGTGAGCCGAGATCACGCCACTGCACTCCAGCCTGGGCAACAGAGCAAGACTCCATCTCAAAAAAAAAAAAAAAAAAAGTGAGTGTGTGTGTGTGTGTGTGTGTGTGTGTGTGTGTGTGTATATCTATATGTATATTTATATATATAGATCTATACACACACACTCATATCATATATATACACATACATATCATATATATATCTATATATAAACATATATATAGATAGATAGATATGATATGTAGCTCTAGATATAGACTGACCAACGTTTCTGCTTTTCCCGCAAGCCTCACTCATTGCTTTTGCAATTAAAAAAAATACTAAAGGAATTTGAACCATGAAAGAATAAACAAAGCAATAAAAATGAACAATCAAAAAAGAGGATTTGGAGTTTTAGGGGGGTTTTAGGGGTTTTTTCTCTCCTAGTTTATTTTCAGCCAATTATGTCTCCTCTACTTACTTGATGATTTTTTTGGTGAGTTTTTTATTTTCATAAATTGATTTTTAGAATGAATATTTCCAACCACAGTTAACTGTTTTTGAGTTTTGTTAATAACTTATACACTGCTTAGCTAACAAAGACCTAGTTGTTGGTTACTTCAGCTTTTCAAATTCATTTTCACCCACTTGCCTTGCTCTGTTTATAATAGATTAAAACAACCTAAATTCATTTTAATAAAATCTTTGTTTGACCAAACTGTTCCAGCTAACTAAATTGAGTGCTCCAAAGTCAAGCCGGCTTAAATTCCAATCTCAGTTCAGCCACTTACCATTTACACAACACTGGGCAAATTAACCTCTCCCAATCTCAATTCCCCCATCTACTAAATGGGTATAAAACCTACTTTGTAGATGTTTTGTGAGAATTAGAAAGAAATTGCCTGGCCGGGTGCAGTGGCTCACTCCTGTAATCCCAACACTTTGGGCGGGAGAATTGCTTGAGCCCAGGATTTTGAGCAATATGGCAAAACCCCGTCTCTACAAAAAATACAAAAATTAGGCATGGTGGCCCACATCTATAGTCCCAGCTACCAGGAGGCTGAGATGAGGGGATTGCTTGAGCCTGGGAGGTCTAGGCCACAATGAGCTGTGATCGTGACACTGCACTCCAGCCTGGCACGACACAGCAAGATCCTGTAAGAAAAGAAAAAGAAAAAGAAAGGAAAAGAAAAGAAAAGGGAAGGGAAAGGAAGAAAAGAAAAGAAAAAAGAAAAGGGAAGGGAAGAAAAGAAAAGAAAAAGAAAAGGAGAAAAGGAAATGAAAAGAGAAAAGAGATTGCCACATAAGCAAGCTGTGAGTTACCTCATCTGGGGCTGGATAGTTCTTTATTGTGTGGGTTGTTTGGTGCATTGCAGGATGTTTTGCAGCCTCTGACCTTTACTCACTAGATGCCAATAGTCCCCCCCATCCCCTATCCCCTGGAAGATGTGACAACCAAAAATGTCCCCAGACATTGCCAATACTGCCTTAGACCTGTCCCTCTCTCACCTCCATAACAAATGCCCCTAAGTCCTGTTGGTTCGTCCTCCATGTTACCTTTGGAATCAGTTCCCCTTTCTTACTAGCTGGCTTAGCCCTTCAGCCCGTACCAGGGCAGCACAGAACCCCCAGGGCAACCTCCCTCCATCAGGCCTTCTGCCCTGCCTCCCTCCAGGGGCTGCACAGCGGGGTGAGACATGAAAACATGAAGGTCTGCTTTTGCTCTTTGATTTTCTCCTGTTTCTCCCAGCTCAGGCAAGTAGCCAGGACTTTCATTTTACTGGGCCAAAAGCCACTGTTGCGTGTAAGACCCAAGACACTTTTCTTCCCCATCTTCTGTACCTGCCTAAACCATGGATCAGTGTATGACCCAGTGCTCTGGACAGGGAGTTGTGGGTGGTCTCAGGAAGAGTAAGGGAATATGCAGAGGGCAGATCTGGTTTGACAGGGGATGGACAGTGGTCAGTCCTGGGGATAACTGGCACCCACACACCTCTCAGCAGCCTCACTCCAAGCAAGTGGCGGGACAGCACATGGGGTGGGTGCCTGGCGTCCCTAGAGAGGGAGGACATAAGACGGGGCCTCCTTGTGCCCGTGCATGGCACAGAAAGCAGCACAACTTTGTGGCCGGAAGGGCTCACATGTGCAGGGACGCTGGGCATTTCCATGGACACAGTGTGACTGCGACTGGGCAGTTACGACCTGCAGGGTCCTCTTTCTCCAATGCTTCACTGCTGCATAAGTTTCTGGGACCTTTCCCCCAATCCAGGGTAAAAAGAGCTCACCAAAGTGACTGAGAATGAATTTCTCAAATGCCTGGCTGAATGGGGACTCAGAGTTGGACTTAATTTTCTTTTTTTTTCTTTTTTTTCTTTCTTTTTTGAGAGCAAGTCTCACTCTGTTGCCCAGCCTGAAGTGCAGTGGCACCATCTTGGCTCACTGCAACCTCCACCTCCCAGGTTCAAGCAATTCTCCTGCCTCAGCCTCCCAAGTAGCTGGGATTACAGGCACACGCCACCATGCCCGGCTAATTTTTTTTTTTTTTTTGTATTTTTAGTAGAGACAGGTTTCACCATGTTGGCCAGGCTGGTCTCGAACTCCTGACCTCAGGTTATCTGCCTGCCTCTGCCTCCCAAAGTGTTGGGATTACAGGCATGAGCCATCATGCCTGGCCAATTCACTTTAATTATGGAAAACTTTCTTAAATGACATCTCTCACATCAGCATCTATGAGTTTGTAAACTGAGGTTCAGATGCATCTCATGATGCAGATGCCATCAAGTCACTTCCCTGCCTCCAACCCTGCCCTGGCTCTCCATTGTCTGAGAATGAAGGCTCCTCATGGCCCACCACAGAAGAAGCAGGGGCTCAGCTTCCACTCCTGCTTCCAGGCCAGACATCACTAATCAATCATGGCATCTTGCTGGCTGTGTCTGAATACAGTCCCAGAATCCTTTGCAGCACTGCCCACTAGGCAGCCACATGGGTCTGAGCTGGTCCTTAAGAAGGCAAGTAGTTTCTCTATTTTACCCCCATTTCCCCATTTTACTGCTTCTTAGATCCAGATATACCATTGGCAGATACATTTGCATCGCAGAGGTGGTGGTTGTTTCCTCCAAGAATATTAATAAACTTAAAACACACTTTTGAATTGAGTGCATTTTAGAGCTGAAATAAAAGCAGCATCTCCTTCCCTGGTCTCCTGGAGTTTCCTCAAAGTCCATATGAGAGGATCCATGCTGGCCCCCGTCTTCTCCTCCTGTCTCTGTTAGCCAACACCAGCAGGCTTGTCCTTGCCTCCCTGTTTTCTTCCCTTTCCTCCCTCCACCCCAAATATTCCCGGGAAACATCCATTCATTCATCTTTAAAGACTCAACTTAAAGATCTCTAGGGAGCTGTCCCTGACTGCACAATGTCCCACCCAGCACAGGAGTGGGGAGGAGGTCACAGCACAGGGTCACTCTAAGCCCTGCCTGCCTCCCTCTCCCAGACTGTCCTAGAGGACAGGGCTCCCTTCACGTCCTTCCTAGTGCAGGGAGAGGCTCTGCTAGGAACTCCTAGAGACAGGAAGAGCACCACATGTGCCTTGGAGAAGTCACCACAGTCCAGCTCAGAGTTACACAGTTCTCCAGGCTTGGGGGTTACTGACCCACAATATCAAGCAGTCAAAACTTGAGAGCCAATTGATTAGCCCACAGTGAAAAGCATAACAGCTTTTCTTGCTACCCAGCCAAGAGGCTTCCTTACCCGAGGTTACTTGGCAACGGTGGACTCAATACAGGAGCAGTGACTGATGGGCCTGGAACGTGGGGTGGCGTCATGTCTGACAGCTGCCCCAGTATCTCCTCAGTGTAGAGGACCAGGTGGGCAGACCAGGTCACCTCCCTGGAGCGTGGAGGCTGGCCCTTCCCTCGCATGGCCACAAGGGCAGGACTCATGGCCTTCAGTCTATGACTCCAGCTGCCCTCTTGATGGACACATCGTGTCCTCAGATAAGGACACACCTTGACACTGGCCCTCGAGGCACTCCCTGCACACCTGGGAGACCTCCACTCTCCCGCCAGCAGCTGCGCTCGGCTTCCTCATTTGTCTTTCTCATTTGCTGCCAATGGCCACCCACACCTGGCACTGGGTGGGAGATCTGAATGAGTGGGCGCTCCTAAGCTTCTCTTCCATAGGTGCATGGGTTAGCAATTCGGAAACAACTTTCTGGGTATTTTAGAACTGGGCAAATAAGTAACCTGGAGCCAGGTTTCTCATTATTAGAGAAAGAAGTCACAAATCTCAAGGGGAAGGTTACGATCCTTTTGTAGCTTGTAAGCGTGATGATTGGATGTTTGCAGGAGCGTGTGTGATGTGCCACCTCGCACCTTGCTACAACATCGGCACAGTAGCTGTGTGACATGAGAAATAATAAATAAAGGGGAAGGTTAGACTAAGTCCTAGAGTGTGGGGTTGGAATTGGAAGTATCAGCAGGAACTCATAATAGAGAGAGGGAGAGAGAGAAATATAGAGAAGTGGACTCTATGGTTTTCTTCTTAGCTCTGACCACTGAGAGGTCCTAGGAGTGATGGCATGCCAGTAGCAAGAAGCACACACACCTGACACCCAGATCCTTGTTTCTGAATATCAGACCCCACTCAAAGGAACCAGAGCTCCTGGAGAAATGGCTGATCCCAGGGCTGGTACAGGGAAGGGACAAGATGAGCCTGGAACATCTTGTGCCAGAAAATAAGGAAGGGCTCTTATGATGATGGGGACACGTCCCAAGGAGACAGGAGCCAGTTTGAAGCTGTCCCCATGGCCAAATCTAAAACAATTTGAGCATCAAAATAAATAATGATTGTAAATGAGTATAACTCATAGAAAAATAAGAATCTCTAAGTCCACATGGTATAAATCAACCAATAAATGAGTAGAGAAAGCTCTTCTGTAGAGTTGAGGGCCAGCTAATAGGTATAGAAGGATAGAATTAGTCCTGTAAGCCCAGCTACTTTGGAGGCTGAGTCAGGAGGATCACTTGAGCCCAGGAGTTTGAGACCAGCTAGGGCAAAAAAGCAAGACCCTGTGAAGAAGAAAGAAGAAAGAAGAAGGAGAAGGAGAAGAGGAAGAAGAAGAAGAAGAAGAAGAAGAAAAGAGGAAGAAGAAGAAGAAAGCAGAGGAGGAGGGGAGGAGGAGGAGGAGAAGGAGGAGGAGGAGAAGAAGAAGAAGGAGATTAGAAAATCACCATCATTTGGTAATTTGGTAATATCACAGTGACAATTCAGACAAAGATCACCAATGGGTGCTGAGGCTAGTGGTGACAGTCTTATGAGAAACAAGATATTTATATGGCTTCAGAGTGTCTCCCCACAAGACACTTACTCATGACGGGGGTAAAATAGTTATTTATGGAGTAAAAACCTGGCAAACAGCATTTTGACCAAGTGATGAAACAAGTCGGCAACATATGCCTCCTGATACGATGTACTGAGGATGCACCATCACTTCTGGGTATTCCTGCCCGAAACCCACAGCCCGAATCTCACCACAACTGAACATCAGATTCAGCCAAACTGAGGAACATTCTACAGAATAACTGGCCAGGCGTCCTCAAAACTATCAGGGTCATGAAAACAAAGACAGAGGAATTACTCAGATTAAAGGAGATGAAAGAGACACGGCAACTAAATGCAATATGTAGCTGAATTCAGTCCTGGACTAGAAAATAATCTGGGGGCCAACAATGTTCTTGTTGGGATAATTGGAACCATTGGAGTAAGATCTGAAGATCAGATGATAGTGGTATTACATCAGTGAACTTCCTGATTTTGATAACTGCATCATGGTTATATAAGAGAATGCCCTTGTTGTTGTTGTTGTTTTCCCCTAGGAAATATACACTGAAGTATTTAGAGATAAAAGTGCATCATATTTGCGATTTTCAAAGGTTCCTATATATATAGATAGGAGAAAAGGAATGAGAATGAGAGAGATGATGAAGTTAATTGGAAAAATGCTAATATTTGGGGAAACTGGGTGAAACGTGGAAATTCTTTGTACTGCTCTTGCAACTTTCCTGTTAGTCTCAAATTAAGACTTAAAGATTTTCTGGATAAAAGCATAAAGAATTATCTAGTATGGTCTGGGGAACTGGCATGCATTCAGTTTGTGGTGGTCATTATTAGAGAAGAAGGCAGCTTGTAGGGCCCCCTTAACTAGAGGTATTAGAATGTTCTAGGCCAGGGCTTTTCAAACTCTTATGTCCCCTAGAATCACTTGGGGATCTTGCTCACTGCAGATTCTGGCGCTGGTCTGGGTGGGGATGGAGAGTCTGTATTCCCAACAGGCTCGCAGGTGATGCTGATGCCGCCTTCCTGCTGGTTCATGGATCACCCTTTGGGCAGTACAGGGGTAGATGCCACTGGAATTTAGACCATGGGTTCCCAAGCCTGCTGCACTTTGGGACCACTGGAGGAACTGATGTTCATGGGTCTTCTCTGGTGATTATCATGTGCTCCAAAGGCTAAACCTTCACACTGATCCTGCATCCTCCTTTCCATCATTGCAAAAGCAGACCTTAGGTATAAGGACTGCCATGGTGTCCCAGCAGAGCCTTTGCTGCTGCTTTACTCCATCCTATACCCAGAAGGCAGATGAATCTTCCTGCTCTCCCATGGTTCAAACGCCCACTGTGGGAGGCAGGTGTGAACTCCTCACCCAGACAGCAAGCCCTCTGTGGTGTGGCCACAACCCACTTTTTCTGGCTTCTCTCCCGGGCTTCTCTGTTGTTTGATACCTGACTTCCCAGAGAGCAGCTGCTCATAGTCCTGCAGCTGGGTTCCACGTTGACGCATCTGCAGCTGTGATCACTCTCACCCGCATGCAGCAGCGGTCTCAGCCTCACTCGGGTCTCCCAGTAAGAAGCACCACATGGTCCCTTCCTCCATGGGGGCCATGCTTCAGATGTCACAGACCCCACCCCTCACTGTGCCCTCTCGGGGGGCCCACATTTCTCTAGGAGAGAAAACTGGCTGAGAGCTGGAGACCTGGGGGCTCAGACAGGCTCTCCTCACTCAGAGCAGGGGAAGAAGGTGTCTGCTGCTGGGACACAGCATCCCATTTGCAATCACCCAGGACAGGGCTCCACTCCGTGTGGTGTGTGGGAAAGGGCAGGGAGGCTGGGGTATTGCTCTGGAATTCTGGCCTGGCCACCAATTCCTTAGTCCCCTCCCCAGCTCCCCACCCACCCACTTACAGACTCTTTACCCTCCCTCCTTCTACCCAGCACGTGGCTGGGATCCAAAGGACCTGGAGGAAAATAAGTCACAGGGAGGTGCCACCTGGATTGTTCCCTCGGGAGAGGGCTCGGCCCATGAGAGAGCAGCATGCGTTAGGCCACAGAGAGTGGGGCTGAAAATCAAATTTGAGAAGGGGGATGCAGGATCTGGGAGTCATCCGGAGACCACCCTTTCTCCAGTTCCCCCATCGCCTTCTCCAGTTCTCTCACCCCCTTCTCCAGTTCTCCCACCCACTTCTCTAGGCATCACTTTTCTGGAAATAGATTTCCTCCTGATCCCACACCTGTCCTTCCTCCAGGTGCCCTGGGGCTGATGGAGCTAATTTCAGTTAAGATGCTTGGCTGCCCAGGGAAGGGGCCTCGGTAAACCCCGAGGATTAGGGGCTGAGCCATGCCTCAGTTCCCAGGAGAATCACAGCTGGAATCGGAGGGAAGAAGGGGCCAGGGACGGGCAGCTGATCCTGGCTCAGATCAGCTTCAAAAAGTCCAGGGGCTTCACTCCTGCCTTCTGTCTCTCCCTCAGGAGCTGTCCAGGTGGGAACTTCAAGAGGCTCATTCCACCCTGGAGGATGGAAAATGGTCCTTCATGCCTCCATCAAGAGGTCTGGGATCCCTGCACGTTCGAGTCTCTGACCTTGCGCCAATCTTCCTGGGCCCAAAGTTTGGAGGGTGCAGGCCACCCTCCCCTGAGAACAGGCTCGCCCGATGTGCTTGGTGGGGAGGCCTGAGATTTGGAACAAACTGGCTCTTCTGTGGAGACTTTTGTCCACTCAGCTCCTCCCTTTGAGTTTCAGATTCCCAGCCCTGCTGCACTCCAGAAAAAGAAACAGAAATTTGGAAGCAAATACGAGATGGACCCCTAAAAGAGATGCACACCCCATTCCCAGATCTGGGAATGTCCTCCCCTCCATCAGGTCATCTAGTTTCAGGCTCTGTTCCAAGTCCCTCCAAGAAGAAGCTGACCTCCCACCGCCGGGACCCTGCCTTGCCACAGCCTCCCCCGTCCTCCAGCATGCCCTTGGGCTGCCCCACACAGGTCAACACTTGTCTCCTGGCCCTGCTTTCTGCCTCCAAGTTCTCGCTCCTGGACAGCTGTAAGAACCTATTTGCCCAGCAGACACTTTCCTGTTTGTTTATCATAACCATAATTTCCCAATCCCCAATCAAGACATCTCACATAAAACTTTAGGGTCACTTTTGGGTATAGAGGCAATTTGTATGCTAAAATACTACAGATTGAAATAAGTAGAGGAATTATGACGATTCAAAATAATGAGAGCAATTCTGGAGGGAATAAGTCAAAATATTTTATGCTGAGACTGTCTTAGAAAATCCAAGACCTGTCATCCCTGTGTATATGTTCTTATACCTCCAGCTAGGCACTCAGTAGACATGTGAATCTCCCTTGTCTTTGATGCTGACTCCCTCTCACATTCCTCTCATCCTCAATCAACACATTACATGGTTTTTCCATGAATCAATCTTTATTGGTGTTTGCAGCAATTGAATTATTGGCATAAGGCACAATGGGCTTCAAAGCAAATGACAGAAAGAAAATACGATTGTACAGGTGGAAAGGCTCTTCAGGGAGGTGTCCCAGAGCAACTGTGACCCTCACAAAGACCCTGCAGCTAGGACCCAGCCCAACTAAGACAGGCTTTGAGGACCTGAGAGTGACCAAGCCATACCTCAGGGAATCTGAAGGGGTCCCACAGTTCTTTCAAAGACAAGCATTTCTAGCTTCCTTGGGAGCTCTTCCAGCCTTTGAGTCTTTGTCATCAACAGCAGCTTGATGACCATGGGGACCCTGTCCCTCTAAGCCAGCCTGCTCTCCCTCACCTGTGCCTGTTCAGTGGAAGCCTCCCCTACCAGGGGCAGATTAAGGCCCCTGCAGAGGGAGGCAAAGGGGAGAGAAGAGCAAGAGTTGATAAGCAGACTGGCCAAGCCCAGTGACCCCCATGAGGATATGCAACCCCCCCCACAGCGGTGGGTCTTCCCACCAATATTTAGGAGGTTAAAGAAAAGGTGGCTTCTCAGTGGGATAGCTCCTGCCGCCCTTCTTCTGAGGAGGGGTCCTCCTCTATGAGCTCCAGGTCAAACTCATCTTCCAGGGACCCTCCCACAGGCAGAAGGCGAAACTTCTTCCCTTTCAGGGTGCATGTGCGGTGCTCAAAGTCCAGGATAGCATTGTGGTCCTGGAGCACATCAGTGCCAATGATGGCTTCCTCGGCACTCGCATTGGCCACTAGGAACTGTGCCTTCAGCTTCAGCTTGCCTAGGGACACCGCTGTATCCCAGACACCCAGGATCTTCATTTCAGCACCATTGGCCACCTTTACCACATTCTCAAAGGGCTGCAGGGTGTCCAGATCGCCATCAGTGACCTCCTCCCACAAGTTTGGGTGGACCACAGAGACCTGGGCCCCAGAGTCCACCAGGAACCTCACGGGCACTTTGCCAATCTTCCCCTTGAGATAGTAGCCCTTACCCATGCTGTTGGCAAAGACGATCTCTTTGGGCAGGTGGCTGGGGGCAGCCCCAGGGACCCCAAAGGCCTTCAGGAGGGCCTCTTTCACAGTCCCATAGTCTCCCTGGTCCTGGGGACTGAGCCTATTGTAGACACCCAGGGCCTCTCCTCTGAGGGACTCTTTCAGGAACCTTAGCTTGGTGATATGGTCCCAATGGTTGAGGTCATTGATGACTTCAAAGCTGTGCAGCCAGAGGTTTGGGACGACATTGGCCCCATCAAAAGGTTCCGGGACGAAGGCATGCTGCCGGCGGCCTTCCTCACTCCTGGCTCCGCTCCCGGCCATCCTGCTGCTCTCCTCTGGAACCTCAGCAGCAACCCACGCCAAGAAGAGAAACCCACAGAGCAGTGTCGGCGCAATCACGCTGGAAAACGGGGCCTCTCGAAGCAGAGTGGGGATGACTTGCCCGGCCTTGGGCAAGCAGGAGGGAGCAGGCGCGGTCGGCTGGCTGACTGCTGGGGCAGAGGCAGGCAGTGCTGTGGCCTGTTCACTCTGCAGAGCCTTTTTGATGCCTAGGCTGGCCCCTGGGCTCCCCATTCTCCTTTGTTCTGGAAGCTCCGCCCCTCCTCACCCCGCCCTCCTGCCAGCATCCGGCCGGACTAGCAGGATGGGTGCCTCACCCTCTGCATCCATCCTTGGACCAACACCAGCCAGCCCACATCCCAAGAAAGGCCAGCCTCTGTTGAAGGGGGACTACCCTGTACCCTCCCTGGCCTGTGTTCCAGAATAACAGATGAGGACACGGAGGATGTGATGACATTCAGGTATTTGTCATCAGCCAGTGAAGGAAGGGGAGGCAGGGACCAGACGCCCATCAGCTCAGAGACCGGGGAAGCCGCCATTGGCCTCCCCAACAAGTGACTACTTTGAGTGGTCAAAGGAAAACAGTTTACATGTACTGAGCTCCTACCACATGCCAGGCACTGGGAAGTGTCTCACACACATTCTAAAGCAGGTATGGGATCCTATGGGATTTCCTGGAGAGGGAGGCAGAGGAGGGTTCCAGCATAAAGAATGCACAGAAATGGTCTTTTTTAAGTGAGTGAGGACACACACACACACACACACACACACACACACGTGCACAATCATCTTACATGGACTCAACTGCTGCAGTAATTTTCCTTCATTGATCACCCCTGATTCAGAGGCAGAGGGGTGGCCAAGCAACTCTGGGTAGGCCCCATACTGCACTCCATGAGCATTGTCTCCACCCTATCCACCCCTCTCCATTTCCAGGAACTGTTCCAGGGCCCCTTCCCCAGGCACTGCAGCACTTCCTCTCCCACTCCCCAAGCTGGTCATTTGTGGAAAGATCACGGGAAATTTCACTCCCTTTTCATTCTGAGAGGGAAAATGTCCACTATGTTGGTGATGCCAGTGGTGAGGACCTGGAGGGCTCTGGCTCTGTGCCCCTCGCTGCAGGGGTAAAGGGTAGCACGGGAGGACATCCAGTCGTCTACAGAGGACATCTGTGAGTCCAAGGGCTGGAGGCCTGACTTGGGGCTGTGCAGGGGCTGTTGAAGGGATCCACTTTTATGTCCCCATTCAAAGGTCACTCCATGGAGCCTTCTGCCTGTCCCTAGAAAGGGCACCCACTCCTCGTTGAGCGTGTTTTACGGTGTGATCTGGTGGTTTGTTCACAAGTCTGCCTCTTGCTATGAACCAGAGTCTGGGGCTCACAAACCTGGCATTTGTGATTGTCTCCAGCCCCCAGAACAACTTCCTCTGGGACCCAGGGGCTCTTTGCTGGGCTCCAGGCCTAGCTGTGTGCTGTCACCAAACAGGAGTGATTAAGGATGGGAGAGGAGGAAGACTCGATGGCACACCTGTGGCTCTGGGGCTGTTTTTCCTGGCCAAGAGCCTGTCCCTCTTCAGCTCCCTATGCCATGCATCACCCAGTGCCTGGCGGAATCCCAGCAGTACCCTGCCTTTGGACAGTCCTGCCTCTGGATGGCCCAGGTCCCCAACCACAATGCAAGACTGTGCTGTCCCCAGCCCCTTCCACCTGATTCAGTGAGCCAGCAGAGAGGCAGTTGGGTCAACACCTCTCATCACAGCTGCCTGGCTAAGGTGGGGCCATTGTGGCATTCCAGGAGCCCAGAGGAGGGGAAATGGAGTCACCGAGAAGGTGTTGAGAGCAGGTGGTTCTTTGAGAAGACTGTATAATGAAAAACCTGCATCCAGAGAAATGGCCCAGCCACACGCAAGACCAGGAAGCCCTTTCTGCAGATGGACTTTTGCAGATAGCTTCCCAGCTGCTGGGATGAGTGTTGTTCTGTGGCTCAAAGAACTGATCCAGTGGTTTCCTGATTCCCTGGTATTCATTACCTCTGCACATCTGGTCCCCTGGAAGTGGAAATGAGTGAGGAGGTTAGCATGCGACCAAGGGAGGAGCGAGGCAGGTGGCTTGTCAGCTGACAAGCTGGGACTGCCAAATGCCCTGAACCGGCTTTTCAAACCATAGTGGTAGATGTTGAATTCCGATCTCCCTACTGCCCTTAGACTAGAAATCGGTGGTCCCTTGGGACCTCATTTGAGTGGGTTTGGTGTTCACATTGGCAAAGCATTTTACACACATCACCTCCATGAGGAGTATAACAACCTGGGAAGAAGACCAGCTCCGCTCCAGGACCCTGGAGCACAGGAGCTTCAATGGCCTCAGGTCCCAGGCTTTCCAGCGGCCAGAGAAGGGGATTTTGCAAGGACAGGGAGGTGAAGCGCTGGGCTGAGAGAGGTATAGCATAGGCGCCGGGGGCAGGGGTCTGGTGGGCAGTGGACAAAGAGCTGCTTGTTAAATATTCAGGAATTTGGTGAGTCAATTGTTAAACCAATTGGTACTTGAAATCAGACTTGGTGGAAGTATTTACATCACCAAAATTGGCAAATGCTAAATCAAGACTTTTTCCCCCTCTGGAATGCCAGTTCCATCACACCCCTGCATGGAAGCCTTGGTCACACTGACTCTCTAGGGCAGGCAAAGCACTGTGGCTGGTGATGAACAAGTTTATAGTAACCTCCACCCCTGCTTAGCTGCTTGGGCCCAAATCACCTCTCTCACCAAGGAGCCCAAGCCCACCTTGGCCCCATCCTTCCCCACAATCTTTAGAATTCTGTGCTGCTGTGGCTTGAGGCAGATGGCCCTTCGGGCTGTGTCTGTCCATACAGTTCCCTCTGGGACCTCCACAACAGAAACACGCAGGGGCCTCATGGTTACCGTGAGAGCTGGAAGGAGTTGGCATCAGCCTCTGGCCGAGTCTGGGAGTCTGTCTCTGGCTAGGATCAGGAACATGGGTAAAGGTCAGTTCTCAAGTTCCCTTATGCCTTGGGAGGTACCCATCCCTAGAACAGCCTGGAAGCACACAGAGACCTTGGAATGGCTACGCCAGAGGTGCCCCATGAGCTAAACCAGCCAGGGCAGGCCAGGTGCCACTACCTCCTCCCAGAACCTAGGAAATCATGGTTAATTATTGACAAGTATAGGTATTGGGGCGGGACACCCTCATTATCACCCATTAGCGTCTCCTGGGTGTACCCTGAAGCAAGCACACCGCACTGAACCCTGCAGGAGCAAAGCAGGACAATAAACAGGAAGGAGTGGGGCTCCCTACCCTCCACGCCCCCTCACTGAGATTTCTGGGCTGTGAGCTCAACCAGCCCAATTCTTTCTCAGCTCCCTGGTTCCCTTTTGCTGTTTCTTTTCTGCTGTTTTTTTGAAATTGTTTCACTTCTTATATTCACCTGGATCCTTTGCCTGCTTTAGTCTCCCTCAGGCCAGTTGGGCAAATCAAGACAAGCCCAAGACTGGGCCCATCAAGACAAGCCCAAGACTGGGCCCATCGGGCCTCCTGAGACCTGAAGCCCTTGGTGGGCAGTGAGTTCACTCCAAACACTTTATTATTTATTTATTTATTGAGATGGAGTCTCACTCTGTCGCCCAGGCTGGAGTGCAGTGGCGTGATCTCGGCTCACTGCAACCTCTGCCTCCTGGGCTCAAGCGATTCTCCTGCTTCAGCCTCCTGAGTAGCTGGGATTACACCACCACACCTGGCTAATTTTTCATATTTTTAGTAAAGACAGGTTTCACCGTGTTAGCCAGGATGGATCTCCTGACCTTGTGATCCACCCGCCTCGGCCTCCCAAAGTGCTGGGATTACAGGCGTGAGCCACCATGCCTGGCCCACCTCAAACACTTTAGACCAGGGGTCCAATTATTTGGCTTCCCTGGGCGACACCAGAATTGTCTTGGGCCATGCATAAAATACACTAACACTAACGATAGCTGGTGGGCTAAAAAAAAAACAAAAACAAAAACAAAAACAAAAACTCATAAACTCATAATGTTTTAAGAAAGTTTACAAATTTGTGTTGGGCCACATTCAAAGCGGGCAGGACACGTTTGCTTCAGATTGTTCCTGCGGCCTGACGACTTCCCAGAACACAGTGGCAGCTTGCACAGGAGCCAAGAGCTTTGACCACAGCGAGATACATTTGGAAATCCAAGGCACCTGCAGTTTCCTTATCCCCAAACCTAAACCCCCAGACCACCCATGCCTGCTCCTACCACCCAGCTGGGCACCACCCAGCATTCACAGTCAGTCATGGCCAAGGGCACACGGGCAGGACAGCTTGACCTTGACTGGACCCCCATCTTGGTCCCTGCCAAACCTCCTCAACATGAGCGTTCCTGCCACACTCCTCACCCAGTAGGCCAGTGTCACCGCTGAAGGACAGAGCTCTCCTGCCTGCAGGGCCCTTCCCCAGCTTGCCACTGTTCCAGAACCTGTTCTTCCCATTTGGGTCTCCCTCCTACCCTTCTTTGCCCCTAGCTCAGAACCCCTCTAACCAAAGTGGCCCAGCGCAGCCCACCAGCCAAATCCACTATGTCAGGAGGCAGCAAAATGCTTAATGCAAGTCCCAACCCTGGGGGGTCCTGGAGGTGTTTGGGGAGCAGTGGTCCTGGCCCCAGTGCCATTGCAAGCCTCCAGGCCTGGGGTCAAGGCCAGGACCAACCAAGAGTTGGTCAGACCAAGTTGCTGACTAACTCCTAGAAGTCCAATTTGCCAAAACCGGTTCTCCCCTGTTTTTATCTTTCAATCAAAGATGAAGATTACTAAGATGTCCTGAAGGCCTTCTCAGTCACCTCCTCAGGGCCCAGCCCTCCGAATTGGGTTTCTGCCTTTTTCCCAATTGCTGGTGCCCCCACCCTAGACCAAGCCGTCATCCTTTCCTGCCCCATCCTTGCCACGGAGGGCCAGGGCCCTGCCTGGCAAGAGGGGCTGGCTCTAAGGAAAGACCCTATGCAGATTCCCTTCCTCCCATCCCCTCTTCAGGGTCCCCTCTGCTTAACTGAGGTTGGGAGTGGGACTTGTAACACAGGTCTCCAGACAGCTTTGGGGACATTAAGTCACTTTTGACAAACACCCCTGCAATTAGTGAAATATTCAGGCAATCAAAACATTCAGATTGGGTAATCTCCAACTACAAGTGGGCTTCTAATGACACCAGGAAACTTGGCTTAGAGCTGAACACATAGAGGGCTTCTGTCCAACTTAAATACCTCAAAGGCAGCTTTGAACTAATCTGGAAATAGTTTGAATTGTCTCTAATGATAACTAGTATTGTGAGCAATTAAAACCTATCAAATATCCTCAGCACAGGAAGTTGTGTCTTTTCAATCAACTGCCAACCTAGCTTTGCTCCTAACATACAGAAGATGGGGGGCGGCGACAGAGAGGGGGTACCTTCCCTCTGGCATGTCAAAGTGATCCAGAAGATGTGGGAGAGGCAGGAGAGAGAGAAACGGAAAAACAGCAGAGCCCTTACATGTATAGAAATCTCCAGGTGGCTGGGCGCACCATCCACACACATGTATTGAGCACCTACTGTGTGCCAGACACCATGCTCGTGGCTGTAAATCAGTGTCAGGCACTCAGAGAGTCTGTGCCATAGACAGGAATGGACAATGCCAAATAGGTGGGTTGATTCAATTCCATACATACTTACTGAGGCCAACACCGCCTCACTTGGAGAGATGAATCAGACCTGCGCCCTACCCTCACAGAGTTCACAGATAAGTAAGAGAGACAGACTCCAACCTAGCTACTCAGGGATGAGCATAGGAGGTGCGGGGCACACTGGAGTCTTCCGGGCAAGATGGCAGCCCAAGGAGCCTCAGGCAACTCCCGCAACCAGGTATCAGCCAGTATCACCAGAGAAAAACAAACATGAAAGGAATATTACAGGGGAAACATGCAGTAGCCCTGAAACCAGGGAACAAGGGCATCCACAGACCAAAATCTTGGATTAATTTTTGTTGCTAAAGGCAAACCATCTGAGCGGGGGATGTGGATAGTGAAGGCCCTGAGAATGAGTTAGTGCATGTGGACGCACAGGATAGGATGCCTCGGAGAGATTGGGATAGTCTCTGGGTAAAATGGAAACAGTGTCTATGAACACAGAAAAAAGACTAGGAAGAAAGACACCAAAACAATGACAGTGGTTATTTTGGGGTAGTAGAATCATGAATGATCTTAACTTTCTTCTACAGATATTCTGTAAATATATCCTCTAATAAGAAAAAGTTATTTCAAATTAAGAAAACTTGTTCTTGCCATTTTCTGTAAGCTTAAAATTATTTCCAAATAGGCCAGGCATGGTGGCTCATGCCTGTAATCCCAACACTTTGGGAGGCTGAGGTGGGTGGATCACCTGAGGTCAGGAGTTCCAGACCAGCCTGGCCAACATGGTGAAACCCTGGCTCTACTAAAAATTACAAAAATTAGTTGGGCGTGGTGGCGCATGCCTGTAGTCCTGGCTATTTGGTAGGTTGAGGCAGGAGAATTGCTTGAACCCAGAAGGCGAAGGTTGCAGTGAGCTAAGATAGAGCCACTGCACTCCAGCCTGGGTGACAGAGCAAGACTCTGTCTCAAAAAAATAAAAAATAAAAATAATTTCCAAATAAAGTTTTTTAATAGGGAATAAATAGGAAACTTCTGTACCTTTCACTCAGTTTTGCTGTGAAATCTAAAACTACTCTAAAAATAAAGTCTATTAAAATTTTAAGTTTTTTAAAAGGTGCTTTAAAAACTGGTACATCGACCAGGCATGGTGGCTCACACTTGTAATTCCAGCACTTTGGGAGGCCAAGGTGGGTAGATCGCTTGAGGCCAGGAGTTCAAGGCCAACATGAAAACACCCTGTCTCTACTAAAAAGACAAAAATTAGCAGAGGATGGTGGCACATGCCTGTAGTCCCAGCTACTTGGGAGGATGAAGTAGGAGAATCACTTGAACCCAGGAGGTGGAGGTCGTGGTGAGCCGAGATTGCACCACTGCACTCCAGCCTGGATGACACAGTGAGACCCTGTCTTGGAAAGCAAACAAACACAAAAAAAACTGGTCCATAAAATAAGATTGGCAATATTAATTATTGTTAAAGCTAGAAAATAGATCTAAGAGGGTTTATTTGAGTTTCTCACCACTTTGGGGTGTGTTTGAAAATTTCCCATAGTAAAAAGTAAATAATAAGTAAGCAAAGGCTGTGCCAAGACCCTCCCCAGCCTGGTCTGCCCAGCTCTTGGCCCACTCCTGGGCCGTCTGCATGGGCCTGAGTCTTGGGCACTGGAACCCCTGGTCGCTGGGGACAAGCAGTCCCGACTGTGGCTCAGTGTCCCTGGTCTGTGTGGCGGCTGCTGAACGGACTCTCCCCTGCAGCATGGGCGTCTCCCAGGGCAGCCGCTCCAGCCTTGCACCCTCCCGCCTCGTGTCATGTACACTCTTTTCCTGAATCTCCAAATTCTCACTCTCCGTGGGTTCCCTGCCTTTATCCAAATTAGCACTCATGAGACTTTCACATCTTAAAAAAGAAAACCCTCACATGATCCTGTATCTCCTTGGTCAATGACCACTTGTTGCCTTCCTTGACAGGCAGTTTCTAGAAGGGTTGGTCCACACTCACAGGGCCAAGGTGCACAGATGCCCCACTGTGGGGCAGGTGGAGGCTGAGGCATAGCCTGCACTCCTCTTGCCAAGCCTATGTGCCAGAACGAGGGGTTGAATCTGCCTGGAGGAAGGGGTGCCCCTTTCTAATTTGCACACGGTGTGGCATGGTCCGAGGCAGCCCGCTTACACTCTGCCTCATGGTGTTACCTCCATTCACACACAAAGCCTCACCGCCCTCTGCCGTCAGCCTTGCCAGGGACATTGGCGGTTCCCCGAGGCTGCAGTCTGGCCCTCTCAGCCTCAAGGACTCTGGCCTTCTGAAGCCCTCGCACTGCTGTTTTCCTCCTAGGTCTTCTCTGCGCCTTTGGTTTCTGTATCCCAAGTTTCTGGGTCTTCTGCCACTACGACCACTCCCCTCTGTCCTTTGTGGGTTCCTCTCTCCCTGGATACTCACAGATGTGGCTCCCTGAGGCTCTGTCTACAGGCCATTCCCCCTCATTCCACACACTCTCCAGGCCAGGGACACCCCTCTCTGCACCGCTTACCCATCCTCTCCCCACTGCCCCAGCTGCCCACCTTACATGTCTGCCTACGAGTCCACTTTCAACAGTGAACATGCTGTCTTCTCACCAGACACCCTCTGCCTCCTGTGTTTTTTGTTTGTTTCGTCACCTAGGCTGAAATGCCATGGCTCCCTGAAGCCTTGACCTCCCGGGCTGAAGCAATCCTCCCACCTCAGCTCCAGTTCCACCTTAGAGGGGATCAGAGGTGCACACCACCACATCTGCCTAATTCTCTTAAATTTTTTTTTTTTTTTGGTAAAGACAGGGTCTCCCTACATTGCCCAGGCTGGTCTCTAACTCCTGGGCTCAAGCAATCCTCCCGCCTTGGCCTCCCAAAGTGCCAGGATTACAGGCATGAGCCACCACACCTGGCTCTCTGTGTTCTTTATCTGGCAATGGCACTACTATCTAGCCAGCCCTCGGAGTCACAGACACAGGGGGCTTCCTCACCTCCACCCCTTTCTCACGGCCCCACCTGGACTGCTGGGTCGCCAGTGCCCTCAGCTCCTCCTCCTGAGTCTCTCTCCTGCCTCCATGCCTCTTCACACCCTGGCCTCAGGGCACCCTGCTGAGGTCGGTAGTCATCCTACAGGACTCCTTGCCTCCTGCCTCCTCTCCATTAATCCACCCTCCTCAGGCCACCAGAGTCATCTTCCAAAGATGTAAGTCTGCTCATGCCATTCTGCTCAAAATTCCTCCATGGCTCTTCATCCCAAAATAAAATCTTGACACCCAACAAGACTCACGAAGTCCCCCTCCCTAGTTCATGCTCTACCTATACAAAATGGCGTGTAGCTCCCCAAACAGGACGGGCTTTCTCATACCTTTTCACAAGCCACTCAGCCAGATGAGCCCTCTGACACCCCTGTTCTCCTGGCAAACACTGAGAAGTCAACTAAGACACTACCACCTCCAGGAAGTCTCCTTTGATTTCCCTAGCAAACTCAGGGTCTCCCTCCTCTAAGGTGCTATCATAAGGGACTGCCAGGCCCAGCTCCTCTCTGAGTTGCAGCACTGGTACAGTCTAAACATGAAAGTCCCGGTGTTTCTTGGCCTTTGGTCTCATCCACAACCTGCACATCCTCCAGCCCAGGCTGTCCTCACCTTTTTCCCATGAAGCATTGCCTGATCTTCCTCAGCAATTGCTTCTGCCTCGATGGCTTTGAATATCAGGCCTGGCAGTGCTCTTTAACTGCAGATGAGCAGCATTCAAAGTTGCCTTTTTTTGGCCGGGCACAGTGGCTCATGCCTGTAATCCCAACACTTTGGAAGGCCGAGGCGGGCAGATCACCTGAGGTCAGGAGTTCGAGACCAGCCTGGCCAACATGGTGAAACCCTGTCTCTACTAAAAATACAAAAATTTGCCAAGTGTGGTGGTGGGCACCTGCAATCCCAGCTACTTGGGAGGCTGAGGCAGGAGAATTGCTTGAACCTGGGAGGTGGAGGTTGCAGTGAGCTGAGATCATGTCACTGGACTCCAGCTTGGGTGACAGAGTAAGACTCTGCCTCAAAAAAAAAAAGTTGCTTTTTTTTACTGTACTCATAGTAAGAAAGACATTTTTCATCATAATCCAGTACACATATCCATGAAGATATATGTAGCTAAAACAAAATGTATTTACTATGTGTAATATACTCTGATATTTTCTATTTGGGGCCACTTCTTTTTTAACTCTTTTAATGACACTGAAAACTAATCTCCCAACCCACTAATTGATCCCCACCCACCATTTGGAAAACTGCTATAGCCAGCAGGGATGACTAAGGGCTCCCAGCAAGGGATCAATGTGATTAGAATAGAACGTTAGGACCCTGCCTCTCAAATGTTCTAAGGCGCAGGATCGTTTTGTAAATTTCCAATCTGTCACATACTTTACTATTTAAAAACACAATAAGAATGAATTATCTGAAGGTAAAATAACAAAGATATTTAAAAATGCAAGTCTAGATTCATTATAATTAGATTCAACAGACAGTGCGGGGTGCTAAGAGCATCAGGTGCAAGAATGTTTGGGGAGGCCGGAGATGTGAGGCGGCTTTGCCAGCCTTAGGATGCCCACAAGCCCTTGACATGTAGCCAAGCCAGCCCTGCCAATCTCCGTCCTGGAGCATTTGAACTTGCATCATCTGGGGGAGCTTTGCTGAGGAGAAAGGTGCCTCTGCGCAGTCTTTGGCCTTGTCAAGAGGGCCAGGCTGCCTAAATTCAACTCCTGACTCAGCCACTAACTGGCTGCAAGCTGTGGACAAATGACTTAATTCTTTCAAGCCTTGGTTTCCTCCTAGGATTGTCCTGGGAGATTATTCAAGCAATCCGTACCATGGGGCTTAGCCAGTACTGCACCTGGTTACACTCGACCCTCTTGCTTTCATGGCTGTGATTCGGTTGCTGTCTTCTAGGTTTTCTTTACCATTTTTTTTTTTTGAGACGGAGTCTCACACTGTCACCCAGGCTGGAGTGCAGTGGCGCGATCTCGGCTCACTGCAACCTCCGCCTCCCGGGTTCAAGAGATTCTCCTGCCTCAGCCTCCCCAGTCGCTGAGATTATAGGCGCCCACCACCACGCCTGGCTAATTTTTTGTATTTTTAGTAGACATGGAGTTTCACTATGTTGGTCAGGCTGGTCTCCAACTCTTGACCTCGTGATCCTCCTGCCTCAGCCTCCCAAAGTTATGGGATTACAGATGTGAGCCACCGTGCCCGGCCCTTTTTTTTTTTTTCAAGATGGAGTCTTGCTCTGTCGCCCAGGCTGGAGTGCAGTGGCGTGATCTCGGCTCACTGCAACGTCTGTCTCCCAGGTTCAAGTGATTCTCCTGCCTCAGCTTCCCAAGTAGCTGGGATTACAGGCTCCCGCCACCATGCCCGGCTATTTTTTGTAATTTTAGTAGAGACGGGGTTTCACCACGTTCGCAGGACTGATCTGGAACTCCTGACCTCAGGTGATCTGCCTGCCTCAGCCTCCTAAAGTGCTGGGATTACAGGCGTGAGCCATTCGCCGGGCCTGCCGTCCTCTCGGTTTTCATGAGTGTTCTGCAGTCCTCCTTACTCTTCCTCGTCCTCCCTGGTCCCTTTTCTTGGCCCCACACTGACTACTCTACTCAGGCCAAACCTTCACCCTTCCTCACTTCTCCACCTCCTGCTTGCAGAAGATGGCTTGCGTCCTGCTTGGCAGAGAAATGGCGAGCTCTCACTCCACCCTATCCCAGGTTTTCTTCACTTCTCATCCCTTTTCAGGGACTCTGTGCCTGGCCAGGCTAATCCTTCCACCTGAGGCCCCCTCCAACCTCCTCAGTAGCCTCTTTCCATCAGCCATTCCCACCCTCTTCTGGGAATCTTTCCAGAGTCAAATCTCTGGCCACTCCTCAGACTAAGGCAACCTGCCCAGTAGTATGCTGGTAGATGTTTAATTAACAATGAGCTCTCTGGGGAAAATGCATGCATATATACACATACATACATTTATGATAAATTTTATTGACATAAAGGATGGCTAATAATTTACAAATAATAAAAAATATATACTACTCTTTACTGTAAATTGCATATGGCCAGTTGGGTCTTACAGGATGCTTTCATTGATTTTTGCCAACCTGCTGAATCTATAACCAGCCTACAGTTGTAACTGATAAATGAATGTAGTTCCAACATGAATGTTAACTGATATTTTTGTTTGTACCAACTAGCAAGAAAAAAGTGAAGCCAGAAAGACAGATGTTGGAACTTCACTTGTTGTTTTTTTTTTACAGAATGGGTTGCCCAGAACTTGGAGTGCAGTGGAATGTTCATAGCTCACTGTAACCACAAACGCCTGGGCTCAAGAGATCCTCCTGCCTCAGATAGTGCACACCACGCCCAGCTAACTTTTTTATTTTTTGTAGAGAACTGGTTTAGTTATATTGCCCAGGCTGGTCTTGGACTCCTGGCCTCGAGCAATCCTCCCGCCTGGACCTCCCAAAGTGCTGGGATCACAGGCAAGAGCCACTGCACCTGGCCAGAACTTTACTTGTTTGTCAATGGTGTTAGCAATTTCTTTACTGAAGCAGAGAATAGTTTTTGAATACTGGAAGAATATTTCCTTCATTTTTCTGTGCCATTCACAATGCAATGGCCATTGGCAAAACATACATTTAAGTTTAATGTGCATTATTAGCATTTTCTCCATAACCTTCTTAAGTCTAGATAGTCAACCAAATAATGAATAAAGCCCTGATTTGTGGTGGTTGCTGCCCACTTCTGTGGTGTAAATATTCCCACTGTGGCTGATTTCAATCCACCAATATGATGTCACTGAATGCAGACTTGGGGAAAAAGCACAGTAACACAACATTATATAGTATTTCCACAGATGTAATAGATGTACATAATCTTAAAAGAATAAAGAATAATAAAATATAAAATTATTGCCAGGCATGGTGGCTCATGCCTGTAATCCCAACACTTTGGGAGACCGAGGCGGGCAGATCACCTGACGTCAGGAGTTCGAGACCAGCCTGACCAACAAGGAGAAACTCTGTCTCTAATAACAATACAAAATTAGCCAGGCATGGTGGTGCATGCCTGTTTTCCCAGCTACTCAGGAGGCTGAGGCAGGAGAATCCCTTGGACCTGGGAGGCGGAGGTTGCAATGAGCTGAGATCGTGCCATTGCACTCCAGCCTGAGCAACAAGAGTGAAACTCCATCTCAAAAAAAAAAAAATTATTAGGAAGTGATGGTTTTTGAAAATTTATTATTTTTGCCTTAATATAATTCATTTAATTGTAAGTTTATATAATTTAATTTATAATTTAATTTTTCATAATAGCTGGGTTTAACCATTGGTTCATGAAATTCCTGAAGATTTAACAATCAGCTCATAGGAACTGGTATGATCTGAGCACACCTGGATCTGAACCCCAAGCCCAGCTCTTCCTTGAGCAGGGCCCTCAAAAGGCTCTCCAAAACCTGATGGCCCTGCCCAATGTATATTTTTCAGATCTATCAGCGAAACTGAACTCATTTTCTTTCTCTCCAGTCTGCTCCTCTGTGGGCTGCCATGTTGGTGGAGGGCTTCGCCATTCACCCTGGGGTGGCAGGAGTTGTGGATGAGAACTCTGGACAGGAAGAAGGCTGGGATCAGAGGATGGGGATTTTGGAATTGTTTAGAGCAGAGGTGAAATAGTTTTGGGTAATGACAATGTTGGGTGGGTGAAGAGTCCCTGGGCTGAGGAGGGCACAGAACCGTAAGGCTAGGCTGTTCCTGGAGGTCGGGGTATGGGCTGATGGCATGTTCACACTCCTGTTACATCTTCTGTCAACTAGCTTCCCTGCAACAAGCTGTGTCTGACAGTCCTCCAGAGCTCCTGGGGCAGGGGTCCCAGAGCCGACTGTGGGTCACACGCGACAAACTCCCACACCCATATTCCTCTGGGATTGCTCCAGGCTAAGGTTGGATTCTCAGGCAGGAGGAAGGAGGATCAGCCTTGGCCAGAGGCACAGAAAGCTGCAAAGCCCCCAGCCCCTCCCTTGAAGGGCAGAGCTCCTTTTGAGGACAGAGAAGATCTGGAGGGGATGTGGAGGCAGGTGTTTAACAGAGGACTTGAATGTATCTGGGATTTCCATGGCAGTGATGCCTGGACGGAGGCCAGAGTGTCCTAGGTGAAGTGGGGGATTCTGAATGGAGCCCACAGACAGCAAGAGCCCAGCCTGCAACCCACCTTTCCTTTCACGTCACCTGACTCCCTGTCCGCACTGCTGCCCCTCGGCCTCCCTGCCGGTGCTGCTCCTCCCCCGAGAAGCTTCCCTGCCTCCTCCCATGTACTTCAGGGAACTGGTAAGTTTGGAAAGCACCCAGAATTACTTGAGGAAAAGACTGTAGCAAGTACAATTTGAATTTGCCAAGAGACTTTGCCACCAAATTCACTTGCCTAGAGAGAGAGGCGAAGTCCATGGGTTTCTCCCTGTGGTTCTGTGGCTTCACCGGGAAAATGTGGGCCTTGCTGAGCTATGGAGGGGAAAGGAAAGGAGCGTGAAGGAGACAGGAGGCAGAAGCTCCTCACAGTGCCCAGCACGCAGTAGGGGCCGAGATGATGTGCTGAATGATGGGCCTCATGGCCATGTGAGTGGAAGGCCAGGCAGAGCTGCTTGTTTAATATCTCCTACTCTTTCCCCCGTGGTCAGTGAATTTGCTTTTGGTTTTGAATTTGCTTTGGCTGAACCAGGGACAATTTCTACATGGCCTTGAGGCCACAGGCATATGTAGTCAACTGCACACCTCAGGGTGCAAGGGGTTACACCTGTTCCTTGCTCAAAAGTCATGGGAAGTTGCTAAACAGACCAAAAGAAGAACCAGCACGCTTACTGCTCTCCGTCCTCCCCTTCCCCACCCCACCCCCAGCTGTTAGCTCACAGAGGGTCAAAACAGGCAAGATAAAATCTGTCCAACTCACAGCTTCAAAGGAACACAAGTTAGACATGTGACCCAACCGCACCCAGCCTTGTCCCTCCCAGGTGCATGGCCCTGGAAGGCCCAACCCTCCGGCCACGTGGTCCGTGTAGAGGCCAGGTGGGCAAAGCCTTCCGTTCCAGACCCAGTGCTGCCCTCCCATGAGATCCCAATCTGATTTTGGTCTTCTTGTAGTTCTCCTTGGAAGCCAGGCCCAGCCCCACACTGCCTCCTCCTCACGCTCACCTGGCTCCCTCCAATCCGATCTGGGGCAGGAGGCGATGCAGACCGCAGTCTTCACCGCAACCTCGACCCTGAGGGCCCAGAGTCAGTGCTGGAGCCACCTACCAGGAGTCACTTCCATAGCCCTTGAGGCTGAATGAGAGCCCTCGGGTTCTTGGATAGCAGAGAACACAACCCAGACATGGCTCTGGATATGAAACAAATCCTTTCTGAACCTGACACCAGACTTTTCCCCAGAGGTGATTTTTTAATTATTTTTTGAATGCTTTCCAGATTTGACTGAATGAATGGGTGACAATGACCCTAAGTCATGAGCCTTCAAGGCCTGTACACTTGTGGGTTAAGAAAGCCCTTTCTCAGCCTGGCATGGCTGGCCCCCTCCCTTTCCCCCTCCAGGCACAGAGTGTCCTGGTAAGGTATGATGGCACAATACAGCCTCTCCACGCCTTATTTCCACCATCTCCTGTCACTGTGCCCCCATCAAAGCACACACAGAGAGAGTCCCAAATCAGACCAACCTATAGGAACAGAGTGCCCCTGACAAAACACACACACTCATACACCGAGGAGACACAAACTGGGCAAAAATGGGACAGGCAAGGTGACTCATGCCTGTAATTCCAGCACTTTGGGAAGCCGCGGCAGGTGGATCGCCTGAGGTCAGGAGTTCGAGACCAGCCTGGCCAACATGGTGAAACCCCGTCTCTACTAAAAATACAAAACTTGGCCAGGCATGGTGGCGCGCACCTGTAGTCCCAGCTACTCGGGAGGCTGAGGCAGGAGAATCACTTGAACATGGGAGGAGGAGGTTGCACCACTGCACTCCAGCCTGGGCTACAGAGTGAGACTCTGTAAAAAAAAATAAAAAATAAAAAGGAAAAAAATTGGGCAAAAATGTAGAAATTCAATTTTACTGAACTTTTTTAAAAAATTATGGGAATTCCCAGTGTCTCAAAAGAAAATGACAACCTCCAGACAAGCACATTTAAGTAAACAACATAAAGGCACTGACAGCCACTGTGGGTGGGAAGTCACTGGCAATGGGAGCCCTGCCCCCTCAGGGTTCCGTCATTGTTTTGCAGGTGCGATTCCTGCTTCCCCCACCATTCTGTAAGTTGTGTAAGATGCTGTCGAAAGATCACGGGGCTGAAAGGCAGGAACCTCATGTTCCAAACCCAAGACTGGCCCGGTATCTGCGTGACCTTGGGCGAGGTCCTCTGCATCTCTGAACTATCGTGTCTCCATCTGTAAAATGAAGGTTGACCTTCCTGGATAATTTCGTCTTGGGTTTCTACTGTACTCTCACTCTACCTGGCCCATTACCACCTAGGAGGGGCCTAATAAATACAAATGAAAAGAAGTGGCCCCAAATGATCTTTTAGTCAATATAACCCCAATTCTGGTTTCAGCTAAGATTTGGATACAGAAAGTACCATTTCCCCACTAGTTCAATGGGAAAGTTGGGTGGAATGCATCTTTGGAGGGTCACAAAGTGGAAATTAGTAACTCCAGAGGGGGGAGTGAAGAAAAGGAGGTGACAAAGTAGCCAGTGGGACCTGTTGGTGTCACCCTGAGTTGTGTCATTCCAGGCTGTCTGGCCTGTCCTCTAGGTCATGAGCCCCAGAAGTGGGTCCATGCCCTTGGGTGGTGAATGACAAGTGTGGGTATGGATCCCCTAGACACTAAATTCAAACTCAGACATCCCCTACCCTGCCCTAGCCCATAAAGGAAGCAGGCTGGGGCCCTATGGGCTTCCTTTGCACAAATGCAACTGGCCAGGTGCCTGTTTCTGGCTACAACCCTCTGCAGGGCGGGTGTGCTGGCAGTCTTGGGGCTTAAGGCCAGGCAGTGATCCCAGCATTCTGAGAAATGCTTGCTCCAACCCCCAGAGAAGCTTCTTCCCCAGGGGGCTCTGTACTCTCCCAACACTCTTTCCACCCCTCCAAGCCTCCAGGGGAGTCTCCTTGGGGAAAGTTTTCCCAGGCTGGTTCTGAGCGTGGTCACACACTCATCCCTGGATAGTTGCCCCATAGAGGGGACACAACCCGGAGGGCCAGGGAGCTCAGTCTGAGAATGGGACCAGCACTGCCTCACCCACTAGGCCACCTTAGGAAAACAACTTTGGGCCCCATTTTCCCCTTCACAAAATGAAAACGACAGGCCCAGCCCATCAAGCAGTTATGCGGATTAAAGGAGATAACGCATAACAGCCTTAGGCCAAACCCAGAGCTACCTCCCGTTCACCCTGATGATTACGCAGAGCTACAAAAGCCCTCACAGATTACACCAACGACAAGCCACAGCAAGGCATGACAAGGTTAAGAAAGCCCTTTCCCAGCCTGACACGGGTGAGGGTGTCCTGGTGAGGCAGTGACTGGGAAAGGCCCCGAACACCGGAAGCAAACCTCGCGCCCTCCAAGGTGGTAGCAGCCCGTGGACAGGAGAGCCGGGCTGCCTCAGAGGTCATGGAACCCTCCCCTTCATTGCACAACTGAGGAAACTCCCAGACGATGGGTGACTTGTCAGAGGCCACACGGCAGGTCTGTGCCATTTGGACAAGAGGCCATATCTTCATATTTCTTCTCTGTGTGGCCAGATTATTTCCTTAGATACTCATGTGTGTTTCAATGGTTGCATTTTTCCTCCTCCTCCCATTCCAAGAAGGTCTTGGACCTGTCCTCTTTTGGGTGTCCCTGTTGCAGGGGACGTGTTTTTTGTTTGTTTTTGTTTTTTTGAGACAAAGTCTCATTCTGTCACTAGGCTGGAGTGCAGTGGTGTGATCTCGGCTCACCGCAAGCTCCACCTCCTGGATTCAAGCGATTCTTCTGCCTCAGCCTCCTGAGTAGCTGGGACTACAGGTGCATGCCACCACACCCAGCTAATTTTTGTATTTTTAGTAGAGATGGGGTTTCACCATGTTGGCCAGGATGGTCTCAATCTCCTGACCTCATGATCCACCCGCCTCGGCCTCCCAAAGTGCTGGGATTATAGGTGTGAGCCACCACGCCCGGCCAGGGACGTTTGAGTTTCAGGACCAGGCAGAAGCCACCCCAGGCCCTTCTCTCCTTTGCCTCTTTGTTTCAGTGTCTGGGCTCCTTGTAGTCTCTGAGGGAAGAGTCTTCGGAGAAAATGAGAACAGAGAGGGGAGGAGGAACTGGGGAGTGGGAAGAGGGCAGAGGCCTGTACTATGTCCCTCTGGGAGGGGCAGGACACAGAGGTGGGGAGGCCAGCCCTGGACATGGGACCCCCCTCAAACTGGGCACAAAGGCCCCCAAAATGGCCTGGGGGCAGAGTCTCAGCCTCATGAGGCCCTTGAGAGTGACAGGCCCCTTGCCTGTCCACATTTCTGGGCAACCTCCTGGATTCTTGGGTGACCCTCACTGGATGGGGCCTAAAAATGACCAAGATGAAGTTTCCTCCTCCTCAGGCACCATGGGAGCTCAGAGTTGGAGCTGAGTTGATTTCAGGAGCGTTTCCTGCCACCTGGGTTGGTGGACTAAGCTCCACGCTCTCCATACGAGGCACTGCTCAGTCCCCTTCACCACATTGCTCTCTACAACACCATCACCCACTTGGAGGATGCTTTACACAGTGACTTCACGATCATCTTCTAGTACCTGAACAGGCCTAAATTGTGCCCATTTAATGGGTGAAAAAACTAGGGCTCAGAAAATAGAATGAGATTTCCCCCTGCCGCTGGCCTGCCCCAGAGAGCAGGGAGCCTCATTGTCGCTGGGTTCCACCACCTGGGCAGGCCTCCGAGGGAGAAACCAAGTCTGTACAGGGAGCACGTGGGCAGCCTGCCCTCCCCCATGGCCCCTTCAGTGACTTAGTAGGATGCAGCACCAGTCACAGCTTCTAGATGCTCACCTGACTCTGGCTGTGTGTCACCTTGAGTGGAAGCTAAAGATCTAAACACTGACAAAAATTCCTGCAGGTGATTGAGAAATCAAAAACAAAGAAAAGCAACTGGCCACCAAACAGATGAAAAAATCCGTAAACTCATTAGCAATGAATTAATGCCCACTAAAGCCACATTGTTATTATTGCTATTTCTCTTTTAAGTTGGCAAAGTCTTTTTCTCATTCCCTGCAATGCTATTTGTGGGAATATAAATTTATATGATTTTCAAGTGTACATGCACACACATACATACAAATGTGTATGTATGTGTATATTTATCTAAGAAGTCTCACAAATATTCACACCCTAAATACAACATGCTATCCTGGAATGTATCCCAGAACAGTAAAGGACATTCATGGAAAAAATGATGAAATCCCAAAATATCTGGAGTTTACTTAACAGTATCATACCAATGTTAGTTTATTAGTTTTGGCAAATGTACCCTGGTTAGGTAAGATAGGAACGTTAGAGGAAGCTGGATAAAAGATATATGGGAATTCTCTCTACTATCTTTTCAACTTTCTATAAATCCAAAATTATTTTATTTTTTATTTACTTATTTATTTTGAGACAGAGTTTCGCTCTTGTTGCCCAGGATGGAGCGCAATGGAGAGATCTCAGCTCACTGCAATCTCCCCCTCCTGGATTCAAGTGATTTTCCAGCCTCAGCCTCCCGAGTAGCTGGGATTACAGGCGCCCGCCACCAGGCCTGGCTAATTTTTGTATTTTTGGTAGAGATGGGGTTTCTCCATTTTGGCCAGGCTGATCTCAAACTCCTGACTTCAGATGATCTGCCCACCTTGGCCTCCCAGAGGGCTGGGATTACAGGCGTGAGCCACTGCATCTGGCCTAAAATTATTTTAAAATAAAAGGTCTTTTTTAAAGCTCACATTCTTTTACCCAGAATTTCACTTCTAAGATTTTATCTAAACTTATCAGAGAAATAGATGGACATCCTTTACTTGCAAGGATATTGCACCACTTGTGATAATTACAAAAAAGTATGAAAATTATCTATATGTCCAAGAACAGTAAGTAGATTAAATAAATTATGCTGCATCCAATGATGATAGAAAGTGGACAGAAAGTATTACATTATAATATTTATTGACGTGGAAAATGCTTACAATAGAAGGTTAAGCAGAATAATTAGGACACAAAACTAGATACACTTTAAGCTCAATAAAATTTTTTAAACTATGTACCATATATTAAGAGTAGTTACAAATGGATCATATAATTAGAGTGAATCATAGTTTCTTCTAAATGCATTTATAAATTTTTACACAAAGAAATATGTTTATAATCAGGAGAAAAGGTTTTCTTTGTTGTTGTTGTTTGTTTGTTTTGGGATGGAGTCTTACTCTGTTACCCAGGCTGGAGTGCAGTGGCGCGATCTCGGCTCACTGCAACCTCCGCCTCCCGGGTTCGAGCAATTATCCTGCCTCAGCCTCCTGGGTAGCTGGGTTTACAGGCACATGCCACAATGCTCAGCTAATTTTTTTGTATTTTTAGTAGAGATGAGGTTTCACCAGGTTGGCCAGGCTGGTCCTGAACTCATGACCTCAAGTGATCCGCCTGCCTTGGCCTCCCAAAGTGCTGGGATTATAGGCGTGAGCCACCATGCTCGGCTATTTTCTCTACTTTTAAATGATGCACAGGTTGGTAGAGCCCAGTTGCCTGTAACCCCAGAGCCAGGTCTATGTCGGCAGAGCAGGTGGCCATCTGCATGATGGAAGGGGCCCTGAGGAAGTGATCCTAACTGCAAATCTCTCCCTACGGGCTCCTTCCTCTCTCCCTCCCTCTCATCTATCCATCCATCCATCCATCCATCCATCCATCCATCCATCCATCCATCCTTCCATCCATCGGGCACAAGAGCTGCAATGCTCAGGAGGCCTTACAACAAGGATCTACTCTTCAGAGCTACCCTTTGAAGTGGACACTCTGTGATTAAATCTCTTCTATTAAGGCTAGGCATGGTGGCTCATGCCTATAAAGGAGGATCATTTGAGCCCAGGAGTTCGAGACCAGCCTGGGCAAGAGAGAGAGACCTCATCCCTACTAAAAAAAAAAAAAAAATAGCCAGGCCTCTTGGCACATGCCTGTAGACCCAGCTACTTGGGAGGCTGAGGAGGGAGGATCACTCAAGCCCAGAAGTTCAAGGCTGGAATGAGCTGTGATCCTGCCACTGCACTCCAGCCTGGGTGACAGAGCAAAACCCTGTCTCAAAAAATAAGTTTTCTAAGATTTTTAAATTGACCACTTATGTGGGAATTAATTGATCAGAGCTTTCTGGCCATATGGGTAGCTGAAAGGGGAGGAGGCACAGGAGGTACCAGCTGTACTAAAGAAAAAAATAAAGGGAGAGGTTGGCGGCAACTGGTGCCTCATGGGACAGACGCACCTGGGTGAGGACAGGAGGACACTGGGCACTAGGAGTCGTCAAGCAGAGCAGGGAAGACAGAGTCATGCAGGCTGGGCAGTCCTGGGGGCTGCTTCCCCCCTTCTCAGGCCTGCAGCTGGTCACCACAAAACCTTAGGCCTCTGAAGTGTGGCCCCTCAGACCTGGAAGCCCTTTAAGATGCCCTGAGCAGATGGCATCGCTGCGTCAGAACCCTGGAGCAGAAAGGGCTAGCAAGGCTGGCAGATGGGCCCCTCCCCTCACCCTGTGGGGGCCTCTGGAACCCTGAGTATTTATTTATTTTTTTGAGATGGAGTCTTGCCCTGTCACCCAGGCTGGAGTGCAGTGGTGTGATCTTGGCTCACTGCAACCTCCATCTCCAGCGTTCAAGTGATTCTCCTGCTCCAGCCTCCCGAGTAGCTGGGATTACAGGTGTGTGCCACCACTCCCGGCTAATTTTTGTATCTTTAGTAGAGACAGGGTTTCACCATGTTGGCCAGGTCGGTCTTGAACTTCCGAGCTCAGGCAATCCGCCCACCATGGCCTCCCAAAGTGCTGGGATTCCAGGCGTGAGCCACCATGTCTGGCTGGAACCCTGAGTATTTCTGTCTTTTTCTCATTGGAGCGTCTTGTACTGGATGCTCAAGTTCTAGTGGCCTCCCCATGAACACATTTTTGCAGGATTTGGCCAAGAGCAAAGTAAAAAGAAGAGCTGGTTTTGAAAAGGCAGAAGTAGGAAGAAGCAAATGGGGATTTCAGCACTGGCCTGAGTTCTGTTCCCTAGGGCATAGGGAATTCTGTGAAGAGCAGGTGAGGATTTGGCCTGGGACTCTCAGGGAGGGACCAGAAGGCAGGAGGCCTCAGAGCAGGGCAGCCTTTTGGGCAAAGCTGCCACCTCCTGCTCGGGCCCAGCTAGGCTGAGCTGGGCTGGGCTGGATGTGGCAGGCAGGGAGATGGTGTGTTGAAATTAAAATTGGTGGAGGAATCTGAGGAATGGGGGAGGGTAGGGGAGCAGTAATTACACAGTTCTGTGAATGAGGGCTGACCTGGAGGGCCTAAGCGGGCACTGGTGTGGAGGTGGGAAGGTGAGGGATTCTCATGTGCGGTGGTCAACAGTTCTGCTTGTCCAGCAACTTCTGCTTCCCTTATTCTGGACAGCACCTCACTTTTCTGAGGGGGAACTACTTCTCCCCCAGTTCCATCATGGTACTGGTGGGGCTGTCAGCCCAGGATCCAAGCCAGCCAGTAAGACTGTCTGAGAGATTTGAACCTGGAGGTCACACAAGGAGACTAGCACTGCCTCTGCCCAGAAGCAGTCTTCCTATTCCTGAAACCCCAGTCCCTCCTTTCCCAGCCTTCCTGAGGTCTTGGGATTCAACCCTTTCTTCAACTCTATGAACGAGGAGGTTTTATTTTTATTTTTATTTGAGACAGAGTCTCACTCTGTTGCCCAGGCTGGAGTGCAGTGGTGCAATCTCAGCTCACTGAAACTTCCACCTCCCAGGTTTAAGCAATTCTCCTGCCTTAGCCTCCCAAGTAGCTGGGATTACAGGGGTGCACCACCATACCCAGCTAATTTTTGTATTTTTAGTAGAGACGAGGTTTCACCATGTTGGCCAGGCTGGTCTCAAATTCCTGACCTCAGGTGATCCACCTGCCTCAGCCTCCCAAAGTGCTGGGATTACAGGTGTGAGCCACCGCACCCAGCCAGAAGTTTTTAAATAAATGCTCTTTTTGGCTTAAGTTCATTAAATCCAAACTGATACCTCATGCAAAACCTGAGCTATGGTAATAATAATCCCCATTATTTACAGCATGAATACACTGAGTTCTACCATGTGCTGAGAACAGTGTGGGACACATCACACACATTAATCTAATCTAATTCTCATTTTACAGATGCAGAAACTAGGACATAGAGATAGAGACCATGTCTATAGATCCACACTTAAAAGAGATAGAAAGGGGATTCAGGTCCAGCTTTTTTTTTTTTTTTTTTTTTTTTTTTTGAGACAGAGTCTTGCTCTGTCACCCAGGCTGGAGTGCAATATTGCGATCTCGGCTCCCTGCAACCTCTATCTCCCAGGTTCAAGCGATTCTCCTGCCTCAGCCTACCGAGTAGCTGGGATTGCAGCCGCCTGGCACCACGCCCAGTTTTTTTGTATCTTTAGTAGAGACGGGTTTTCACCATGTTGGACAGGCTGGTCTCAAACTCCTGTCAGGGCCAGCTTTTTTTTTTTTTTTTGAGGCAGAGTCTCGCTCTGTCGCCCAGGCTAGAGGGCAGTGGCGCAATCTCGGCTCACTGCAAGCTCTGTCTCCCAGGTTCACGCCATTCTCCTGCCTCAGCCTCCCGAGTAGCTGGGACTACAGGCACCCACCACCACGCCCAGCTAATTTTTTGTATTTTTAGTAGAGACGGGGTTTCACTGTGTTAGCCAGGATGGTCTCGATCTCCTGACCTTGTGATCTGCCCACCTCGGCCTCCCGAAGTGCTGGGATTACGGGCGTGAGCCACGGCGCCCGGCCCAGGTCCAGCTTTATCTGGCTTCCAAACCTACGCTCTTTTCTTTGCTCTTCCCTCTCTTCCTTCCTTCCTTCTCTCCTTCCCTTCTTTCCTTCCTTCCCTTTTTTCTCTTTCTTTTGGAATCAGACCTCAGGGACAGATTGCTGAGTTAGCCACACTCCTCATTTCCTGGCACCTGATCGCCACTGGTTCATGCGAAGTCCTTCCCTTGTTTCATGACGCACATTCTTCCCATCTCACTAAATCCCCTTCCCATGGCCCCATGATCATGGCTCACATGTGATGGGCCCTGGCCTTTCACCAACAGTCACTCCAGATACTTGGTTGTGTCAAGCCTTTGGGTTTCTTTGTGTCCTTGGGGATCAAAATCCACTTAGACTTAGGAAACTTTTCAGCAGTTCCATCCATTGGCCAACCCATCAGCCCTGTTATGGGCTCAGCTCTGGGCTGGGCTGAGATATAGAACTAGTAAGAAAGGGAAACTTCAAGAAGTTTAAAATTCCTTCCATTCAACAAATGCATATGGGGCACTGACTTCCTGTGCAGGTCCAGGATAGAAAGATGAATACAACTTTCTGGCGCCTGAGACCATGAGCCTTATTAAGCAATTACTACCTTGGGTCACAGACTGCTGTAGACGAGGTGGTGAAGAGCTCAGACAGACATGGAACCCAGCCCTGGACATGAAGCAGATGGCAGTGTTAGCCACAGAAATCACAAAGAACCACACACCTACGTAAGCACAACCGTTTCTGCTCACCCGTCTCGGCATTGTGCAATCACAGTTGGCAAGACGGCTCATCGAATTTGGAGGGGAAGTTTGGAATGGCCAGACTTAAAACGCAGACTATGTGGCAAGCAGTAATAAAAACTCACTGTCGGGACAGGGGGAATACCTCAGAGAAGGAAGCAGTCATCCTTGACTTATGGAGACTCAGAGCAGGGGGCCTGTCAGACTGTTGAGTGGGACACAGATGTGCCCATCCATATATGCCTGCCCATGAACAAGTAAGCAAGGCGTCTAATATGAATCCCAATCAAAAGACACAAGTGCAGAAAGCTCTGCCCTCAGGTAGATTCATAGCTGAGCCTGCTTCCTGCATGGGCAACTCTATCTACATGAGGCCCAGGACACATGGCAGTGGGTAGTTTAGCTAACAGGGGGAATGGTCCTCCCCAGCAACCCCTCTGCTTAGCAGCTGAGAAGGCAGCAGTGAGCACTCCCCTCGCTCAGAGAGACACAAGTATGCCCAGAATGGAATCTGCTCATGAGGGGCTGCCCTCTGGGGTAGGTCAAGGCCTCCCAAACCAGCACATCCATGTGGGAACACCTACAAAGGCTCTATAACTCAGGTCTGTGTCCCCAGCCCAGCAGTGCTGAGCAGGAGGGAGCCCACACTGGAAGTGGGATGACAACTTCCCAGACCCTCGTTCATGCAGCAGACCACAGGCGCTGCCCTGGGTTCTGATAGCAGTACCAGCTCCTCTTCAGGACCTGGGGACCCTTTAATCCAGATGGTGGGGGACAAGAGAACCATGAGACCCCTTTCTAGGGGGCCCTAACTGCTGCCCTGCTGGGCCAGGTGTCACCTTGCTGTGTCTGCTTTGATCACACCCATTGGGACATTTGTGGTTCCAGCTGTGCACACGTCTCACTGTGAGCCAGGAGAGTGGGAAAGGACTGGGAGGTCACTTAGTGGGCAGACTCTCAGCCTGCTCTGGCTGGAGCTGAAGAGGCGTCCTGTCGCACAGTACACAACACATACTATGCAATGCTGTCCACCCCAGCCTTGCCTTGTGGGGTCTGGGGCCTGGCAGAGAGGGGGCTTAGAACTGTGGAGAAAGCCCTGCAGAGGATGTGCACCTTCCTCTGGGCTTTGAGAGATGAGCCACCTTGGGTTAGGAAGGAGGAGTAGGAATGCTGCTCCCGGAAAAGGGATCAGGGAACAGCCGGAACGAAGATGCAGGGGTGGGAATGCGTGAGAAGTCTGGCCTGAGTGAGGGGAAGGCATTGGGAGGAGGAGTTCTGAAACACAGCAAACCACTAGGCCAATCGCCATCCCCTCCTGGTTCTTTCACTACAGCACCAGACACAGAAGCCGCGATGTTCCCCAAGGCTACATCCTTCTGGGCATCTCCTGTCTCCCTTCTCCTATCCCTCATCCCTGGTCCAAACAGCCAAGCCCCAGGATCACAGGAAACCCACGGTGGGCTATCCTTGGCCCCTGACACTTCAGTCCCATTCCTCTGGGCCTCTTGACTCTTATCTTTGCCCTGGATGGACTTTTACATTCACGTTAAAAAAAAATCAGTTCGGGGTGGTGGCTCACATCTGTAATCCCAGGGCTTTGGGAGGCCAAGGCAGGAGGATCACTTGAGGCCAGGAGCTCTAGACCAGTGCAGGCAACAAAGTGAGACCTCATCTCTACAAAAAAAAAAAAAAAAAAAAAATTTAGCCGGGCAGCACATGCCTGTAGTCCCAGCTACTTGGGAGGCTGAGGTGGGAAGATCACTTGAGCCCATGAGTTCGAGGCTGTAGTGAGCTATGATCTTGCCACTGCACTCCAGCCTGCACCACAGTGAAACCCTGTTTCAATAAATAAATAAATAACAAATAAAGGATGGTTGTCTCAGAGCTGAACAGGGACTGGAATGGGAAGGTCTTTGGACCCTGTGTGGGTAGGACACTTACTGACTGGGTGCCACCTTCAGGTAGGAGAGTGCCCAGGTACAGCTGCTCTGAGGCCAAGGCCTCCCATTCATTCATCCAACAAATACTTATCAAGCACCTACAATGTGCCAGGCACTGCCCTAGTCTCCGGGGGTGCACCCGTGATGAAGAGGTTTAAAACCCCTGCCACAATGGGGAGAATGTGGAGAAACTGGAATCTGTGTGCATTGCCAGTGGGTATGTAAAGTAGTATACAGCCACTGTGGAAAATGATATGGTGGTTCCCCAAGAAGTTAAACATAGAATTACCATATGATGCAGCAATTCCACTTCTTTAGGTATAGACCCAAAAGAACTGAAAGCAGGGATTCAAACAGATATTTGCGCACCCATGTTCACAGCAGCATTATTGGTTTGCAATAGCTGAAAGGAAGAAACAACCCAAGCGCCCACGCATGGCTGAACAGATGAACATGTGGTACAGTTACACAATGGAATATTATTCAGCCGTAAAAAGCAATGAAGTTCTGACACATGCTACAACATGGATGAATCTTGAAAACATTATGCTAAGTGAAAGAACCAGACATAAAAGGACAAATACTCTATGATTCTACTTACATGAGGTGTCTAGAGTAGTCAAGTTCATAGAGACAGAAAGTACAGCGGTGGTTGCAGGAGCTGCAGGGAGGGAAATGTTTGGTGGGTAGTGGGAGTTAGTGTTTAGTGGGTAGAGAGTTTCAGTGTGGGAAGATGAAGAAGTTCTGAAGATGAATGGTGTTGATGGTTACATGATATTGTAAATATACTTAATGTCACTGAATTGTACACTCAAAAATCATTAAAATGGTCGATTTTATGTTATATATATTTTACCACAATTAGAAACAAACAAAAACCTTCCCCATGGAACTTACGTTCTTCTGAGTTGCCCCAGACGAGAGCTTATAACGAAGAGTAGTGTTAACTCTGCCACCTCAAAGCAGGGGTCAACATGGGGTTCTGCAGAAGAGTCTGGAGTAGGATGGGAGGGGTCAGGAAGCAAGAGGTCACACACAGGTTCCCCTCAATCTCTGTACCCAGAACGGCTCTCCTGTTACCAATTTTGAGTGTATTCTGATAAAATTTTATTTGACAAAAAGGCTGCCACCACTAAAGAACACTTTTTTTTTCCTAAACCACTGCCTTCCTTCTCTAAAACAACCACTGACCAGGAGATGCTTCCATGAAGAGTGAGCAGGCAGGGGCCACTTTGCAAGAATCTGCATGGGCAGGGGATAGGGCCCAGAGGGCAGGGCTCTCACAGCCCCGCCACACTTCTCCCGGGCTGGAGGGTCAGTTTTCAGATTTCTGGCTCCATCTCCTCCTGGAGGGCAGGGTTCTTGGCTGAGTCACCTCTGGTCTTGCCCAGGGTGGGGTATGGAAACGGCACCTGATTTTGGCATTGGAAACCTTGGCTCCAAGTCCTGGCTGGGCCTTTTATAAGACATTTAATGTCCCAGCCTATTTTCTTAGCTGTAAAATGAGAATGACCCTGACACCACCCATCTCCCAGGATCAGACACAACACCACAGCACAGCACAGGACAGTGCTTGGCACAGAGGGGTGCACGTACATGGGGGGCCTCAGAGTTCAGGCCTTAAGGCCCAGGAATGGGGGGCTGTGGGCCCCAGGTGTGCCCAGGAGGCCCTGGGGCGGGTCCCTGAGCCCTTGGACCTGCCCAGCCAGCCCTGCCAGTCCTGGCCAGTCCCGGCGCTCATTTGGGGCGTGGAGGGGGCACTAAGTGCACAGCCGCCCCCAGAGTAAACAGCCTGATGAGCACGGGAAAACAAGATGCTGAAATGCTTCTGAGCCACGTCATGGTTTCAGAGGCACTGGCCCGCCAACCCCAGGAGCCTTCCTGGGCCCCACCCAGGTGATGTGACCACACCCTGTGCTGCCCCTAACCCATCTCTGCATGTGACAATTCTGTGCTTTCTATGCTGGGCTGTGACTTCTTGAAGGCGGGGACCCACCCTACTGGTCTCTACTCCCCTGGCACATAGACAGGGTTCAGTAACTGCATGTTAAATCAGCGGTGATGATGATGATGGTGACAATGACAGTTGCAGCAGCTATCCAGCACATGGCCCTTGCCATGGGTGTGGCCACAGTGCTAAGAATCTTCATTTAACTCTTTTAACCCTCACGGAAATCCTCGCAGGTGTGTCCTGTTGCCATGATCCTCATTTTTAATGAAGGCACTGAGGCACAGAGAGCTTAAGTACCTTGCCAAAGGTCATACAAAGTGACAGAGGCAGGGCTTGAACCCCGGTGCCTTGGTTTGCCCTTTTTATTTTTGTTTGTTTATGTATTTTTATTTTATTTTATTTTTTTGAAACAGAGTCTCACTCTATTGTCCAGGTTGGAGTACAATGGCGAGATCTTGGCTCACTGCAACCTCCACCTCCTGGGTTCATGCGATTCTCATTCCTCAGCCTCCCGAGTAGCTGGGATTACAGGCCCCCGCCACCATGTCCGGCTAATATTTGTATTTATATTAGAGATAGGGTTTCAGCATGTTGGCCAGGCTGGTCTCGAACTCCTGACCTCAAATGATCCTCCCACCTCAGCCTCCCAAAGTGCTTGGATTACAGGCATGAGCCACTGTGCCCAGCCTGTTCATTTATGTAGACAGGGTCTCACTCTGCGGCCCAGGCTGGAGTGCAGTTGTGTGATCAGGGCTTACTGTAGCCTCGACATCTAGGGCTCATGTGATCCTCCCACCTGAGCCTCCTGCCACACTTCGCTAATTTTTTAAAAAATGTTTTGTGGAGATGAGGTCTTACTATGTTGCCCAGGCTGGTCTCTAAGTCCTGGACTCAAGCCATCTCCCTGCCTTGGCCTCCCAAAGTGCAGGGATTACAGGTGTGAGCCACCACACCTGGCCTCCCTTTTAACCACTCCTCCCAGCTGCCTGGACAAGGACACTTTCTCTCCTACTGACTCCTCATCCATGGTAATCATCAACTTCTTGGGAAGGGACATTAGGCGCCCTCGGGCCACCTTCATACGCAGCCTCTAAGATCCCTTCTGAGGTGTACCCTGGCAGAGAGGCCATCTTGAGACTGTGTAGACCCTCCTTTGGCAGGGAACTCCGCACCACACCGGCACTCATCTCAGATGGGACCCCAGCCAGCCTCCTCAAACGTGGCCTGCTGGACATAAAGAACGGTCCCTCTCTCATCTTTGGTGGCTTTTCAGCTATATAAATTCACCTCTCCTCTGGCTAACAGCCCCTGCATCGTCACCACTGCTCTGCCCCCACACCCCCTTCCTCTTGGTGACCTGCCTGGGGAATTCCTACTTGGCTGGGATCTGAGAGCTGCACCCCACACACGGGCAGTTGGCCCAAGAAGCGGGGATGGAGAAAGGCTGCGGCCCTCCCTGTGCTAGGTCCTTGCCTCCCATGTGTGGGGGCTCTCCTGATCTTCACACTCTTGGTCCATAAGGAACCCATGGAAAACCAGTCCCCTTGGGCCCCCACGCTCCTCCACTATGTATTTGAACGAATCATTTTAGTGAACCCAAATATAAAATGTTACATTTTCCCTTGTAAAATGTCTTCTTTTTTCCACCCTGACAAGACTACTTTGAGTCATGACTTTGTTACCCCAAAGTCATTTATTGTTCCTCTGGGGGCTGGGTCACCTGCAGCCCAGAGAAGCCTCCCTTCAGGGGCTTTATTTGTTATTTTTTTGAGATGGAGTCTCACTCTCGTTGCCCAGGCTGGAGTGCAATGGCCCAATCTCGGCTCACCACAATCTTCGCCTCCCGGGTTCAAGCGATTCTCCTGCCTCAGTCTCCCGAGTAGCTGGGATTACAGGTATGCACCACCAGACCTGGCTAATTTTGTATTTTTAGTAGAGAGGGGTTTCACCATGTTGGCCAGGCTGGTCTTGAACTCCCGACCTCAGGCAATCCGCCCACCTCGGCCTCCCAAAGTGCTGGGATTACAGGCGTGAGCCACTGCGGGGCTTTATTTAAAAAAAGGAAAAGAGAAAAAACACATTGCTCAGCAAGTTTCTCTTCTCTGTCTTGAAATTTAGGACTAATAAATGGATTTGTCTCTGGTCATGCCACCTCTCTCCAGAAGTGCTGCTTTGGGGGCTCTGGCCAACCTGGATGACCACCCGTGGGGAACGTGACCACCTGTGGGGAATGTGACCACCTATGGGGAATGTGACAAGTGGGTCGTTTTCTAGGACAGAGTTGAGAGAGCTCTATTTTACATTTTCTCTTCTGTTAGGGGCTTCATTTCACTCTTAATGATCTTTGTTCCACTTTTTTTTTTTCTGCCAGTGTGAGGACTATTCTCAAGGGAAGTAGAATTGGAAACAAAATGGGAATTGTGCACTTTTTTGTTCTCTCTACTCGGCGTCTTCGCCTAGCCGAGGGGAGTCGCTGCCTTGTCCATCCTCTTGCTCCAAACAGACCAATAAGGAAGCAAACAAACAACTTTGGTGCTGACCAGGATTCCTTTACAATCGTTGCTAATTCTAGACTTCGGTCCTTCTGGACATTCTGACATACCCATGGTATATCACAGCCAAGGCATCAGGCAGTGTGAAAACCCAGCAGGTTCATTGAAAACCTACACTCATCTGTTCTCCTTGGCTGCTGCCCGCCCCCTTCCTCCCTGTTAAAATCATTTGCGATTTCATCATCAAAATCTAATTTCCACTAGGTGGAATGCTTATGCCTGGCAGGTTTTCCTCTACCCCTCACATTATTCTAATCCCACTGAAATAATAATTCCTTTAGGCAGCTTGTTTGAGACCACCATTTTGATCAAGCCCTACTCCATTCTCGCCTTGGGGACATGTCACAGAGTGGTTTGTCTAAAATCTTTTCCTAGAACTTTGATATTGTTATTTTAGGTTATTATTGTGATTTCATGTTATCCTCCCCCTTTGGGAGAAATGGTTTCATCATTTTGTAATTAAATTAGATTTGCAAAATGTCAACAATAGGATGTGCAATGCATTACACGTGCATTACGTAGTAATCTATTGTCAAGACAGAGACCTCCTGGTGAGGTGACAGAGCCCTGGGCCCCACTGCCTTCTACTAGACTGTTGCTTTCTCAGACGGTGAGGAATAAATCAACCTTATCTAAGAATCCTTGTCTAAGAAATACCTGGCTTTTCTTTGAGATCCCCTCACTGATTGAAGCACCCCTGCAGTCACTCAGGGTGATTCACAGAAGCAGATCTGGGGACCACGTGGCCAGGGAGTGGGGAGGAATCAGGCTACCAAAGAAACAGAGACCCGGCCCTGCCTCGGCAAGTGGGCTGCCCTGGCTCAGGCCACGTAGCGAAGAGGGCAGAATTTGTCCTCAAGCCCACACCTGCCTACCCCTCCGCCACTGCTCCACAAACTGCACCCCTAGCCCACATCTGAGTTGCTGTGTCCTGTCCCATGGCTACTTAGGCCATCCCACCAGGCCTGCCATCCCCAGGAAGTGTCCAGCTCAGAGTCCTCTCTCCACACCTGTCTCCAAGTGTCAGCAAGCTTTCAGACTGGAAAGGATTTATTCACAAACTCATGTGGGTGAACAAAGGAGTCCAACAGTAAGGGAGACATTTTCAGCTGTGAGGCCAACTAGGGCTGTGTGGAGAGGACTTGCCCCCTGAACCTGAGATCACAGTGACCTTGGTCTCCAAGGTCCTGTGAGAAGCACGGCTGGCCCAAGTCAGAGCCACTCAACAGCATCTTATTCATCCAGAGTCACTGAGGTTCCCATCAATTACATTTTCTGAAAATGAAACTTGAATTGCCAAAACACTATTTTAACCTTTGAAAATAAATCTTCCTAAAAGGTGGCCCATAGTCCCTAATGACTTAAAACCTCTCCTTTTCCCACTGAAGTGGTCATCATTATCCCTATGGAATGGGACAATAATGTGATTGTGTTTCCATGTGCTGTTTAATTACAACCTTCCTTACAGCCTTCACTTTCCTGTTATCTACAAGTCTCTCTCTAAAAACCACCTTCCACCAGCCACCCTTCCAGGCTGTTTGTTTTGCAGAGCGTTGGGAAATCAGACAGCACTCCTGTTAGGACAGTGTGCTCCACAGATGTCAGCGAAGCTTGAGGCCCACAGAGAAATAAGGCACTTGGTTCAGACGCAGGGATTTTGATTAAGCTATTTCTGAGGGTCTTCTTTCCAATACCTTCCAGTTCACGGCTAAAATCCAAAGGCAGATGGGGCCAAGACTCACTTGCACGTGGAATGCTCCTTGAATCTATTTCTCATGGTCCTCTGACTGGTAAGATGTTTCTGTCGTCGTGTCACTGTCAGGCAGGAGTTCCAGGGCTTGCTCTGCTTCTATTTGTTATGTGTGGCCCTGCTAGATGAGCAGCGTTGGTGAGACCCCTAGACCTGAGAGGTCCCATTAAGAGGGATGAGATCAAGAGAGGTGAGATGTGCAGCCTGTGTCCCTGGCCCTGACCTGGCATCCTTCTCTTACGTGTCTAGTGTGTTCTATAGACTTCAACCTCCTGACACAGCATCTGTGGCCATGGCCATTTTACAGCATGACCAACGGAGCAGTGAGAGTCTGGGAAAGAGCAGAGCCCCTCAGGGAGACCACTTGGATGAGCTCATCATGTGCTAGCTCTTCAAGGAACCCGGGGTGCAGCATGTGGGCGGTACAGTAACGGGCAGCCTGGGCTGTGTTTGGAGCTGCTCTGAGTTGGGAAGGGCTGGCTGTCACAGCTGGGGCAAAGATGCAGCCAGGATCTCACTCTATGTTGCTCACCTGGTGGGTTGTGACTTGCTACTGGGTCATGAAATCAATTTAGTGGGTCACAACCAGCCTTTCTCTTTAAAAAAATAAACAGAATAGGACAGGTGCAGTGGCTTATGCCTGTAATCCCAGCACTTTGGGAGGCCGAGGAGGGCGGATCATGAGGTCAGGAGATCAAGACCATCCTGGCTAACACGGTGAAACCCTGTCTCTATTAAAAATACAAAAAAAAAAATTAGCTGGGCGTGGTGGCAGGCACCTGTAGTCCCAGCTACTCAGGAGGCTGAGGCAGGAAAATGGCGTGAACCTGGAAGGCGGAGCTTGCAGTGAGCCGAGATCGCGCCGCTGCACTCCGGCCTGGGTGACAGAGCGAGACTCCGTCTCAAAAAATAAATAAATAAATTAATTAATTAATTAATTAAACAGAATAATATCCAAGCACATCACATGTAGTCAGGGTGAATATTGTTTTGACAAAACTTTTGCGGCCGGGTGCAGTGGCTCACACCTGTAATCCCAGCACTTTGGGAGGCCGAGGCAGGCAGATCACGAGGTCAGGAGATCGAGACCATCCTGGCTAACACAGTGAAACCCCGTCTGTACTAAAAATACAAAAAAAAAATTAGCCAGGCGTGGTGACGGGCACCTGTAGTCCCAGCTACTCGGGAGGCTGAGGCAGAAGAATGGTGCGAACCCGGGAGGCGGAGCTTGCAGTGAGCCAAGATCACGCCACTGCACTCCAGCCTGGGTGACAGAGCAAGACTCTGCCTCAAAAAAAAAAAAAAAAAACTTTTGCTTCAGTGCTATGTATCCATACATTGAGGTGTGTCCTGCTTGGGACAGGAGATATCTTTCTCACCATAAGCAGTGGTCGAAGAAGTCAGAAATACAGTGGTTACACTCACATCCATCCTGCAGTTGATCTTCCTAAGACCCATCCCTGCCACCTTACCCTCAGTTGGGAAGCCAAATGGAATTTGTTCAGGGCCCTAGAACTAGCCTCACCTGGAAGGGACAGAGGAGTCTGGGAAGCCTTCTTGGAGGAGGTGGGGCTTGCTGTGGTGGGAGCAGGAAGAGGGACACAGGGCAGAAGGGAGGGCAGGGGCAATTGTCCCAAGGTGGGAAGAGCAGGAAGAAGGAAGCCTGGAGAGGCCTGGGAGGGGCAGTACTAGACACCGCCTTCTCATGCAGGCAGAATGAGGGCTGAGGCCAGCGTTAGGGGGAGAAAGAAAGCCCATTTGGTTTCGATGTGGAAACAGCCAAGTAATCTTCTACTTGATGCCTGCTTTTGCAGATGGTTGGAATCATCCTTAGTTAAGAACCAAGGCCTCCTCCTCCTTTATTCCAAATCTCTTTGGGGAGCACTTGGTAGTGGAGCAGTCAGGTGGGGTATCAGCATAACATCCCTAGCTCTCACCAACCCAGAGAATACAACTTCATAGTGCCTGTTTTCCTTTTTTCAGTTTAAATTACAATTTTAAGGTGGGGTGTCGAGGTTCACCCCTGTAATCCCAGCACTTTGGGATGCCAAGGGAGGATCGCTTGAGCCCAGGAGTTTGAGACCAGCCTGGGCAATATAGGGAGACCCCCATCTCTCAAAAAAAAAAAAAAAAAAAAAAAAACAATTAGCTGGGTGTGGTGGCACACACCTGTGGTCCCAGCTACTTGGGAGGCTGAGGTGGGAGAATTATGTGAGCCCAGGAGGTCAAAGCTGCAATGAGCCATGATCACAGCACTGCACTCCAGCGTGGGTGACAGAGTAAGACCTTGTCTCAAAAAAAAAATTCAATTTTAATTCATTAAAATGAAAAAATCCAGTTCCTCAGTCACACTGGACACATCTCAAATGTTCAATAGCCACATGTGGCCAGTAGCTACTTCATGGAACAGCACAGAGAACATTACTATCATCATGGTAAATTCTAGTGGGCAGTGATGTTCCAGAACAACAAAATGAATAATTTATTCATTCCTTCAGGAATGCAACGTCTTTCATTACTTCTATGACACCTGAAATTCTAAATGCAAATGCTTCTGAGAGAGGCACTGGAATGACTTAAGTTCTTACCAAATAGTAACTGGTTGATGTCAAGGGTCCAAAGAAAGCCACCATCTACGGAAACCATCTACCTGAGGCTGAGTCTGTGTGACACATGGGGGCTGCAGGGATGTCGGACGGTCAGATACTGTCCCTAACCGGAGGTGCTGTCTGAGAATGCTGATGGATAAGGGTTAAGCACCTCTGTCAAGGAGTGTGGAAAATTCTGTGACCTGTAAAGAAAGAAAATGACCCAAAGTTATTATTCATCTTCAGATGAGGGGACAGTTTATTTTCCAACAGTCCTCAGCAGGGGTTATTGCATGAGAAACAAGCTCTTCTCTATTTCTAGGTAAGGCAGAATAAGAAGTGGACACACAAGGAGGCTGGGTGTGGGGCTCACGCCTATAGTTCCAACACTTTGAGAAGTTAAGGCAGGAGGATGGCTTAAGCCCAGAAGTTGAAAGCTACAGTGAGCTATGATCGCACCACTGCACTCTAGCCTGGGTGACAGAGCAAGACCCAGTCTATTAAAAAAAAAAAAAAAAAATGGACGCAGGCCTTTGCAGAGGAGGATGCTTGTGAACTTGGCCCTCCTCTGCCCTCTACATTTTACTCAATGACCAAGCCCATGGCTTTATCCATCTCCTCCGCACCAACATCTCCCAGAACCATAGTACCGACCTAGGCCTAGAGATCTAAATACTGACTTATCCTCACCAGGAGCCCAGAAGGAATTGTCACAATCTCTGTGCCCTGCCCCCACCACTTCTCTTCCTGTAGTCCCTACCCTGGCTCATCCTCCACCACACTTGTCCAAGTCAGCACCTGTGAGTCACCCCGGGCTTCTCCTCCTTCCTCCCTCCCCTGTGCAAAGTCACCATGTCTTGGCCACCTCTCCTGTCTGCCTCAAGTCAGCTCTGCTCTCCTCCTCGCCAGCCCTGCCCCAGCTGCGTCCTCCTCCTGCCACACCTGCTCTCTGGCAGGGGCCGCCTGCTGGCTTCCCTGCTTCCAGTCATGGCCACCTCCAGCCCGATGGCACTGAACCACAGATGAGCAACAGAATGACCTGGGGAGGCATTTAAAATCTAGATCCTGACTCAGTTGATCTGGCCGGGTCAAGCATGTGTATTTTTGCAAAAGTGCCCCAGGTGATTCTGACACATACTCCTAGTTAAGAACCACGGTTACGGCCGCCTCTTCCTCATCGTTATTAATAACAAGAGAAACAACAATTGACATTTTTTGTGCACTTACGTGCACTGCCTCATGTAATCTTCATGACAATGCTATGAGACAGGAGCTGTATTCTACTCCCATTTTACAGTTGTTGAAACTGAGGCATAGAAAGTCTCAGGGCTAGTGAGGGGCAGGACCAGCTCATGACCAGCCTGACTTCTAACCGCTGTGCTCTCCATACCCCTTTATAAAGCCGAAATTCATATGTGGCTCCCCTCCTCACACCATTTCCTGATAGTTCTAGAAAAAAAAAAAAAGCAGTGTGGGGACACATTTATGATTTCCCTCTCCACCCAACCTCCCACCAATAGCTTCTTAACGCTAAAAGAAGTCTCTTGATCAGGGTAGTGGGGACATAGTGAATACCTATGTAAAAATTCACTGAGATGTATGCTTAGGATTTGTGACTTTATGTTTGTCATTCCCCAATAAGAAAAGATCCTTTAAAAAGTCACTTAAAAAAAAAAAGAACCTAGCAAATCTGAAACAGAGAAAAATATGCATCTGCTAAAGAAACTGGGGAAAGGCCATAAAAATGCCAGCAACTGTGAAGAATTCTTTCTGGTGCCGGGCGCAGTGGCTCACGCCTGTAATCCCAGCACTTTGGGAGGCTGAGGCGGGTGGATCACGAGGTCAGATCGAGACCACGGTGAAACCCCGTCTCTACTAAAAATACAAAAAAAAATTAGCCGGGCACGGTGGTGGGCGCCTGTAGTCCCAGCTACTCAGGAGGCTGAGGCAGGAGAATGGCGTGAACCCGGGAGGCGGATCTTGCAGTGAGCAGAGATCACGCCACTGCACTCCAGCCTGGGTGACAGAGCAAGACTCCGTCTCAAAAAAAAAAAAAAAAGATTTCTTTCTGGCAATAACACAGGTAAGAACAGGCTAGGAAAAGATCCCCAGAGCTAACCCGCAGGAAATGCTCGAAAGAAACCAGGCTGGGAGAGGGCACTGGCTAGAGGCAGGGCTCCGGGCATGACTGACAGGAAACCCCAACACAGTGGGCTTGATGGCAGTCAGCAGTCGGGCACAGGCCAAGAGCCATAGCAGTAACAGCAGCAGCGACACAGGGACTCTGAGGGCCCACAGGACTGTCTCTGGGCCAGGGACTGGGGGCTGCCCCAGGTGGAGGTCAATGACAGTGAGTTAACTCCTTAACTTTCACAATTCACAAAAATACTACAGATTCCATCTAGATTAATATTTATTTTATTTTTTGGAAACAGGGTTTCACTACGTAGCCCAGGCTGGAGTGCAGTGGCTAGTCACAGGTGCAATCGCAACGCACTACAGCCTTCAGCTCCTAGGCCTGAGCATTCCTCCTGCCTCCGCCTCCCAGGTAGCTGGGACTCCAGGTGCACACCACTGTGCCCAGCTAGATTAAGATTCAAATTAAAAAAAAAAACTCACTAAAATATTGAGATAATTTGTGTGAATATATTAATATAAATTCTGCAGCGGAAGTATTCCTGAAACTGATATAAAGACAGAAACAATGCCTATAATCCCAGTATTTTGGGAGGCCAAGGAGGGCAGATCACTTGAGCTCAGGAGTTCAACACAAGACTGGCCAACATGGTGAAACCTAGTCTCTACTACAAAAATACAAAAACTAGCCGGTGTGGTGGGGGCATGCCTGTAATCCTGGCTACTCGGCAGGCTAAGGCAGGATAATCACTTGAACACAGGAGGCAGAGGTTTCAGTGAGCTGAAATCGTGCCACTGCACTCCAGCCTGAGTGACAGAGCAAGACTCTGTCTCAAAAAAAAAAAAAAAAAAAAAAAGACAGAAACCAGCCCAGTCCTAGTGATCCAAATACCAGTGACTTATCTGGCCAGGAGCCTCCACACAACAATCCCAAAGGGAATTGTCACGATCTCTGCACCCCACCCCCACCACTCCCCTTCCTACAGTCCCAATCCTGGCTCATCCTCTACCTGCTCACACCCTGCCCTCCTCCGGGTCAGCACCTGTGAGTCACCCCGGGCTCCTCCTCCTTCCTCCCTCTCCCACCCAAGGTCACCACATCTTGGTCCCCTCTCTCATCTGCCTTGAGTTGGCCCCGCTCGCCTCCTCTCTAGCCCTGCCCCACCTTCGGCCTCATCCTGCCACATCTGCACTCTGGCAGGAGCCGCCTCCCTGCTGGCCTCCCTGCTTCGAGTCATGGCCACCTCTAGCCTCATGGTTTGGAAAGCCTATACAGACTACCTTGATTACATGGATATTTTAGATTCATGAATGCTTTAAAAATGAACAAGACTAAATGACAAGTGATAATCTAGGATAAAATATTTGTAATATATGAGAATTGGGCAAGGTGGCTCACACCTGTAATCCCAGCTACTGGGCAGGCTAAGGCAGGAGTATTACTTGAGGCCAGATGTTTGAGGCCAGCCTCGGCAACATAGTGAAACCCTCATCTCCAAAAAAAAAAAAAAAAACCACACACACACACACACACACACGTAATATATGACAGACAAGGAGTTAATAGCCTGAATACATCTTTAAAATAAATAAGAAAAAAATAATATACCACACTAAATAATAATAATAAACTACACAAATGAAGTGGGAAAAATGGAGAAATATATCAATAGAAAACAGAAAACTGACTGGGCTCGGTGGCTCACGCCTGTAATCCCAACACTTTGGGAGGCCGAGGTGGGCGGATTGCTTGGGCTCAGGAACTTGAGACCAGCCTGGCCAACACGGCAAAACCCTGTCTCTACTTAAAATACAAAAACTAGCTGGCTATGGTGGCATGCGCCTATAGTCCCAGTTACTTGGGAAGCTGAGGTGGGGGATCACCTGAGCCCAGGAGGTTGAGGCTGCAGTGAGCTGTGATCACGCCACTGCACTCCAGCCTGGGCAACAGAGCAAGACCCTGCCTCAAAAAAAAAAAAAAAAAAAAAAAAAAAAAGAAAGAAAAAGAAAAGAAAACTAGATAAAGCACATAAGCAGATAATTCATCAGAAAGAATTACCAACGGCTGGCCTGTAAAAGAGTCCAAGTAATAAAAAGAGAAAAGGAAAAGGAAAGCAAACTAAAGCAACAATGATATACTATTTGTTTTTGCTTATCAAATTTGCAAAATTTTCAAAAATGCTAATCCCCAGTGTTGGGAAGGACATAGTGAAGGAGGCACTCTCATAGGATTGGTGACAAGAGCCTAAGTTGATACATCCTTCCTGGAAGGCAATTTGACAATATGTACCAAATCCTTGAAAGTGTGCATACTCCTTGATCTACTCTATTTAACTTTTTAAATTAAAAAAAAAAAATTAAAGTATTGAGATAGTTTGTTTGAATATATTAATATAAACTCTGTAGCAGAAGTCTTTCTGAAACTGACATAAAGACAGAAACCATGCCTATAATCCCAGCACTTTGGGAGGCCGAGGAGGATGAATTACTTGAACTCAGGAGTTCAAGACAAGCCTGGCCAACATGGTGAAACCCTGTCTCTACTAAAAAATACAAAAGTTAGCCAATGTGGTGGTGCATGCCTGTAATCTCAGCTACTTGGGAGGCTAAAGCAGTAGATCCCCTTCTACTTAAGGGGATCAAAATAAGGATGTGGCTGGGGTTGGTGGTTCACACCTATAATCCCAGCACTTTGTGAGGCCGAGGCAGGTGGGTCATCTGAGGTCAGGAGTTCAAGACCAGCCTGACCAACATGGTGACACCCTGTCTCTATTAAAAATACAAAAACATTAGCCAGGCATGGTGGCACATACCTGTAACTCTGGCTACTCAGGAGGCTGAGGCAGGAGAATCGCTTAAGCCCAGGAGATGGAGGTTGCAGTGAGCCAAGATCTCCCCATTGCACCCCAGCCTGAGCAGCAAGAGCGAAACTCCATCTCATAAAAAGAATAATGATAATAATAATAAGGATGTGCACAGAGTCAGAATTATATATAATGGACACAATTGTTAATAACCTAAAGTGGCAATAAGAAGGGATTCGTTAAATCATGGTAAATTCATAGTGAAATATAAGCGATCAATAAAAATTTCATTGACAAGAAAAAATGTTCACAATGTATTGCTAAGTATAAAAAGCGAGTCATAGAACAGACGTACAGTATGAACCCATTTATGTAATAAAATATATATGCACAGAAAAAATATCTTAAAGGATATAACCAAAACCATAGCAATGTGTATCTCTGACAAATATTAGCATGATTTTTAATTTTCTTTTTCTGTTTCCTACTTCTCTTGTAAGAAACATGGCAGTGTGCACTGGCAGAGACCCCGCAGGTAATGCAGACCCCACCATACCCCCACCTTTCCATCTACCTGGTGGGGTTCCCTGTCCAGAGCTACCCTGTGGCTCTGAGCATTGATACCCTTTGTATGAGACATAAATGCTATTTCTTGTGCTGCTGTTTTAACTTTTCAAGCTTAATCTTGCCTCCTCAATTTGCTGTGGTAAGACTGGGTAAGGTTTGTGTCTCACATTTCTTGTGTGTTCTTCACACTGCCTACTACATAGCAAGTTCACAGCAAACAGCCTAAGAAAGAATGTGTCACTTCTGTGCCCAAGATCTCGTGGGCTGGCTGGCCCCACAGGTGTGGCATCTGAAAGAGCTCAGTTCTAGGCCAGCTTGAGGCTGCATGTTGTGGGCTACCTGTCAATCTAGTTCTATGAAGATGCCTATTGTCCTGCTAATTACTGTAGAGTGATGGGGCTGCTTGTTTAAAGCATAGGTTATTGCCCTCACATCCAGAGGCAAAGCCAATCCTGTGGCATCCTGTAATTAATGAGCCCATAGCATTTCTTCCTGCCTCTAGTGCAAAGTTGGCTTTGATCCAAGGGAGCACTTCCCCTCCATCTACAACTTCACATCTTTGCTGTTGGAGGCCTCTTCTGAGAAAGTACCTCCTTTCTTAAACTGGGGGGCTGATCAGAATAGCCCTATGTCCCTGGTGTTTAAAGTCAGCTTCACCAGCTCCCCCTCGTCCTTCTGAGTGATAGAGTATGCTCTTAAGTCCAAGCAAATCTACTATCCAACCAGCTCAGTTTATAGGCCCAGAGGCCAAAAGAACCCTAGAGACCACTGCAGGGGTGACAGACGGTTTGTTCATTCAAATTCAAAAAGTAAATGTTTATAGTTGTCGATAATCTCTGCAATCAGCACTCACTTCAGTTAAATCCTCTGTAGAAAAATGAGTTAAATCCTCTGGAGAGGGAGTCAGAATCAGGAAGAGGCCAGACAACTGCCTCTTTTTCTCCTTGTGTATGTGTGAATGTGTCTGGTGCTCACAAGGTTCTTGAAGGAGTGGACGGAGGAGAGAAGTCCTGAAGTCTTTGCCATGAGCACATGTGAGAGGCTTTATGGAGGCCAAGCCCAGACTTCCATCATGGGGACCTTGGCCAAGGTACTTCACAGCTCTGTGCCTCAGCTTCCTCATCTGTAAAATGGGATGATCATAGAGGACCTGCCTCACAGAGTGGTTGTTAATGGATGTTAAGCACGTAGAACACTGCCCAGCCCAAGGTGAACAGGACACAAGTGTTTGCCACTGTTAACAAAAGCAGAGGGAGCCTTTTGAAAATGTCATCTTTTGAGTCCCCTGAGCACTCTCTTGCTCTCTCTGTGAAGAAAGATTCCACACAGCCTGGCATGAGAGCAAGGTCCCTTCCCAGGTGCTTTAGAAGCCAAAGAAGTGGCTGTAGCTGAGCTGGAAGACAGCTACTGGCCACAGAACATTCCTTTGGAAGCTCTTCTCCAAGCAGCCCACCAAGGGCCTTGGGTGTTGAGAGAGCCCAGCCGGCCATGACGGCTGCCAGAGGCCTAAAACGAGGGTTGTGCTGCGGTTTCAATGTTTCTCCCAGAAAGCATGTGTTGGAAACTTAATTCCCAATGCAAGTGCTGGGATGTGGGGCCTGAGAAGTGATCAGGCCATGGGGCAGAGTGAATGAATGCTATTATCATGGGAGTGGGTTCCTCACAAAAGGACAAATTTGGCTCCCTTTTCTCTCTTCCACTCTTTTCGCCTTTCCACCTTCCACCATGGGCTGACGCAGCAAAGCCCCTCGATCTTGGACTTCCTAGCCTCTAGAACTGTAGGAAGTAAATCTCTGCTCATTATAAATTGCCCAGTCTGTGGTATTCTGTAATAGCAGCACAAAATGGACTAATACAGGGTGTTTGAGAGGAATCCCACACTGGCTTACGGGAGAGCCATCTGCCACAAACGGAGTCTTCTAAGGGTGAGGGTTGGCCAAGGCTCCAATTCTTGGAGGAAAGGTTTCTTTTCTGTAGCCTGAAAGTCTGAGATAGAAAAGCAGAAGAGGAATAGGGACCAACTCCAGATGGAGTCCTTGTTTTTAAGAGGTGGGGTAAGCCAGGCGCGGTGGCTCATGCCTGTAATCCCAGCACTTTGGGAGGCCGAGGCGGGCGGATGACGAGGTCAGGAGATCCAGACCATCCTGGCCAACATGGTAAAACCCCGTCTCTACTAAAATACAAAAAATTAGCCAGGTGCCGTGGCGCACACCTGTAGTCCCAGCTACTCAGCAGGCTGAGGCAGGGGAATCGCTTGAACCTAGGAGGCAGAGGTTGCAGTGAGCTGAGATCGTGCCACTGTACTCCAGCCTGGCAACACAGCAAAACTCCATCTCAAAAAAAAAAAAAAAAAAAAAAAGAAGTGGGGTAATTGAGTGCTAGTCAGTTGGTCTCATGGCAGGACACTACTTCAGACACATCAGTATTTGGTAAGAAGATAGACTACCTGAGTCATTAAGAAACATTCATTTTCTTATATGGTAGAATCTGTTCTTCCCTCTGAACCTAGACTTTCTGAAAGGAAGTTAAACCTCTTCTCGTCTCCTGCTCTATCTCCTCACCTAAGCCTCAGCATTTTCTTGTTCAATCAACAAACATCTTGGTTCCAGGCACTTGAACCAGCCTTGGGCCTCAGGTGAATTGATGTCACTGGTCCCCGTCTGTTGTTACCTGCTCACTGGGGCTCAGAATGCCACTGCCTTTTGTCTATTTTGTTAAATGCTGTACCCCCAGTGTTTAGAATAGTGCCTGGCTCACGGTATGTGCTCAGCAAATAGCTGTTAAATGAATGCATGAAGATGCTGCAGTGTCCATCGCCCTCCCTCAAGCCCATGCCACCCTCACACAGAGAGGTTCCACTATGGTTTCTTATTATTATTATTATTTTGAGTCAGGGTCTCATTCTGTTTCCCAAGCTGGAGTGCAGTGGCAATCGCAGCTCATTGCAGCCTGGACCTCCAGGGCTCAAGCAATCCTCCCACCTCAGCCTCCTGAGTAGCTGGGACTACAGGCACAAGCTACTATACTCTGCTAATTTTTAAACTTTTTGTGGAGACGGGGTTTCCCTATGTTTCCCAGGCTGGTCTTGAACTCCTGGGCTCAGGCAATCTTCCCACCTTGGCCTCCCAAAGTGCTGGGCTTATAGGAGTGAGCCACCATGTGCACCCAGCCTGTGGTTTCTTTTATCAATGTTTTTGTTCCACTTCTACATCCACTTTTATCTAATTCTGTTGTCTTCTTGACACGCATGCCAAATTGTCAATTTTATTTGTCTTAAATGTATTTATTAAAGTTACAGATTTTCTTGTTTTCTAATTCATTAACTTCTTTTATCTTAATTTGCTCCAGTTCCTTCTTGTCAGCTTATTTTTTGTTGTCTTGCTTCTTGAGTGTCCAACTTGCTCAGTTAAATTCTATCTGGTTTAATAATAAAGCATTTAATTCCAAGCATTTTTCTTTGAGAATAGCTGAGCCACATTTAGTAAACTTTGTAGTGTCTTCAACATCCTTAATTTCTCCATAGCTTGTGACTGCATGTAGAGAATGACAATCTATCCCACTACCCACCCCCAAACTTCACTAGCCATTCTCCTGTTCTTTGAGAGGGAAATTCGCATCTACTCATTGTTTATAAAAAGCTTTTTGTAAATACACCTTCAAGCCACTTCCCTTCAACCCAGATACCACCCACCCCTCAGCCCCTGTTTACATAGAGACTCAGGAGCCATGGGGGAGAGCCATGTGCTGGGCACTGTCTGCCCTTCGATAGCCCAGGGTTTCTCAATGTTAGCACTATTGACACTTTGAGCTGGATAATTCTTTGTGGCCAGGCTGTCCTGTGCATTGTAGGATGTTTGGCAGCATCCTGGCCTCTTTCTACCCACTAGATGCCAGTAGAATATGTGCACATGCACATGCCCATGCCCATGTGCGCACACACACATACACCCCAAGTTGTGACGACTAAAAATATCTCCAGACATTGCCAGGTGTCCTGTGCTGGGGCTGGGGGGTAAAACTGTCCCTGTTTGAGAACCACTGATACAGTCCTATAAAAGCCACAGCCACAGAGAAGCCAGGACACACAATCTTACCTCCCACCTCCGCAAAGGTCTGGGAGGACCAAGGCCTGGAGGTCCCACAGTGGGGCCCCCTACGGTTAGGTGTAGGAGCTGCAAATGAGGAGGCAAAGGAGGCCAATTCTGTTTCCTTAGGTGGGTGTAAATCTTCCCTCTTGCAGATGGAAAGAAAATGGGATCTAGGTGGCTTCTAGCTGGGAGGTACCTTCAAACTTAGGAGACCAAGAGGGTACAGGGGCAGCCTTCTCCAGCACCCAGTGGCCTTGGCCTCGGTTAGAGGGCATAAGAGGACACCAAGACTCATGGGAGCCCAGTCCAGCCCAGAGGGAAGAGGGCCAGATAGGATTCAGAGCTGAAGCCCTGGCCAAAGCAGAGAGAACACCCTTACTTCATAGAGCCTCAGGGTACAAGAACATCAGCAGCCCCTCTGTTCTCAGGAAGCAAGTGGGATCTGTACTTGGTCATAAAAAGAAGCCCATTACCCTTTACATAAAATAACATCCTGATCATTTAGCGCTATTAATGTGTAAAATGCACATACCCTTGACCTAGCAGGTACATTGCTATGAGTGTATTTTATGGCTATACCAGCACAAGTGCTCGGGGTCTACAGAGGGGCTGTGGCATACTAATCCAGAGTGCAGCCTTGGGTTGGGGCCTGGCTGCCTGGGTTCAAGTCCCAGATCTACCACCTACCAGGTATGTGATCTTGGGAAAGTTATTGACCTCTTTGCAACAGAGTTCCTTCATTGTGACATACAGGCAGTAAAAGGACCTATCTCTTGGGCTGCTACAAAGATTATGTAACTTACCATATTCCAACAACATAGTCTGTGGTCAATAAATGCTAGCTAAAAATCTGGGAATTTAAATGCCAATCATTGGTTAAATACATGTGACATATCCATTCTGTGAAATACTGGGTAGCCATTGAAAGAAATGAAGTAGAACGCTATCTACTTAAGCCGGGCGCAGGTTGCTCACGCCTGTAATCCCAGCACCTTGGGAGGCTGAGGCGGGTGGATCACCTGAGGTCAGGAGTCCTAGACCAGCCTAACCAACATGGAGAAACTCCGTTTCTACTTTAAAAAAATACAAAATGAGCCGGGCGTGTTGGCGCATGCCTGTAATTCCAGCTACTTGGGAGGCTGAGGCAGAATTGCTTGAACCCTGGAGGCGCAGGTTGTGGTAAGCCAAGATCGCACCATTGCACTCCGGCATGGGCAACAAGAACGAAACCCTGCCTCAAAAAAAAAAAGAACTATATCTACTTAAATAAGTAGAGCGTATTTAATAATAAGTAATAAATATGAATATATATATAATAGAAAAATTGTGCTAAATTTTATAATATAGATGATACACATGCAGAAAAGTATATATCATTTGAGCTTATTTGCATATAAAAAGAGCTATGTATAAATAGCTATGTGACTTTAACTGCACAGAAAGTTTCTAGATCCCTCAAGAAGCTCATTATATCTAGGGAGTGGGACTGGAGGACCAGGGAACTTTTGCTTTCTCCTTTGATATTGTTTTGAGTCTCCTACTATGAGTATGTATTTTTATTTATTTATTTAGCGACAAAGAGTCTCACTTTGTCACCCAGGATGGAGTGCAGTGGTGTGATCTCAGCTCACTGCAACCTCTGCCTCCTGGGTTCATGCAATTCTCGTGCCTCAGTCTCCCGAGTAGCTGGGACTACAGGTACGCTCCATCACGCCTGGCTAATTTTTGCATTTTTAGTAGCGACAGGGTTTCACTATGTTGGCCAGGCTGGTCTTGAACTCCTGACCTCAAGTGATCTGCCCACCTCAGCCTCCCAAAGTACTGGGATTATAGGCATGAGCCACCGTGCCCGGTCTATTTTTTTTTTAATAATAATATTCATCTTTTGAATGAGATAAATCTATCTCATTCATTCATTTCCGCTGCTGTGGAAAATTTTTCAAGATTTCTTATTAATTTTTTTAAGTGGCAGAATATGAGTAATATAATACAAGCCATAGGAACGAATCTCCATTCACAAATCCAGGTGTGCAAGAAATCAAATTTTAGTCTATAACTCAACTCATTGATTATGGTAAGCTTCAATCCTGACAATAGAAAACTTAATTTCAGGTATGTCTGAATTCTCCAGAATATTCAGAAGTGCCAGGCATGAGGCTGCCGATGAAGTCAGCAGAGGCCAGGTCTGGCAGCAGAGGCAGCCAGGAACCTTGGATCAGGTTGCCTGTGTCTTCACGGCCTAGTCCAACCTTGTCCAACCCACAGCCTGTGGGCCGCATGCAGCCCAGGACAGCTTTGAATGTGGCCCAATGCAAATTTGTAAACTTTCTTAAAACATTATGAAATGTTTTTGTGTGTTTTTTTTTTTTTAAGTTCATCAACTATTGTGTTAGTGTATTTTAGGTGTGGCCCAGACAATGCTTCTTCTTCCAATGTGGCCCAGGGAAGCCAAAAGACTGGACACCCCTGGCTAGCCCTACCATATGACTGCCTCCTTCTGGGATTGTAGTCCTGCCCCCAGCCAGCCTGGGGAGGACAGGGCTAAAAGGGTTGGGGTCCTTTCCACTCCCAAGGAAATCCTTCTTCCATCGTTTCCAGTCAAGGCATTCAGTCTGTGCAAGAGAATCCTCATCCTTTGATGAGCCACTCAGCAAATCCTGGAGTTGCCCTAAATGCTTAAGCTTTCAGCACACAAAAGCCAGAGATGCCTGAAGATAAATTCAGTTTTCTAACCTGAAAAGCTGCTCTGGAGGTAATGAGCTCCATAAATGTGAGGGCAGAAAAAGAGAAAATTCAGGAGAGAAAAAAATTAATTTCTCAGATACTATCCCTGCCACTCACATGTGTAAATGCAAAGCAAAAAGTGTAAACATTTCCACCAAATAATTAACAGTGCCTACCTGTATGGTAGGCTTTAGGATGGGGGAAGGGGTGCAAGAAGAGCATTTATATACTTGTCTATATATTTCCAAACTGTTTGGATTTTTAAATGATGAAGCTGTATTCAGCACTGCTTATATAATTTATTGTCTTATTTATTTATTTATTTATTTATTTATTTATTTTAGAGATGGAGTCTTGCTCTGTTGCCCAGGCTGGAGTGCAGTGGCACGATCTTGGCTCACTGCAACCTCCGCCTCCTGGGTTCAAGCGATTCTCCTGCCTCAGCCTCCCGAGTAGCTGGGATTACAGGCATGCACCACCATGCCCAGCTAATTTTTGTATTTTTTAGTGGAGGCAGGGTTTACCATGTTGGCCAGGCTGGTCTCAAACTCCTGGCTTCAGGTGATCCACCCGCCTCGGCCTCCCAAAGTGCTGGGATTACAGGCGTGAGCCACCACACCTGGCCATAACTTACTATCTTAAATAAATAAATACCCACACATCCTTTGCCTCCAGGGGGACAATGCAGGCCACATCTGTCTAGTTGGCTGGTGGGCAGACCTTTGGGAAGCCTATTTTCATGAGGGGTAGAAAGGTTCTGAAGGAAATAACTCTTTCTAAGGGAAGAAGGAAAACAGGCACAACAAGCTGACCCAGAGACAGTTGCGTTCAACAGCAAGAACTGATTCTGGGCTGGACTGGTATTTGTAATTTAGATGTATCTGTAGGGCGAAGCCCCACGGCTCTATAAGGCAATGCAGGGACCAGCAGCCCCACAGCACTGCTGCTATAGGAGTGTCCGTGACTCCCAGCAGGTATGGGGTGCCTGATGGGTGTGGCCGTGTCCAGCAAAACTGATAGCTACATGGGGTGTGGTAGGGGCAAAGGGAAGTCACAGAGCTGGAGGAGGGGAAAAGACGAAAAGGTAATGGTAATTGTCTAACCTTGTCCACTAGCACAGGAGAGTCACACACCCTGGGGATGCCCAAAATGCTCATGGGATGAGGGTATGTGAACTAGACAGGGGTCTAGTTCCCACACTGTCAAGTAGGGGCACGGGAGATACACAAGTGGAAAAGCTCTAAGGACGTGATAAGGGCACAAGAGTCCAGGTGTGTGTACAGGTGGGAAGCACAAGAGAGGGAGCCACAAAGTCTACAGGGGAGGGGCCAGGAAGGTCTCCTGAACAGCTGACGTGGGGTGATTCACAGTTGGATAGATAGGCAGTAGGGATTTGCGTGGCAAGGGTGGAGGGCACAAGGAACTGCATGTGCAAAGGCCTGGAGCTGAGAGAGTGAGCAAGCAGCGTTGGGGGGAACTGAAAGCAGTTCAAGCTGATGACAATGAATACAGGGGAGTGGCAGACAACGAGGCCACAAAGGTTGTGTTTCATGATAAGGAATTTGGACTTGATCCTGCAGGCAGTGGTGAAGCTCACAAGAGAAGTATTTAACAGGGAAATTAAATGATCAAACTTTCCAGTAACGTTTTTCACCACAACACTCCCATCTCTTTTAGTTAACTCCCACCCAGGCTGCAGTCTGAACATGAGAGCTGCTTCCTCCAGGAAGTGCTCCCTGAACACCCTCAGACTCAGCCCTCAGTCAAAACTTCTAGGGGTTCCCAAGCACCTCTGCCATCTTTCCCCACTGCACTGGGTCCTAATGACCTGTGCCCTGTCCTTTTCTCTCCTCCTTCATATGCTGTGAGTGCTGGAGGTCAGGACAGTATCTGTTATGTCCTATGTTGTATTCCCACAGCCTGCACAGAGCCTGGTATGGTAAGTACTCGATATGTATTTACTTAATGAAAAACACATTATCCTTAGCAAACTAATGCAGGAACAGAAAACCAACTACCACATGTTCTCACTTACAAGTGGGAGCTAAATGATGAGAACTCATGAACACAGAGGGGAGCAATACACACTGGGACCTCCTTGAGGGTGGAGGGTGGGGGGTGTGGGAAAAGGGAAAGGAGCAAAAAAAATAACTCTTGGGTACTAGGCTTAGTACCTGAGTGATGAAATAATCTGTACAACAAACCCCTGTGACACGAGTTTAACTATATAACAAACTTGCACATGTACCCCTGAACCTAAATTAAAAGTTAAAAAAAAAAAGTGTGAGAAGATAACTCTTGTGGTTTCCAACCAGAACTGTAGAGTACAGGTTGAAAACAGGGGGCAGGGGGCCAGGGAGAAGACCCTTGCAATCGTTTAGGTGAGAAGGGATGAGCGCCTGAGCTGAGGCAGTGGTGGTGGGGCTGGAGAGCAGGGAGAGATTGGGAAAATGTTTAGGAGGCAGAACTGATAGGCCAGGTGAGCAGATGAGGGAAGGGAGGGAGCCAGATAAGGGGAGGAGGACTCCTGGGATTCTGGCTTAAGCATTTGAGCAGATGATGGATTAACCAAGACTGTCTATTCTGGAAGAGGAAGCAATGTGTAGGGGAAGACGAAGAAACCAGTTTAGACATGCTGACTTTGACTTGCCTGTAAAGCATATAGGTGGAAAGGTCTCAGGTGGAACCACAAAACTGGAGCCCGGGACAGACATCTGGATTGAAGATAGAGATTTGGGAGCTGTCAGCCTGCAGGTGATGGTTAAAGACCAGGGAGGAAATAAGATCATCCAGGGAAAGGAGGAGGAGACGAAACAAGAAGAATGCCAACCTGTAAAGAGTGAGGGGAAGAGGAGCCACGGAGAGAAAGGGAGGCATGAGAGAGGGAGGAAAAGCAGGAGCTGAAAGCAGCATCACCGCTAAGGGAGAAGCAGCTTCGGGGGCTAGCAAACAGGGTCCAACAGTGTGAAGAAACAGAGCCTGCCCAGGCCTCCCTTTACAACTGAGGAAAATGAGGCCGAGGGAGGCTGATGGAGGGTGCTGGAGGCATGTGCTATTAGTACCCATGGTCGTATAGGCCATGGCTCTCAAATTATGATCCCTGGACTCCTGGGTCCCCAAGACCCTTCCCGGGGGATCCAAGAGATCAACATCATTTTTTTTTTTTTTTGAGATGAGTCTCGCTCTGTGGCCCAGGGTGGAGTGCAGTAGTGCAATCTCGGCTCACTGCAAGCTCCGCCTCCCGGGTTCATGCCATGCTCCTGCCTCAGCCTCCCGAGTAGCTGGGACTACAGGCACCCGCCACCACGCCCGGCTAATTTTTTGTATTTTTAGTAGAGACAGGGTTTTACCGTGTTCGCCAGAATGGTCTCAATCTCCCAACCTCATGATCCGCCCACCTCGGCCTCCCAAAGTGCTGGGATTACAGGCGTGAGCCACCGCGCCCGGCCAAGGTCAACATCATTTTTATAATAATACCAAGAGTTTTTCTGCAGCATTCACTTTGCGGACATTTGCACTGATGATGCAAAAGCAACAGTATTTGGTGCCTTCTAGAGCCTTAAGTCAATGAAGAGGCACCAAACTGCACCAGGAGTCACAGTCTTCACCCCCATGTACTTGCAGTTCAACAGAAAGGCAAACTTAATGTAAAAATGTCCATGATAGAGTAATAATTATTAATTTTATTAAAACTTATCCCTTGAATACATGTCTTATTAATACTCTGTACACAAAGCACTTCTGCTGAATACCTAAGTACTGGAAGCACTTACCTGATTGTTTGAATTACAAGCTGACTACTTGCTTTTTCATAGAACATCATTTTTATTAGGAAAAAAATGACTAACAAACTATGATTATTCAGACTTGGGTATTTGGCAAACATTTTCTCAAAAATGAATTAAGTGAACCTGTCACCTCATAGAAAACAACTGACAGTATTTGTTGCCAACTGTAAAATTTGAGCTGTCAAGTGAAGATTTAAAATTTTGGAAAATGTGTATCCATGCTGGTAGATACCTAAAGACTTCTTAACACCTCAAGACTTTTCTGATGAAATCAGTGGTAACACTGACAAATATGTTTTTGATATTATAGACTGAAATGTGCCTACATTTAGAAGATGTGAATAATTCACTGAACCATCATTTTCAAAATGACGAATGCATGATGTTACAAAATCAGGCATGAATAAAAGACCCATTCAAAGTGCAAGATAGAGCAATGAAGTTTAATATAGAAAAGTATGAGTTCACTGATATGGATTCAACTAATTTTTTACACACATTACAACTAATTTTTCAGAAACTGCCATTTGTCTAATTTTGATGACATAACAAAGAAGAGTATCCACCATGATCTAAAAAGGTTATTAAAATACTATTTTTTCCAACTCCAAATCTGTATGTAGCTGGATTTCCTTCATCTACTTCAATCAAAACAACATACACAACAGACTGAATACAAAAACAGATACGAGAATCCAACTATCTTCTATTAAGCCAAACATTAAAGAGAGTTGCAAAACTATAAAATGATACTACTATTATCTACATTTTTTTGTTGTTTTAGAGAAGACAGCTGTTTTTATAAAAAGTATGTTGGCCTGGTGCAGTGGCTCATGCCCGTAATCCCAGCACTTTGGGAGGCCAAGGTGGGTGGATCACTTGAAGTCTGGAGTTCAAGACCAGCCTGGCCAATACGGTGAAACCCCATCTCTACAAAAATTAGCCGGGTGTGGTGGTGAGCACCTGTAATCCCAGCTACTCAGGAGGCTGAGGCATGAGAATCACTTGAGCCTGGGAGGCGAAGACTACAGTGAGCTGCAATCGCACCACTGCACTCCAGCCTGGGCAAAAGAGTGAAACTCCGTCTCAAAACAAACAAACAAACAAACAAAAAAACAGTATGTTCACATGTAATGGATTCATTGTTGTTACTTTTAAATCATCAGTTTCTAATATGGCATTTTTCCAAAATACTAATTTTAATGTTTATCATATTTCAGACATGGTAAATATTGTTAAAACCACTAAATAAAAGTTATTTGGGGTTGTCTATAATTTTTAAGAGTGTAGAAGAGCATATCATTGGATTTGTCAATGATTTCTTGAATATAACACCCAAGGCACAGGCAACAAAAGAAAAAATAGATATATTGGACCTCATGAAAATTAAACACTTTTTTGCATCAAACAGCACTTTCAGCAGAGTAAAAAAGGTGATGCACAGAATGGGGGAAAATATTTGAAAAGCATATCTCTAGTATGGCTTAACATTGAGGATACATAGAGAAATTTAAATATTCCACAACAGAAAAACCAAACAACCCCATTCAAAAAAGGGCAAAGGAATTGAACAGACATTTCTCCAAAGAAGATATACAAGCACAATAAGCCCACAAAAAGATGCTAGAAATCATAAAAAGCATGGGGAAAAAAAAGGAGACATATGGGACTACATCAAACTTAAAAATTTCTGTGCAACAGAGGATACAATTAGGAGTGAAAAGGCAGCCGGGTGCAGTGGCTCACACCTGTAATCCTAACACTTTGGGAGGCTGAGGCAGACAAATCACTTGAGCCTAGGAGTTCAAGAACAGCCTGGGTAATATGGTGAAATCTCATCTCTACAAAAAATAAAAAATTAGCCAGATGTGGTGACATGTGTCTATAGTCCCAGCTATTTGGGAGGCTGAGGTGGGAGCATCCCTTGAGCCAGGAAGGTCGAGACTGCAGTGAGCCACATTCACGCCATTGTACTCCAGTGATAATAGAGCAAGACCTTGTCTCAAAAAAAAAAAAAAAAAAAAAAGAAAAAGAAAAAGAGTGAAAAGACAACCCACAGAATGGGAAAAAACATTTGCAAATCTTATATCTGAAAAGGATTTACTATCCAGAATATATTTTTAAAATTCCTACAACTCAACAACAAAGGGCAAATGCCTTCATTTTTAAAATGGGTAAAGGACTTTGAATAGTCTCCAAAGAAGGGACACAAATGGCCAACAATCATATGTAAAGATGCTCAACATCACTAATCATTAGAGAAATGCAAATCAAAACCACAAAGAATTATCACCTCACACCCATTAGGTTGGATACTATCAAAAATTTAAAAACAGACCCAACTATATGTGGCCTATGAAGATTAACTTCACATTTAAGAACACACATAGAATGAAAGTGAAAGGCTAGAAAAAGACATTTCAGGCAAATGGAAACCAAAGAGAGCAGGGGTAGCTATACTTAAAACAGACTAAGTAAAAACTGTAAAACAAGACAAAGAACATCATTACATAATGACAGAGGATCAATTTATCAAGACAATATAACAACTGTAAATATACAGCTGACCCTTGAACAACACGGGTTTGAACTGCACAGGTCCACTTATATGCAGATTTTTTCCAACCAAATGAGGATCAAAAATACAGTACTCACAGGATGGGAAACCCATGTACATGGAGGGCCAACTTTTCATATACAGAGGTTTCGCAGGGCAACTGTGGGACTTGAATGGTGCAGCTTTTGTTACACACAGAGGTACTGGAAGCAATCCCACACCAAGGGACAACTGTAAATACATCCAACATCAAAGCTTCTAGATACATAAGGCAAATATCAATACATCTAGAGAGAGAGAGATTATAATACAATAATAGTAGGGGACTTTAGGCCAGGTGTGGTGGCTCACACCTGTAACCCCAGCACTTTGGGAGGCTGACGTGGGCAGATCACTGGAACTCAAGGGTTCAAGACCAGCCTGGCCAACATGGCGAAATCACATCTCTACTAAAAATACAAAAATTAGCTGGACATGGTGGCTCCCACCTGTAATCTCAGCTACTCAGGAGGCTGAGGGAGGAGAATCACTCGAACCCGGGAGGAGGAGGTTTCAGTGAGCCGAGATTTTGCCACTGCACTCCAGCCTGGGTGACAAAGCAGGACTCCATTTCCATAATAATAATAATAGTAGGAGACTTCAATAGTCCACTTTCAATAAAGCCAGAAAATCAAAAAGGAAACATCAAACTTGAACTACACTTTAGACCAAAGGAAACTAACAGACATAAAGAACATTCCATCCAACAGCAGCAGAAAATACATTCTTCCCAAGTGCACATGGAACATTCTTGAGGACAACTCACATGTTAGGCCACAAAACGAGTCTTAATAAACTTTAGAAGACTGAAATCATACCAAGTATCTTTTCTGACCACAATGGTATGAAACTAGAAATAATAAAAAGAATTTTGGAAAATTTCACAAATACAAAGAAATTGAACAACATGCTCGTGAACAATAGCCAGACAAGGACACTACAAGAAAAGAAAATTATAGACCAATGGGACTACATCAGCATAGATACAAAAATCCTCAATAAGGCCAGGTGCAATGTGGCTCACACCTGTAATACCAGCACTTTAAAAGACTGAGACAGGAGGATTACTTGAGCCCAGGAGTTTAAGGCCTGCAGTAAACCAAGATTATGCCACTGCACTCCAGCCTGGGTGACAAAGCAAGACCAGCAAACCAAATTCAACAACACATTAAAAAGATCATCCAGGCCAGGCTCATGTCTGTAATCCCAGCACTTTGGGAGGCGAAGGCAGGCAGACTTGAGGTCAGGAGTTTGAGAGCAGCTTGGCCAACATGGTGAAGACCCATCTCTACTGAAAATACAAAAACTAGCCAGGCATGGTGGCAAATGCCTGTAATCCCAGCTACTCAGGAGGCTGAGGCATGAGAATTGCTTGAACCTACGAGGCAGAGGTTGCAGTGAGCTGAGATCACACCATTGTCCTCCAGCCTGGACAACAAGGCAACAGAGTGAAACTCTGTCCCCACCAAGGGAGAAAAAAAAAAAAGATAATCCATTATGATCAATTGGGATTTATTCCTGGGATGCAAGGATGGTTCAACATATACAAATCAATAAATATGATACACCACATTAACAGGAGGAAGGACAAAAGCCCTATGATCATCTCAATTTTTTTTTTACACGGAGTCTGGCTCTGTCACCCAGGCTGCAGTGCAGTGGCGTGATCTCAGATCACTGCAAGCTCCGCCTCCCGGGTTCATGCCATTCTCCTGCCTCAGCCTCCCAAGTAGCTGGGACTACAGGTGCCCACCACCATGCCTGGCTAATTTTTTTGTATTTTTAGTAGAGACAGGGTTTCACCATGTTAGCCAGGATGGTCTCCATCTCCTGATCTTGTGATCTGCCCACCTCAGCCTCCCAAAGTGCTGGGATTACAGGCGTGAGCCACCACGCCCAACCTGATCATCTCAATTGATGGAGAAAGGTATTCAACAAAATTAAACATCCTTTCATGATTAAAAACTCTCAATAAATTAGGCACAGAAGGAATGGACCTCAACACAGTAAGGGTCATGTACGATAAGCCCACAGCTAACATCATATTGAATAGTGAAAATTGAAAGTTTTTTTCGTAAGATTAGTAATAAGACAAGAATGCTTATTTCAGACACTTCTATTGAAAACAGTATTGGAAATCCTAGCCAGAACAATTAGTCAAGAGAAAGAAATAAAATTTGTCCAAATCGCAAAGGAAAAAGTTAAATTGTCTGTCTGTTGATGACATGATCTTTAGATAGACAATAGTAAAGACTCACCAAAAAACTGTTAGAACTGATAAACATATTCAGTAAAGTTGCAGGATACAAAATCAACATGCATTTGCTTGTCTGTTAGTATTTTTTTAAAAAAAAGAAACAAAATCAACATGCAAAATTCAGTAGTGTTTATATACAATAACAACGAACTATCAAAAAAATGAAGAAAACAATCTCATTTACAATAGCTATTTAAAAATACTTCGGAATAGGCTGGGCGCAGTGGCTCGCACCTGCAATCCCAGCACTTTGGGAGGCCAAGGTGGGAGGATCGCCTGAGCTCAGGAATTTGAGACCACACTGGGCAACATGGTGAAACCCCATCTCTACTAAAATACAAAAAATTAGCCAGGTGTCATAGTGCGTACCTGTAGTCCCGGCTACTCAGGAGGCTGAGGCACGAGAATCACTTGATCCCAGGAGGCGGAGGTTGCAGTGAGTCGAGATCACGCCACTCCAGCTTGGGCTACAGAGTGAGACTCCACCTCAAAAATAAATAAATAAATAAAATAAAATAAAATAAAATAAAATAAATGAATAAAAAATACTTAGGAATAAATTTAATCAAGGAAATGAAAGATCTGTACATGGAAAACACTGTTGAAACACTGACGAAAGAAACTGAAGAGGACACACACAAAACATGGAAAGATATGCTGTGTCCACGGTTTGGAAGAATTAATATTAAAATGCTCATACTACCCAAAATGACCTACAGATTCAAAGCAATCTCTATCAAAATACTAATAAAATTCTTCACAAAAATTGAAAAAACAACTCTGAAATTCCTATGGAACCACAAAAGACCCCAAATAGCCAAAGCAATCTGCAGCAAAAAGAACAAGGCTAGAGGTATCATACTGTCTGTCTCCAAAATATACTACAAAGCTGTAGTAACCAAAACAGCATGGTACCACCAAAAAACAGACACATAGACTAAAGGAACAAAATAAAGAACCCAGAAATAAATCTATGTATTTACAGTCAACTGATTTTCAACAAAGGTCCCAAGAACACACACTGGGGAAAGGACAGCCTACTCAATAAATGGTGCTGGAAAAACTGGATATTCAAATACAGAAGAATGAAATTAGATGTTCATTTCACACCATATACAAAAATCAAATAAAAGTGGATTAAAGACAAACATAAGACCTGAAACTGTAACACTACTAGAAGAAAGCATAGGGAAAAAGCTTCATGACATTGGTCTGGGCAAAAATTTTGGATATGACTCCAAAAGCTCAGGCAACAAAAGCAAAATAGGATTACATCAAACTGAAACCCTTCCACACAGTAAAGGAAACAATACAGTGAAGAGAGAACTTACAGAGTGAGAGAATACATTTGCAAACCATGTATCTGAGAAGGGGTTGTTATGATCTAAAGTGTAGATAAGAAACTCAAACAACTCAGTAGGAAGAAAACAAATAACCAGAGTTTTAAAATGATCAAAGGACTTGAACAGACATTTCCCAAAATACGACATACAAATGGCCAACAGGAATCTGAAAAGGTGCTGAACTGCACTAATCACCAGAGAAATGCAATTCAAAACAATGACATATCACCTCACTCTTGTTAGAATGGCTATTGCAAAAAAGAGGAAAGATGACAAGCATTGGCAAGGATGTTGAGAAAAGGAAACCTTTGCACATTACTGACGCAAATGTGAATTAGTACAGCCATTAAGGAAAACACTATGGTGGTTCCTCAAAAATTTAAAAGTAGAACTACCATATGATCCAGCAATACCACTACTGGGCATATATCTAAGGGAAATGAAATCAGTATGTTGAAGAGATATTCACACTCCCATATTCATTACAGCATTATTCACAATAGCCAAGATATAAAATCAATGTAAGTGTCCATCAGCAGATGAATGGATAAAGAAAATGTGGTACATATACACAATGGAGTACCATTCATCCTTTAAAAGGAAGGAAATCCTGTCGTTTGTGACAACATGAGTGAACCTGGAGGATACTATGTCAAGTGAAATAAGCCAGGTACAGAAAGACAAGTACCACATGACCTCACTTATATATGGAGTATAAAATAGTTGAACTCATAGAAATAGAGAGTAAAATGGTGGTTACCAGAGGGTGGCGGGTGGGGAGATTGGAAGGATGTTGGTCAAAGGACACAAAATTTGTTAGACAGGAGGAACAAGTTCAAGAGATCCACTGTACATCATGCTGACTACAGTTAGTAACAATATATTGTATATTTGAAAATTGCTGAGAATAAATTAAGTGGTCTTATCACAAAAAAATGGGAAGTATATGAGGCAATGCATATGTTCAATAGGTTAATTTAGCCATTCCACAATGTGTGTGTATATATATATATATCAATATATATCAAAACATCATGTTGTATACCATAAATCCATACAATTTTTACTTGTCAAAACACACATTTTTTAAAAATCAAAAATAACAAGTGTCGCAACGATATGGGGAAATTGAACCCCTCATGTAGAGTTACTGGGAATGCAAAATGGTGTAGCTGCTGGAGAAAACAACATGGCAGTTCCTCAAATAATTAAAAATATAATTACCATATGATCTAGCAATTCCACTCTGGTTATATATACAATTGAATTGAAAGTAGAGTCCTGAAGAGGTTATTTATTCACTCATGTTTGTTGCGGTATTATCACAATAGCAAGCAAGGTACAAGCAACCCAAATGTCTATCAGTGATGAATGGATGGACAAAATGTGGTGTATACATACAATGAAATGTTGTTCAGCCATGAAGAGGAAGTTCTGAAACATGCTACAATATAAACATTTAAGATGTTGTGGGCCGGGCACGGTGGCTCATGCCTGTGATCCCACCACTTCGAGAGGCAGAGGTGGGCAGATCATCCGAGGTCAGGAGTTTGAGACTAGCCTGGCTAACATGGTGAAATCCCGTTTCTACAAAAATACAAAAAATTAGCCGGTGTGGTGGCACGCATCTGTAATCCCAGCTACTTGGGAGGCTGAGGCAGGAGAATCATTTGAACCTGGGAGATGGAGGTTGCAGTGAGCTGAGATCATGCCATTGCACTCCAGCCTGGGCAAAAAAAACAAAAAAGACATTGTGCAGAGTGATGTAAGCCACACAGGGAGATGTGCTATATGATTCCACTTACTTGGGGTGCCTAATCAGATGCATGGAGAACAGAGGGTACTAGTGGTGATCAGGGGCTGAGGGAGGGGAGAATAGGGAGTTTTCATTTCATATGGGTAGTTTCAATTTTCAAGATGAAAAGAATTCTAGAGATAAAGAGCGGTGATGGTTGCACAATATAAATGTACTCAATACTACTGAACAGTATACTTAAAAATTTTATGTGTATTTTACCACAGCTTTTTAAATTTTTAAATTATATAATGGAAGCTGTATGTCCACTGAAGAATGCTCACCATTGCTCCCTCCCCCAGTCCCTGGTGGCCACCATTCCATTCTTATGTATGTGGAATATGCATCACATAGGTAGAATCACATGGTGTTTTTCCTTCTGTAACTGGCTTGTTTCACTTGGCACAGTATTCTTTAGGTTTATCCATGTTGTCACAGATAGCAGGATTTCCTTCTTTTTTAAAGTTGTATAGTATTCCATGGTGTGTACATACCATTTTCCTCATCCATTGTTCTGTACGCAAGATGAATAAATTCTTTTTTTTTTTTTTTTGAGACAGAGTCTCGCTCTGTCACCCAGGCTGGAGTGCAGTGGCGTGATCTCAGCTCACTGCAAGCTCCACCTTCCGGGTTCACGACATTCTCCTGCCTCAGCCTTCCCAGCAGCTAGGACTACAGGTGCACACTGCCACGCCCGGCTAATTTTTTGTATTTTTGGTAGAGACGGGGCTTCACTGTGTTAGCCAGGATGGTCTCCATCTCCTGACCTCATGATCTGCCCACCTCGGCCTCCCAGAGTGCTGGGATTACAGGTGTGAGCCACCACGCCCGGCCAAGATGAATAAATTCTAGATATCTGCTGTCCAATATAGTACCTATAGTTAACAATACGGTATTGTGCACTTTAAAATACGTTAAGAGAATACTTTTTTTTTTTTGAGACAGAGTCTCTCTCTGTCACCAGGCTGGAGTGAGGTGGCACGATCTCGGCTCACTGCAACCTCCGCCTCCCGGGTTCATGCGATTCTCCTGCCTCAGCCTCCTGAGTAGCTGGGACTACAGGAGTGTGCCACCATACCCAGCTAATTTTTTTTGTATTTTTAGTAGAGATGGGGTTTCACCATGTTAGCCAAGATGGTCTCGATCTCTTGACCTCGTGATCCGCCCACCTCAGCCTCTCAAAGTGCTGGGATTACAGGTGTGAGCCACCGCACCCAGCCAATACATTTTGTTTTGTTTTGTTTTGTTTGAGATGGAGTCTGGCTCTGTCACCCAAGCTGGAGTGCAGTGGTGCGATCTCGGCTCACTGCAAGCTCCACCTCCCAGGTTCATGCCGTTCTCCCGCCTCAGCCTCCTGAGTAGCTGGGACTACAGGTGCCCACCACCATGCCCGGCTAATTTTTTTGTATTTTTAGTAGAGACGGGGTTTCACCGTGTTAGCCAGGGTGGTCTCAATCTCCTGACCTCATGATCTGCCTGCCTTGGCCTCCCAAAGTGCTGGGATTACAGGCATGAGCCACCATGCCAGGCCTAATACATGTTGTCTTAAGTGTTCTTACCAAAACACACACACACACTTACACACACACACACACACACACACACACACAAACACAAGCAGGCCAGGCACAGTGGCTCATGCCTGTAATCCCAGCACTTTGGGAGGCCAAGGCAGGAGGATCACTTGAGTCTGGGATATTGAGACCAGCCTGGGCAACATAGTGAGACCTCAACTCTACAAAAAACAAAAAAAAAGTTAGTGGGGGCATGGTGGCACATGCCTGTAGTCCCAGCTACTTAGGAAGCTGAAGTGGGAGCATCATTTGAGCCTAGGAGGTCAAGGCTGCAGTGAGCTGAGATCGCACCACTGCACTCCAGCCTGGATGACAGAGTGAGACCCTGTTTAAAAAAAAAATAACACAAGCAAATTTTTGGAGGTAATGGATAAGTTTAGCATTTTGGTTGTGGAGATGGTCTCATGGGTGTATGCACATGTTCAAACTTGCCAAGATGTATACTCATCAAGACACATAAACTAAATGCATACTATTTTTTGTGTATAAATTATAACTCAATAAAGCTAAAAAAAAAATGAAGAAGGAAAAAGGGTATAAAAGGGTCCTGAGACCAAAACTGCTGATACAGGACATCCATTTCTGCCTCCTGGTTTTTAGGCCCAGTTTCCAACACACCTTCCCCTCCCATGCTTCTCCACAGAATACAGAATCATAAAATCCTAAAAACAAAATCAAAATCAAAACTAAAGAAGAGATAAGCCAGAAAGCACAATGAGCTAGAAAGAGAATAAGATCCACTCTTTCTTTTCAAAATAATTTTCCTTTAAGGGCAGGGCCTGATAAGTAGTCCCGCCAGAACAGGCTGGTTTCACCGACAACCCCTCCCCACTGCCACATGTGGGAGAAGAAAGATGGGGGCGAGGGCCTGAGCAGGAGTTCAGGTGTCTTGTCTTCTTCACCTTCTGAATCTGATGTGATACAACAGCCAATCAGGCAAAGCAGGTGGGGACATTTTTTATTAGTCATGATTTGCAGGGGAGGGAAGAGAGGTCTATGCCTTGCTGATTACTAGTAAATAAAAGACAGGGCTGAGAGCAGGGTGACCTCCCGGCTGTAGCCCAGGGTTCCCTCCATTGGGCACTCTCTCTCTGCAGTAGATGCCTCTCTGAAGCTGCCTCTCTTCTCCACTCAGGCCTAGAGGTCCACCATTAAAAGATGCATTGTTGGCCAGGCATGGTGGCACACACCTGTAATCCCAGCTACTTGGGAGGCTGAGGCACAAGAATCACTTGAACCCCGGGAGGCAGAGGTTGCAGTGAGCCAAGAATGCAGCACTGTACTCCAGCCTGGGCAACGGAGCAAGACTCTGTCTCAAAAAAAAAAAAAAAGATGCATGGTTGTACTTGCTAATAAAGTATTTTCTTGCATTTATAAACCATGTAGATTTCTTTTTTAAAAGTCCTTTTTTCTATTATTTTGGATTGTTGGTCTTTTTATAATTGTTTGTAAGTGAAAGTGACCCACTGTATTACTTTTCAATTGCAAAATTAGTTTTTAAATATTAGAAAGAAAAAGTTAATGAAATAGAAGACAAACAATAGAGATGACAAAAAAGGTCCTCAAAGAAAAGACAGACCACTAGTAAAACAGATCATAAAAAAAGGCTGAGGCCAGGCACAGTAGCTCACACCTGTAATCCTAGCACTTTAGGAGGCGAGGACAGGAGGACTGCTTGAGGCTAAGAGTTCAAGACCAACCTGGCCAACAAAGCAAAATCCCGTCACTATTAAAAAAAAAAAAAAAGGCTAAAGTATTAAATAATATTAGCATGAAAAATGGAAGATAAACTCAAGCTTTAAAATATAGTAAGACTATGAAAAATTTATTCCAATAATTTAAAAACTTTTTTTGAGAAAAAAATAAAAATTACCAAAATTGACTGGATGAGAAGGAGAATAGTTTGGGTAATACTTAATAGTGGCAGCAGAAGTGATATACTAGGATCTCCTCATAAAGTGCAAACCCGTCAAGGCAGTCAGAACTAGTAAGTCGTTCATTAGTTGCAGTCTTCTGTGACAAAAGAGATGGCTCTTGCCAGCCTGGGCCTGTCACTCTGGTTTGGAAGGAAAGGAGATGCTGAGAGAACAGAGAGGGGCCGGTACTGCCTTGTGGAGTCAGATTACTCCAGGGCTGAGCCAGGATGCCAAGAAATCTCCTACTTGCCTCCCCAAGGGGCAGCACCCCTGTCAATCTGGCTCAGCCCCAAGGTTGCCCTGACCACAATCCCCTTCTCACTAACCCTCTTCCTCCTTCCCTCCTCTCCTCACTTCTTCTCCCTCTTTCTCAATCCTCTTTCCTTTCCCTGCCTCCCCTATTTTCTGTTGGAAGACAGTTGTAGCTCCAGGTGTGACTGGTGTCATTGGGTGCCACACCACTTCTCCCCACATTTCGCCCCCTCCCTACCCCAACCTCCTGAAACTTCCAGACAGAGGAGTTGCAGCAAATAGGTGGAGTTCTAAGGCCTAACCCTCAGCCTGTCTTGCCCCATTCCCCAAACTCATTCCTAAGTCTGATCTCATGGACACAGAAGAGGTCTAGGAAGGGAAGGGTATGCAGTAAAGGGTGACAGATGTCATAGCTCTGAGCCCTGGTACTAGAGTTAATGCAAAAGATCCACCTTTTGAACCTTGCACTGTCTGTAGCTCAAATAAATGTTCCACATATATAAACACTATTGTGTCTCAAATTTGTCAATGTGATTGGATGTATAAAAATTAAATATATTTAAATTTGTTATTATTTTCATACCAGCTTATAACCACTTGTATTATCTCAACAGACACTAGACAGACACTAGAAGCACCATCATTATGACACGCATACACGCATGCATGTGAATGTGTGTGTGTTGGGGATTAGAAATGCATTAAATATTTTAATGATAGAAAGAGTGATCTCCTTCAGGAAAAGTATGGAGCAGGAGATGGAGGCTCATGCTTGTAGTTCCAGCTACTCAGGAGGCTGAGGCAGGAGAACCACTTGATCTCAGGAGCTCAAGGCCAGCCTGGGCAACACAGCAAGACTCCATCTCCAAAGGAAAAAAAGAGAGAGAAAAAGAGAAAAGAGGAGGAGGAGGAGGAGGAAGAGAAGGGAAAGAAAAGGATGGAGATGACCAGTGTACCCAACATTGCTGTGGTCAAGTTCTGATGTCTCCTTATGGTTCTATCCATGGGGTGGGAGGAAAGGAGGCCACAACAGAGAGTTGGGTTTATGTAGAAAGGATTCTTTTGTGGATCGTGCCAATGATTTACTCCTGGACTGATGCTAGCCCTTAGCAGCCCCTCAGGCAGGTGCTTTGGTAAACCATCTACCTTGCTCAAAGCCTGGAAGGTGGGGTGAGATTTGGAGAGCAGATACTCTCTGTGAACTCCAGCTTCTGCTGACACAAATGGTCTGGAGTAGCCTGACTATCCAGATACACAGATACTGATGCTGCAATGGCTGTGACCATACCAAAGGCCAGGACACTTGACCAGGCATGTCCAAATGCATTAATGGACACAATGGGTTGAAAGAATTAAAATATGGACCATACCAGAAGTTTGTGCTCCTTACCAAAGTCAGCCTCTGGTAAGAATATGGATTGGAATCTAGCATCAGAGAACTAAAAACCTGTAAGGATGAGAAAGAGATGCCACATCATGGGCACTTCCCAGTCATCCTCTAAGATATGGAACAACAGCCAGGCACGGTGGCTCATGCCTATAATCCCAGCACTTTGGGAGGCCAAGGTGGGTGGATTACGTGAGGTCAGGAGTTCAAGACCAGCCTAACATGGTGAAACCTTGTCTCTACTAAAAATACAAAAATTAGTCAGTCATGATGGCGCACGCCTGTAATCCCAGCTACTTGGGAGGCTGAGGCAGGAGAATCACTTGGGCACTCCAGCCTGGAAAACAAGAGTGAAACTCCATCTCAAAATAATAATATATATACATATGGAATGAGAAAAGGATGCTCACTTTCACTACCTTTATTTAACATAGACCTGGAAGTCCTAGCCAGAGCAATCAGAAAAAAAAAAAAGAAATAAAGGGCATCCAGATTGGAAAGGAAGAAGTCAAATTATTCTTGTTTACAACAACCTAAAAACCTAAAGACTCCACCAAAAAACTGTTAGAAGTCAACAAAGAAATTCAGTAAAGTTGCAGGATACAAAACCAACATACGAAAATCAGTAGCATTTCTATACAACAGCAAAGAATCACAAAACAAAATCAAGAAAGGAATTCCACTAACAATAGCAAAAAAAAATAAAATAAAATACTTAGGTACAAATTTAACCAAAGTAAAAGATCTCTACAATAAAAACTATAAAACAATGATGAAAGAAATTTAAGAGGATACAAAAAATGAAAAGATATCTCATGCTCATAGATTGGAAAAATTTATACTGTTAAAATACCCATATTACCCAAAGCAATCTACAGATTCAATGCAATCTCTACCAAAATACCAACGACATTCTTCACAGAAATAGAAAAAACAACCCTAACATTCCTAGGGAACCACAAAAGACCCCAAATAGCCAAAGCAATCCTGAGCAGAAAGAACAAAACTAGAGGCATCGCACTACCTGACTTCAAAACATACTACAAAGCTATAGCAGGCTGGGTGTGGACACTCACGCCTGTAATCCCAGCACTTTGGGAGGCTGAGGCAGGAGGACTACTTGCATCCAGGATTTTCACAACAGCTGGGCAACATAGTGAGATCCCGCCTCTACAAAAAATTTAAACATTAAAAAATTAGCTGGGCGTGATGATGTGCACCTGTAGTCCCAGCTACGCAGGAGGCTGATGTGGGAGGACCACTTGAGCCTGGGAGGTCCAGGCTGCAGTAAGCCAAGATCCTGGCCACTGCACTCAGCCTGGGCGACAGAGCAAGACCCTGTCTCTCAAAAAAAAAAAAAAAAAAAAAAAAAGCGGGGGGTGGAGCAGGATGTAAGTTAGTATAGCCACTGTGGAAAGTAGTATGAAAGTTCCTCAAGAAACTAAAAATATATCTACCATATGATCCAGCAATCCTACTGCTAGGCATAATACATACAAAAGAAAGGAAATCAGTATATTAAAGAGATATCTGCACTCCCATGTTTACTGCAGCAGCAGTCACAATAGCCAAGATGTGGAATCAACCTAAGAGTCTATCAACAGAAGAATGGATTAAAATGTGGTATATATACAAATACAGCCTAAAAAAGAATGAAATTCTGTCATTTGCAGTAACATGGATAAAACCAAGGCCATTATGTTAACTGAAATAAATCAAGCACAAAAAAGGTGATCTCATGGAAGTAGAGAGTAAAATGGTGGTTACTACAGGCCAGGAAGGGTAGGAGAGAGACTGATGAGAGGTTGGTTAATGGTTACAAACATATAGTTAGATAAAAGGAATAAGTTCTAGTATTCAATAGCACACAAGGGTGACTACAGTTAATAATCTGTCATGTTTCAAAATAACTAGAAGATTTAGAATGTTACCAACACAAAGGAATGACAAGGGTTTGAGGTGATGGATATGCTAATTAACCTGATTTGGTCATTATACATTGTATGTATCAGAATATCACATGTACCCCCATAAGTATGTTCAATTATGTAGTCAAGAAAACCCTACAGGGTAAGAAAGAGGTGCCACATCATGGGCACTTCCCAGTCCAGGGTACTGTAATTAAAGGTCCCTAAGAAAGGTCCTCAGATCCTCCAACATATCTAGTGAAATGATACCTAAAACCCATAATTAGAACTCTCGCTTCCTTTCACTGCAGTTCCACTAGGTTGGGCCACATTGGGTGAGGCTGGGTGCAGCTAGAACCAGCATTATTCTGAGCTGTTGGCACTCTTTTCCACCCCAATACAGATGAAGATACTGAGAACGGAGTGTGATGGGGTAGGTGTGGAAATAGATGGAAGTAATGACGAGAAGACAACTTTCTAGTATTACCCACAATTGATTCATTTCAGGTCTCTCTCCCATGAACCCCACTGAACTTATTTGCGCTGAGTCTTTGGAAATTAGCAAGCACCTTCTTCAACGTACTCACCCCTCCATGCCACCTGAGACCTAGGAAATAGGGTGCTCTCTGCATGGGCTCTCTGATGGCTCAAGGGCTATAAATTATGATGTGATTAACTCAAAACCTTCCTCTCTGGGTGCCTCTGGAGGTGACATAGTAGGAACCCTGGTGCTGTGGTTTGAATGCATCCACCAAAGTTCATGTGTTGGAAACTTAATCCCCAATGCATCAGTGTTGAGAGGTAGGATCTTTAAGAGGTGATTAGGTCATGAGGGCTGTGCTCTCACAAATAGATTCATGTCATAGTCACAAGACTGGGTTCCTGATAAAAGGATAAGTCTGGCCCCCTCCTCCCTTGCGCATGTATACTTTCTTGCCCTTCTACATTCCACCATGGGATGACGCAACAAAAAATAGCCAGGCGTGGTGGCACGAGCCTGTAGTCCCAGCTACTCGGGAGGCTGAGGCAGGAGAATCATTTGAACCCAGGAGGCGGAGGGTGCAGTGAGCTGAGGCCGTGCCACTGCACTCCAGCCTGGGCGACAGAGAGACTCCGTCTCCAAAAAAATAAATAAATAAAATAAATTCTCCTTCCCAAAATATCAACCCTGGCACCTAAACTTCCACCACCAGAGAGGCCCTAAAGTTACTCAATGGCTCTCTGTTAAAATACAAATATCCCTCAACTCAGAGTAGGGGGTAGGGGACTGGTGTGATGTCATTCGAGAGCAAACCCATTGTAAGCCTGCAATTTCTGTATCTGGGGCTTAGGAGTGGCAATCCAGCAGAAAGAGGATTGGGGCAGGGAAGTGGCAGGTAATTACATTGAATATTTATTTGGAATAACTTTGGCCAAGGGACTGACAGAAATTTGGGATGCTAAAGACATATAAGTGACGCCCTGACTACCATTCCAGCAAGAGAAACAAGCTGAGTGCAAAGACATTGGCAATAAAAACAAAAACAAAAACAGGAGTTCGGCCAGGCACGGTAGCTCACACCTGTAATCCTAGCACTTGGGGAGGCTGAGGTGGGTGGATCACAAGCTCAGGAGATTGAGACCATTCTGGCCAACATGGTGAAACCCCATCTCTGCTAAAATACAAAAAATGAGCCAGGCGTGGTGGTGCGCACCTGCAGTCCCAGCTACTCAGGAGGCTAAGGCAGGGGAATCACTTGAACCCAGGCAGCAGAAGTTGCAGTGAGCCGAGATTGTGCCACTGCACTCCACCCTGGTGACAGAGCAAGACTCCGTCTCAAAAACAAAACAAAACAAAATAGGAGTCCTGGACTTAGTGGAGGACATCAGATTCAACTCCCTCCCCTACTTGGCCACTTTGCTTGTCAGAAGCAGGTAAGCACACCAAGGCTGAGCTAAGAAATATCCACAAGGGGTCTTGTGTCCTCAGAATTCTCATCAAGGACCCCTCCCTAGAGGAGGCTGAGGAGGGAGTACAGGTCCTTGGGCCACAAATGGTGGGAGAAAGGCACAGTGAATTGTGAGCTGTCTTATCCAGTCACATGATCTCTTTTTCTCCCTCCTCCTCTGGTCTCTCCCTCTCCACCCTTCCCCTCCCTTTGCTCTGTTTTCAAGATTTGGTTAAAATAGATGCAAACTCCAGTCTTTTCTATTTTTAATACCGAGCCATTACATAATCCACACAGTAATTGCTGACTTGAAAAACTATTGGCAACATTAGAAAATCCCCAGAGTTTTAAACAGGAAAAGGATTACTACAGCACAAAAGCCTTTGGTAGTTTCACTGACTAGTAAACCATTGGTAATCGTCACTTGCCAGTGGAAGTCACATGGGCCCTGGGAAACACTCCCCTATCTCAGGGAAAGCAGGCTGGGGGAAGGGATGAAATGCAGCCTCAGCTGGGAGGAGGAGGCTGCTGGTGGGGTGGTGTGCTGAGCTCTGAGTGGGGCTCCAACAAGTGACCTCCAGCCAAAAGTGCTGAAGGAGTGAGCTTCAGGTTGTCCTCGGGCCACCTTTTACTGCTTTTGTTTCTTGCTAGGGAATGAGTGAAGTCTCCAGCGGCCCAGTCCTTTCCCTCTCGGTTTCCCACCTTCCTACAGCCTCCAACATATTCCTGTAAGAGCCTGAGGGAGGGTGGACTACTCCAGTTAAATAGATTTTATAAAGACACAGGAGCAGGGAAGGCTGCCTGTTTATCACAAAGACCTAATCCACTCCTCTGCAAGGCTTTCCAGACATTAGGCCAGAACCACACTATTTAATTCTTCAATAAAATGATCCAATGAAAGTTTAAGAACCAGTGGTTTGGTTTACAACCAAGCAGAAGTTAATTATCTAATTGAGACAAAATTCTCTGTATGTGTATGTGTGTTGGGAGTGTGGGCAGTGTATAAGATACAGAGGGGACAGGGACTACTCTCCCTGATTTTGCCACTTCTGCCACAATCCTAACCCCAATAATCAAGGAGGATCTGAATAACCACATGGCCATTCATTCAATAAACATATGCTGAATGCCACATACCAGACTAGGTGCTGGGGATGCAACACAGCAAAATCACTGCCCTGCTAGAACTGCTAGGTCAGTGAAGGAGAGACATTAATCAAAATATTACATAAACATATCATTACAATGATAATGAAGGCTTATGAGGGGAAGGTACAGGGCACTAGGAGCATTTAGAATAGGGGTATCGGATTGGGTCTGAGGGTTCCTAGATTATCCTTAGGACTCCAGGGTTCTTTTAAATCAGTACCCCTTCTTCTTCCCCTCACCCCACTCCTTCCTTGCTTCCTGTAGTTAATATTTACTGGTTTTTTTCTATGAGGAGGATAATGCCAGGTTCTTCACATGCATGATCTCATGTGATTCTCATGACAAACTTACAATTCAGCACTTTATGACAAAGGATTTGCTGAGAAAGGCTGATCCACATTTTGCAAGGAGAACTATATAAAATTTATGGCACTGATTAGTTAAAACTCTTCTGGCTGCAGGTGGCAAAATTCCACATCAAATTTTCAAAAGGAGGGGTAAAAAAAGGGAAAACCTGAGGGCTGGGTGCAGTGGCTCACACCTGTAATCCCAGCACTTTGGGAGGCCGAGGCGGGCGGATCATGAGGTCAGGAGATCAAGACCATCCCGGCTAACATGGTAAAACCCCGTCTCTACTAAAAATACAAAAAATTAGCTGGGAGTGGTGGTGGGCGCCTGTTGTCCCAGCTACTTGGGAGGCTAAGGCAGGAGAATGGCGTGAACCCGGGAGGTGGAGCTTGCAGTGAGCCGAGATTGAGCTACTGCACTCCAGCCTGGGCGACAGAGCAAGACTCCATCCAAAAAAAAAGAAAACCTGGGCTCATGTCAATGAAATGATGAAATGTTCAGGGTTAGACTAGCTTAAGGCACAGTTAGATCCAGGTGCTCCAAAGATGTCATGTGGCCTTCATCTTGCTCCATCTCACAGCTCAGCTTTTACTTATGCTTGTTTCATTCTCAGGCAGCGTTTCCCTCAGGGTGGCAAGATGGCCCTCAGCAGCATAAGGCTTACATTTTACAGGCTTGGGAACCCACCTGGAAAAGAAATGAGGTCACTTTCTTAACAGTTCCAACAGAAATCCAGAGTCGTGATTGGCCTGGATTTGGAACCATGCCCACGTCAATTGCTATTCTCTGACCACAGTCATGTGTCCTCCAAGGGACTTATCCCACCAGAATCTGGTCTGAGAGTGGGGAAGGATGTGGTACCCAAAAGGAAAATCAAAGTGTTCTTACCTAAGAATGGAGACTGCATGCTGGGCAGTCAAAGCCCACTGATCTCTATCGTCCTCAAAGTTTGGAATTACAGTGGATGTTAAGACTACGAGATAAATTCTTCTATCAACCAGGTCCTCCTCCCTAAGGAATGAGCAAGAGTGGTTTGTTCAGTGTGGCACTAGCTGCATTCACTCTGGTCCTCCCTCAGCTGCTCAGACACCTTGGCTTAGGATAGTGATTGGAGTTAATATTTGCTTAAGACCAAGTGTGGTGGCTCACAATTATAATCTCAGCATTTTGGGAGGCTAACACGGGAGGGCTGCTTGAGCACCAGAAGTTCGAGATCAGCCTAAGCAACCTGGCGAGACTTGGTCTCTACAAAAAAAAAAAAAAATGATCTGGCCATGGTGGTATGCACCTGTAGTCTCAGCTACTCAAGAGGCTGAGGCAGGAGGATTGCTTGAGCCCAGGAGGTTAAGGCTACAGTAAGCCATGATTGCACTACTGCACTTCAGCCTGGGTGACAGAGTGAGATCCTATCTCAAAAAAATTTATTTTGCTTAGGTCCTTGCTGAGAGCAGTCTTCAAGTCCCAAGACTTTGTGTAAGACTTTGCCCAACCTCTTTACCCCTAATGATATATCCTACTCAGCAATGGTGTGGCTGAGGAGGCTGCAGCTCTCCGACTTTTTTAACTAGCATCCTCAGGTTCTGTGTAACTCATAAGGCAGGAAGAGTATAACAAAGTCCTTTGTTGGGAAGTTTGCTGTCCCCCTTTGGAGTCTGAATAGAGAGAGGAATAACATGATGGTTCCTGAAGCATACACAGAGCAGGATCTTGGGGACCACTGTTAAACACTGTATGAGTTACACAGCACTACAGCAATCAGATATCAGCTACAACCACCCTGTCCTTGGGCATGTTTTAAAAACTCCCTGAACCTCCCTATCCCAAGTTCTATGAGAAGTCCAAAGGCCTTCCCAGAATTTCTGCAAATCCCAGGAGCTAATGCTCTTCATAGTCCCTTTGGCTCTGACTCCATTTCTTGCTGGACTTCTTATCTCACTCACTTCTCACCTCCTGAGGCGGATCTCTTCCTCTGCTCTAAGCTGTCCCAGATACAGGACTCAGTCCCCCTTTTCCATGCTTTATCAAACAGAAAACACACACACACACACACACACACACACACACACACACATATATGCACTCACTCAAAACACTGTGTGCCCATCAGACTTTCCTGAAGGTATGAAAAGACTGAGGGGTTATTACCACACTGCTTGGCCCCTTTATCCTCTTCAAATGCTTCTCACATTGTGTTTGTGTATTAGGGCGGGAGAGAAATCCCCCTTACATTATTCAAAACAACTTAGCTCTCCACTCCCTTTTCTCTGACTTCCAATGACCCATAGCTGGAGTCACCCATAGTATGAACCATCCACTCCAGGTTCTACCCTTTCTACCCTTGATCAGCACCGAGGAACAAAAAGAAGTTTTGAACTTTCACTCACTACCACCATTCTGTAGTGGTAAAGGGAATGGAATAATTTTTTCCCCTATGAATATGAATTAAGCCACCCCTCTTTAGAAGAAGAACTGGCCACAGCCATTTTTTGTTTTAAATAAATTTCTATTATATCTCTCTATATCAACTCTCCAGCTCTAAGTAAAGCCTATGTAACAAGCCTGAAACAATTCCCATACACTCACTGGCAGTCTTCTGACACTGAGAATGTGATTAAGGAAAGCAATGCTGGCCGGGCGCGGTGGCTCACGCCTGTAATCCCAGCACTTTGGGAGGCCGAGGCGGGCAGATCACGAGGTCAGGAGATCAAGACCATCCTGGCTAACACGGTGAAACCCCGTCTCTACTAAAAATACAAAAAATTAGCCGGGCGAGGTGGTGGGCGCCTGTAGTCCCAGCTACACGGGAGGCTGAGGCAGGAGAATGGCGTGAACCCCGGGGGGTGGAGCCTGCAGTGAGCCGAGATCGTGCCACTGCACTCCAGCCTGAGCGACAGCGAGACTCCATCTCATAAAAAAAAAAAAAAAAAAAAAAAGGAAAGCAATGCTTCTGTCCCTAAGACACTGGCTATCTTTTATTTATTTATATGTTTTTTGAGACGGAGTTTCGCTCTTGTTGCCCAGGCTGGAGTGCAATGGCATGATCTCAGCTCACTGCAAACCCTGCCTATAATCCCAGCACTTTGGGAGGCCGAGGCGGGCAGAACACCTGAGGTCAGGAGTTCAAGACTAGCCTGGCCAACATGGTGAAACCCCCGTCTCTACTAAAAATACAAAAAATTAGCCAGGCGTGGTGGCGCATGCCTGTAGTCCCAGCTACTCAGGAGGCTGAGGCAGGAGAATCACTTGAACCCGGGAGGTGGACGTTGCACTAAGCAGGGATTGCGCCACTGCACTTGAGCCTGGGCGACAGAGCGAGACTTTGTCTCAAAAAAAAAAAAAAAGAAAGAAAATCAGATTTTATTTTGAAAAGCAGGTCCAATACTTAAAGAACCTGGTGGGAAATCCTTCTGTGGTATGATACCACTGCCCACAGACACCTCCAATATAACTGTTAGATCATCTGTATGAGACCAACAATTCTCCCAAGGCAGGATGTGGCGGTTGCTGTCAGGAGCTTCTTCCAAAGCACTAACATTCCTGCCCCCACAGACCCTCTGAAGAAGGTAGTCTCTTCTAATCCTTACCCAGTCAGAATTATGGGCTTTGAGTTGGTGTGCTAAGGGTAAAAAGGCGGCCAAGAATACTCACCAGGAAACACAGGCAGGACCAGGTGACAGGCCCCAGACCCCAGTCCCTCTGGAGCCAGAACCAGCACCTCCCAGTTTGCTTTACCCTTGTAGAGAGTGTAACTTCCAGCAGGGCTAAAAATCACAAATGGCATACAGCCAGAGGGCAGGGCCAGGCTGTGTAAGCAAAAACCAGAGATGTGCCAGAGAAGTTCCGGATTTAGAATCCAAGCAATGAGAAGGAAGGGAGGTGAAGAGCCTCCTACAGCGGACCTATAAAGTAGGGGCCCTCTCTGGGCGAGATCCAGGTTGCCAGTAGGAAATCTCCCACCTCCATGAGCCTCCTCAATTGTTCCAGGGACTCTCAGCAGCCTGATCTTTTAGGAGGAGAGATCCAGTGACTGGGACTCAAGTGATACCAGCTTACCAGTTCTGAAAACACTCCTCTGTGGAATTACCAGCTCACAGAGCAGAAAAGTCCTATGGTGCCTCCATTTCCTCCCTCACTATAAAATCTGAGCAATATGACTTGTCCCTAAACAACCCAGCAAAACTACAGTGTGAGGCTGTGGGAAGACTGTTTCACACAGCTCAACATGCCTCAAGGAAAAAGATTCCACTAGTTCTTCACTCACTCACTCATTTACTTGACCATCATTTTCTGACTGCCCACCAAGCACTGAGGTGCAAGATGCCTTGCAGGATTCTTAGCAGACACCAGTCTAGCAATTGCAAGAAAATTTCTGTTAACACTGACCCTGTTGATTCTGGACTCCTCATACGAGATAATTACATTTTGTGTTTATGCTATCTGAATGAGTCAGTTAAATAATTTAATCCCATAAGTATGACTGCCAGTTGGAAAACTGAAGTGACTTAAGGGACTCTTGATTTTCTACTCATTAAAGTAGCTCCTCTCAGGATCTCTATCAGCTAGCAAATACACAAGTGGAGGTACCATGGAATTCCAAAAATAAACAAACCTAATGACTTCACAAAATTTTTTTTTTTATTTAACTAACTCAAGCCCTTCTATCACTGGTCTAAGTCAATATGCTTTTACTGTATTACTTTCATGCTTTTACTGTATTACTTTCAAAGAAATGAAGCCAGAATTCAATAAAGAAATGAGAAATGAACTTTGAGGCTGAATATCTGAGTTTGAATCCTAATTCTGCATTTTCAGATATTCAGCCTCAAAGTTCATTTCTCATTTCTCCACTCCCTGTCTCTTAGAGATGAATTTTCCAAAGAGGGGCAGACAGAGCAAAAGCTGCAGCCTGGAGCTAGGAGCAGTGAAGAGGTGGGCAGAAAAAGAGACACCCTGTTACTTGAATATGGTGGGTGGGCTGAAACCGGACAAAATTATTTTACCTTGGTGGGCTTGGTAATGAAGAGCCATTGTAGGCTCTTGAGCAGATAGTGGTGATAAAAGCAGTGATCAGGGCAGGTTTTATGTTGTAGCATGCAAAATGAATGAAGCAGAAAATGAAATTAGAGAAACCAGTTAGTAAGCTGTAATGGCAATACAAGTATGAAATAATAAGGTAGCAACTAGCGTGGGCGGGTGGGATTATAAAGAAATGGATCAATCTAAAGACACTTTATAGAATAAGTGCTGATTTGACAGTCTCTCAGGCAGGAAGAGGAGAACAGAGTAACAAGTCACTGATAATGCCAAGGTGTTTGTCTACACCAAAATTGGAAGTGTACACATAAACAAAAAACAAAAAAAAGTAATAATCTAAAACACACAGGATTCTGTTACTTAAGTCACTATAGTGTCACTTTCTAAAGTAATTTTTATTTTTTTCCAAGACAGGGACTCACTCTGTCACCCAGGCTGGAGTGCAGTGGCACGATCATGGCTCACTGCAGCCTCGAACTCCTAGGCTCAAGGGATCCTCCCACCTCAGCCTCCCAAAGCGCTGGGATTACAGGTATGAGCCACTGCGCCTGGCCTAAAGTAATTTTTAAATGCTGTTGTGGCTGTTGTTTATGATTACTGCCCACTCCTACCTCTCCCCAGTCTCTACTCTTCAGGTTCTAATTGAGACCACACACTCCTCTCCAGTCTCTCTCAAGGAGACTTCTGGCAGGAAGGGAAGAACCAAAATACCACCTCCCCTCCAAGCCTGTCAAAGGTGCCAAATCTAGGGAGTCTCCACTCCCACCTATTGCTTCTACTTTAGAAGTAATTTTTTTCTCTAAATGGAAATCTCCAGCCTATGGAACATTTCCTCTTGGATGTACCTCTAGCTCTTCAAATTCAACTCCAGGAAACAAATCCATCTTCCCCTTCTAGAGGAGTGGCTCCCCTTTCCAGTTAGCCCCATTTCCATCATGATAGGTAACCTTCCAATTTTGGTGTAGATAAACACCTTGGCATAATCAGTGACTTGTTAGTCTGTTCTCAAACTCCTGAGCTCAAGCAATCTGCCTGCCTCAACTTCCTAAAGTGCTGGGATTACAGGCATGAGTCTTGCTCTGTCACTCAGGCTGGGGCACAGTGGCGTGATCTCAGCTGACTGCAACCTCCGCCTCCTGCATTCAGGCCGTTCTCGTGCCTCAGCCTCCTGAGCTACTGCTGGGACTACAGGTGTGCACCACCACTCCTGGCTAATTCATTTTTGTAAAAACCTCCCAAAGTGTTGGGATTACAGGCATGAGGCACTGCGCCTGGCTGAAATAGCCTTTTTCTATATGCTTTGTTAGTCACATTTGAATTTATTCTTCTATGACTTTGGCCCATTTTTTTGTGGTATTTTTTTTCCTATTAACGTGTAAAAGCTCTGTGTACATTAGAGATATGTTGAAAACTGTTTTTAACCAGTTTGTCATGTACTTTTGCTTATGCTGTTACTTTTTTTTAGCTAATTCATCACACATTTTCCTTTATAGTTTCTGCCTTTAGTGCCATACTTCAAAAAAAAAATTATCTTCTAGTACATTTATTACTTTAGTTTTTATGTAAAAACTTGTAATCCATTTAGAATTAATTTTGTTATATGGTGACAGAAATTTTTTTTCTTGTCAGCCAGCTGTCCTGTATCATTTGTCCTAACACTATCCTTTCCTGCTGAAACCTAGGTCTGTTTCTGGATTTTCTAATCTATTGTGAGCTCTCCTCCTTGACAAGAATTCTTCTGCCCAGTTGGACTAGTTTTTCATTTGTCCACAACAGGTTTTGTGAAGGTTGCTGCTTTTATTGTTGCTTTTACCTAGAATATCCTCCTATTTTTCCTCCATAGATCCTTCAATGTAAAACCATTATGCAGATAAGCAGTAAGTGCTACTCAAAACAAGAAATACCTTCAAAAGATGGAAGATAATGGAAAAGTAAACATCAGAGGGTCTACATATTATTCTTTGTGTAGCTAAAGAAATGCATGAAGGCTGGGCAGAGTGGCTCATGCTTGTATTCCCAACACTTTGGGAGGCCAAGAAAGTTGAATTGCTTGAGGCCAGTGGCCTGGGCAACCAGGCTGGGCAACATACCAAGTTCAAGACCAGCCTGGGCAACATACCAAGACCCTGTCACTAAAAGACAAAAAAAATAGTAGCCAGGTGTGGTGGTGATCACCTGTAAGTGCTAGCTACTCAGGAGGCTAAGGTGGGAGGATTGCCTGAGGCCAAGAGTTTGAGGTTACAATGAGCTATGACCACATCATAGCACTTCACTCCAGCCTTGGCAACAGAACAAAACCATGTCTCAAGGGGGAAAAAAAAGCGTATGAAGCTCTTTATTCCCCCTTGGTAGGCTCTGGACACACAGAAGTGAACCCAGAAGTGATTTTAGGAGGAAGAGTTTGAGAGAGTTAAATTGCTTGCAAAATAGAATGACAGAAGTATTTGGAGTTCTAGTGGTAATATGCTAAGGAGAGTTTGCAGAGGAGAGAAAGATAAGATTATAAAAGACCAAGGCCAGCTGGGTGGGGTGGCTTACGCCTGTAATCCCAGCACTTTGGGAAGCCGAGGTGGGCGGATCACCTGAGGTTGGGAGTTCGAGACCAGCCTGACCAACATGGAGAAACCCTGTCTCTACTAAAAATACAAAAATTAGCCAGGCATAGTGGCACATGCCTGTAATCCCAGCTACTTGGGAGGCTGAGGTAGGAGAATCACTTGAACGTGGGAGGCAAAGGTTGCAGTAAGCCGAGATCATGCCATGGCACTCCAGCCGGGGCAACGAAAGCAAAACTCCATCTCAAAAAAAAAAAAAAAACAAAGCCAACATATGTGGGTGATATGAATAATGACAAATCCCTAGTGGAGGGGTGGGCAAAAGTACTCTGAGGAACAGGAATAACCAGTATTAGAATTCAAGTTGCTTACTTTGTTGCAATGTTGAATTCTCTCCATTATCCCAAACCTTTGATAAAGTCTGCAACGCATATAAAGGCTTTAGCTGGGAGTTCTACATCTGTATCATTGTGGATGGAAACAGGGTCAGTGTACTTGATCTAGTAAACCATCCATAATCTAAACAAATTCAATGGAAGCAAGAGCTCAAAATCAGAGCTCCTGGGAATTTGAAGAAATCTGAAGAAGGAATCAGAACAACTTGCTGTAAGTTGAAGAATGACATTTTCAGCCAAAACTTTAAGGAGAAGGATGACTCCAGCTAGCTGATGGGTTATACTAGGATGCTCAATCCTTAGACGTTTAAACCAGATTACATGAGGTTCCACAGTGATTTACACAAACAGCCAGCAGGGGAGGTGCCAATTACTCTGCTTGCACAAGAAACAAACTGAGGATCATATGCCCCACCTCTTCTCCATTCTGCATGCTCCTAAAAAGGTCTTCTGGCCCCTACTGCACCTAAGGGTGGCCTTAGTCAACTCTCAAGTTTTCTTCCAAGGTTCTAGCCCTCAGATGCTTCCTCTCCACGACTTCCATTTTACTTAGAGTCTGAATCTCAGCTTAACCTTTAATTGTTCTTGAATAAGAAAAGAAAGAACCACATCCTAAACATCTTACATTACAACCGGAGACTATTAAATTCCCAGTGGGGGAATAGAAAACAGTAATGCAAAAGCATGTTAACAAATGACGCCAGACAGTGATGCTCCTAAATCAAGGAAATGAGGAGGAGGAGGAGGTTTGGAAAGGGAAAGAGAATGGTGTGATGAACAATATAATTTGGCTTGAGACATGTTGAGTTTAAGGTGCTTAAGAGCTATCCAGGTTACAATGCCAATAGTGTTTGGCTATTATGAGTAAGAAACTCAGAAGAGAGAAAAATCTAGGTGGAGGATGATGGTATTAAAGTACTTGATGTATCAGTGGTAGCTGAACCAATAAATATAGATGGCATCATCTAGAGACAGTATATAGAGGGAGTAGAGACAGTTGGGCATAGTGGCACCCACCTATGTAATCTCAACTACTCAGGGAGGCTGAGACAGGAAGATTGCTTGAGCTCAGAAGTTTGAAGCTGCAGTGAACTGTGATCACACCACCGCACTCTAGCCTGAGTGACAGAGCAAGACTTTGTCTCTTTATTTATTTTTTAAATTTTTATTCATTTATTTTGAGATGGAGTCTTGCTCTGTCACCCAGGCCGGAGTGCAATGGCCTGATCTCAGCTCACTGCAACCTGAGACTTTCCCTAACAGCCTTCCTAAAGCTGTTAACAAGTTTTCCACAGTTATAAGCCAATTAATACTTAGCAAATACCGGCTGGGCACGGTGGCTCACGCCTGTAATCCCAGCACTTTGGGAGGCCGAGGCAGGTGGATCATGAGGTCAAAAGTTCAAGACCAGCCTGGCCAAGATGGTGAAACTTCGTCTTTACTAAAAGTACAAAAATTAGCCGGGCGCAGTGGCAGGCCCCTGTAATCTGACCTACTCGGGAGGCTGAGGCAGGAGAATCACTTGAACCCGGGAGGCAGAGGTTTCAGTGAGCCGAGATCACACCACTGTATTCCAGCCTGGGTGACAGAGTGAGACTCCGACTCAAAACTAAACTAAACTAAACTAAACTAACGTGGCAAATACTTGTAGACTGACCAAATAAACTACAAGCTCTATTTAAGATCTCTGAATGCCCATTTCAAGCCCTCTTCCCACTTCCTATAAGCGAGCTGACTCCCTGGTCTTCAGTTAAAACCATAGTCTTTCAGAAGAAATGGCAAAAATGGACAAATGCCATAGGCTAAGGCCCCAAGGGTGGGGCTTGTCTACGGAGAATGCTGCTTACTGGATGCTCAAAGAACATACCTAAGGACATGGTCCATCCATATTTAAGGTCATGGTCAAAGCTGAGCCTTTCCATCTAGTTTATGATTAGCTAAGCCAACTGAGATCAGCCAACTAATGATCTCACTCACGACAATAAAGACACATACATGAGGGTCTCAAGAGGACCTAGTAATTTCTTCATCAGAAGTCTTAGAGATTTCTTTCAGGTGGTCTTTCCCCAGCTGTGCTGGTTGGGAATGGCATGCAGGGGAAGTAACTGGCTTGCTCTTTGGTTACTAGCTAAGCCAACTTCCATTCCTGGTACGTGGTCACCCACCCAGTCGGATTTAAATGGCGACCCACCTGTAACACCGCCCTGCCCACAGAGCATGAGCTTATCTCCATTCAAGGATTGAAAAAAAAATTATAGTCTGGACTGCCCACAAGATATAGAAGAGAAATTTAATAGGGAAAGGAGAAAATTTATGTCATACTCATTCCATAAAAATGAGCTACATCCCATCTGGCACTGATCCCCATGTGTAACATCAAAATCCTGAACTAGCAGTTAAACTTGAGACTGATGCTGAGATGAATATAGTCCCAGAGTAGAAGGAAGGGTGCTCAGGAGCACTCTAGAGAAATTCTGAGAGGTCCAATCTAGGGAAGAGAGCCTCAGAGAAGCCCTCCTATCTTGTATCCAGAAGCCAGTGACGACCATGGCCGTGATGGCACCATTGCATTTACCACTTCCTGTTTCCATTGGGAAGAAGAGGATTCAAAGTGGAAGAAAGAATGCAGAATTCTTCCTTCCTCCCTATTTTAGAGTTCCACTGCGGATTAGAGCTATCCTTATGCAGACACACAGGAAATAGTGATTACTACCTTCATCTGGAATTTCAGATGAAGGTAATAGTAACATTATCTTCATCTGGAATTACTCTATTTGATGTCCATTCCTTTGGGATAAAGATTCACTCTTTCCAAAACTGTATTCCACCAAACACATATTCTGTAAGATTTTAATAAATATTCCTTCAGAAAAAAAAAATGGATCTCTAGTTAAATACGTTTGAAAAATGTTATATATTCTATTTCCCTTTTGGAGTTTTATAATGCATATTAAAAGCTCTTTTTGAGGTGCAGGCAGCTGGACAGCTAACATGAAATCCAGGGCAAGAGCTCAACAAAGCTAAGAGCCTTGTTCCAGAAGGCAGCAGGACAGACTAGCATGGCATCTAATTAGCGCAAAGAGCACTAGGCGAAGTTCAAGGTGGTCAACACAGGGAGATCTGTGCATGGACAGAACTCTACCTACTAAAGCCTAGATGCAAGAAAAGGCTCTAGTATCAGATAAGTGACCTGGCCAGGGAAAGTGTGGAAAGTCCCTGGTGAGGGACTGACAGCAGGGCTTTAGTCCTGGACAGGGTTAGGAAGTCCAGGCAGAGGAACAAGACAAAGTTTGTACTTCTAGGTAAAAGCCAAAATAAAGGTGAGATGGAGGGAAAGCAGAAACTGATAGGCAGAGAGCTGTCATTCAGGGCATAGAACACATGCCCAGGAGTTCTTCCCTACTGGAGACACTGGCTCTAATATCCTAGTGATCAGCAGATCCTGCTTTCCACTAGACCTCGTGTATGAGGCTGCAGGGGTTGAGGGGAGAGGAAACGGTGTAGGATGTTCAGAAATCTCAAGTAGTGCTGATTCCATTAAGGTAGGGGGTACAGACCTTGCCAAACTTTGGGGGATAGGGAGGACAGGCCATTCCTAGGCTGCCCACTAGGGAAATGTGTCCAAAAAAATTAGCTAGAACCCAAGAGGCCTCAGTGAAGCTAAAAGTCTGGATCAAAAATAAAGTGCTCCAGACTTAGAATAGGAATATGGACAGTGAAATTGAACCTCAGGGTGGAGGCATCTATAAACCCAATTGTAAGGAGTTCAGAAAGGCACTGAGATTTGAGTTGCCTCTGTAAAATATGCCCTTGGGGGAGAAAACGCTGTGAGAATTCTAATCATAAAGGCAGTTAGAGAACACTGGTGAATGAAAGATGATGCCAAGTCAACTAGGAAGGGTCTCTCTTTGGAAGAACTCAGGCCAAAAAAGCTGTATGCCTTCTTTGGGAGGCCGAGGCGGGTGTATCACCTGAGGTCAGGAGTTCAAGACCAGCCTGGCCAACATGGTGAAACCCCATCTCCACTAAAAATACAAAAATTAGCTGGGCGTGGTGGTGCGCGCCTGTAATCCCAGCTACTTGGGACGCTAAGGCAGGAAAATCACTTGAACCCAGGAGGTGGAAGTTGCAGTGAGCCAAGATTGCTCTACTGCACTCCAGCCTGGGTGGCAGAGTAAGACAGAGTCTCGCATTTAAAAAAAAAAAAGTTGTATGTCTTAATCACAGGGACTATCTTTGCAGCTTCTGGATCAGCTCTTTTGGCTCCACAAAATTAGTGGACAAGGGGGAACTGCACCTTTGCATGGATACCCCAAGTGCTTTGTCATCGCTTTTTGCATGGCTTATTTTGCTTTCTGGTAAATTTCTTAGCATAGCTCATTGGGAAATTGAGACCAGAAGTTGTCCGTGACCACCAGCCACAAAGGAAATGCCCTGCCCTTGTTGCCACTGGTGGCCTCTTTTGCGCCACCATTTTGCATCATTTCTTGGAAGCTGTGCCTCCCCCTTCTAAGATCTGTGACAGTCTTTGTCTCAGTACATCACAGTAAACCACAGACCCAAAGGTCCAGCACTCCTGGTTACATTATAGCTGTCAGCTGCTCTCCAGACAACATTGTGCCTCCATCCGAACATGCTGGTGGGCTATCTACTCAGCACAACCTCTTTTGGGGTCATGGGCCTCCATAACCAGCACTGTCAGCTGCTTGTCTTTTCTCAGACAAAACTGTGAAGGAAACCAAGTATTTCTTTAGAGACCCAGCATCTCTCTTCAAGGCCTTTATCTCAAACTCATTGGTGTCTCCTTCTTGTCCCTGCAACTAGGGGCACAGTGCCTTCTCCTCCCTATCCCTTCCTCAGTCTGGTTCTCAGAAATCAATCTTATAAACTCATTCATACTTCCAGTTAACATGACCAAAATGTTTCACAATCAAAACTCTTCCTGGAGTCTCTTCATTTTTAATAGGGTCTCAAAGATTTAAATCAAGAAAAAGAAATTTCAATTGTGGGATCCCAAGCAATAGCAAACAGCTAGGGCAAGTTTTTGAGGGGCAGGACACATTCTTGGTCCCCTGAAATTATACCACTTGACAGACCAGCTCTTTTTATTCCATCACCTGACACCTTCAAGCCATCTCTTCTGCTAGCCCAGGGGCCAGGATCCCTGGATGTGTGCCAGCACCCACTGCTATCTGGTCTCCCTTGGAGAAGAAAAAAGGAGACACCTAATGTTTTGTTTTGTTTTTCTGAGACAGAGTTCCACTCTTGTTGCCCAGGCTAGAGTGCAATGACACGATCTCGGCTCACGGCAACCACCGCCTCGCGGATTCAGGCGATTCTCCTGCCACAGCCTCCCAAGTGGCTGGGATCACAGGCATGAGCCACCACGCCCAGCTAATTTTGTATTTTTAGTAGAGACGGGGTTTCTCCATGTTGGTCAGGCTGGTCTCAAACTCCCAACCTCAGGTGATCCGCCCACCTCGGCCTCCCAAAGTGCTGGGATTCCGGGCGTGAGCCACCACGCCTGGCTGAGACACCTCTTATTTACTCAGTAATCATTCACTGCAGTAGTCACACAACAGGTGCCACCAGCTCCAGTACATGCAGTGAGGATACACCACACCCTCACCTCTGGCCCCATCACACCTGACTTTGTGAGCCACATCAACAGATTTTATGTAGATGATAGGACAGAGCCACTTAAGCAGTAAACCAATTACCAGTGGTGTTTTGACACGTGTGGCCTATGCTGTGATGAAGAACAAAGGCTTTTTGAAATCCTCACCTACAGCCAATTGGTATCTTTCCCACATATGTTGCTGCAGCATCTCTATATATAGAATCTAGTATTCTATAAACAGAATGTTCTGGCTAAACACGTCCCAACAAGCAAAATCGCAAGGTGGGTAAAAATGGCATCTCATCACCCTTCTTTCTCCTACCCTCCTTTCCTAAATCTCACCAGGGACAGAAAAGCTCTGTGAAAACAGCATGGGCTCTGGCGTTGTACAGACTTGAGGAGAAATAAATCCTAGCTCAGCCTTTTTATTAGCTGTGTGACCTTGGGCAAGTTACATAACTTCTTTGACTTTCAGCTTGCCCATGTGCAAAAAATGGGAATACTTTATTGGTTTGTATTACAATTAAATAATGTATGAAAGCATCTAATACATGCCTGGCTCTCAAGGGACACAAGTTTCTGTTATCCATCTAAATTATCATGTACCTGGTATCCTCAAGCTATCAAAGCCAAAGTGTGTGCCCCACACAAATATTCCTTTCCTTTCCTAAACCCTACTGAAGCTGCCATCCCCTCTAAGAGCTGATCTAATCACACTGTTAAAAGGAATGCAATTCTGATGAAACGAATTCAAGTAAAACATAAACAACATTGCTGGGTTTCCATATTAACTCTGGGGGCGGGCGGTTTCTGCATTTAAAAAAGCCTGGTTGGGAGGCCGAGGTGGGTGGATCACTTGAGGTCAGGAGTTCGAGACTAGCCTGGCCAACATGGTGAAACCCTGTCTCTACTAAAAACACAAAAATTAGCCAGGCATGGTGGCACGCACCTATAATTCCAGCTACTTGGGAGGCTGAGGTGAGAGAATCGCTTAAACCCAGAGGCAGAGGTTGCAGTGAGCCGAGATCACACCACTGCACTCCAATCTGGGCAATAGAGCGAGACTCTAAAAAAGCCTGGAAATTCAAATGAGAGGCAGGACGTGTAATGGTGAAGCTCTCCTAAAGGACAGGAGACCAGTGTTCACCTTTTCCCCTGCAAGCACAGCCTCTTTCACTCTCTCTGCAGAAGATGAGAAACCAATCAGAGCTACAGAACATCAGCTCAGATTGCTGAATGTCACACCTCAAATCAACAACAGGTCCAGAATAGAACTTGGAGCCTTGGCTACCCCTCCTGCTCTAGTCAGCACATGTCACTTCCTTACCCAGGAAGATGTGGTGTTTTGTTTTTTGTTTTTTCCCTAGGAGGTTTCCAACACTATTTTAAACTCTTTGGACTCAAGCAACAGGATCTGACTATGGTCACAGCCTTGAAACAGTGTGCAGGAGGCCTGGACCTTACTTCTAGCATCACGCCTTTCTTTAAATGGTCTCAACAAGGCCCAGATTAACACAGGTGGTAGAATGGACCTATGTCTTGACTTGTCTCTTAGTGATCCAGGAAGGAGGATCACAGAGAAATTTCTAGGCTTCCCACATACAGGATCACAGAAGCAGATTATTAAGGCTAAAATCAGCCTAAGTATAATCACCTGACACATGTGCTATGCTGACTATAAATCACAATTCAGGATGGGAGTTCTTATTATTAGGTACTCTTTGGCGGTATGCATGTTCTCCTTTGCTTTCCTGGCAAGACCCTAGGAAGCCAAGGGCACTAGCTCAGGCTGGGGTCTGAGAAGCCAAACACCCCTGGGGGAGGGAGGGTGGTCGAAAAGGCTGGCTGGCAGCTTCAGCAGGTGGTATAAAGGGGAACTGAAGGTGAAGTCTAGGGTGAGGGAAGTACTGGTCCAGGCAGGATTACTCAACAGCATGTGCTCAGGGAACTGGCAAAACAAGAACAACAACAACAACAAATATTTTAAGTTACTTTATATTTATGAAAGTGGTAACCAAGGTAAAAATCAGAATTTTGCTGCATTTTCTTTATATTTTGCTAGGTTTCTTTATACTTGTTTTGCATTTACGCTGTTTTTAAAATACATACGGAGGGATGAAAGTATGAGGGACATAATAATTTTTCTATTGCTTAAGACTATTAAACAAATTCTTAATCTGGCCCCTGACTTCAGGAAGAAGCAAGGAAAACCAAGAGTTTGAACTTTCCAGGTCAATATTCATTTCTTCATTCAATAAATATTTCTTGAGGTGTTAGTAAGCATCAGGCCTTTGCTCAGTCCTGGGATACAGCAGCAAACAAAAGAGATGTGGTTCCTGGAGTTCAGTTTAGTGAGAGTGGGTAAGAACAAGAACAGGATCTAAAGCCAAAGGTCTATATTGGAAAACAGGCAAGATTCCACAGCCAGCAATTAAATGCCAACAGAAAAGCCCAGGGGCATGCAAGAAGCTATTCAGGAAGATGAGCTGGTTCAGAAAATGCTCTCATCCCCTCACTCACTTTGACAGGGGAGACAGCCACTGTGGTGGGTTGAATTCATCAATGTAAGTGCCCTCACAGCCAATGCCACCATGAAACTGCCCGTTCTCTGTTCACAGCCATGTAACTATATAAGCTATGTGCAAGATCTTGAAAGCTCCAAAGAAAAACACAAAATTGTCTACTGACAGAAATTCTAGAAGGTACAGCACGCCAAAAGTGGGAAGTATAAAACCAACTACCAGAGGCAGCTGGGGGATCCTCCCCCGACATAGTCACTACACTTCTCTGACACTGCATGAAAAGTAAAAATAGCAAAGGGAAAATAAAGGGGAGAGGGGAAGAGGGATTGGAGAAGAGATCAGGTGAGATGGTCAGGCTACAGTCAGAAGCCTCCCGAGAGGAGTTTCTGATTTACAGTATGAAGCAGGCAAAACATTAAGAAAGGCTATGGCCTGGTGTGTTAGAAAAACAAGTCATAGGCCAGGCGTGGTGACTCATGCCTGTAATCCCAGCACTTTGGGAGGCTAAGGCAGGTGGATCACAAGGTCAAGAGATCGAGACCATCCTGGCCAACATGGTGAAATGCCGTCTCTACTAAAAGCACAAAAATTAGCTGGGCGTGGTGGCGTGTGCCTGTAATCCCAGCTACTCAGGAGGCTGAGGCAGGAGAATTGCTTAAATCCGGGAGGCAGAGGTTGCAGTGAGCCGAGATCGCGCCACTGCACTCCAGCCTGGTGACAGAGCGAGACTCCATCTCAAAAAAAAAAAAAAAAAAAAAAAAGAGGCAAGGCATGGTGGCTCACCCCTGTAATCCCAGCATTTTGGGAGGCCGAGGCGGGCAGATCACGAGGTCAGGAGATCGAGACCATCCTGGCTAACACAGTGAAACCCCATCTCTACTAAAAATACAAAAAATTAGCCGGGCGTGGTGGCAGGTGCCTGTAGTCCCAGCTACTTGGGAGGCTGAGGCAGGAGAATGGCGTGAACCCAGGAAGCAAAGGTTGCAGTGAGCCGAGATCGCACCACTGCACTCCAACCTGGGGGACAGTGCAAAACTCTGTCTTAAAAGAAAAAAAAAAAAGAAAAAAGAAAAACAAGTTATTCCAGCAGCTCAGCTCCAGCACTGCCAGGAGGTGATGGCCATGGTAAAGGTGGAGACCCAACAACAGCAACAGCAGGAGGTATGGAATCTATGCACAGCCAGCACAGTAGGGGCCTACAGAGATCTCAAAGTATTTGACTTCTCTGGGCCTCAGTTTCCTTTATCTGAAAATGAAGATGGTAAGAGTGTACACTAATTACCTAGGACTGCCATAACAAATTACCACAAACTATATGGCTTAAAACAACAGAAATTTATTCTCTTGCAGTTTAGGAAGCTACAAGTTTGAAATCCAGGTGTCAGTAGGGCCATGCTCCCTCTGAAGGCTCTAGGGAAGAATCCTTCCTTGTCTCTTCTAGTTTCTGGTGGTTATCAGCAATCCTTGGAGGGCCAGAGCCATTCCTTAGTTTGCAGCAGCATAACTGCAATCTCTGCCTCCATCTTCATGTGGCCATCTTCCCTCTGTGTCCCTCTCTTCTTATGACAACACCAGTCACTAGACAGACTTTCCAGTACAACTTCATCTCAACTTGATCATATGTGCAAAGACCTTATTTCCAAGTAAGATCACTTTCTTTTTTTTTTTTATTTTATTATTATTATACTTTAAGTTTTAGGGTACATGTGCACAATGTGCAGGTTAGTTACATATGTATACATGTGCCATGCTGGTGTGCTACACCCATTAACTCGTCATTTAGCATTAGGTATATCTCCTAATGCTATCCCTCCCCCCTCCCCCCTCCCTCAAGTAAGATCACTTTCATAGGTTCTGGGACAACATGAATTTTGGGGGATACTATTCAATTCGGTACAGAGCACCAACCTTATAAGAAGTTTATACATGTAAGGTATTATACTTAGGACTATGACTGGCACACAATATCTGCTGTGTAAAGGTTGGCTACTCTTCTTCAACATCTCTGGCAGGTAGCTGCTGCCAAAAGGATATGTGGGTGTGTTCTCTTATGTAAAAATCACTCTCCCTCCATTTTGAGTCAGAGGCAAGAAACTGAATCAAACTAGAGTTCTGAAATAAGCTGACTAGCACAGAGCTAGAGCACATGTTTATTACCATTCAGTACCCCTTATCAATATCCCACCAATATTCTCAGTCTGGAGTGAAAAAATACCTGCTACAAGCATTTGTTTTTTGAACAACATAGACTTTATCATTCCAAATGAACAATGGCCCTTCAAAGCAGTCCCCTTGTTAGGATCTGCCTTCAAAGAGCCTTCAGAGCCAGCCAAGAAGCTGTAGCAGAGAGACAGCAGTCTCATCACTTACAATTCAGACTGTGAGTTCTGATCCCAAACTGCTTTACATGGTATATTCACCCCATGGTTTGGTAATGAAATGACTTTTGGCTGTATCCAAACATTAAATCCATTCTCTGAGATGGAGATGTGCTATTTCAGAGAAAGTGATATTCAAAATAACAAGCTACTTTCAAATTAGGGAAGAGGAGAACAGATTAAAGGTTCTTGCTCTTGCTTCTCCTTTAACAAATGAATTAGGGACAGCTACCCAAACTGAAAAAAAATACAAGGCTGGGCGCAGTGGCTCACGCCTGTAATCCCAGCACTTTTCGAGGCTGAGGTGGGCAGATCACAAGGTCAGGAGTTCGAGACCAGCCTGGCCAACATAGTGAAACCATCTCTATTAAAAATACAAAAATCAGCCGGGCATGGTGGCGAGTGCCTGTAGTCCCAGGTACTCGGGAGGCTGAGGCAGGAGAATCGCTTGAACCCAGGAAGCAGAGGTTGTGATGAGCCGAGATCATGCCATTGCACTCCAGCCTGAGCAACAGTGAGACTTCGTCAAAAAAAGAAAAAAGAAAAAAAAAGAAAAAAGAAATACAGCCAGATCCCAACCACTCTCTTCATATCAAAATAAATACCAGATGGATCAAAGATTTAAATTTAAAGATTAAAGATTTAAACACACACAGTACTCAAAAAGAACAAGTAACTATTTTTATAATTTTGAGGTGGGGAAGCACGCTTTTTTCTAAACATTGGTCTAGTAGCAGAAAAAATTACAAGGGAAGAGATTTTCTGACTACCTAAAAATGTAAAATTTGCACACAGAAAAAAAGCTACATAGACAAAGTTGAAAGGAAATGACAAAATGGGAACAATTCTATGTTATATATGATAGTCGACATGTTAACTCTTACAAATTAATAAAAAAAATTATTGGAAAAAATGTGTAGGCAAGGTGCAGTGCTTCACACCTGTAACCCCAATGCTTTGAGAGGCCAAGGCAGGAGGAGCACTTCAGGCCAAAGCTCAAGACCAGTCTGGGCTGCAAGAACCCATCTCTACAAAAAATAAAAAATTAGCCAGGTGTGGTAGCAGGCGCCTGTAGGCCCAGCTACTCACGAGGCTGAGGCAGGAGGATCTCTTGAGCCCAAGAGTTCAAGGCTACAGTGAGCTATGATTGCACCACTGCATTCCAGCCTAGACAACAAACCAAGACCCTGTCTCTAAAAGAAAAAAAAAAGTTCAAAAGTCATGAATAAGTGATTTAAAGAAAAAATACAAAGGTCCAAAATACCTCTGAAAATTCAACCTTTAATACTCAAATAAATGAAAATTAAAGCATTCCTAATGAGTGCTATGTTTCAGTTACTATTCTAAGCATTTTACTTGGATTTATTCCTCACAATAACCCTATAAAATAGGTGCTATCATTATCCCTACTTAACCGAGATGAAACTGAGGGACAAAGAAGGTAAATGACTTACCTAAGGTCACACAGTTAGTAAATGGCTGAGTCAGAATTCAGCCCCTAGCAGGCTGGCTCCAAAGTCACATTCTTAACCACTGTGTTACAAGACCACGTCTCACCTGTCAGATGAGGAAGACAAAAAATACAACACCCAATGTTATTAAAAACATGGGAAAACAGGCAATCTCATGTGCTAATAGAAGTTTATATTCTTAAGGGTAGTTTGGCTCCGTGAATTGACATTTTAAATATGCATACCCTTTAACTCAGCTGGCAAATTTCTTGGAATTTATCCTGAAGAGATAGTGCACAAGCATGCAAAGATGTATATATCAAGTGTTTATCATAGAATGCTCACAATAATCAAAATATTGCAAATAAAAAGCCCAATAAGTATACCAAATGTCCAACAAATTCATTCACTCAACAAATATTTATTAAGCATCAGTGATGTACCAGGAACTGTTCTCAATACCAAGTATAGAGCATGGATAAAAGAAAAAAGGGTCAGGTGTGGTGGTTGACACCTGTAATCCCAGCACTTTGGGAGGCTGAGGAGGGAGGATTGCTTGAACCTAGGAGTTTGAGACCAGACTGGGCAACACATTGAGACCCCATCTTTAGAAAAAAATTTTAAAAATAGCTGGGTGAAGCAGCACATGCCTGTAGTCCCAATTACTTGAGAGGCTGAGGTAAGAGGATCACTTAAGCCCAGGAGGTAAAGTTTGCAGTGAGACGAGATCATGCCACTGCACTCCAGTGTGGGTGACAGAGCGAGACCCTGTCTCCAAAAAAAAGGGGTAGAAACACTCATTCTATGATATAGAATGAGATGCTGCCTGATTCTAGCATAATAAAACAATCTTTAAAAGAAAAATCCCTGTCTTCATGGAGCTTATATTCTAATGGAGGGAAGTTAGGCAATAAGCAAATAAATAAGAAAAGTATATATCAGATGATGCTAAATGCTATAGAGAAAAATATAGAAGGGAAGAGAGATAGGGAAGAAAGGAGGATTGTTATCTTGTTACGGGAGTCAAAGAAGACCCCACTGATAACAGATAAAATAAATGGATTAAATATTAGAGAATAATAGCAGTATTATATCCACTCACTGAACTATAATTCAGCCCTTTATTCTGTATTTATTGACATGAAAATGTCCTCAATCAAGTGAAATCAAGTGAAAAAAAGATGGTAAAACAGTAACAAGATATGACTCCATTGATATAAAATTACACATATATATGCTCATATTCCAACTGGGAGAGTAGACCAACATCTAACAAGATTAATAATACTGAGTAAGGGTCCAGGCTGAGTGCCAGGCAACAGTATAAGCAGCGTATCTGTTCACGCACCCATTCACTGATCCTCCTCCCAATACCTATACTTTGCTCCAGAAAGAATTTAAGGACAGCAAATCTACACACCTCCTCAAGTTCTTTATTTCTCTAATCCTTTCTCTCTTCTTCCCAGAAGCCAGGCCAGTGACAGTGTGAAAAAGGGACATAAGAAGGATGGAAGGAAACCTCCACAGAATCTGGATGGGATTCCTCTTATTTCAATACATAGGAAACAGATCCTGGGGAGGCACAACTCCTCCCTGCACACCTGCAGGATTTGAAGCAAGGCCACCTGACTCAGACTCCCTATTTTCATCCCCTACAAAACCCAAGATGCCCTGCAGGGACAGCTGGGAGCAAGCCTGGCTCATCATATGGAGGTGAAAGGCCACAGGAGGCCAGAGCTCTACCCTTGGCACACAAGGCCTACATCTTTCTATGAGCAGAAATGACAGAGTCAAGCCCTTTTTGGCCCCTACCATGTCCTCTCCTCCATGCCTGTACTCATAAGCTATCCTGGCTAAGTTAATTCATGCTCAACCCCCCATATCCACCGCCTTGCCCATTTACCGCAGAGATTCACAGATTTCCCCACTAAGGTTCTTGAGACTAAGTCCCTACGAAGGAAAGCTGCCGAGGGTGACCAGACATGTTAGTTTGATTCAAACATTTTCAGTCTGGGGTGAGGGTAGCCAGGGTTCAGATCTATCTGCTCTTACATATGTAAGAGCAGACTACACTTCTTGTTTGAGCATAATGCCACAAACAAGGAACTGGAAACTTCCCAAAGGTGAAATCCACATTGTTGGTGCCTGTATCTTTAGCCTGGGGTGGGGGGTATAGGCACATGAGTGGAGGCAGGGCACTCAGGGAAAGACTCAACTACTTCAAAACATTTCTCACATACTCTCTGTCACCTCTTGGACACCAACTATAAGCCAGGCTCTGTGTTAAGTGCTTTCATACACTATTGACAAAAAAAGTAAAATCACTTTTATCAAACATTCCTACTATGTACTACTGAATTTAAGACGCCTAAAGCACATTCAGGTCCAGCTGCCCTGCTTATAGTTAAATATTCAGGCTTGTTGTTAAGCAGAGGATAGAAACCTGAGATTCTCTCCTCAGGGTTATCACAGAAGTCTACAAACTATCAAGTCTGATTCTTCAGGCCCCAATCTGGCTTCAGCTCTCTTACCTGTGCTTTCAGCAGGAAACATCACACTCATGTACGCATCTCAAGTCCCCAACACACTTGGTCTGCAAGTGGAAGAAATTCCCTGCTAGAAATGGGTACCACATGAGGTAGACAAAACCCAAAAGTAATCACACTTCTTCAGCAGAGGAACCTCTTTCTCTCTCCACCTCTCTCATCTTTGCCAAATGTGTATTTATTGAACAACTCGTATTATGCTCATCACTACAGGATATAAGAGATGCCTCCTGCCTTCAAAAATTTACCCTAATAGGGAAAACAAAATCAACACATAGGAAGCATGTTATAAAAATAAGAGGGCTCACCAGGCGCGGTGGCTCACGCCTGTAATCCCAGCACTTTGGGAGGCTGAGGCGGGTGGATCACAAGGTGAGAAGTTCAAGACCAGCCTGGCCAAAATGGTGAAACCCCGTCTCTACTGTAATCCCAGCTAGTCAGGAGGCTGAGGCAGGAGAATCGCTTGAACCCAGGAGACGGAGGTTGCAGTAAGCCGGTATCGTGCCACTGCACTCCAGCCTGGGTGACAGAGTGAGACTCCGTCTCAAAAAATAAAAAATAGGTGGGCGCGGTGGCTCACACCTGTAATCCCAGCACTTTGGGAGGCCGAGGCGGGTGGGTCACAAGGTCAGGAGATCAAGACCACGGTGAAACCCCGTCTCTACTAAAAATACACACAAAAAAATTAGCCCGGCGCGGTGGCAGGCGCCTGTAGTCCCAGCTACTCAGGAGGCTGAGGCAGAATTGTGTGAACCCGGGAGGCGGAGTTTGCAGTGAGCCGAGATCGCGCCACTGCACTCCAGCCTGGGTGACAGAGCAAGACTCCGTCTCAATAAATAAATAAATAAATAAATAAATAATAAAATAATAAGAGGGCTCCAGGATTTCTAGTGCATGGAACAGGAAAACAGAGATGCTGGTAAAACAAATGGAGAAGTGGGTAAAGTAAGACAAACGATGGGATGTCCTGGTATATACAGCTATCTTCAATTTCAAATAACCACATCTCCCCCTTTTTGGTTCCATTCCTAGTAGAGGTAGGTTTTACTTCAAGAAAAATCTCTAATACAAACATCTGAGACATAAAGTTGGGGATCATTCACAAGACAAAAAAGAGTCTCCTCTTTGCTGTAAAGTTAACTAAGATATTATTTAACCACCCCTTAAACTATCCATCATACATACATACATACATATATATACGTACAATGTTTATACCCAGCTTTTCAGGATCACATTTATAAGGTGAAGCAAAGTACTTTTAAAAAACACTCAGGACAGGCGAGGTGGCTCACGCCTATAATCCCAGCACTTTGGGAGGCCGAGACAGGTGGATTACCTGAGGTCAGGAGTTTGAGACCAGTCTGGCCAACGTGGTGAAACCCTGTCTCTATTAAAAATACAAAAATTAGCCAGGCGTGGTGGCGCACGCCTGTAATCCCAGCTACTCAGGAGGGCTGAGGCAGGAGAATCACTGGAACCTGGGAGGTGGAGGTTGCAGTGAGCAGAGATCGTGCCACTACACTCTGATGCCACTGGGCGACAGAGCAAGACTCCGTCTCAAAAAAAAGAAAAAGACACGCACACGTATGTTTATTACAGCACTATTTACAATAACAAAGACATGGAACCAACCCAAATGCCCATTAATGATAGACTGGATAAAGAAAATATGGTACATATAAACCATGGAATACTATGCAGCCATAAAAAGCAATGAGATCATATCCTTTGCAGGGACATGGATGAAGCTGGAATCATCCTCAGCAAACTAACACAGGAACATAATACCAAACACCACACATTCTCACTCATAAGTGGGAGCTGAACATTGAGAACACATGGATACAGAGAAGGGAATAACACACATCAGGGCTGTTGGGGGGTGGGGGTGAGGGGAGGGAACTTACAGGATAGGTCAATAGGTGCAGCAAACCACCATGGCACACGTACAGCTATGTAACAAACCTGCATGTTCTGCACATGTATCCAGTTTTGTTTTTTCTGGTTTTTAGAATAAAGAAAAAAAAATTTATAAAGGCAATGTATCAGGTTGGGTGTGATAGCACATGCCCGTAATCCTGACACTTGGGAGGCCAAGACGGGAGGATCGCTTGAGGTGAGGAGTTCAAGACCAGCCTGGGCAACATAGCAAGACTCCGTCTCTACAAAAAAATTAAAAATTAAAATTTTTAAAAAGGCAACGTATTGATGAATGAATGGCTAAACTATGATGCATACATAAAATGGATTATTATTCAACCTTAAACCAGAAACAAATCCTGTCACATGCTAGAGCATGAATGAACCCTAACACATTATGCTAAGTAAAATAAGCCCATCACACACACAAAAATACCGTATAACTCTATTTATATGAGGTAGTAAAGTATCCAAATTCATAGAAACAGAAAGTAGAATGGTGGTACCAGAGAGAAAGGAGGGGTAGGGCAAGAAGAGTTGTTGTTTAATGGGTACAGAGTTTCAGTTTTGCAAGATGAAAAAGTTCTGGAGATCTGCTGCACAAAATGTGAATATACCTAAGACTACCAAAATGTAAAGACTTAAAAGTGGTTAAGGCCGGGCGCGGTGGCTCACGCCTGTAATCCCAGCACTTTGAGAGGCCGAGGCGGGCGGATCACGAGGTCAGGAGATCGAGACCATCCCGGCTAAAACGGTGAAACCCCGTCTCTACTAAAAATACAAAAAATTAGCCGGGCGTGGTAGCGGGCGCCTGTAGTCCCAGCTACTCGGGAGGCTGAGGCAGGAGAATGGTGTGAACCCGGGAGGCGGAGCTTGCAGTGAGCCGAGATCGCGCCACTTCACTCCAGCCTGGGCGACAGAGCGAGACTCCGTCTCAAAAAAAAAAAAAAAAAAAAAGTGGTTAAAATGGCATATTTTACGTTTGTTTTTTACAATTTCTCATACCCTTAAAAATGGTTAAGATGGTAAATTTTATGTGTGTTTTTTTACAACTGCTTTTGTTTTGTTTTGTTTTGTTTAGACAGAGTCTTGCTCTGTCACACAGGCTGGAGTGCAGTGGCACAATCTCGGCTCCCTGCCACTGCAACCTTCACCTCCTGGGTTCAAGTGTTTCTCCCGTCTCAGCCTCGCGAGTAGCTGGGATTACAGGCGTGCGCCACCTCACCCAGCTAATTTTTTTGTATTTTTAGTAGAGACTGGGTTTTGCCATGTTAGGCAAGCTGGTCTCAAACTCCTGACCTCAGGTGATCTGCCCGCCTCAGCCTCCCAAAGTGCTAGGATTATAGGCGTGAGCCACCGCGCCCAGCTCACAACTACTCTTTTTAAAAAGGTAATGTTCATATGTGAAAAAAAAAAATTCAGCAACAGAGAAGGATATTAAAAAACAAAAAGGCCAGGCATGGTGGCTCATGCCTGTAATCCCAGCACTTTGGGAGGCCAAGGTAGGTGGATTGCTTGAGTCCACGTGTTCTAGACCAGCCTGGGCAACACAGGGAAAACCCATCTCTATTAAAAAAAAAGAAAGAAAGAAAGAAAAAGAAAATTTTCAGAAACAGTATGGGTATATAACAAGTATACAGAGTTTCTCCTCTTTTTACATATAAATGCTAACACTAGCACACTAACCATAAATACAATTTTGCACTTTTCTTTAGTTTTCTCTTAATGACAGATCTTGGAGATTGTTCCACATCAGCTTGTTTATGTATATCTGTGTCATTTTTCTTTTTCCTGCAACCAACCATCCATTATGTATCTTTTTTTTTTTGAAACAGGATCTTGCTCTGTTGCCCGGGCTGGAGTGCAGTGGTGTGATCTCGGCTCACTGCAACCTCCGCCTCCCAGGTTCCAGCAATTCTCTTGCTTCAGCCTCCCAAGTAGCTGGGATTACAGGCATGCACCACCACGCCCAGCTAATTATTGTAGTTTTAGTAAAGATGGGGTTTCATCATTTTAGCCAGGCTGGTCTTGAACTCCTGACCTCAAGTGATTCACCCGCCTCGGCCTCCCAAAGTGCTGGGATTATAGGCATGAGCCACTGCGCCCAGCCAGTAAAACGATTTTTTTGTTTTGTTTTTTTTTTTTAGACAGAGTCTCGCTCTGTGGCTAGGCTGAAATGCAGTGGCACAATCTCAGCTCACTGCAACCTCTGCCTCCCAGGTTCAAGCGATTCTCCTGCCTCAGCCTCCCGAGTAGCTGGGACTACAGGCGCATGCCACCATGCCCAGCTAATTTTTTGTATTTTTAGTACAGACAGCGTTTCACCATGTTGGCCAGGATGGTCTTGATCGTGATCTGCCCACCTCAACCTCCCCAAGTGCTGGGATTACAGGCGTGAGCCAACACGCATGGCCAAGCTCATTTCTACCAGGCTGTATGTGTTGGCTTTATCAGTACCACAAGGAATCACGGATATGATCAAGGAAATACATGAAATACACATCATCTTCTCAATGCTATGGTCACCCTTTACACTCTGCTGTCTTTATAAATTTCTTGTCAAAATTATTCATTTTACGTGTTTAACTCTGAGGAAACTGAGTCTCACTCTGTCACCCAGGCTGGAGTTAACCTCCACCTCTTGGGTTCAAGCAACCTTCACCTCCCGGGTTCATGCGATTCTCCTGCCTCAGCCTCCCAAGTAGCTGGGACTACAGGCACGCGCCACTGCACTCAGTTAATTTTTGTATTTTTTGTAGAGACAGTGTTTTGCCATGTGGGCCAGGCTGGCCTGGAACTCCTGGCCTCAAGTGACAGCCTGTGTCAGCCTACCAAAGTGCTACAATTACAGGTGTAAACCACCACGCCTTTACTCTGAAGAAATTTTTTTTTTTTTTTTTTGAGACAAAGTCTCGCTCTTGTACCCCAGGCTAGAGTGCAACGGTATGATCTCGGCTCACTGCAACCTCCACCTCCCAGGTTCAGGCGATTCTCCTGCCTCAGCCTCCTGAGTAGCTGGGATTACAGGCGCCTGCCAGCACACCCGGCTAATTTTTGTATTTTTAGTAGAGACAGGGTTTCACCATGTTGGCCAGGCTGGTCTTGAACTCCTGACCTCAGGTGATCCTCCCACCTCAGCCTCCCAAAATGCTGGGATTACTGGCAGAAATTACGCACCTGGCCAGAAATTTTTTTTTAAGTTTTATTACCCAACTTTTTTTTTTTTTTTTTTTTTTGAGACAGAGTCTCACTCTGTCACCCAAGCTGGAATGCAATGGCGCCAACCCGGCTCACTGCAAGCTCCGCCTCCCAGGTTCACGCCATTCTCCTGGCCTCAGCCTCCTGAGTAGCTGGGACTACAGGCGCCCGCCACTACGCCCGGCTAATTTTTTGTATTTTTTTTTAGTAGAGACAGGGTTTTCACCACGTTAGCCAGGATGGTCTCATCTCCTGACCTCGTGATCCGCCCACCTCAGCCTCCCAAAGTGCTGGGATTACAGGCGTGAGCCACCGTGCCTGGCCCACCAACTAATTTTTTTAAAAGCACCTCTTTCACTTCAGTGTCTCTCAGTCTGCTGATTGGTTTTCTTTTTTTTTTTTTTTTTATGGTAAATTGAATTTTTTTTTTAATTATACTTTAAGTTCTGGGCTACATGTGCAGAACATGCAGGTTTGTTACATAGGTATGCACACTGATTGGTTTTCTTAGAGGGAGCATAGTGAGGTAGAAATGAGGGCTCCTTAGATACATCAGGGTTCAAGTATCAGTTCTGCCATTTCCAAGTTAATTAATCTCTTAGAGCAGACGTCCCCAACCTTTTTGGCATCAGGGACCCGTTTCATGAAAGACAATTTTTCCATGGACAAAGGGGAGGGAATGGTCTCAGGATAATTCAAGTACATTACATTTATTGTGCACGTTATTTCTATTATTATTATGTTGTAATATATAATGAAATAATTATACAACTCACCATAATGTACAATCAGTGGGAGCCCTGAGCTTGTTTTCCTGCAATTAGATGAGATAGGAGACAGTGACAGATCATCAGGCATTAGATTCTCATAAGAAGCATGCAACCTAGATCCCTCACTTGCTCAGTTCACAATAGAGTTCCCACTCCTATGAGAATCTAATGCTGCGCTGATCTGACAGGAGGCACAGCTCGGGCAGTAATGCGAGTGATGGTTGTAAAAACACAGATGAAGCTTTGCTCACTCGCCCACCACTCACTCACCTCCTGCTGGGCAACCTGTTCCTAATGAGCCACAGACTAGGGTTGGGGACACCTGTCTTAGAGCCTCTGGGTTGTCAACTGTAAAAGACAGACGCTACCATCTATCTCCTACACAGGTAAAATCACAATATATGGTTGAAAAGCCTGTTAGAAGGCTAGGTGTGGTGGCTAATGCCTGTAATCCCAGCACTTTGAGAGACCGAAGCAGGCGGATCATCTGAGCTCAGGAAATTGAGACCAGCCTGGCCAACATGGTAAAACCCATGTTCACTAAAAATACAAAAATTAGCTGGGTGTGGTGGCGCACATCTGTAATTCCAGCTACTCGGGAGGCTGAGGCATGAGAATTACTTGAACTCAGGAGGCAGAGGTTGCAGTAAGCCGAGATCACACCACCACGCTCCAGCCTGGGCAACAGAGTGAGACTCCATCTCAAAAAAAAAAAAAAAAAAAGCCTATTAAAGAGGACAAAGTGCTGTCTCTGTTGAACCTGCACTGTCTCAGAAGTCAAAGAAATGCTTAAAGAAGTAGTAAAGGACAAGAAGGAATCTGCCAAATTGACATGAGAAAGGGTGTTTCTGGCAAAGGCAACAATACATACAAAGGGCAAGAGTTGGGCATAGTCGCCGGGCACAGTGGCTTACGCCTGTAATCCCAGCACTTTGGGAGGCCGAGGCAGCTGGATCACCTGAGGTCAGGAGTTTGAGACCAGCCTGACCACCACGGTGAAACCCCGTCTCTACTAAAAAAAAATACAAAATTAACCAGGTGTGGTGGCACATGCCTGTAATCCCAGCTACTTGGGAGGCTGAGGCAGAAAAACTGCTTGAACCTGCAAGGCAGAGGCTGCAGTAAGCTGAGATCGCTCCACTGCACTCCAGCCCGGGCAACAAGAGCGAAACTCTGTCTCAATTTTAAAAAGTTGTGCAGACACACGATCCAACAACACAGATACTAACATGAAAATAAAAATGTGGATTAGTCAACAAGTAGTTATTGAGTGTCTCTACATACTAGGCCCTGAAGATACATAACCAGGAACAAGTTCCCTGCCCTCACAGAGCTTAAAACCCACCAGGAGAGAAAGACAAACAGTTAAGTGGTCTTATGTAAACAAATGGGGTGCTAACAGTTTCTTTATATAGAGCGGCCAGAAAAGCCCTTCAAAAGGAGATAATGCTTACTTGACAATTAAAGGCAAAGGACAGGCCGGGCACGGTGGCTCATGCCTGTAATCCCAGCACTTTGGGAGGCCGAGGCAGGTGAATCACTTGAGGTCAGGAGTTCAAGACCAGCCTGGCTAACATGGAGAAACCCCGTCTCCATGAAAAATACAAAATTAGCCGGGCATGGTGGCGCACGCCTGTAGTCCCAGCTACTTGAGAAGCTGAGACAGGAGAATCGCTTGAACCTGGGAGGCAGAGGTTGTAGTGAGCTGAGATCATGCCACTGCACTCCAGCCTGGGTGATAGAGTGAGACTCTGTCTCAAAAAAAAAAAAAAACAAAAAAAAACCTAGGGATAGTTAATTGAGACATTATGCACAGTAAAGAGTGTTCCAGGCAGAGGCTATACAGCACTGCAAAGGCCTTCAGGCCAGAAACTACTGGAGAAGGGGTCAACGAACTGTGAGCAGATGAAGGTGCCAGCAGTAGGGAAGAAGGGGCCTGGGATGAGACTTGAGAAACATGCAAGGACCAGATACTGCAGGATCCAAGTAAAGAACTCAAATCTTTTCCCTGCCTTTTCTCTAAATATGGTCTGGAGGACCGGGTGCAGTGGCTCACACCTGTAATCCCAGCACTTTGGGAGGCAAGTGGATCACCTGAGGTCAAGAGTTCAAGACTAGCCTGGCCAACATAGCGAAACCCTGTCTCTACTAAAAATACAAAAATAAAAACAAAAAATTTAGCTGGGTGTGGTGGTGGACGCCTGCATTCCTAGCTACTCTGCAGGCTGAGGCAGGAGAATCTCTTGAACCTGGGAGATGGAGGCTGCAGTAAGCTGAGATCACTCCATTGCACTGCAGCCTGGGTGACAAGAGCAAAACTCTGTCTCAAAAAAAAAAAAAAGGAGAAAATAGATATCATAGATATCTTTGGCTGAGCACGGTGGCTCACACCTGTAATCCCAGCACTGTGGGAGGCTGAGGTGGGTGGATTGCCTGATGTCAGGAGTTCGAGACCAGCCTGGCCAACATAGTGAAACCCCGTCTCTACTAAAAATACAAAAAATTAAAAAAAAAAAAATTTAGCTGGGCATAGTGGCGGGTGCCTGTAATCCCAGCTACTTGGGAGGTTGAGGCAGGAGAACTGCTTGAACCTGGGAGGCAGAGATTGCAGTGAGCCAAGATCGTGCCATTGCACTCCAGCCTGGGCAACAAGAGCGAAACTCCATCTCAAAAAAATACATATATATATGATCTGGAGACCAGATGACTGGTGTCAGAATCACCTGGCAGGCTGATCAAGCTGCAGATTCCTGGTCACCACCCCAAACCTACTCAATTAGAGTATCTAGCAGTTGATACCAGGAAATCTGCATTTTAAACAAGTATCCAGCGCCCCCTCTCTCACCCTCATGGGTAATTCTGATGCACTAAAGCTTCAAAACCATAGCTCTAGGAACAAGGCTAATGAAGAAAGGCCCTTACTTGAAGCTGGCTGTCAATGTCATAATTAGAGTACTATGTAAAGCCAGAGTCAAGCTGGGCATTAAGTAATCTAGACAGAGCAGTCTGAGCTAAGTGTGATGGTGCACACCTATATCCCGGCAACTTGGGTGGCTGAAGCAGAAGGGTCATTTGAGCTCAAGTTCAGTGCTGTAGTGTGCTATGATCACGCCTGTGAACAGCCACCACACTCCAGCTTGGGCAACATAGCGAGACCTTGTCTCTAGAAAGAGAAGTCTGAATGAATTATGGAATTTGAAGGTCCCAAAGCAGAAAATAGAAGGCAGGACATTACAGCCATGGGACTTAAGAGAACAGAAGGAGCAAGCAAAGACAGTTAGCAGTCTCAGGGAAATCACTAACAATAGTCATGATCTCCAGCTCTCTTAGGTTGGTTTTCCCAGCATGGCCCTAGGAAGGAAATGCAGGTGCCTCACCTCACAGAGACTAGATGACCAGGCCATAGACTGCCCAGTCTGTGCACATAACCACTCCATCCAATCTTCAAAACAGAACACACCGTTCCTCAGTAAGTACTCTATCTTCATGAATCCCCATCAGCCTGCAAAAGAGCTCTGAGCTACATACAAAAACATTCAGAACACCTCTAAGGGCCAGGGACTAGCGCTACCCCTCAAGACTCTCTACTTGGCACATGAGTGCCCCCTAACGCTGTCAAAATTTAAGAGCCAGGTCAGAAACCTTGATGCCCACTCCTACATACCTTCGGATCCCACCATTCACACACATCCAGCCAGTCTTCCAGTACTTTTTGCTATGCCTCACTGACAGAGTCCCGTACTATATTCTACAGAATACTCTCTCCCCAAAATTCAGAGAGAAATTCCACAGATTCATGTTGAACAGAGTCCTGAACTCCTAAGGCTGCTGAGGCCAGCTCCTATGCCTGGTTCAGTGGGAGGAGGTAGCCTGAAGAGAGCTCACTCCCTTCACCCTGTCTGAAGGAAGCTCCAGGACTACTGCAGGCTTCTGTACATGCAACTTGTTTCAAAGATAAGGGAGTTGAACCTGACATATTTAAAAGAATGGATAGGCTCTTGGCAGCAGAAATTTAGGTGGGGGAAAAGTTAAGGTAGGATTTCTGGGGATTTCATTTTAAAGTAAAGAGCCCATAAAATACAGAGAAAGTAATATACACTCTCACTCAAATCCTTGTATGTCAACTATCTGATCCTTTCTATAATCCAAAAGCTGGTTCCAAACTAAAGAGGTAAGAATGCTAAAAGATGATTTAAGTAATCCCCAAGATTATTTATGACTCTAATCCTGAATTGCTTGCCCTGTTCCTTCTTACACTCTACTCACTATCCAGGTGCTCCAGGTTTATGATTTAATGATCCTGCTTCAGCCTTGTCTCATCTTATCCTTCAGGCCTTTTGCTTCCTTCCTTGCTTAGAATTCTACTCCGCTGTCAGTTATTCTGCCCTCAGCTACCTGAAGTTAATAATATGCCTACCCAGATTCTCAACCTTTATCCTCAGGACACATGCTCCCTTCATGAGCAAGTGTTTTGTGTCAGGCTTACCCTGGTTTCATGGATATGACTTAATCATTTTAGATGGTTCATCCAGGCAAACAAGGGAATTACCAAAGATGGACGAAATAGGAAGAATGACAATGAACCAAGGGCCAGTGTTTAAAACTCACCCTGACATCCTAAAGCACAGCTTCCTAGACCTCAGGTGCTGCCCCCAATACTCTATCCCCCTCCCTAGTGCCCCACCTCAAAGGTCCTTCTAGCCACTGCTGATAAGCTTTGACTAGGAATTCATGGTGAGCACAACATAAGCTTACAGTCTAGTGAAGGACACAGACAACAAAATAATTACAATACATATGATAATTAATGGCAATGCATGCAGAGTTGTAGGATCAAGGCTAATCAGGTGAAGTTATATGTATACTAAGCTATAACTTAGATGATGAATAGGAGATATCCAGGCAGTGGCAGAGCATGGGAGGAAGGGTGTTCTAGGCACAATGAAGAGCACACGCAAAGGCCTTGCAGCAAGAAAGCACATCTAAAGAGATGTCATGAGCTGGAGGATGGGAAGGTCAAGATAGGTGACTGATGCAGATGATGCTGGAGAGGCCAAAAGGGCCTAATAGGACAAAGAAAGTTGTTTTACTATTCACTTCACAAGTATTGTCAATAATGTGTCAGACATTGTCCTAGGTGCTAGGAATACAACAATGAATAAAACAAACAATATCAGCCAGGCACAGTGGCTCACACCTGTAATCCCAGCACTTTGGGAGGCCAAGGCAGGCGGAACGTTTGAGGTCAGGAGCTCAAGACCAGCCTGGCTAACATGGTGAAACCTTGTTCCTACTAAAAATACAAAACTTAAGCCAGGCATGGTGGCACACGTCTCTAATCCCAGCTACTGAGGAGGCTGAGGCACAAGAATCGCTTGAACCCAGGAGACAGACATTGCAGTAAGCCGAGATCGAACCACTGCACTCCAGCCTGGGCAACAGAGCCAGACTCCATCTCAAAACAAAACAAAACAAAACAAAAAAAAGGCCAGGTGCGGTGGGTGGCTCATGCCTGTAATCCCAGCACTTTGGGAGGTTGAGGCGGGTGGATCATGAGGTCAGGAGATCGAGATCATCCTGGCTAACACGGTGAAATCCCGTCTCTACTAAAAGTACAAAAAATTAGCGCCTGTAGTCCCAGCTACTCAGGAGGCTGAGGCAGAAGAATGGCATGAACCCAGGAGGCGGAGCTTGCAATGAGCCGAGATGGCGCTACTACACTCCAGCCTGGGTAACAGTGCAAGACACCATCTCAAAAAAAAAAAAAAAAAAAAAAAGACAATATTCCTGTTCTCTTTTAATTGGAGAAGACTATAAACAAATATGTAAATAAACCAGAAAATTATAATATATTGATAAGTGCGATCACAGAATTAAAATCAGGTGATGTTAATAAAAGCATATGGGTAGATACTTTAGAATCATTAGATAGTCAAGGGAAGACCTGTCTGAAGAGATAGCATTTAAAAGCAGGGGCAGGGTGCAGTGGCACAGAGACCAGCTGTGAGACCTCGTTTCTACAAAAAATTTTTTTAAAAATTAGCCAGGTGTGGTGGCGCATGCCTTTAGTCCCAGCTACTGGGGAGGCTGAGGCAGGAAGATCCCTTGAGCCCAGAGCGGTACAGTCAGTTATGATCACACCACTGCACTACAGCCTGGGTGACAGAACGAGGCTTTTGACTCAAAAAAAAAAAAAAAAAAAAAAAAAGAAAGAAAAAGAAAAGGAAGGAAGGAAAGAAAAGAAAAATCAGGTATCTCAATAAAATGAAGTCATTAAAAGCTCAATGGAGGCTGGGTGCAGTGGCTCACGCCTGTACTCTCAGAATTTCAGGAGGCTGAGGTGGGAAGATCACTTGAGGCCAGGAGGTCGAGACCAGCCTAACCAACATGGTGAAACCCCATCTCTACTAAAAATAACAAAAATTAGCTGGGCATGGTGGTGCACACCCATAATCCCAGCACTTTGGGAGGCTGAGGCAGGACAATCGCTTGAAACTGGGAGGCAGAGGTTGCATGAGCCGAAATCATGCTATTGCACTCAAGCCCAGGAGACAGAGACTCTGTCTCCAAAACACAAAGCAGTTCAATGGAAACATCACTAACATCATTTTTTTTTTTTGAGATGGAGTTTCGCTCTTGTTGCCCAGGCTGGAGTACAATGGCGCAATCTCAGCTCACTGCAACCTCCACCTCCCAGGTTCAAGTGATTCTCCTACCTCAGCCTCCCGAGTAGCTGGGATTACAGGTGCCTGCCACCACGCCCAGCTAATTTTTGTATTTTTAGTAGAGATGGGGTTTCACCATGTTGGCCAGGCTGGTCTCGAACTCCTGACCTCAGATGATCCACCTGCCTTGGCCTCCCTCCTAAAGTGCTGGGATTATAGGCATGAGCCACTGCGCCTGGCCTCACTGACATCTTTTTAAGCAGGAGAATTATCATTTAAGCAATCATTCTTACATTTTACTTTATTTTTTTTTTGAGACAAGGTCTCCCTCTGTCACCAAGGCTGGAGTGCAGTGGCATCATTACAGTTCGTTGCAGCTTCAACCTCCCAAGCTCAAATGATCCTCCCACTTCAGCCTCCCAAGTATCTGGGACCACAGATGTTCACCAGCACCACACTTGGCTAATTTGTTATTTTTTGTAGAGACATGGTCTCACTATGTTGCCTTGAACTCCTGGGCTCAAGCGATCCTCCCACCTCGGCCTCCCAAATTGCTGGGATTACAGGCATGAGCCACCACGCCTGGCCCATTCTTCCATTTTATGAAGATCACTCTGGCTGTAGTGTGGAGACTGGAATGGAGGTAGGGGTGAATAAAATTAAGACTGGAAGCAGTGATGATAATGGATTATATAAACTAAGATGATGATAATAACAACTAAGATTCACATAGCAATTAGTAGGTACCAATCTATTATTCTAAGCATCTTATATATATTAATTCACTTAATCCTCAGAAGTACTCTTTTATAAATTTAAAAACTAACGTACAGGGCAGTAGCAATGGAGAGGGAAAATGATTAGATTCAAGAAATACTGAGGAGGTAGGGAGGACAAGTCCTAGTGACTGGTTGTCAGACGTGGGAAGGGAAGGAAGGAATGATTAATCATTACTGGGTTTGGGGCTTTAGCCGCTGCATACTGTCTATAATGTATATGATTGGGCACTGGAGAAGGAGCAAGTGAGAAAAAGCAGGGGGCTGCAAGACATCCCAGTGGGGTTGTAAGCAATTGGATAATCTGGTCTAGAGATCTGGGCTGGAGATTTGGGAATCATCCACGTGTAGATGGTAACTGAAGCTGCCAAAGAGGTTGAGATCACCCAAAAACTGGAAATACCTTAATGTCTTCATAGAAAAATAGCCAAATAAAATACAGCATATCCATTCTATGAAATACTATCCAGCACCAAAAAGAATGAGATATGCCTGTTTGTACTAACATGGAATACTGTCAAAGCATGTTATTAAATCATAGAAGAAAATACCAGAATGATACATAAGATGTTATATCACTTGTATAGAGAATTAAATAAAACAAAAAATAATACTTTAAATTTTTTCTGGGTTCATACATGTGTAAATAAACACACAGGAAGAAGTATGGCAGGTACATTCCAAATCACCAATACATTACCTCTAGTGAATACAGAAATAACTGAAATGGGGAGACAGGAATAGCCAAAATATGATCTACAATGTTTTGGTATTTTAAAAATATCATTTATTATATTCTCTGTAAATTAAATAATTTTTCAAAAAGATTGGGCAGGAGGAGAAGCTTACAAAGGTCATCTTTTGCTTCAGATACTAAATTCTCTCTGTCCTTCCCATCCTCCACTGGCCTTGAGGTTCACGTATTCTGGCTTCTCATCTGTCTACCTCTGAAATGTTAACACCAAGCCCCCTAAGTCCACACTCTATCCCAAATCCTTGGCTCCAGGCAAGCCCTGGTCACCAATCTCTGAGCCTGGGCTATAGCCCCAGGAGGAGAGATCAGACACCAAAATCGCAACACACACAGGGGAAATGGGTATAGATGCCAGCTTCAAGGACAGTGATCAAGTGGCCTTGCTGGCCTCCTGGCCAGCAGAAATTTCAAAGAGCAAAAGGTATCTGAAAGTATCTGGCCATTTGGAGGCAGCTCTGGAGTGCTGAGGAATGGGGCTGAAGTACAGTCAGGCAAAGTCAGGGGTGAAGTGGTAAGGAGTGGGTTGAAGAAAGAGCTAGTTTCACTTGTAAAGATTCCAAATGAAGTGCTGCAATCTTATGGAAACCAGGTTTACAGAAAAAGGAGGCGGCAAGCTGCATTCTGTGAGTCTGGCTGGAGAACGGGGGTTTCTAGGGGTATCTAGAGGAGTCACTTCCAAAGCACCAATTCCAAAAGGCACATTATGTAAAGGTTTAGTAGCTAGAGCAGCAGCAGGAAGCTAGAGATGTGAATAGAAAGGAGGTAAGGAAGATCTACAAATGAGGAAAGATGAAGGCAAGTTAAAGCCTTTCCTTCAGCCAGGCACAGTGGCTCATGCCTGTAATCCCAACACTTTGGGAGGCCAAGGCGGGCGGATCACCTGACTCAGGTCGGGAGTTCGAGACCAGCCTGACCAACATGGAGAAAACGCGTCTCTACTAAAAAAAAAAAAAAAATAACAAAATTAGCCAGTCGTGGTGGCACATGCCTATAATCCCAGCTACTCAGGAGGTTGAGGCAGGAGAATCACTTGAACCCAGGAGGCGGAGGTTGCAGTGAGCAGAGATTGTGCCATTGCACTCCAGCCTGGGCAACAAGAGCAAAACTCTTGTCTCAAAAAAAAAAAAAAAAAAAAAAAGCCTTTCCTTCGTCAGTAAACCAAAGGCAGAGATCATGGGCAGCTTTCTGGTGATTGTACCCTTAAGTTTCAACTTTCTATAGATGAAAGACAATGTATTTGGTCATGTTTTCCTGGTTACCCAAAAAATGACACAGCCCAGGCCTTACCCAACAGCTGATTCACCATCAATTAATCTGTATCACAGCCTGCTGAGCCTCACACCTCACACAGTCACACACTAGACAGCTCTGGGGGAAAAAAACAACCCAAGGTGAGCTGTCAAAGTCCTCTTCGTAACCTGACCTCGCCCTCTGGGGTAGGTTTCATTTCAAAACTGAAAGGGACTGAAGGGCTGGGGAAATCCAAAGATCAACAGAGCCAGGAACAGGTGGTTCCCACAGAAGCATCCCAGGTTGGAACTCAAAACAGAAACCAGACCACTGATAAGACATGGTTTATGATGTCTGTCTCCAAGCCTTCGGATGCCATTTATATGTTTTTGATATTTACAATAGGGCATGACCACATTTATCCAACTCCTGACTACTAAAAATCTAATTCTCCAAGTGCTCAAGCAACTTCCTGGTTTTATTACATTTTAGAGCTTCGGGGTAGCTCAATAACTGAGATACCAGGGAACTTGCGAATTCTTTAGCCCTTCAAATGGGCCACAAATAATGAATTTTATCTCTTCTTCCTTCTTCATCTCCCCACAAAGGCTTGGCAAAATTCCTGTCTCACTAAAAAGTTTCTAAGTTGTTCATAATGGCCCTCTCAATGGAGCAATATTCAATACACAAAAGTCTAGTTCATCAAAGGAGTCAGGTTATTTGCTTGAGGTTCATCTGTAACTAGCTATATGAGCTTGGACAAGTCACTTCACCTTTCTGAGTTCTATAAAGTAAGGAGGTTGGAAAAAAAAAGAAAGGGAAGCAATAAAACAACCTTGAACAGAAAAAAGACTTTAAGTTTTTAAGTCTAAAAGGCTCATCAAGTGCCAACAAGTGTTATTTTTAAAAGGCATACACCTCAGCCTGGCCAACACGGCGAAACCTCATCTCTACTAAAAATACAAAAATGAGCCAGGCGTGGTGGCACGCATCTGTAATCCCAGCTACTCGGGAGGCTGAAGCAGAAGAATCGCTTGAACCCAGGAGGCAGAAGTTGCAGTGAGCTGGGATCGTGCCATTGCACTCCAGACTGGGTAACATGAGCAAGACTCCATCTCAAAAAAAAAAAAAAAAAAAAAAAAGACATACCAGAAGCATACCACAGGAAACTCTAAGCATAAATAAAAATTCACAAACTTCCAGAACAAGAGAACAGATTATTACTTACAAGGAAAAAAAATCCCATTGGACTTCTCATCTGTATCACCAGAAACTCAAAACACTGGAAAGCTACTTAGACTTTGTCGAGACTAGGACTAGTATTCCAAGAATTCTAAACCTAACCACAATATCATTCATACACGAAGGTTAAAAAGAAATTGGACATAAAAAGACTTTGAAAGTACCACTCATGCCCCCCTTCTAAGAAAATCACTCAAAGAAATGTCCTACTTGGCTGGAAGTGGTGGCTCACGCCTGTAATCCCACCACTTTGGGAGGTCAAGGCGGGCGATCATGAGGTCAGTAGGTCGAGACCAGCCTAACAGTGCAAAATCCTGTCTCTACTAAAAAAATAAAATACAAAAATTAGCTGGGCACAGTGGCGCACGCCTGTAGGAGGCTGAGGCAGGAGAATCGCTTGAACCCGGGAGGCGGAGGCTGCAGTGAGCCGAGATTGTGCCATTGCACTCCAGCCTGGGTGACAGAGTGAGACTCCGTATCAAAAAAAAAAAAAAAAAAAAAAAAAGGAAATGTCCCAGGCAATTAACATTTAACTGTAACAAAGCCAGGAAAGACAAACTATATAAAAAACATGTTTCCCCTCCCCAACAAAAACCTTTTAATGAGTTTGGACCAGATGACTTCGAATGGCCTTTCCAAGTATAAACAGAAACTGCCCTGTACACCACAGTCCCTGGCAGTCTGGGTTTGTGAGTTGTTCATCACCTAGTGGCCTGATGAAGTAAATGCAGTTTGTCAAGTGCCCGGATAAACTTCCAGCCATTTTGTGAGCTCTGATGGCGTATGCAGCAGGGCAGCAGCCTGACCTCCTAATGATTACAAGAGTAGGAGACTGCAAACCCTCCAAACTCACAGACAATTGTAAAGACTTAGCTCACCATCAATTCATTCTTCAAGGAGGAAAGGAAAGCATACTCACCTTGTAACTAAATAATCCTAAGTGAAGCACAGATTTGTCAGACTGCATTTACAAAGTAGGGAGAAGTAGAAATTGTTTCTGTGCAGAATGATCTGAACTGAAAGCAAGTTTAGGTATTAGGATAAACTGCAAATATGTCTTACACATAGGAAGACTGTCTTCAAAGGTTCATGAGTTTGCATGTGGAAGATGTATTACATTTATTCTGTATAGTTCCGGGGTACTGGTCTAAAATTAGGCCGGGCACAGTGCCTCACGCCTGTAATCCCAGCACTTTGGGAGGCTGAGGTGGGAGGATCACCTGAGGTCAGGAGTTCCAGACCAGCTTGGCCAACATGGTGAAACCCCATCTCTACTAAAAATATAAAAATTAGCCAGGCGTAGTGGCACACACCTGTAATCCCAGCTACTCAGGAGGCCAAGGCAGAAGAATCACTTGAACCCAGGAGGTGGAGGTTGCAGTGAGCCGATATCGTGCCACTGCACTCCAGCCTGGGTGACAGAGTGGGACTCCGTCTCAAATATAAATAAATAAAAACAAAAATTAAATTAATGAGAAGTCTCAATTAGATTTCAATTCAAAACAAGAAATAATTTTCAGCAGGGCACAGTGGCTCATGCCTGTAATCCCAGCACTTTGGGAGGCCAAGGCGGGAGGACTGATTGAGGTCAGGAGTCCAAGACCAACCCAGGCAACATAGCGAGACCCAGTCTCTACAAAAATTTTTCTTTCTTTTTTTTTTTTATGAGAAAGAGTCTCGCTCTATTGCCCAGGCTGGAGTGCAGTGGCACGATCTCAGCTCACTGCTACCTCTGCCTCCTGGGTTCAAGCAATTCTCATGCCTCAGCCTCCCGAGTAGGTAGGATCACAGATGTGAACCACCATGCCCAGCTAACTTTTGTATTTTTAGTAGAGATGGGGTTTCGCCACATTGGCCAGTCTGGTCTCAAACTCCTGGCCTCAAGTGATCCACCCACCTCGGCCTCCCAAAGTGCTGGGATTACAGGTGTGAGCCACTGCACCCAGCCTCTACAGAAAATTTTTAGAATTAGCCTGGTGTGGTGGCACACAGTAGTCCCAGCTACTCAGAAGACTGAGGCAGGGGGATCACTTGAGCCCAGGAGTTCAAGGCTACAGTAAGCTATGATCACACCACTGCACTCTAGCCTGGGTGACAAAGCAAGACCCTATCTCTTAAAAATAAAAAAAGGCCAGGTGGCTGGGCGCAGTGGCTCACGCCTGTAATCCCAGCACTTTGGGAGGCCGAGGCGGGAGGATCACTTGAGGTCAGGAGTTTGAGACCAGCCTAGCCAACATGATGAAACCTGTCTCTACTAAAAATAAAAAAATTAGCCAGGCATGATGGTGAGTGCCTGTACTCCCAGCTACTGGGGAGGCTGAGGCAGGAGAATCACTTGAACTCAGGAGGCAGAGGTTGCAGTAAGCCAATATTGTGCCACTGCACTCTGTCCTGGGCGACAGAGCAAGATTTCGTCTCAAAAATAAAATGAAATAAAATAAAATAAAAACAAAAATAATAATTTTTTGCAGGGCATGGTGGCTCATGCCTGTAATCCCAGCACTTCAGGAGGTCAAGGCAGAAGGATCACTTGACCCCAGGAATTCGAGACCAGTCTGAACAATATAGTGAAACCTTGTCTCTATAAAAAACTAAAAAAAAAAAAAAAAAAAACAGCCGGGCATGGTGGCATGTGCCTGTAGTCCCAGCTACTCGGAGAAGGGAGAAGCTGAGGGGGAGGATCGCTTGTGCCAGGGAGGTTGAGGCTGCAGTGAGCTGTAATCCAACACTGCACTCCAGCCTGTGTGACAGAGCAAGACCCTATCTCAAAAAATTATGATTATATTTCTACCAATGAGAGCTTTTCAACAACGATGTCCTAAGAACTGATGAGCTCCCCTATTAATGGAGGTATTCAAAGAGAACTTGAAAGATCATTTGTCAGGAGAATGATAGAAAACATTCCTGTAATTGGATGGCAGGCTGGAGACAAGGAGACTGCATAAAATTACTTCAAAGGCTCTTTTCAGCTCCAAGAGTTTTTATTCTAAATAAAAACAAAACAAACAAAAACCACTAATAAATAACTAAGAAGTCCCTCTTCTATTTTTTTAAATATCCAACCAGGCAGTACAACTTAGTAGCTAAAAGTACGGGTTTGATACTACTTTCTCTTGAGTAAATCTGGACAAATTACTTAACTCTACTTGCCTCTGTTTAGAATAAGAGTACCTATTTTGTAAGATTACTGTGAAGATTAAATGATACTTCATTTAATCTTTAACGATACTTAACGATACTTTGTTAAGTATTTAAAACAGTGTCTGACACATGAATGTGTTTAAAACTAGCAGCTTAACAAGGAAAGAAAAAGGAAAGGTGGAGATGGGAGAAAGGCAAGGAATGAAACCTAAATGTGCGGCTTGTTTTCATTATGTGTACCCAAGCCTCAACCAAAGCATTGCTGGCTGTTGCTGGCCAGAGGCTGGGTTCCCTTGGCAACCAGCCTCAAAAAAGAACCTAGATCTACCTTCTTCAGGGAGACGGCTCATCCCTTGCCCTAGAATCTGGCATCTTCCCTGCACAAGGCAGACTCTCTAAGAACTCACAGCCAGGTGCGGTGACTCACACCTGTAATCCCAGCACTTTGGGAGGCCGAAATGGGCAGATCACGAGGTCAGGAGATGGAGACCATCCTGGCTAACACGGTGAAATCCCATCTCTACTAAAAATACAAAAAAATTAGCCGGGCATGGTGGCGGGCGCCTGTAGTCCCAGCTACTCGGGAGGGTGAGGCAGGAGAATGGCGTGAACCCAGGAGGCGGAGCTTGCAGTGAGCCGAGATCTCGCCACTGCACTCCAGCCCGGGCGACAGAGCAAAACTTCATCTCAAAAAAAAAAAAAAAAAAAAAAAAAAACAGAAATCACAAATACCATTGCCCCAAACTCAAGGAGCTAAGCAGGTGTTAAGCAGGTGTTACTCTTACTTCCTATGATCAATTACAGAACATCAGAGTTCAAAGAGACTTCAGAGGCCATCTAGAGCAACTGCTTTTTTTTTTTGGAGACAGAGTCTTGCTCTGTCGCCCAGGCTGGAGTGCAGTGGCACAATCTTGGCTCACTGCAACCTCTGCCTCCTGGGTTCACGCGATTCTCCTGCCTCAGCCTCCCGAGTAGCTGGGACTACAGGCACACACCACCACACCTGGCCTTTTTTTGTATTTTTAGTAGAGACAGAGTTTCACCATATTGGCCAGGCTCCTGACCTCGTAATCCGCCCACCTCGACCTCCCAAAGTACTGGGATTACAGGCATGAGCCACCGCGCCTGGCCCCAACCCCTTTGTTTAATGAATAAGGACCATAAAACTAAAAAAAGTGAAGTCCTAAATATGGCAAGTTGGTGGCAGGGTCAAGTCAAGATCACAGTCCTCTTTATTCCTAGTCCAGTGGTCAAAATCTTCCCATTTTTCATATGAGAAAAACAGAGCTGGCCCTACTACTCTTATACCACACAGTCCATACTACCTACTTAACAGAGGTAAGAAAAGACTACAAGCAGTAGAGTGCAGAGGTTAAGAGCATGAACTCGGGGCCAGGCGCAGTGGCTCACGCCTATAATCCCAGCACTTTGGGAAGCCGAGGCAGGCGGATCACGAGGTCAAGAAATCGAGCATCCTGGCCAACATGGTGAAACCCTGTCTCTACTAAAAAATAGAAAAATTAGCTGGGCATGCTGGCATGCACCTGTAGTCCCAGCTACATGGGAGGCTGAGGCAGGAGAATCGCTTGAACCCAGGAGATGGAGGTGGTTGCAGTGAGCCAAGATTGCGCCCCTGCACTCCAGCCTGGCCACAGAGCAAGATAACATCTTTTTTTTTTTTTGAAACAGAGTCTCGCTCTGTCGCCCAGGCTGGAGTGCAGTGGCGCGATCTCGGCTCACTGCAATCTCCGCCTCCCGGGTTCACGCCATTCTCCTGCCTCAGCCTCCCGAGTAGCTGGGACTACAGGCGCCTGCCACTATGCCCAGCTGATTTTTTTTGTATTTTTAGTAGAGACACGGTTTCACCGTGTTAGCCAGAATGGTCAGAGCAAGACAACATCTCAAAAAAAAAAAAAAAAAAAAAGCAAGCATGAACTCAGGATGGACTGCCTTATTTAAATCCCTGCTCTACTACTTATTAACTGTGCAACTTGAAGCAAGTTTTCTAACCTCTCTTCAACTCTATAAAACGGGGATAAGAGTCACCATGAGGTTATTTTTAAGGATTAAATGAGATAATCCATGTAGAGTACATAGCATGTAGAAAATTCTCAACGTGTGGCCAGGCACAGTGGCTCACGCCTGTAATCCCAGCACTTAGGGAGGCTGAGGCAGGCAGATCACCTGAGGCTGGGAGTTCAAGACCAGCCTGAGGAACATCGAGAAACCCTGTCTCTACTAAAAATACAAAATTAGCCGGGCTTGGTGTCACATGCCCGTAATCCCAGCTACTACTTGGGAGGCTGAGGCAGGAGAATTGCCTGAACCCGGGAGGCGGAGGTTGCGGTGAGGTGAGATCACGCCATTGCATTCCAGCCTGGGCAACAAGAGCAAAACTCCGTCTCAAAGAAAAAAAAAAAAGAAAATTCTCAATGTGTATGCTGTTCTGCTTCTCATCATTACCAGTCATGTGAAAAAATAAACAAGCATAATAACAAGAGAGGCCGGACAAGCTCTTACTTATGGTCCAAAAAGCACTGAGACATAGGTGTTTGTTTAGCTCCATTTCCCGGTCCAGGGAACACCCAATCCCTCAGCAGGAGAAGAATATAACTAACCTATCATTCATGTCTTTGGATCTAGGGAAGAATCAATTCAGAGAATAATCGAGGCACATGCTACACTGATAAGATGCTTAAGATCACAATGAAGGTTAGGTAAGTCAGAACTCAAGCCTGACCTTTACCCCTACACTCAAGTTTGACAAGATGCAGTTTTTGCCCAGTCTTCCTCTCAACCTACTAAGGTGATGCAGCGTAATGGTTAGCAAAAGCTCTGGAGTTTGACTGCCTGGGTGCAAACTAATTCCGTCATTTATATGCTGTGTGACTTACACAAATTACTTTATTTACCTTATTTCTCTAAGCCTTTGTTTATCCATCTTTTAAATGAGAATAACAACTATTTTAATTTTTATGATAATAGCTGACATTTGGTAAGCACTTTCTATGTGCCAAGCACTATGCTAAGCACTTTACATAGCTGATGGCATTTAACCGTCACCACCATCTTAGGAGGCAGGTATTATCATTATCCTCATTGTACAAATACAGATGTTCCTTGACTTATGATGAGGTTACATCTCGAATACCGTAAGTCAAAAACATATTTGATACACTTAGCCTACCAAACATCATAGCTCAGCCTAGACTATCTTAAATATGCTCAGAACACTTAACATTAGCCTCTAGCTTGGCAAAATCATCTAATACAATGCCTATTATAAACTTGAATATCTCATGTAATTTATTAAACACAGTACAGTGTGCAGTATTGGTTGTTTGCCTTCATGACTGCACGGCTGAGTGGGAGCTGCAGCTTGTTGCTGCAGCCCAGCATCATGAGAACGTGTCAGTAGGCCAGGAAAATATCAAAATTAAGAATTTCAAGTGCAGTTTCTAATTAACATATATGGCTTTTGCATCATCGTAAAGTTGAAAATTGTAAGTCAAACCACTGTAAGTCAGGGACTATCCGTACAAATGAGGCACAGTTTTCTTGTTCAAGGCCACACAGTCAGTTACCGGCAAAACTTAGGTGTCAAAGCAGGAGGTCCGACCCCATAGTCTATGCTCCTCACTCCTACTACACTGGCTCTACTTCTCATAGTACCGGAATCATATGGTTGTCAGAAGATGGCAACCAACATAAAGTTCTTAGCACAGTGCCCGGTTCATCAAAGCTGGCCATTACTATTATTTTTGTTATCATCATTATCAATCCCTTTAAGCCTCTCCCAAAGATTACTACCTCCTAAGTTCCAATTTCATCTAAAAGGAAAGGGTTGTTTTCTTACCTAGCTACCACCTCACTGAGTAGCTGGGAGTGGGGCTGCAGTCTTTTTATTTCATTTCCTTCATGTAATACAGGATAAGTACTTGGGTGGAGAAAAAGGGAAATATTTATTGGAAACATGTTACTCTATAAAAAGCAATATTCTAAAGTCTTTGTTTTTAAAAATAAAACCTTTATTACCTTCATTAGGAAAAAAAACCATACACTTATTATGAAACTTTTTTTCAAAATAAAGCAGAGATAAATAGTATTTACTTTAAACAGAAACTGTCAGCCAGGCACAGTGGCTCACACCTGTAATCCCAGCACTTTGGGAGGCCGAGGTGGGCAGATCACCCGATGTCAGGAGTTCGAGACCAGCCTGGCCAACATGGTGAAACCCCGCCTCTACTATAAACACAAAATATTATCTGGGCATGGTGGCGTCCGCCTGCTGTCCCAGCTACACAGGAGGCTGAGGCAGGAGAATCACTTGAATACGGGAGGCAGAGGTTGCAATGAGCTGAGACGACGCCATTGCACTCCAGCCTGGACAACAAGAGCGAAACTCTGTCTCAAAAAAAATAAAATAAAAATTAAATAAATTAGCCGGGCGTGGTGGCTCACACCTATAATCCCAGCACTCTGGGAGGCGGAGGTGGGGTGGATCATGAGGTCAGGAGTTTGAGACCAGCCTGACCAACATGATGAAACCTCGTCTCTACTAAAAATACAAAAATTAGCCAGGCGTGGTGGCACACGCCTGTAATCCCAGCTACTCAGGAGGCTGAGGCAGGAGACCCGGGAGGCGGAAGCTGCACTGAGCCGAGATCGCGCCACTGCACTCCAGCCTGGGCGACAGAGCAAGACTCTGTTTCAAAAAAAATAATAATTAAATAAATTTATTCATTCAGCTCCTATGTTACAAGCACTGTTCTAGCAGTGGGGCTATAGCAATGAGCAAAACAAAGTCCTAACCATCATGAAATTTACATTCTAGTGGGTGGTGACATGTAATAAACTATGGTAGAGAGTCCCTAGAACACAATGCCTGGCACAAGCAGACAGCACTCAATAAATACTTGCTAAATAATGAACAATGAATGAATAAACAATATGTCAAATAGCAAGTGCTATGCAGAAAAAACAGGGAAGGGGAGCAGAGAAAGCAGAAGGCAGAGAGATAGCTTTTATTTTAAACAAGGCAGTTAAGGTATATTTCACTGATTAAGTGACAGTTGAGCAGAAACCTGAAGGAGATAAGGGAGAAGGCCATACTGACATCTGGAAAAATGATGTTCCTGGCAGAAAAAGCAACTACAAAGGCCCCAAGGCCTGGCATGCTGGAGCAACTGCAAAGGAGACCATTGTGGCTACAGCACAAGGGGAAGTGGTAGGAAATGAAGTCAGAGCAGCTGGGAGAGAGTGGTGTGAATCCTACATGGTCTTATAGACCATGGTAGGGACACTACCTTTTAATCCAGGTGGGATTTTAATCTGGGCACCCAGGTGACAGTTTTCAGCAAAGCAGTGACTTGATCTGATATATACTTAAAAGGATTATTCTGGTCACTGTTAAAATTAGATTGAGGGGGCAAAGAGCAAAAGGAGGAAGACCACTTAGAAAGCTATTCCAGTAGCAGCAGGGCAGGTGGTGGGAAGTGTTTAAATACTGGATATATCTTAAGGTGAAGTTGACAGGACCTGCTGGTGGATTGGATGAAGAGAATGAAAAAACAGATTTAAGGGAGACTCTCTATATATTCAATACACAGATGAATAGCAACTCTGAAATGGGGAGGACCTTCCAGAGATGCAGATTTGAGAGGAGATGTTCTGAAGTTTTTTAATAAGTTCAACAAACTATTAGACACCCAAGTGGAGATATCCAGTGAATAGTTGGATATAAGTCTTGAGTTCAGGGAAAGACATTCAAGCTAATAATGTAAACTCATGAATTGTCAGGGAATAACGGCATTTAAAGTCTTGATCGAATCCAGCCTCAGCAACATTGTGAGACCCTGTCTCTACAAAAAAAAAAATAATAAATTAGCCAGGCATGGTGGTGGGTACCTGTAGTACTAGCCACTGAGGAGGGGAGGGAGGATTTCTTGAGACCAGGAATTCAAGGCTACAGTCAACTATTATCATGCCACTGCAGTCCGGCCTGGACAACAGAGTGAGAATCTGTCTCTAAAAAATAAAGTCCTGAAAGAGAGCACCTAGGAAAAGAGTGTAGACAGAGAAGGGATCCAAGGACTGCTCTGAGTACTCCACCAATGGAGAGTGAGGAGATGAAGAATAAGAAAAAAAAAGTTGAGAAGGAGGAACCAGTGAGGCAGGAACAGCATCAAGGGAGTGACATCCTGGAAGACAAGTGAAGCTAGGGTGCAACAGAGTATCAAATGCTACTGAGATATCAAGAATAAAAATGGGTGAGAAATGACCACTGACTCTACATACATTTTCTAAACCTGTTCTTTCCTATTCCACGCATAACACTTTTCTTCTCTTTTAATCCACATAAAAATCCCAGTACTATCCAATGAACACACAGAAGGGTTCTATTTAATTCAGCTATATCCGTGTCTCAGAAATACAAAAAGCAAAAATCAATGCTCTTAATCGGGACACAACAAATATTACACAGTGAATAATGTTGAACAAATGCTTTGTCTGGTTGAAGTAACTGTCTCTCTGAAACAAAATCCGTTAAGTCTTGCTTGTGCTTAGTAAGTGGGATCAGAGAAATGAGTTATTTAAATGTATTTTTTTTGTTCTGCATAAAGTAGCAATCATTCTTGAACTCCTTTCTCTCCCCTCTAACTCAAACCTCCTAACCAGCTTAACAAAGACCCTAAATTTCCATACATACCCCTCCTCAAAAACAAAGCAAAACATGGTAAGATTCAGAAGTTAGAGAGAAAGGAGTAGGCTGTGCCCTGCCCCTTCTGTTTTTTTTTTTTTGAGACAGTTTCACTCTTGTTGCCTGGGCTGAAGTGCAATGGCACCATCTTGGGTCACTGCAACCTCCGCCTCCCAGGTTCAAGCAATTCTCCTACCTCAGCCACCCAAGTAGCTGGGATTGTAGGCATGTGCCACCACACTCAGCTAATTTTTGTATTTTTAGTAGAGACAGGGTTTCACCACGTTGGCCAGGCTGGTCTCGAACTCCTGACCTCAGGTGATCTGCCCGCCTCGGCCGCCCAAAGTGCTGGGATTACAGGCGTGAGCCACTGTGCCCGGCCACCCCTTCTTTTTTTTATAGGACAGAGAGTTATCAATCATTTGCTAACTCAAAGGTCAGGTTTAATTTACATTTTCTCCTTAGAATCTCTGGACAGGAAGTATAATTTCTGATGTCTTCACCTTAAAAGAGAATTATTGCTATAAAATAAAGCCTTTAACTTTCTGTGCTCTAGCAAGTATAGTCAAATCTCAATAATATACACTAGTGAAGTAGCAAAACAATAGTCACCAAAAACTGGATAATGTAAACATCCTTCATTCATATCTTTCTGAAATGACTACAACTTCTCAATTGACTGTGCTTTCTTTGACTTCAGGCCTTTGCTTCCTCTGCCTGGAATACCCTTCCCTGTCCTCCACTTTGCAGTCTGCTAGTTTGAAACTCCTTACCTCAACCTGCCCAGCAGCTGGGCTAACTGTTTTGGTAGACACAGGGGCTCCCTATGTTGCCCGGGCTTGTCTTGAATTCGTAGGCTCAAACAATCCTCCTGCCTCTGCGCCCAAAGTGCAGGGATTACAGGTGTGAGCCACCACACCCAGCTATACCAACCCCAACACATTTCTTACATTTCTCAGAGAACCAAGAAGTGATCTCCTAACAGCAGTGCAGGGTCACCAGCATATGAGGTCAAATTGTTACTATCTACAATATGGGTAAGATACATTGCTTGGAAGTGCCTGTTTCTGGCTTCTGGCTGGAGGCTCACTTCCCAGCCTGGCATTTATTTATGAGAAATAAAGCTCTCCTTTCCAAATAAAAAAATTTTCCATCCTGGCTAACACAGTGAAACCCCATCTCTACTAAAAATACTGAAAAATTAGCCAGGCATGGTGGAACACGCCTGTAGTGCCAGCTACTCGGGTTGCTGAGGCAGGAGAATCACTTGAACCCGGGAAGCAGAGGTTGCAGTGAGCCGAGATTGCGCCACTGCACTCCATCCTGGTGACACAGCAAGACTCCATCTTAAAAAAAAAAAAAAATTTTTCAACAGATATATTTCCAACTGTAGTAACCTAGAAAGTAACAGGGGAAAGGCTCTCTCAATTTACTCTTTATTTTTTATTTTCTTTTTTTAGATAAGGTCTCACTCTGTTGTCCGGACTGAAGTGCAGTGACGCGATCATGGCTCAATACAGCCTCCAACTCCCGGGCTCAAGTGATTCTCCCATCTCAGCCTTGCAAGTAGCTGGGACTACAGGTGCACGCCACCACACCCAGTTAATGTTTTTATTTTTTTGTAGAGACAGGGTCTCACCATGTTGCCCAGACAGGTCTCCAACACCTGGACTCAAGTGATCCTCCTGCTTCAGCCTCCCAAAATGCTGGGATTACAGGTGTGAACCACCGTGCCCAGACTACTATTACTTTAAATAAAAGAGAAATAGAAAGATAAATCTTAAGAGAGAAAAAGAAACCACTTAAAAAAAAAAGCTACGTTAGTAGGGCAATTTTTTATTTTTATTTTTTGAGACAGAGTCTCACTCTGTCTCCCAGGCTGGAGTACAGTGGCACCATCTCAGCTCACTGCAACCTCTGCCTCCCAGGTTCACATTCACATGCCTCAGCCTCCCGAGTAGCTGGGATTACAGGCACGCACCATCACGCCCAGCTAATTTGTGTGTGTGTGTGTATTTTTAGTAGAGACACAGTTTTGCCATGTTGGTCAGGCTGGTCTCGAACTCCTGACCTCAGATGGTCTACCCGCCTCACCACCTCATCCACAGTACTTGGCCAGTACGGCAACTTTAAATAGCTATAGGCCAGGCATGGTGACTCACACCAGAAATCCCAGGACTTTGGGAGGCTGAGGCAGAAGAATCACTTGAGCTCAGGAATTCAAAACCAACCTGAGCAACACAGCAAGACCTCATCTCTACTAAAAATAAAAACAAAAAAATTAGGCCGGGTGCGGTGGCTCACACCTATAATCCCAGAACTTTGGGAGGCCGGGGCAGGCAGATCACCTGAGGTCAGGAGTTCGAGGCCAGCCTGACCAACATGGAGAAACTCCGTCTCTACTAAAAATACACAATCAGCCGGGTGTGGCGGCACATGCCTGTAATCCCAGCTACTCAAGAGGCTGAGGCAGGAGAATCGCTTGAACCTGGGAGGCAGTGGTTGTGGTGAGCCAGGATCGCGCCACTGCACTCCATCCTGGGCAACAAGCGCGAAACTCTGTCTCAAAAATAAATACATAAATTAATTTAACTTAAAAATCAGCCGGCATGGTGGGCACACACCTGCAGTCCCAGTTACTGAGGAGGCTGAGGTGGGAGGATTGCTTGAGCCTGGGGGATAGAGGTGGCAGTGAGCTACGATGGAGCCACTACACTCCAGCATGGGTGACAGAGCAAGACCTTCTCTCAAAAAATAAATAAAAATTAAAAATAAAAAAATTAAACAACCATAGTATGCTTGCTGAACCAGGTAGGTTACAGAAAATAAATGTGGTCCCTGCCCCCAGAGAACATAAGAGTCTTATTGAGGAATCCTTCCCACCCCTTCCAAACCCATAAATGTAAACATCAGGGAAAAGAGGGAAGAGATTTTCTAAAACAAGAGTTAGGAACTTAAGGTAAATGCATTGGCTGTTTGGGGACAGAAAAATAGTAACTGGCTAGAAAGCCTTTTGAGTTTAAGGTAAAGCTATCCCACACATCAAAGTCCATATCAAAAGCATCAGAAGCCATGGAAAGGTGTAATCCATAACTAAGAGTCAAGAGGTTCAGCTCAAATTCTAACAGGCTGTGTAACGTTGGGCAAGTCACTTCACTCCTCTAATCCAAAAATGGCTCTTCTGTAAAATGGGCATAAGACCCTACTGGCAAAGTTGTCTGTGATGATTAAACAAGTAACGTGAAAGCACTCTGAAAGGTTTTACGTGACATACCAACTTAACATAAGAGGAAGCAACAATCATTCCTCTGTATGTAGCATAAATCCTGTGGTTCAACTTCCAAAGTCTAAACCTGACTCACCTTCTTAGCCTTGTTAAACCCCTCAACCAACCTGTGGTCACTGAGAGGAGGCGAGTCATGTGTGAGGCTCCAGGCAGGGGTGGGGCAGTGACTACTCAGTCAATTGCTCCATGTCTCAGTGGTTTCATCTATAAAATGGGTGGTGTGGAATTCACTCAGGTATCCACAAGATAATGCAGGTCTGAGGAAGGGAGTGGAGATTTTACCAAAAGTGCAGAAAACATTTACATAAACCTCCCACCCCGCCAAAGAAAAATAACCAAAGTCATCAAATATCATCAGTCCCTGGACATAAGTAGAAGGACCCTTAGAGATCATTTAATCTCTTGCTTTATAAAAGGGAGAACTGAAACCCTGACAGATGAGTTGTAGAAGTCTCAGAGCTAGACAGGGGCAGAGCTAGGACTAGGGCCCAGAGCCTCAGATTCCAAGGTCCAATGACCTCTTTGCCAGACCACAGCATCACCCAAGGTGTCTGTATGACATGTTACCAACCCCAAGACACATTACAATTTAACCAACGTCCAAACGTGGGCTACCGAAGGGAGAAACTGTTAAGACTCTCGGGGAAGGAGGGAGGCTAAGAGCTGGGGAAGCTGGGAAAGGGAAGGCTTCACTGAGGAGGTGCACTAAGTCCCAGGAGTACATAACAGGAAATTATGGAAATATTTCAGTAGGTAGTCTTGGAAAGAAAGACCTGACAGATAAAATTTTCTCTAGAGAAAAGAAATAAGTTAGATTTAAAAGACCAGAAGAAGGCTTTGTTTGAACATTCCTTGATTATATGCAATTTAGTCCTTTTGTTGTCACCTGAGTTTCTAACACTTGGTAATATTTTTAATTCCCTCATCTATTCTGTCTCCCTATGAGACAGGACTCTCTGCAGAGACCACATCCAGTTTAGTGGTTAAGAATGGAGTCTCTGGACTCAGATTGCCTAAATTCAAATCCTTGCTTTACCACTTAATAGCTGTGTGACCTTGGATAAATTCCTTCACTAATCTGTACCTCTGTAAAACTGACCTAATATCACCACCCATTTCAGGAGGTTTTGTGAGGATTAAATGTGTATAAGCGGTCACAACTTATTAATGGGTTTTTAATCACTTTATAATGTGTCCTTTTTATATATAAAGAATAGAAATTACCCAAGTACATATACTGCATGTAGTAACAAATATTGTTTTGCAAAAATTTTGTTACATATGTGTGCATAAATGTCTTAAATCATAATGTAAAATTTGTTTCTTAGTGGTTTTTTTAAAAATGTGAGACACTGAATACATAAAATAAGGCTTAGAACAATGCCCAGCACACAGTAAGCACCTAGTGCTGTAACTGTCATCGTTGCTGTTATGTACCTATTAAATGTTCGTAGAGTTATATAAACTAACATGAAACCACTTTGGAAAATATATCTGATAGTAACATAAGTTAAAGGCAAAAAGCCCTTCTCTTTGTCTCTCATATCCACACACAATCAGAGCCCTGCTCAGGCACCAGTTTGTTGCTTGGCCCACTAGCTACGTGTTGCATTGAACTGAAGAGTCCACAGACTGACCTAACACTCTGTCATGCTCTGTCAATCTCTGCAGAGAAATGGAGGCTTGGTGCCAGAGCGAATTTATTTTTACCTGGTTGGGGTGCTGGGGTGGGGGAGGCAAGAGTCAAGCCCATGGGGAGCTGACGGAAGCAAGTCAGTCATACAAAAAACCATTTGCTCCCCCAGAGGCAGGTAGGCTCAAATGTGCCACAGACAGGGCCAGACCGACAGACACCTGAGCCTCTGGGCAGGCTGAATCACTTCCCCCTCCCTATCCTCACCAGACACTGCATAAGACAGCATTTCAGCCCGCCCGCCCGTTACAGGTGTAGCTCTTATCAGGAAAAGCTGGGAGCTGCCTGATACAAAAAGGGGCTGACTGCACAACAAAAGATTACCTGAAGGGCTCATTTAAATGACAAGCTCACCTAAACGTTTTAAATAGTATTTAAATTCCAAAACCCTGATTTACAGAAAAACCTGGAAAATGTGCTCACCAGTAAGGAAATCTGGAGGTCCATCCCCGACATTGTGTGACCTTGAATTAAGCACTTCATCTTTATGTTTGTCTTCCTCTGTTTAAAAGAGAGAGAGAGAGAGAGAGATAAGAACACCTACCTCAGAGGACCATGGTAAAAATTAAAGATAGAATACGGTGAACTGCCTTGCATCGGATGTGCTGGCACTGGCCAATGCACAATAAACGCCTGTCCCTTCTAGACTAAAAATGAACACTTAATTGTGGTAAACTATTAATAAGATTCACCGGCCAACTGTCCTATGAAAAAGTCAGAGGCACTGTAGTCTCTTCGTAGCTCTCGTTCTCTCCAGCACAACAGCCCATGCTAGGAAGTCTAGAAAAGCAGTAACTTATCTCATTCCTTAAATTAAACAGAGGTTTCTAAATGCTTTGGTACTGTGGGGACCCAAATTATCCCTTGATACTGCCCCCCTATTATCCACTATTAAGCTTTAAAAAGGCGAGAGATTAAATATTGTGCCCACATTTTACAGTCATTCGCGTTCCCGTTTCAAATTAAAGGGAGGAAAACGCGTTAAAATTAGGCCTCCGACCTTCAGACCAGCCTGTGGGCTTTTTTAAGTCATAAAACTCGCGGAGGTGGAAGGCCCCGGGGAGGAAGAGGGGTGCATTCTAGAGCTTTCGGGCCGACCCCAATTTCTCGTTGGCGACGAATGCTAACCACGTGTCGCCATTTTGTGTTCAGGAAACATGGCGGCCGCCCCAAGGGTAAGGAACAGGGGAGGCGGAGTAGCGCCACGTTAGCCGCTTTCCCTGAGAGATTGTGAAGCACGTTGCGCACGGGGCCCTTTCTGGTCTGGCTTAGCCCAAGGAGGAAGGGGAAAAGGCAGAAATCACAACTCATAGGCCAGCGTCTTGAGCGACACTTCCTCAGCGGGAAGAACCGGCAAAAAAGGCCTTCCAAGATGGCGGGCCCTGACGGGGCCGCCCCCCTTGAGCCTGGCGCAGTGGCTGCGCCCATGGGCCCGAAAAGCAGCCGCGGGAGCCCAGGCCGCGCGGGGAAAGCCGCAGAAACGTCCTGAAGCCCTGGCCGGCAGCCCCTGAACAAACGAGGCCTCCACAGGCGTACACTATTGTTTCTAATGTCGGAAAAGGGTGCCGCGGTGGAAACGACACAAGGGCAGGAGGTGGGGTTTCTGTGGCTTTAACCGAAAGAAACTTGCGAAACGCAAACAAAGCATTATGTAAATGGACGCCATTCTTTTTAGGACCACGTTTCTAGCACGCCCCACAAACAGCAGAGCCGCGATTCGGCAGGCGGCCGTGAGTGGGTTTCGGTCTTTCTGCCCACCGGCCGCCGCCGGGGAGCAGGAGCTGGGGTGGGGGATCCATGCAGGGCGCCCGGACGCCGGGGACGAAAGGGCCCCACGTGCCCGCCCGCGCGCACCCGCTCCGCAGGCCTCGCCTCGCCGCCCCTCCCCCCCGGAAGAGGGCTGCTGCCCCTCCCATCCCCCCACACCCTCGCGCACGCGCTCTGGTCACCTCACGCGCATGTTTTAAACCCGCGGCGTCCCGGCTTGTGCCTGCAGTTTCCGCCGGGGCTGCCCATGTCGTTCCGCGCACGAGCCCCTCATGTAGGGCAGGAAAATAATGTCTATCCCGCATACACAGCACTAGTATTTTCAGTCACCCGCCAGTGCCGTTAGAGTTAATAAAATACGTCATCATTTTAAAACTTTGCCGGACTCACAGCTTCCGCCCATCGTGCGCTTCATTTTCACTACTGCAGTGTCAGAAGGTTTTTTTTTTAAGGACCATGTAAGGGTTGGCGCAATCTTGTGACCTAAAAAAGACGGGTCCTCATTTTTTTTCAAGGGGTCCTGCGCAGCAAGCACTTCCGGGGTCAGAGGGTACGCGGGGTTGAAAGCGGGCTTCCCGCCCCGCCCAGACCGCCGAGGCTGCCGCCGGAGTCGCCACCGCCGCGCCCTCGCCCACCCGCCCGCCCGCCGCTCCCGGCCCCGCTCGCCCCCTCCGCCGCCGCCGCCCGCCCCTGCGACTACGCTGCGGCCTCCCGCCCGCTCCCGCTCGCTCCCGCGGCCCTCGCTCGCCTCGCGCCGGCAGTTTTGGGCCTACACCTCCCCTCCCCCCGCCAGCCGCCAAAGACTTGACCACGTAACGAGCCCAACTCCCCCGAACGCCGCCCGCCGCTCGCCATGGATGCCGGTGTGACTGAAAGTGGACTAAATGTGACTCTCACCATTCGGCTTCTTATGCACGGAAAGGAAGTAGGAAGCATCATTGGGAAGAAAGGGGAGTCGGTTAAGAGGATCCGCGAGGAGAGTGGCGCGCGGATCAACATCTCGGAGGGGAATTGTCCGGAGAGAATCATCACTCTGACCGGCCCCACCAATGCCATCTTTAAGGCTTTCGCTATGATCATCGACAAGCTGGAGGAAGATATCAACAGCTCCATGACCAACAGTACCGCGGCCAGCAGGCCCCCGGTCACCCTGAGGCTGGTGGTGCCGGCCACCCAGTGCGGCTCCCTGATTGGGAAAGGCGGGTGTAAGATCAAAGAGATCCGCGAGAGTACGGGGGCGCAGGTCCAGGTGGCGGGGGATATGCTGCCCAACTCCACCGAGCGGGCCATCACCATCGCTGGCGTGCCGCAGTCTGTCACCGAGTGTGTCAAGCAGATTTGCCTGGTCATGCTGGAGACGCTCTCCCAGTCTCCGCAAGGGAGAGTCATGACCATTCCGTACCAGCCCATGCCGGCCAGCTCCCCAGTCATCTGCGCGGGCGGCCAAGATCGGTGCAGCGACGCTGCGGGCTACCCCCATGCCACCCATGACCTGGAGGGACCACCTCTAGATGCCTACTCGATTCAAGGACAACACACCATTTCTCCGCTCGATCTGGCCAAGCTGAACCAGGTGGCAAGACAACAGTCTCACTTTGCCATGATGCACGGCGGGACCGGATTCGCCGGAATTGACTCCAGCTCTCCAGAGGTGAAAGGCTATTGGGCAAGTTTGGATGCATCTACTCAAACCACCCATGAACTCACCATTCCAAATAACTTAATTGGCTGCATAATCGGGCGCCAAGGCGCCAACATTAATGAGATCCGCCAGATGTCCGGGGCCCAGATCAAAATTGCCAACCCAGTGGAAGGCTCCTCTGGTAGGCAGGTTACTATCACTGGCTCTGCTGCCAGTATTAGTCTGGCCCAGTATCTAATCAATGCCAGGCTTTCCTCTGAGAAGGGCATGGGGTGCAGCTAGAACAGTGTAGGTTCCCTCAATAACCCCTTTCTGCTGTTCTCCCATGATCCAACTGTGTAATTTCTGGTCAGTGATTCCAGGTTTTAAATAATTTGTAAGTGTTCAGTTTCTACACAACTTTATCATCCGCTAAGAATTTAAAAATCACATTCTCTGTTCAGCTGTTAATGCTGGGATCCATATTTAGTTTTATAAGCTTTTCCCTGTTTTTAGTTTTGTTTTGGGTTTTTTGGCTCATGAATTTTATTTCTGTTTGTCGATAAGAAATGTAAGAGTGGAATGTTAATAAATTTCAGTTTAGTTCTGTAATGTCAAGAATTTAAGAATTAAAAAACGGATTGGTTAAAAAATGCTTCATATTTGAAAAAGCTGGGAATTGCTGTCTTAAACTCTTTGTTGGTGCCTTTTTTTTCCCTCCCCTTTTAGCCTGAGGTGTTTGGAGGGAGGAGGGAGAAGGGTGGGCCCGTCCTTGGTATTCTCTCAAGCTCTTCTCACCTTATCGGTAAGATTCCATTCCCTCTGTGCCCCAACAAAGGAACATGGCAGGCTGGGCCTGCTTTGGGATGTTTCCAGGGACAGAGAGGTTCAAGTTCCAGAGAGAGGCCTCTGCCCATTTCTCTGGTAGAAACAAGGTTTTCTCGAGGGGAAAAGGTGTGCCCACTCAGTAGGACCTCTAAATGGCAGAGCGTCCTCTCCATCTAACCAGTTCCCCCACCCCCACCTCACAGGATAAACTTAGGAACAAAAAAATATTCTGGGGTGGGAGGAGCCTGGGGAAGGGGTGTGGGGGCAGGGAAAGGAAAGGAAGGGAGGGCAGTGGGCCGGGGAGGATTGGGGGCTTGGAGGAGGGCAACAGCTGCCGGGTGGTGGTGGGACTAGAGGGGTCTTGGTTGGGCAGCAGGGGTGGGAAGGGGGGAGGGGACGGTACCAACGAGACGCACGTGTCAAGCATGCACCTGTGGCAAGCAGCCTGTCAGAGGATGTTATTACACCTGCCAAGTGGTGTATCCAGAAACAAAAGAGGCCCAGTTTCCAATTCTTCAGCTGTGTGCAATGTTTAGAGAATCCCTATACCAGGAAATAATCCTGCCTAAATGGGTCAGTCTTCACAAGGCGGGAATGTAGACTGATGCACTGACTATAACCTAAGAATGATCTGAGTGTTAAAGATGCAGATTCCTCTGTCCCACCCCAAAACTAATCAGCTGTATTTTTAACAAACACCCCAAAGGAGTCTTAGATTTGAATGCCACTGATTGTCTTCAGTGGAGGAGGAAGATCCCGCTGTGAAGGCCGTAGCACCCTCACGCCCACGTCAGCCAATAGGACTATCCCTGACCTGATGAGAGAAGGAAAACTGCTAGGCAAAGGCAACATTAGAAACAATAGTATGAGAAAATAGAGCCTGAGATGAGGGAAAGAAGAAACAATAGTATCAGACAATAGACCAGTAGGTGCCAAAGTGGGTAGTTCAAACCCCAGGCACTATGGGAGATCACTCATGGCAAAGAGAAGTTCCTGTGGGAGGGGAGTATTATCCACAGTAAATATTCGTTGAGGCTTATTATGTGGTCACGCAGGGTTAGGCAAGCAGTCACTGAAAGGAGCCCAAATTCTGGAGTTAGACTTGCTTTCAAATTTGAGTTCTGCCTCCTATTCATGGCTTTGGACAAATTAATCTCTATAAATGAAGATGTTAAAATTAACACCTTCTGGGCTTGTGAAAATAAAATGAAAGCATGTATATAAAACAGAACAGTGCTTAGAACACAGTAAATTTCAGTGTACTCGATTATAAAAAGCCAAAAGGCCCATTTCTGGGGGCTGAGGGTTGGCCACAAAATCTGGGCAGAGAAGACAGATGATTAAAAGGTAGGAAACAAAGCAATGTGTATTAAATGAGTTGGACTGAGAGGCCAAGACAGGTGGGGAGGGAGGGGGACCTAGTGAAGACCCAGAAGTGGGTACCATGCCTTCTGGGAACAATAAGCACAAATCCAAATCAAGGCAAGAGGGGATATAAGCTTGAACCCTCAAACACCAAGCCAAATAGTCTTTGAAGAATCCCTGAAATGCTGGGTGAAGCAGTTTGAATGCCCTATGAAAAGCAGGTCTTAATACCAAAAATTAGGCCAGGTGCAGTGGCTCATGCCTGTAATACCAACACTGGGAGGCCGAGGTGGGCAGATCACTTGAGCTCAGGAGTTTGAGACCAACCTGGGCAACATGGTGAAACCTCGTCTCTACAAAAAAAAAAAAAAAAGAAAAAAAAATTAGACAAGTGTGGTGGTGTGCACCTGTAGTTCCAGCTACTTGGGAGGCTAAAGTGGGAGGATTGCCCTGCACCTGGGAGGTCGAGGCTGCAGTGGCCTGTGATCATACCAATGCACTCAGCCTGAGCGACAGAGCAAGACCCTGTCTCAAAAAAGAAAAAAGAAAGAAAAGTAGGCCTCAGACTTTCCTGAACCTCCTCCCCACTGCATCTTATACTGGGCAAAGCTGGCAATAATTTGTAAAATAATGATTTAGGCAGCAAGGCATAGGACGAATTGCTACTTGGAAAGATGAAAAGCAAGAATAGCAGTTGGCAAACTACCTCAAGGAAGAAGCAGGTTCTAATATAGGCTGGCAAGTGGTATCAATAGGAATGCAAGGAAAGGAACTAGGCAATGGCAGAGATATTGAAACTGGGTGTGGAGGCCAGAGGAAGATGTAAAAAGGGGGAGCAATGAATTCAGGCACGGTGATAGAAGTATATGCAGACAGAAATAGTCAACAAGTAGCTAGAAATAAGACTGAGGTGAAGTCAAAGCTGCATAGGAACAGAGGTAAATGAGGGGAAGGGACTAGAGATGGAGTTTTGGGGTATTTCGTTGGGTTGAAGGACCTAGTTTTCTTATTCACTGGGTACCCTAGTACCTGTCACCATACCTGACACATAGCAGGGACTCAGTAAATATTTGTAAAGTGTATATGGAAGAGGCAGCCAGTGAGGACAGAAGGAATAGTTGAAGCAGCAGGAGAGAAATCAGGAGAGTGCCCTTGAGAGAAGTCAAGGAGGAACAGTCCAGGGCTGACGGAGTGACAATAATGCTGTAAGGAGGTTATTTAACAGATTTGATTGAGCAGCTACTGTGGGCAAAGTACTCTGAACTACATCGTGCTGTTGTGGTGCGCTTGGAAGATGTCTAGTAGCTGATTATAGTTAAGAGTATGATCTGTGGTAAAGGGAGGAAGAGGAGGTGAAGGAAGCCGTAAAATTACTTAAGGCTAAATTATCACCAGCATTGAATGCCGTAACAAAGGCTTTGAGCGTCATACTGAAAATCGGTGGTCTCCAAACATTTTCTTAAAGTATAGGCCTTCCATAGCAAGTCTTTAGCATATGTCTTTATAACTTGTTTATTTATAAATTATATATGTATGCTAATCCTTATGCTTGTTTATAAGCTATATATAAGCAGAATCCTAAATATTATATACATTATAAACACAAAAGTTAAATATTACCAGTTTAAAAACAAATGAAATCTGAATCAAAGACAATTTTTTTAATTGAAATCTAAACTATTTATTTACTTATTTATTTTTGAGACAAAGTCTCTATTGCCCAGACTGGAGTGCAATGGCATAGTCTTGGCTCACTGCAACCTCTGCCTCCTGGCTTCGAACAATTCTCCTGCCTCAGCCTCCCAAGTAGCTGAGATTACAGGTGCCCACCATTACACCCAGCTAATTTTTGTATTTTTAGTAGAGACACGGTTTCACCATGTTGGCCAGGCTGGTCTTGAACTCCCAACCTCAGGTGATCAACCCACCTTGGCCTCCCAAAGTGCTGGGATTAGAGGTGTGAGCCACCACACCCGGCCTAAATTATTTAATTTATTTTGAGACAAGGTCTAACTCTGTCATCCATGTTGGAGTGCAGTGGCACAGTCACGGCTCACTGCAACCTCAACCTCCCCGACTCAGCTGATCCTCCCACCTCAGCCTCCTGGGTAGCTGGGACTACAGGCATGTGCCAACACGCCCGGCTAATTTTTGTATTTTTTTGTAGAAACAGGGCCTCACTATTTGCCCAGGCTGGTCTCAAACTCCTGGGCTCAAGCAATCCGCCCTTCTTAGCCTCCCAAAGTGCTGGAATTACACATGTGAGCCACCGCCCCTGGCCAAAATCTAAATCTTAATAGTTTTTGTTGTTGTTGTTGTTGTTGTTGTTGTTGTTGTTGTTGTTGTTGTTGAGACTGAGTCTCGCTCTGTCTCCCAGCCTGTAGTGCAGTGGCATGATAGCTCACTGCAACCTCTGCCTCCTGGGTTCAAGCGATTCTCCTGCCTCAGCCTCTTGAGTAGCTGTGATTACAGGTGCGCACCACCACGCCTGGCTAATTTTTTGTATTTTTAGTAGAGATGGGGTTTCACCACGTTGGCCAGGCTGGTCTCAAACTTCTGACCTCAGGTGATCCACCTGTCTCGGCCTCCCAAAGTGCTGGGATTACAGACGTGAACCACCACGCCCAGCCAATCTTAATAGTTTTTTTATCCTTTCTCCCCAGTCCTTTCAGACACCAAAGGAATTCTGGGGAAGACAATTTCACTGGAATGAGTATGTTTGGGGAGCAGAATTTCAGAAGAGTGATGCGGGGAAACCAGTTTGCAGGAGGAGAGGAGGGCATAGTGGGTGAGGAAATGGAGGCAAGGGTGTCCACTGCTCAAATACTTGATGGTGCAAAGGAGGAAAAGAAATAAGTCAAAAAGTTGGCCGGGCGCTGTGGCTCACGCCTGTAATCCCAGCACTTTGGAAGGCGGAGGCAGGCGGATCATGAGGTCAGGAGATCGTAGACCATCCTGGCTAACACGGTGAGACCCCGTCTCTACTAAAAATACAAAAAATTAGCTGGGCGCTGTGGCGGGCCCCTGTAGTCCCAGCTACTTGGGAGGCTGAGGCAGGAGAAGGGCGTGAACCCGGGAGGCGGAGCTTGCAGTGAGCCGAGATAGCGCCACTGCAGTCCGGCCTGGGCAAAAGAGCGAGACTCCGTCTCAAAAAAAAAAAAAAAAAATTAAGTCAAAAAGTTGAGCAGTTGAGCGGGAAAATATTGTTTTGTTTTATTGTTTTTGAAAGGAACCTCACTAACAGGAGATAATAAGGAACCAATAGTAAGCTGAACGTTAAAGATACAGGTAAGAGAAGACTATGGCTCTAGCCATAGTCTGTTGGACTGCTGGAATTTAACTCTGTCCCCTCTTCCATAGGGACTTGCATCTCAGAATTCCTCTCCTTTGTCCTTTCTCTTTGGGGCAGCTTGAGCATGTCCTGTCCTCTTCTGGATGGAGGACTGGAAATTGATGAGGCCCCTATGCAGTTGCTGATTCTTGTCACTGCCCTGTTCCTGCCTCCAGCTGTTAGGCCATAGCCACTGCCATAGTTGGGAAGAGCTGGAACAGGTTGACAAACACCTGTTGTGTCATAGCCATAGTATTTGTATCATGTGTTTAGAAGGCTGGTCTCCCCCGGTCCCCAATCCCCTCCCTTGCCCCACTCAAATATAGACACACACACATGCACACACGTACATGACCACCACGAGCTCTCCTCCAGCCAGTAGTTTGGACAGTGAATCACCACTCTTGGGTTCACCCCTAGAGCAGCTACTTACTCCCTGTGACCTGAAAAGTAAGCAGTATTTACCAAGAGCTTCAGGTTTGTGAGTTGAACCCACCTCACCCCTTGCTACTCTTGGCTACCCCAAGTGGTGAACCACATACTGTCCAGCATCCCTGGGCCTGCCACCTCCTGCCAGTGAGACAGCGCCCAGTCAGACATACAAATAGGCAGTCACAGCAAGAGAAGCCTTCCACTACCAAGTCCTCTGCTCACCTCACCTAGCCTGGCCACCTGAGGGGCCTTCCTAAAATTCAGATCTAAACACATGTGTCCCCCGATCAAAGGCCTTCAAGTCCCACCTCACCCCCATGGTCTATGAAAGAAAACCCAAACTGTTCAGCACAGTTTTCCAGGCCCTTGAACATCTGTTCCCCACCAGCCTCACCAGTGCAAGGCCTAACAAGTCTCCTGCCACTACCTTCAGCCTTCCATACAAAATAACTGGCAGTCCCCCCAAAGTCATTCTGTGTGGGCATCCTTGCCTGTGGGACATCATTGTTTCTTCACTCTTCTGATCCTGGCTGTGCTCTTCTTCCTTACCTCCCTGGGGTTCTGGGGTTCCTGTTCTTTGAGCATCAACATTCTGCAAGGAAAATCACACTGTGCTGAGAATTGGGAGACCTGAGTTCTAGTCCTGGCTCTGGCATCAGCTCACTGGGAGAGCTTGGACAAATTCCTCCCTCTTTCTGGGTCTTAGTCCTCCATCTGAGAAGACGGGATAAGTTCAGACCCATGATTCTCTGGCTGCCTTGGAAAATAAGGCTTCCTTTGTGGGCACCCATCCCAGCTTCTGCCTCCTGCCACAGGGCTGACTTCTGACACACAGGCCTTCTGTAAATACTCTAACAGAGAAAAGCGGAAGTTGACAAAAAACTGGCAGCAACAAGCCCCAGCTTGGCATTTTGGGTAACTATTCATAGGCACTTGATTGAGGAGGAAGTAGAAAGGAAGAACTGCAGTGAGATTTGCTCGGAACATCCCTGATCTATTATTGTGCCTGTCGCTTTAGACTTTTTCTTACTTATTTATTTTATTTATTTATTTTTAAGACGGGGTCATTCACTCTGTGGCCTGGGCTGGAGGACAATGGTATGATCACAGCCCACTGCAGCCTCAAACTCCTGGGCTCAACCAATCCTCCTGCTTCAGCCTCCCAAGTAGCTGGGATTATAGGCTATCACTTTAGACTTTGAGGGGAAGATGTAAGGACAGTAGAGGGGAAGAAGACAGACACTCCAGAGAAGGTTACACACGAGGAGAAGTTAATCCCTAAAAGCAGGCCCAAGCCCTCGCCCCTCCTTTCCCCTGCCCTCCTGCCCTCAAAGCAAGGGCTTTGGGAGAGGGCTTGGCTGCCCTGATTTTCCCCTATACCTTGTGTCCACTGAAGTAGGGAGATAGTAACTGTGCTGCCCTCCTTCTCCTCCCAGGGGTGGATTGTGCCTCCAAACATCTGCCACTGGGCTGAGTGAGCCTTGGTAGGGAGCTGAGACCACCGTCCTTCAGCGTCAGCAAACTCATATCATGTCAGCTAGCCACTCGAATGGTGCAAGATGCCAAACTGGTTATTCCCTGAGCAGTTCAGTCACAGTAAGGTGACTCTAAATGGACGGTCTGCACATTTTTCATCTTGTCTGTAATGACTTTTATTGCTCAATTGTTCTTTTTTATTTTTTTATTTTTTATTTTATTTATTTATTTATTTATTTATAATTTTATTTATTTATTTATTTATTTTGAGGCAGGGTGTCACCGTATCGCCCAGGCTGGAGTGCAGTGGTGTGATCTAGGCTCACTGTAACCTCCGCCTCCTAGGTTTAAGCAATCCTCCCACCTCAGCCTCCCAAGTAGTTGGGACTACAGTCATAAGGCACCACACTGGCTATTTTTTTGTATTTTTAGTAGAGACAGGGTTTTACCGTGTTGCCCAGGGTGGTCTCGAACTCCTCCAAGCGATCCACCTGCCTCAGCCTCCCAAAGTGCTAGGATTACAGGTGTAAGCCGGCGTGCCCAGCCTGCCCAATTTTTCAGTCAAGAAAACATACATGAAGCCTGGCACGGTGGCTCACACCTATACTCCCAACACTTTGGAAGGCCAAGGCAGGAGGATCAGTTGAGGCCAGGAGTTCGAGACCAGTCTGGGCAACATAGTGAAACCTTGTCTCTATTATGTTTAAAAAAAATAAAAATGTAAAGGCCAGGAACGGTGGTTTATGCCTGTAATCCCAGCACTTTGGGAGGCCAAGGCGAGATGATCAGTTGAGGCCACGAGTTCGAGACCAGTCTGGGCAACATAGTGAGACCTCATCTCTATTATATTAAAAAAAATAGGGACCAGGCATGGTGGCTCATGCCTGTAATCTCAGCACTTTGGGAGGCCGAGGCTGGCGGATCACGTGGTCAGGAAATCAAGACCATCCTGGCTAATACGGTGAAACCCTGTCTCTACTAAAAATACAAAAAATTAGCCGGGCGTGGTGGCTGGTGCCTGTAGTCCCAGCTACTCGGGAGGCTGAGGCAGGAGAATGGCGTGAACCCGTGAGGCGGAGCTTGCAGTGAGCCAAGATTGCGGCACTGCACTCCAGCCTGGGCTACAGAGCGAGACTCCGTCTCAAAAAAAAAAAAAAAAAAGTACAAAAAATTAGCCGGGGGTGGGGACGGGCGCCTGTAGTCCCAGCTACTCCGGAGGCTGAGGCAGGAGAATGGCCTGAACCCGGGAGGCGGAGCTTGCATCGCGCCACGGCACTCCAGCCTGGGCGATGAAGCGAGACTCCGCCTCAATAAATAAATAAATAAATAAATACATAAATAAATAAATAAATAAATAAAAATTTAAAGGCCAGAAATGGTGGTTCATGCCTGTAATTCCAGCACTTTGGGAAGCCAAGGCTCGGGAAGATTGCTTGAGCCCATGAGTTTGAGACTAGCCTGGGCAACATGGCAAAACGCTGTCTCTACAAAAAATACAAAAAAAAAAAAAAAAAAATAGCTGGTCTTGGTAGTGCACACCTATGGTCCCAGCTACTTGGAAGGCTGAGGTGGGAGGATCACCTGAGTCCCGGAGGTCCAGGCTGTAGTGATCCGTGACCATGTCACTGCACTCCAGCCTGGGTGACAGAGACCCTGTCTCAAAAAAAAAAAAAAAAAAAAGAAAGCAATATATGTCTTTATAGAGCATACATGAATATCTAACACATATAAAAATCCTTATTGCTATTAACATCCTCTATTCTTTGTTGTATGCATATATAAATATAATACTTTTCAATATATAGAGATGCAGTATATATATATATATATATGCGCATATATGTATAGAGAGAGAGAGAAAGTGTGTGTGTGTGTATATAAATATCCCCCTTTTTTTTTAAGACAGAGTCTCGCTCCATCACCCAGGCTGGAGTGTAGTGGTGCCATCTCGGCTCACTCCAATCTCCATCTCCTGGGTTCAGGTGATTCTCCTGCCTCAGCCTCCTGAGTAGCTGGGATTACAGGTGCCCACCACACCGCCTGGCTAATTTTTGTATTTTTAGAAGAGATAGGGTTTCACCATGTTGGTCAGGCTGGTCTCAAACTCCTGACCTCAAGTGATCTGCCCACCTCGACCTCCCAAAGTGCTGGGGTTACAGGCGTGAGCCACTGCGCCCAGCCAAATTCACCATTTTAAAGTGTACAATTTAATGGTTTTTAGTATATTCACAAGATTGTGTAATCATCATCACTCTCTCATGCCAGTCATTTTCATCACCCCAAAAAGTAACCTTTGCACCTATTACCAGTCATTTCCATCCTCCCTCACCTCCAGTCCCCACCCCCGAGTCCCTGGCAAGCACTAATCTACTTTCTGGCTCTATGGATTTGTTTATTCTGCACATTTCATATAAATAGAATTATATAATATGTGGCCTTTTGCATCTGACTGCTTTCATTTAATATAAGTTTTCAAGGTTTGTCCATGTTGTAGCATGTATCAGTACCTATTTTCTTCTTTTTTTTTTTTGAGACGGAGTCTCGCTCTGTCACCAAGGCTGGAGTGCAGTGGCACGATCTCAGCTCACTGCAACCTCTGCCTCCCAGGTTCACACCATTCTCCTGCCTCAGCCTCCTGAGTAGCTGGGACTACAGGTGCCAGCCACCATGGCTGGCCTAATGTTTTGTATTTATTTATTTTTTTAGTAGAGATGGGGTTTCACCGTGTTAACCAGGATCGTCTCGATCTCCTGACCTCGTGATCCGCCCGCCTCGGCCTCCCAAAGTGCTGGGATTACAGGCGTGAGCCACCGCACCCAGCCTTCTTTTCTTTTAATGGTTGAATATATTCATATTCAAGTGTGATATGGTCATACAATATATGGTATCACATGACCATATGACATTTTATTTAGCCATTCATTAGTTGCTGGACATTTGTATTGTTTCCACTTCCTGACTATTATGAATAATGCTATGGTGAACATTGAACATTTGTGTACAAGTTTTGTATGGACATATGTTTTCATTTCTTTGGAGTATATACCTATCAGTGGAATTACTGGGTTATGTGGTAACTCTATGTTTAACTTTTTGAGGACTGCCAAATTTTTTTCACAGTGGCTCTATCATTTTACATTCCCACCAGCAGTATATGAGGGTTCTAATATTTCTACATTCTTGCCAACACTTTTTTTTCTTTTTTTGGGATAGGGTCTCACTCCTGTTGCTCAGGCTGGAGTGCAGTGGTGCGACCTCTGCTCACTGCAGCCTCAACTTCCCGAGCTCAGGTGATCCTCCCACCTCAGCCTCCCAAGTAGCTGAGACTACAGGCACGCGGCACCACACCTGGCTAATTTTTTGTATTTTTAGTAAAGATAAGGTTTTGCCACATTGCCCAGGCTGGTCTCAAACTATCTGCCTGCCTGCCTTAGTCTCCCAAAGTGCTGGGATTACAAGCTTGAGCCACTGCACCTGGCCACTTTTTTTTTTTTCTTTTTTTTACTGTAGCCATCCTAGTGGGTGTAAAGTGACACCTCATTGTGGTTTTGACCTGCATTTCCCTAATTGAGTATCTTTCCATTTGCTTATTGGCTGTTTATATATCTTCTTTGGAGAAACATTTATTAAAATCCTCCCCAACCTGGGCAACATAGTGAAAACCCATCTCTATTAAAAATTAAAAAATTAAAAATTAAAAAAATTTAGCCAGGTGCCATGGTGTGCGCCTGTGGTCCCAGCTACTCGGGAGGCTGAGGCAGGAGAATTGCTTGAACCCGGGAAGTGGAGGTTTCAGTGAGCCGAGATCACGCTATCACAATTCCAGCCTGGGTGACAGAGCGAGAATCCATCTCAAAACAACAAAATAAAATAAAATCCTTTGCCCATTTAAAAAATTAAGTTGTCTTTTTATTATTGCGTTGTAAGAGTTCTATATATATTCTATATACTAGAACCTTATTAGATATATAATTTGTAAATATTTTCTCCCGTTCTGTGAGTTGTCATAACTTTCTTAATAATGTCCTTTGAAGCACAAAAGTTTTTAATTTTGATGAAGACCAATTTTTTCTTTCTGTTTTTTTGGTTGTGGTTGCTTGTGCTTTTATTGTCATATGTAAGAAACCATTCCCTAATCTAAGGTCACGAAGATTTATACTCATGTTTTCTTCTATGAGTTTTATAGTGTAAGAACTAGAACTATAAAAATCTTAGAAGAAAACAAAAATATAAATCTTCATGACCTCGGATTTAGGTCTTTGACTCATTTTATGTTAATTTTTGTATATGGTGTAAGATTCCAGATTTGTTCTGTTGCATATGGATATCCAGTTGTTCCAACATTGTTTGTTGAAAAGACTATTCTTTCATTATTTTATATTTTTTTCCTATTTTTTACCTTAATAAATTGTGAACATTTTCACTACAATAAATACTACAATTTTGTGCGTTTTTTTTTTAGCCATATGTTATTTTTTTAACCTCTCTCCTATTTAATGCATATTTGTTTGTACATTTTGCTGTCTTTCTTTCTTTTTCTTTTCTTTTTTTTTTTTTTTGAGACAGAGTTTCGCTCTGTCGCCCAGGCTGGAGTGCAGTGGCACGATATCAGCTCAGTTCAAGTGATTCTTATGCCTCAGCCTCTCCGGTAGCTGGGGCTACAGGCACCCGCCACAGCGCTCAGGTAATTTTTGTATTTTTAGGAGAAATGAGGTTTCTTCATGTTGGCCAGGCTGGTCTGGAACTCCAGAACAGACAACGGAGGCCGGGCGCGGTGGCTCACGCCTGTAAGTAATCCCAGCATTTTGGGAGGCCGAGACGGGCGGATCACTTGAGGTCAGAAGTTCCAGACCAGCCTGGCCAACATGGTGAAACCCCGTCTCTCCTAAAAATACAGAAGAGTAGCTGGGCGCGGTGGCGGGTGCCTGTAGTCCCAGCTATCGGGGAGGCTGAGGTGGGAGAATCGCTTGAACCCGGAAGGCAGAGGTTGCAGTGAGCCGAGATCGCACCATTGCACATCAGCCTGGGGGACAGAGCGAGACTCCATCTCAAAAACAAAAGAACAAAATCAAATTATTCAAAAGAGGAAAGCCTTGATTTAAGGGCAGCTCCATTTCCAAGGCTTTTCATGCACATTATCACTTTGCTATAGAACAGCAGTTCTCAAACTTTTTGATCTTATCCCTTTACACTCTTAAAAATTACTCAGTTTGGCCGATGTGGTGGCTCACGCCTATAATCCCAGCACTTTGGGAGGTCATGGAGGAAGGATCACTTGAGCCCGGAAGCTCATAGACAATCCTGGCCTGGGCAACATGGCAAAGCCTCTTCTCTACAAAAAATACGAAAGTTAGCCAGGTATAGTGCCTAGTGCCTGTGGTCACAGCCACTCGGGAGGCTGAGGTGGGAGGATAACTTGAGCCCATGAGGCCGCAGTGAGCCATGATCGCACCACTGCACTCCAGCCTGGGCAACAGAGTGAGACCCTGTTGCAAAAAAAAAAAATTGAGATTCCTAAAAAGCATTTTTGTTATGTGGTTAACCATCTCACAAAATAAAGCATATAAACATTTTAAATGTTTACATATTAATTATTTTACAAATAACTATAATAAACCCATTAAATGCTAACATAAGTTGATATTTTTTATTAAAAATAACTATTTTCCAGCCGGGCGCGGTGGCTCACGCCTGTAATCCCAGCACTTTGGGCGGCCGAGGCAGGCGGATCACCTGAGGTCGGGAGTTCAAGACCAGCCTGACCAACATGGAGAAACCTCGTCTCTACTAAAATTACAAAATTAGACGGGCGTGGTGACGCATGCCTGTAATCCCAGCTGCTCGGGAGGCTGAGGCAGGAGAATTGCTTGAACTCGGTAGGCGGAGGTTGCAGTGAGCCGAGATGGCGCCATTGCACTCCAACCAGGGCAACGAGAGTAAACTCCATCTAAAAACAAAAACAAACAAAAAAATTTCCAAAGCAAAAAAAACTTAGTGTGAGAAACTATTTTGCACACTAAGATTTACATTTTTGGAAATCTCCTTAATGTCTGACAATAGAATACACTGTCTCCTGTTTGTTTCTGCCTTAATCACGTGATATCACAATCATCTAACCTCTGGAAAATTACATTCTGTGCCAGTGAGCAAACGAGAGTGAAAAAGGCAAACAAATTTTGTTTTGTTTTGTTTTTTTGAGATGGAGTCTTGCTCTGCCTCCTAGGCTGGAGTGCTGTGGCGCGATCTCGGCTCACTGCAACCTCTGCCTCCTAGGTTCAAGCGATTCTACCTCAGCCTCCTGAATAGCTGGGACTACAGGCGCGCACCACCGCACCCAGTTAATTTTTTTTTTTTTTTTTTTTTTTTTTTGGTATTTTTAGTAAAGACAGGGTTTCACCAGGTTGGCCAGGCTGGTCTCAAACTCCTGACCTCAGGTGATCCACCCACCTCAACCTCCCAAAGTGCTAGGATTACAGGCGTGAGCCACCACACCCAGCCACATCTTAGTATTATTATAAAAATAGTTCCGCCGCCATCTTTCTTCCTGGCAGGGGCCGACGCAGGGACCGGCGCGGGGGTGAGAGCGCGCGGCCGGATTCACCACAACATGGCAACTCTTTTTATAAGGAAAATGGTGAACCCTATGCTATATCTCAGTCGTCACACAGTGAAGCCTCGAGCCCTCTCCACATTTCTATTTGGATCCCTTCGAGGTGCAGCCCCCGTGGCTGTGGAACCCGGGGCAGAAGTGCGCTCACTTCTCTCACCCGGCCTCCTGCCCCACCTGCTGCCCGCGCTGGGGTTCAAAAACAAGACTGTCCTTAAGAAGCGCTGCAAGGACTGTTACCTGGTGAAGAGGCGGGGTCAGTGGTACGTCTACTGTAAAACCCATCCGAGGCACAAGCAGAGACAGATGTAGACCCTTTCCCTCCAGAGTCACGCACATACTCGTCATCGCGTCTCTTGGGAGAATGGTTGTATCTTATGGAAGGAATTATCACATCAAGGAGTCAGGGGAAAGTGACTGGAAGCAAACGCCCTAAAAGTTACCCATCACGTTTCAGTGTAAATGAGTAACTATAGAAGACATTGCATTATCTTATTTCCAAAATGTTCCAATTAAAAAACATTTTCCTATTAAAAAAAAGAAAATAGTTTTGACCTCTCAGACCCCTGAAAGGATCTGAGGGCGCCCTAGGGCCCCCCACCACTCTTTGAGAAATGCTACTCTACAGAAAGATTTTACCAAAGTGTACTGTCATCACTGTGCCCCTTTTTCTGTACCTTCACCAACATTGGGCATCATCTTGCTTTTTTTTTTAGCCTTTGCTGATTTGTTAAACAAAAAGCAGGATCTCTTCGTGATTTTAATTTGCATTCTGAAAGGTTCATGATTTTTGAATTTATATTTTTTCTTTTATAAACCACCTCTTTATATCCTTTGCATGTTTTCTTTCTGGGATGGGCATTTTGTCTTATTTATTATAAGAGCACTGTTGTTGTTTTTTTTTCTGGCTCTATCCCAGGCTGGAGTGCAGTGGCGCGATCTTGGCTCACTTCAACCTCCGCCTCCCAGGTTCAAACGATTCTCCTGCGTCAGCCTCCCCAGTAGCTGGGACAGGCGCCGGCCACCACGTCCGGCTAATTTTTGTAGCTCACCACTGAGAACAAGGTGACAAACATGGAGTTTATTGTACCTGTGTCAGATCAGGATTAGAAGACTGGAGACCTGTGAGTCCCCTGTTCCTCACAGGGGAGGAAGTGGCCCATCTGGGTGGGCTTCTTGGCCTCAAGCCAATGCTGTGATCCCCAGTAGGGGGCTGTCTCACTGTACCCTAAGGTGGGGCCAGTTTATACCCAAAATTTTAACAAGGGATTTGGGTATCCAAGATGTTAAAGCTTTGTTAGGGGAAAATAGGCTAAGCCCTCATGACCCATTTCTTCAGAAAAGATGTTTTAGAATAAGAAAAGGAAACTAGAATTTAACAGTCTGACAGGATATTCTTGCTAACCACAAATTTACAGAATTATAGTTTAGCCATAGAGGTCTTCTCCTTTCTCAACTTTTGCAGATCTCTCCAGTAAATGCCTCTACTGCTTGACTGCTTTCTGAAATAGGAAACCATTATAAAGTAGAATTTGTGTCCAAAGTGACTAGGCCCAGTTAGCTGGGATTTTCTCCATTTCAGTGTTGTTTCCCCCATCCTTAAGCACACTGGAGATTTTTCTCTGCCAGTTTGGCAGGTGAAAAAAATGGTATAGCATTGTTTTAATTTTCATTTCTTGGATTACTGGTGAGTAAAAAGAAATGTTATGTATCTCTCAGCTGTTTGCATTTCTCCTTTAGTGAATTGCCTATTCGTATCTTTTTCACCTTTTTCTATTGGAGTGTTCGTATTTTTCTTAATGATTGAGGATCTCGTTATACAGTAAAATATTAACGCTTCGACATATAATGCATTTTTTTAATGTGTCAGTTTTCTTTTAACTTCTGCTCTGCAGAAGTGTCTAATGATTAAGTAGCTAAATCTATCAATCTTTAACTTTATGGTTTCTGTCTTTAAAGTCAGGTTTGGAAAGTCCTTCCCTAACTTCAATAATTGTTTTTCAAAATTTCCTCTTTTTTCCTCCTAGTATTTTATATTTCCATTTTGTTATACTATTTAAATCTAAACCATCTGACATTTACTTGGGTATATATTATATATGATGGGAAGAGCTAGTAATTTTTTTTCCCCAAATTGCAGGCTCGTTGTCCAATGATATTTATTGAATAATCCAAGAAGGGAAAATATGTGGTCCGAGTGAATCTGTCTCCCCTTCCCGGGCCCCCGGAAGACATTTCTAATCAAATGCAGAACTCCTGGCTAAACTCAGACTAGGCCTCACAGCCCGATTAGAACTGCAAGCAGCTACCTCCAACCTACGAGATTTGTCATCAAGATGAAACATTTTGTCATTCCCTAAGTAATCTATCCTTTTTCCTATTGATGTGTTACTGACATACCTGTCTTTTCTTTCTGTGTTACTGACATACCTGTCTTTTCTTTCTGTGTTACTGACATACCTGTCTTTTCTTTCTGTGTTACTGACATACCTGTCTTTTCCTGTGCCAGCTCCACACTGTTTGGTTATCACTTCCAAGTACTAAATGGTAATGACTGGTAGCACCAGTCTTATACCATTTTTCAACATTTTAAAATTATTTCCTCAAACAAAAGTCAGACTCAGAATATGTCAGAAAATATTTAAAAATAAAAAATAAAATTATTTTTTCTGATTTAAACTTTTGATTTTTATTACATCAAAGTATTTCCAAAATAAATTAAAATTTAAAATTCATATTAGATTTTCCAATCTAGGTATACATAGTGTTTCTTTCCATTTTTAAAGATTCCCTTTATTTCTCTGAATGTTTTTTTTTCATAATGTCTTTCACATTACTGGTCGACTTTATTCCTGCATATTTCATATTTGTGGTTGCTATCAGAAGTGGAAGTTTTGGCAGGGCGCAGTGACTCACGCCTGTAATCCCAGCACTTTGGGAGGCCGAGGTGGGGGGATCACTTAAGGTCAGGAGTTCGAGACTAGCCTGGCCAACATGGTGAAACCCTGTCTCTACTAAAAATACAAAAATTAGCCTGGCTTGGAGCTGGGCATCTCTAATCCCAGCTGCTAGGAAAGCTGAGGTAGGAGAACCTCTTAAACCCAGGAGGGGGAGGTTGCAGTGAGCCAAGATCACACCACTCCACTCCATCCTGGGTGACGGAGTGAGACTGTCTGAAAACAATAAATAAATAAATTTTAAAAAATAAAAGAGTAAAAGAAGTGGAAGTTTTTTAAATATAACATCTCATTTCTCACTCTGTCACCCAGGCTGGAGTGCAGTGGCATGATCTCAGCTCACTGCAACCTCTGCCTCCCAGGTTCAAACGATTCTCCTGCCTCAGCCTCCCGAGTAGCTGGGATTACAGGGGCGTGCCACCATGCCAGGCTAATTTTTGTTGTTGTTTTTGTTTTTGGTTTTTGAGATGGAGTTTCGCTCTTGTTGCCCAGGCTGGAGTGCAGTGGCGCGATCTCAGCTCACTGCAACCTCTGCCTCCCAGGTTCAAGCAATTCTCCTGCCTCAGCCTCGCGAGTAGCTGGGATTATAGGCATGCACTACCACGCCCTTCTAATTTTGTATTTTTAGTAGAGACGGGGTTTCTCCATGTTGGTCAGGCTGGTCTCGAACTTCCAACCTCAGGTGATCCGCCCACCTCAGCCTCCCATAGTGCTGGGATTACAGGCGTAAGCCACCATGCCTGGCCTTAATTTTTGTATTTTTAGTAGAGGTGGGGTTTCACCATGTTGGCCAGACTGATCTTGAACTCCTGACCTCAAGTGATCCTCCCACCTTGGCCTCCCAAAGTGTTGGGATTACAGGCGGGAGCCACTGTGCCTGGCTTTGTTTCTTATTACTAGAATGTAAGCTTCATGAGAGCAGAGTCCACATATCTTTTGTTCATAACAGCCATAGAGCTGGCCGGGCATGGAGGCTCACACCTGTAATCCCAGCACTTTGAAAGGCCAAGGTGGGCGGATCACGAGGTCAGGAGATCGAGACCATCCTGGCCAACATGGTGAAACTCCATCTCTACTAAAAATACAAAAATTAGACAGGTGTGGCAGCACATGCCTGTAATCCCAGTTACTTGGGAGGCTGAGGCAGGAGAATCACTTGAACCCAGGAGGCAGAGGTTGCAGTGAGTTGAGATCGAGCCACTGTACTCCAGCCTGGAGACAGACCTAGACTCCGTCTCAGAAAAAAAAAAAAAAAATAGCCATAGAGCTTAAGAAACAGTGCCTCCACATTGTAGTTTCTCAATAAAAGTTTTTAAATGAATGAAGGAATAATGGCACAAAGCAATGCTATTATTTTAGTGTTATTAATTTGTAACAGGCGCCGGGCGCAGGGGCTCACTCATGCCTGTAATCCCAGCATTTTGGGAGGCCAAGGTGGGTGGATCACCTGCACTCAGGAGTTTGAGACCAGCCTGGCCAACATGGTGAAACCTCGTCTCTACTAAAAATACAAAAATTAGCCAGGCGTGGTGGCGTGTGCCTGTAATCCCAGCTACTCGGGAGACTGAGGCAGGAGAATTGCTTGAACCCAGGAGGTGGAGGTTGCAGTGAGCCGAGATTGCATCATTGTACTCCAGCGTGGGCGACAGAGCAAGACTCTGTCCCCCTCAAAAGAAAAAAAGAAAGAGAGAGAGAGAAGAAAGAAAGAAAAGAGAGAGAAAGAAGGAGAGAAAGAAGGAGAGAGAAGGAAAGAAAGAAAGAAAGAAGGAAAGAAAAGAAAGAAAGAAAGAAAGAAAAAGAAAATGAGCAAAGGAAGGATTTGGTGGCAAGGAGGTCATTGGTGATCTTAGTGAGTGTGGGGAGTATCTTTGTTGGGCTGGGGCGAAAGCCGCCTGTGATGGTTGAGGAGAGGTGACAATATGCAGACTGCCTCTGGGCTACTCCTTCAAGAAGCTTAGCAGGGCCAGGCGGTGGTTCACACCCACAATCCCGGCACTCTGGGAAGCCAAGGCATGAGGATCACTGGAGCCCAGGAGTTCAAGACCAGTGTAGGCAACATGCTGAAATCCTGTCTCTTACAAAAAATACAAAAATTAGCTGAGTGAGGCTGGGTGCGGTGGCTCATGCCTGTAATCTCAGCATTTTGGGAGGCCGAGACAGGCGGATCACTTGAGGTCAAGAGTTCAAAACCAGCCTGACCAACACAGTAAAAATCCATCTCTACTAAAAATACAAAAATACAAAAATTATTGCACCACTGCACTCCATCCTGGGTGAAAGAGTGAGACTCCATCTCAAAAAAAAAAAAAGAAAAGAAAAGAAAAGAAATGAAATTAGCTCAGTGTGGTGGCTGGCGCCTGTAGTCCCAGCTACTCCAGGGGCTGAGGTGGAAGGATTGCTTTAGCCTGGGAGTTCGAGGCTGCAGTGAACCGTGATTGCGCCACTGCCCTCCAGCCTGGGCGACAGAGCGAGACCTTGTCTCAAAAAAAAAAAAAAAGAAGAAGAAGAAGCCACTAAGCTAAGAGGTAGGTACTAAGTTGAAGGGGAGACAGAATGGAGATAAGGATTTGGGTTTTTTAGGTGGTAGTGACACAAGGATGTTCATAAGCTGAAGAAGAAAAGACCAACAAACAGACTAAACATTTGAGAATGAGACAGAGGAAAAAGCATACGGAGCAAAGCACAGAGGTCACAGGGTGTGTGGCCAGCAGTGGTGGGGACGCTGCTAGCTTTCTCTGAAGTGGGAGAAAAGGAGTGTTCCTTTCCCTGCACTTTCTCAACCACACTGACTGAGGAAGGACAGAGGGGGCCCAGAGAGCAGTGGGGGTGTCCAATCACTGTTCTTGGGCCTGGAAACTGTTGGGGCTGTGGACCCCAGAGTACTGAAGGACTGCTGGACGGAGCGTATGGCTCCATCTGAGCCTGTAAATCATAAATCTACCTGGTCAAAGAGTAAAGGCCTCAAAGGTTCTGAGTTAATTGGTCTGGTTTTTGACCTGAGCATCAGAAATTTTTTAAGCTCCCTGAGTGAGTCTAACATGCAGCCATGGTTGAGAACCACTGGGGTTAAGAAGTGAATTGAGACGTATGGAGACTTAAATCTCCAACCCTGGGTGGGAGGACAAGGAGAGGCTCTGCCGCCCTGGCTGGAATAGTGGGGCCCTGTTTGGGTTGTGGACGTCCCTTCAGTCACAGGAGGATGAATTCCTGCCTTGTTCCTTTGGTCGGATCTGAATTCTTCCCCAACCTCCCGCCCTAACTGATAGCATACAGGGCTTCCCAGACAGAGACCATCAGCCCCTAGGGTGGCAGAGAAAGGCCAGGTTCAGGAATGTGACATTAATTATGACAAACAATATGTTCTCCCACTTAAGAACTAAGCCTGGTTGGCTGCGCATGTGCGCGCGCGTGCTTGTGTGTGGGTGTGTGGTGGGGTATGTGTGTGTCCGGGGCTGCCGATTCAACTGAAAAACAAAAGCGGCTCTGAGTCTGAAGCTAAGGTTTAACAAGTGACCAAGATGACTCATGCTGCTTGGCTGCAAAGGCCACAGGGCTGCCACCCCCAGCGGGGCGGGGCCTGGGTGGGAAGAGTCACAGGTACAGAGGCTCCTGTGACATTCACACTCTGCCCCTGCATCGGCTGCCTTTGGGGCCAAATACTTTTGTGAAAATTAAGACAGAAGGCCGGGTGCGGTGGTTCACGCGTGTAATCCCAGCACTTTTGGAGGCCGAGGCAGGCGGATCACGAGGTCAAGAGATGGAGACCATCCTGGCCCACATGGTGAAACCCTGTTTCTACTAAAAATACAAAAATAGGCAGGGCGTGGTGGCTCACGCTTGTAATCCCAGCACTTTGGGAGGCTGAGGCGGGCAGATCACGAGCTCAGGAGATCGAAATCATCCTGGCTAATACGGTGAAACCCCGTCTCTACTAAAAATACAAAAAATTAGCCGGGTGTGGTGGCACGTGCCTGTAGTCTCAGCTACTCAGGAGGCTGAGGCAGGAGAATTGCTTGAACCCAGGAGGTGGAGGTTGCAGTGAGCCAAGACTGCGCCACCTCACTCCAGCCTGGCAACAGAGTGAGACTCCATCTCAAAAAAAAAACAAAAACAAAAACAAAAAGTAACTGGGTGTGGTGGCCCGCACCTATAGTCCCAGCTACTCGGGAGGCTGAGGCAGGAGAATCACTTGAACCCAGGAGGCGGAGGTTGCAGTGAGCCGAGATCGTGCCACTGTACTCCAGACTGGCGACAGAGCCAGACTCCCTCTCAAAAAAAACAAAAAACAAAAAAGAACCAGAAAATGTAACTTTCTTCCTATGGTCATAAATCTGGTGTAAGCAGGCAAGTCAAAGCGATGTTGAAGCCAATGGATCTTGCAAAGGCATGGCAATGTTTGCACAAGGATGGGATATAGTAAGTTAAAATACATTGGCTTTTTCCAAACGGGCTCAAACTGGAAGAGAAGGTCTAAGCAGAGCATGTGCTGCTGTCAGGAGGGTTCCTCAGCAGGAGACAGGGCACCCCAGGGGTGCATATTTAATAAAAACTTACAATATGCAGGTTTTGGGACATGAAGGAAACATTTAACCTGTCCTGTCCAACACGGCAGCCACTTGTCACATGCGGCAGTTGAATACTTGGAATATGGCTAGTCTGAATAAAGATGTAAAACATACGCCGGATTTTAGACTTAGTACAGGGGTGGGAAAGAGTTTAAAATAGCTCAGTATAGGCCGGGCACAGTGGTTCACACCTGTAATCCCAGCACTTTGGGAGGCCAAGGTGGGCAGATCACCTGCAGTCAGGAGTTTGAGACCAGCCTGGCCAACATGGCAAAACCCTGTCTCTAATAAAATTACAAAAATTAGCTGGGAATGGTTGCGGGCGCCTGTACTTCCAGACACTCGGGAGGCTGAGGCAGGAGAATTGCTTGAACCTGGGAGGAAGAGGTTGCAGTGAGCTGAGATCACACCACTGCACTCCAGCCTGGGAGACATAGAGACTCCGTCTCAAAAAAAAAAAAAAACCTCTCTCTCCATGTATATATCTGTGTGTGTGTGTGTGTGTGTGTGTGTGTGTATTTTTTGTTTGTTTTGTTTTCACGGCTCACTGCAGCCTCAAACCTCTGGGCTCAAGTGTTCCTCCTGCCTCAGCCTCCTGAGCAGCTGGGACTACAGGCGCTCACCACCATGCCAAGCTAACCTTTTACTTTTTTGTAGAGATAGGTTCTTGCTATTATGTCCAGGCTGGTCTCGAGCTCCTGGGCTAAGGTGATCCTCCTGCCTTGGCCTCCCAAAGTGCTGGGATTAATAAACCACCATACCTGGCCAAACTCAATAATTTATTAATACTTTAAAAATACTGACTACGAGCTGGGCACAGTGGCTCATGCCTGTAATCCCAGCACACTTTGAGAGGCTGAGGAAGGCAGATCACTTGAGGTCAGGAGTTCAAGACCAGCCTGGACAACATGGCAAAACCCCGTCTCTACTAAAAATACAAAAATTAGCTGGGCATAGTGGCACACACCTTTAATCCCAGCTACTCGGGAGGCTGAGGCAGGAGAATCACTTGAACCTGGGAGGCAATGGTTGCAGTGAGCCAAGATCCCGCCACTGCACTCCAGCCTGGGCAACAGAGCGAGACTATTTCTCAAACAAAACAAACAACTCTTATCACCCAGGCTGGAATGCATTGACAGAATCCTAGCTCACTGCAGCCTCTAATTCCTGGGCCCAAGTGATCCTCCCGCTTTAGCCTCCTGTGTAGCCACCCCACCAGCCTTAAATGTTTTTTCAACCTGATAGAAAGATATAGCAATCTGTCTGCTCTCTTTCCTAGTCTTCCTTTTTTTTTTTGTTTTTTTTTACAAAGATTGCTAAACATTTATGACATGCTGGTAGAGTAAGAGATACAGGAAATGGGCGGGGCGCGGTGGCTTACGCCTGTAATCCCAGCACTTTGGGAGGCCAAGGCGGGCGGATCACCTGAGATTGGGAGTTCGAGACCAGCCTGACCAACATGGAAAAACCCTGTCTCTACTAAAAATACAAAATTAGCCAGGCATGGTGGCACATGCCAGTAATCCCAGCTACTCGGGAGGCTGAGGCAGGAGAATTGCTTGAACCGTGGAGGCAGAGGTTGCCAAGATCATGCCATTGCACTCCAGTCTGGGCAACAAGAGCAAAACTCCATCCCAAAAAAGAAATAATAATAATTCTTTCTAAAGAAGGGGTCTCGCTATGTTGCTCAGGCTGAGGCGCAGTGACTGTTCACAGATGTGATCATAACACACTACAACCTCAAACTCCTGGCCTCAAGGGATTCTCTCGGCTCAGCCTCCGGAGTAGCAGGGACCACAGGCATGCGCCACGGCACCCAGTGTGGCACATTTTAAAAAATGCAGCCACTTAAGGGCACTTTCTGTTGTTTTATTTATCTTTCAAGTTTTACTTATTTATAAATCTATGCACACATACACATGTACTATTGGATGAGAGCAGCAGGAGGCTGTGGAAAGGATACTTGGCATAAAGCCAAGAGCACTTGTCTCCAGGTCTGATCTCCCACTTCCTGGGGCTCAATTTCCCCATTCATAAAATGGGTGGGTTGGCCTAGATAGGCCTAAGGACTCTTCCAGCTTAGATATTGCAGGATTCTAGATTGAAGTCAAACTGTTCCTTAGATTTTGTGTCTGATCCCACAGCCAGAGAGCAGGGCTGGTTTCCTTGTTAATGCGATCCAGTGCTGTCAGCCATGAGAGACTTCACCTTTGGAACAGAAATTTCCATCTGCATCCTCTCTGCAGATCATGCCTATCCCTCCTCCCCACTGACACCCCCCCTCATGTAAATCAGCCTGGGGAATCAGATCTTGGAGAAACTTCGATCTCTTTATCTGGAAGGCACAAAGATAGCATTGCAAAGCCTGCTGCTGGTGTGGAGGTGGTGTTCAGGAATGCTTCACATTTTTCTAGCAAGTTTCATTCCTAGTAGTATAATCTTGAGGAGAGGCCTTTCCCCAGGGAGGCTTTGGGGAAACTAGCAATGGAATGAGGGAAAGAACATGGACTGGGTGGGAGAGAGCCTTCTTTAGAAGGAAATACTGGCAAAATCCGGTATTGCAAAGTTTTGAAAAAATCCATCCTGCCGGGCACGGTGGCTCACGCCTGTAATCCCAGCACTTTGGGAGGCCGAGGCGGGCGGATCACAAGGTCAGGAGATCGAGACCATCCTGGCTAACCTGGTGAAACCCCGTCTCTACTAAAAATACAAAAAAAATTAGCCGGGCGTCGTGGTGGGCGCCTATAGTCCCAGCTACTCGGGAGGCTGAGGCAGGAGAATGGCGTGAACCCGGGAGGTGGAGCTTGCAGTGAGCCGAGATCAAGCCACTGCACTCCAGCCTGGGTGACAGAGTGAGACTCCGTCTCAAAAAAAAAAAAAAAAAAAAAGAAAAAATCCATCCTATTGCATTTGCTTAGAAAGAACCTGGGGCTGGGCAGTCGGCCTGGCTCTGTCACTGTGTGATTTTAAAAGACATTTAATGTTTCCAAGCTACTGAGTGCAACAGGTTTCTCACTGAGCTTGATTTTGCACCCCTCCAGCCCACCCTCTATCTACAATGCTGCCAGCACTGACTCTAAAATGCACATGACTCCACCTCCACTCCCACCCCACTGACTCCATTACCTGTAGCAAAAAATAAAAGAAAATCTAAACTCTTCTCTATGACATTTGAAGCCTTTAAAATCTGGTCCCAGGCTACATTTTTAATCTCATCTCATACTCTCCAGCTCACTGAGCCCCTTTCCCTATTGTCCTGAGTCCGTATCTGCCTCTGGACAGCCATGAGCTCCACTGGGAAGGACAGTGGCTTGGCCACCCCAGCTGTGTTCTTCCCCCAGTACCCTTTCCAGTTCCTGGCACAGAGGCTCAGTAAAGGTTTGATGCCTGAATAACCAACTAAATGGGCAATCATGTAAATCAAGGAAGGCCCATGGACTGGACAACTCCTAAATTCCCTTCCAGCACTAACTTCTGAGTAATGTTCCCCAGGGCAGAGCTCAAAACTGCTTAGGACTTGACCTAGTTCATACTGTTACTGCAGTTTGAAAAACAGAGACAGGTGGTCTGACAAAGGGTTTAAAAGTTTTTTATTCATATGACAATTTTGCATACAGCAGAAAAATTAAAATACAATGCAATTTAAATATTTAAAATTGCTTTAAAACAAGATCATCCTATGGTTACACAACAATGTGAATGTGCTTAATGCCATGTACACTTAGATGGCTGAGATGGTAAACTTTATGTTATGTGTATTTCACTACAATTGAAAAAAAACAAGACTGCCAGGCACGATGTCTCACGCCTATAATCCCAGCATTTTGGGAAGCCAAGACAGGAAGATCACTTGAGGCCAAGAATTCAAGACCAGCCTGGGCAACAACAGCAAAAAAATCTTACAATTAGTTAGCCATGGTGGTGCATGCCTGTGGTCCCAGCTACTCGGGAGGCTGAGGCAGGAAGATCGCTTGAACCCAGGAGGTTGAGGCTGCAGTGAGTAGCGTTCGTGCCACTGCACCCCAGCCAGGGCGACAGAGTGAGACCCTGTCTCAAAAAAACAAACAAAAAACTCAAGACTTTCCTGGATGTGTAGTTGCTACCACCATGCCCCTGGCCCTTCTGTAGAGGGGGCTTTTAAAGAGATAAAACAAACAAAAATCTCAAGTAGGAGAAGTATTGAAACCTTTGATTCCTAGAGAAGATGGAGAAAGAAAGGATTCCTGGTTTAACAAAATGTTAAATGTAGTGAAATTTAAAGTACCCTAATATCACCAATGCCCAGAAGCCTCAGCCATCTGTCACACTGAGGGCTAGGAAATGAGCAAAAATGCCTCTGTGGGACCACAAGAAATATCATTAGACTAATCAAAGAACCAATTTTATGAAGTAGATGATCCCAATTTTTAAAACTGTAAAGAAAGCATTTACGTTTTTGTTTTTGTTTTATAAAGACAGGGTCTCGCTGGGTGCAGTGGCTCACTCCTGTAATCCCAGCACTTTGGGAGGCCAAGGTGGGTGAACCACAAGCTCAGGAGGTCGAGACCATCTTGTCCAACATGGTGAAACCCCGTCTCTACTAAAAATACAAAAATTAGTTGGGTGTGATAGCACGTGCCTGTAATCCCAGCCACTCGGGAGGCTGAGGCTGGAGAATCGCTTGAACCCGGGAGGCGGAGATTGCAGTGAGCCGAGATTGCGCCACTGCACTCCAGCCTGGGTGACAGAGTGAGACTCCATCTCAAAAAAAAAAAAAGAAAAGAAAAGACAGGGTAGACCTCTGTTGCCCAGGCTGGACGGAGCGTAGTGGCGCAATTATAGCTCACCATAGCCTCAACCTTCTGGCATCAAGCAATCCTTCCACTTCAGCCTCCCAAGTAGCTAGGACCCTAGGTGTGTACCACCATGCCCAGCTAATTTTTTTGGCGGGGGTGTGGGGGAGGGTTCACACTATGTTGCCTAGGCTGATGTCGAATTCCTGGCTGCAAGCAATCCTCCTGCCTTAGCCTCCCAAAGGGCTGGGATTACAAGAGTGAGCCACTGCACCCAGTGGTTACCATTTTATAGTCAAGGAAATTAAAGCTTAGAAAAAGTAACTTGTGGCTGGGTGCCGTGGCTCACGCCTGTAATCCCAGCATTCTGGGAGGCCAAAGGGGGTGGATCACCTGAGGTAAGGAGTTCAAGACCAGCCTGACCAACATGGAGAAACCCTGTCTCTACTAAAAATACAAAATTAGCCAGATGTGGTGGTGCATGCCTGTAATCCCAGATACTCGGAAAGCTGAGGCAGGAGAATCACTTGAACCTGGGAGGCGGAGGTTGCAGTGAGCCAAGATCGCACCATTGCACTCCAGCCTGGGCAACAAGAGCAAATCTCCATCTCAAAAAAAAAAAAAAAAGAAAGAAAGAAAGAAAAGGTAACTTGTGTAAATTTATATATACAGCTGGCCAGTTGAAAACTAAGATTCAAAACTACCTTGGGTGTGGGAAGAGTTTAAAAAAAAATCAACCAAGTCCATGCTGTTTCCAGTGCCCCATTCCTTATAATGGCTTTCTTGTTAGGCTTGGTTTTGCTTTGAGTCCTCCCAAAGCAACTCTGACTACCTAATCAAAACAGGACATTATTAGAAGGAGCCTAGGGTGGCTCCGGGGACTAAAGGAAGTGCTAACAAACAGCCCTAGACAGGCAGGGACCGCGGCAGCTGAGGGACCTTCATTCTAAAACACGAGCATTCATGTGACACTGCTCCAAGCTTGCCAGGCTCAGAGATTCTGTTCAGGTTTCAAATTCCTAGGAGAGAGAATCTGGTTTGCCTGCCTGTGTTAGGTGCCCACAGCCCTATCAGTCAGCTCTGCCCAGGGAGACAGAGTCCTGAACCCTAGACATGGCCACTGGGGTGCATCCTAGGTGTTGGCTCTTCCCAGAGGAGGGAAATCCCTGTGAGTCAGGCAGTCCCCTCAGGTAAGTCCCCAGCAGAAAATTTTCTGTGGGGAGGAAAAAGGGAACAGAAGTAGCCTGTCACCCGAGAAGCCTCCATGGCAACATTTGGAGCTATCAATTCAGCCTCAGCCTCACAGTTTGCTCCCTTCAAGGTTTCACCATTATCAGGGGCTGCAAACCTGGGCAGCATATCTGCAATTCTGGCCTCGCTTTATCCTTCAGTGTTAAAACTCATCTTAACTACACCAAGGTTGCTGGAGCTTGTCTTCCAAAGTCACCCTTGGGGGCTTAGTGGGTGCAAGGGCCGCTCAGGGCAAATGAAAATGAAAGGCACACAACCAAGAAAGCTCAGAGGTGCCTGGAAGGCAGGCTGTGCTCACTCTCCAGAAACCCCTGAAGGCTCTTTCGGAAGAAAGAAAAGAAAAATGTGTGCCATGCATTTGACTCGGTTTAGCTGTGCTTTGGGGCTCATGACATGGAAACCTGCCCATGCACAGTCAGCCCTAACAAGCAATAACCAGAGGTGTCTGGCCTAAACTCTAAAATGCTCTTAAGGATATTAGAACCATTAACTCTAACTGGAGTTAATCTATAGGCACAAATCACTCGCCAAATTAACTGGCCAGTGGTTTAACAGCCTTTCAAACTCAGGAAGGCCTGTATATAAATCGACAGCAGCAACTACCACTGCTTAGCACCTACCTTACTGCTATTTCAATTGCATTTCTCTACAATCCTGAGAAAGCTGCTATTATTATAACCATTTATGGATGAGAAAGATGAGGCACAGAGTTTTGACGTGACCCAGAACACACAATGTTGGGAAATTCCAGACAGAATGGGGACTTGAATTTAGGTCTTCTGATCCCAAATCCTAGACGGGTGTTTCTTATGAGGACTTTCTCATGGATTCATCACTTCTTTATTCACTTTATGTCATCAGTTCTTTTTTCAGAGTAAGTTACCTAATGATTCTCCACCCTTGCACAGTGGGGCTGGCTTCTCCATGCCAGTGTAAATGTACGTACAAAGAATGCATCAGATTAGTTTCTATGCCCAAGAAAGTAATGTCACCCTTGTCTTGGGCTCTAATTGCAAGAACAGCTGAGCTGGAGCAGATCCTGGTGACCATTTGTTGCCAAGTCCAGGATTACACAGTGGACAAGAGGAGTTTTCTAGGACTACACTAAAATGAGTATAGTTAGGGTGAGGATTTCAGGACCATGGAACTAGAAGGAACTTTATTCTAAACCTCAGGCTTGAAATTCAAAACCAGAGTTTTTACTCTTGCCTGTTAGATGTCAATCAGAGCTTAGTTCAGCCTGAGTGCTCCTGCACAAGTCTTCAGTGTTCCTCTATGGATTTATGATTGTCTGGCCTCTCCATCACCCCTCTGGAGTGGGAAATAAGTGAAAGTGGCATGGAAGGAGGTATGATTTGGGCAGAGAGAAAAATCAGCCTCTTCACGGTCCTGACCTGTTTTTCAAACCCTGAGTCAAGAATCCACTGATGGGTTTGTTAAAGCAATTTACTAGGTAAAGACCAACACTTAAAAAATAAGATAAAATTAGTCAAGCGGGAAATATCAGACTATATCACATGTAGTTATGGTACATAATGTTTCATAAAACGTTTTAAAATAATTTTCAAAAATAAATATATTTATGTATAATGGTATGTAAAAATGTATCTTTTACCACAAGTCTTAGTTTAAAAAAAAAAAGTTTGAAAGGCACTGGCTAAGTGGATTGAGAACTGGAATGTCTGAGATTTATAACCCTCTCCACTTAATATGGGATCTCAGATGTCAGGGAATATTATGAGGCCTATTTAAAACTTGCCACCCAGAAACATAAAACCAAAACCAAAAGCTGCAAGGAAAAAGATTTTGAAACTAGATTTTGTAAAATATTTCTAAATTGTCTATATTAAAACATACAACAGAATTGAAAGGTGTAAAACTGAAAAAACATCTGCATCCACATGTCAAAGTGTCAAATTCTTACTATTAAAATAATGATTATAAATCAAGAAGTGAAAAAGTCTGATATTCCAACAGAAGAAAAGGGACGGAGGCAAATCATGAGAAAAAGGGAAATAGATAAAAAGATGTTCGCCGGGTGCAGTGGCTCAAGCCTGTAATCCCAGACTTTGGGAGGCTGAGGTGGGTAGATCACGTGAGGTCAGGAGTTCTAGACCAGCCTGGCCAACATGTGAAACCCCGTCTCTACTAAAAATACAAAAATTAGCTGAGCATGGTGGCGCATGCCTGTAGGCTCAGCTACTTGGGAGGCGGAGGCACAAGAATCACTTGAACCCAGGAGGCAGAGGTTGCAGTGAGCCAAGAATGCCCACTGCACTCTAGCTTGTGCAACAGAGACTCAGTCTCAAAAATAAATAAATAAATAAAAATAAAAAGATGTTCAACTTCACCAATAACGTCAATTAAGACAGGATCTAATTTTTTTTCAACTCCCAATGTTTTTTAAATACCCAGTTTTGTCAAGGATGTAACACTATAAAAGGCGCCACATATTGCTAGTGGGAGTATAATTAGATAAACTGGGAGAAAAATTGGCAATACACACCAGAAGCCTTGAAAATTGTACCCTTTGTCTTAATAATCCCTCTTCAAATAATTTATCTCAAGGAAACAATCATGGGTGTGTTCAAGGTTGTTAACAATAGTAAAAAACTTGAGGAAAAAAAAACAAACCCTGGCTGTCCAACAATAGGAATGTTATGATCTTGTTTACAAAATATAATTAATTAATTAATAAGTTAACTAGCAAAGCCCCAACATGGGGCTTGAGTTTGGGCCATTCTGGGGGCTGAAAGCCTGACCACTCCTATAGGAGTTCATTTTCCCGAGCTGACTGATGAAGGCAGAAGGAGGGAGGAGTTTAGAGAACACAGGCTTGGGGGAGGTGCGATGCAGACAATGGGACTGTTGAACCTCAGCAGAGACGGTTTGAGATGGAAGCTGAGGAGCTATTTTCAAGAGATACTTTGCAAGACTCTAAGTCTGAGGCCTGGGATTAACAAAAAAGACATCATAGGTGTGTTGGTAAAAAGTGCCCTGGAGAAGAGTACAGCAGACAAGAGGGTCTAGGGACTGTGAGGGACTTTGCAGGTTTATTTAGGGTAGGCAGGGAAGGCCCCTCTGATGAGTTGAGATTTACCAGAGACCTGAAGAAATGGTGAGAACTACCAAGGGAGGCTAGGCAGAGGGAACAGCCAGTGCAAAGGCCTTGAGGCAGCACATGCTTGCTGTGTTTTAAGAACAGCAAGGAGGCCAGTGTGGCTGGAGTATGGTGAGCACAGGTGTCACTGGCAGGAGACAAGGGCAGCAAAGCAGCCCAGGTTGGGTCATGTAGGACCCTGTGGGCATTCTAAGGATTTGTCATTTACTCTGAGTGAGATGGGGAGCCGTGGGGAGGATTTTGAGTAGGGAAGGGACATGTCCTGACTTAGGTTCTTATTTTTATTTATTTATTTATTTTTGAGATGGAGTCTTGCTTTGTCGCCGAGGCTGGAGTGCAGTGGCACAATCTCGGCTTGCTGAAACCTCCCACTCCCGAGCACAAGCGATTTTCCTGCCTCAGCCTCCCTAGTAGCTGGGATTACATGGGTGTGCCACCATGCCCAGCTAATTTTTATATTTTTAGTAGAGACAGGGATTCACCATGTTGGCCAGGCTGATCTTGAACTCCTGACCTCAAGTGATCCATCTGCCTTGGCCTCCCAAAGTGCTAGGGTTACAGGCATAAGCCACTGAGCCCGGCCCTGACTTAGGTTTTTAAAGGATCACTCTAGAGAGTGCAATGTGGAAGACAGGCTTAGGGGACAGGTATGGGGGCTGAAGACAGAAGTTGGACAACACTTAGGAGGTTACTGCAATAATCCAGGTAGGAGGTGGTGACTTGGACCAGGATGATGGCAGAGGAAACAGTGACATGTGTTCAGATCTTGGATCTATTTTGAAGGTAGACTGATAGAATTTGCTAATGGATGGGGTGAGATTTTGTGTGTGTGTGTGTGTGTGTGTGTGTGTGTGTGTGTGTGTGTGTATGAGCAAGAGAACAGGCCAGGCATGGTGGCTCACGCTTGTAATCCCAGCACTTTGGGAGGCCAAGGTGGGTGGATCAACTGGGGTCAGGAGTTTGACATGGTGAAACCCCATCTCTACTAAAAATACAAAAATTAGCGGGGTGTGGTGGTGCACATCTGTAATCCCAGCTACTCGGGAGACTGAGGCAGGAGAATCACTTGAACCTGTGAGGCAGAGGTTGCAGCGAGCCAAGATTGCACCATTGCACTCCAGCCTGGTCAACAGAGCAAGACTCCGTCTCAAAAAAAAAAAAAAAAGAGAGAGAGAGAGAACATGGGGCCCACCTCGCCCCACGTGAACCAGATTCTCTGCAGATGGTTCATGGTATTTCTTTTCTTTTTTTTCCCTTCAAGTTATTGGTGGAGAAAGTTCATGGTATTTCCTAAACACTCCCCAGGAGACACTAATGTGCAGCCAGGGTTAAGAACCACTGCTCTAGATGGTGAGGTTATAGGAAACTTTTATTCCTTTTTTTTGTTTGAGGCAGAGTCTCGCTCTGTCGCCCAGGCTAGAGTACAATGGCGCAATCTCAGCTCACCGCAACCTCTGCCTCCCAGGTTCAAGCAATTCTCCTGCCTCAGCCTCCCAAGTAGCTGGGATTACAGGCGTGAGCCACCACATCTGGCTAATTTTGTATTTTTAGTAGAGACAGGGTTTCTCCATTTTGGTCAGGCTGGTCTCGAACTCCCGACCTCAGGTGATCCGCCCGCCTTGGCCTCCCAAAGTGCTAGGATTAAAGGCGTAAGCCACTGCACCTGGCCTGGAAACTTTTATTCTTATCTTTATTTATTTATGTTTTAATATTCTTATCTTTATTTTCCACATTTTCTACAATAAAAGTTTTAATAAGAGGAGAAAGGGGGCCGGGTGCAGTGGCTCATGCCTGTAATCCCAGCAGTTTGGGAGGCCGAGGTGGGTGGATCACGAGGTCAGGAGATGGAAACCATCCTGGCTAACATGGTGAAACCCCGTCTCTACTAAAAATACAAAAAAAATTAGCCAGGCGTGGTGGCGGGCACCTGTAGTCCCAGCTACTTGCGAGACTGAGGCAGGAGAATGGTGTGAACCCGGGAGGCAGAGCTTGCAGTGAGCCGAGATCGGGCCACTGCACTCCAGCCTGGGTGACAGTGCAAGACTCCATCTCAAAAAAAAAAAAAGAGGAGAAAGGGTATTTTAAACAAAACATCTCCCCTCCCCCATCCTGAACTATGAAATGTAAGATAATAACAATACAACTTTCTTTTAATGATCATATCTCCACTTGCCAAATACCATCCCATGACCAGCATAAATGTCACCTTCTCTCTGGAGCCCCTTGCACTTCCCCAACCACCAGTGACAGCTCATTTTTGTCCTCTCCTGTGGCCCACATGGCCCCTCTTTTTGGAACTTAGTTCTCTCTTTTTCTTTTCTTTTCTTTTTTTTTTTTTTGAGGCGGTGTCTCGCTCTGTTGCCTTGCCTGGGCTGGAGTGTAGTGGTGTGATCTCAGCTCACTACAACCTCTGCCTCCTGGGTTCAAGCAATTCTCATGCCTCAGCCTCCCAAGTAGCTGGGATTACAGGCACACACCAGCACGCTCGGCTAATTTTTGTATTTTTAAAAGTAGAGACAGGGATTTGCCATGTTGGCCAGGCTGCTCTTGAATTCCTGACCTCAAGTGATCTGCCCCCCTCGGCCTCCCAAAGTGCTGGGATTAGGCGTGAGCCACTGCACCTGGCTAGAGCTTAGTTCTCTAGTGTTGGTAGTTGGAGCCTGCTTTTTTGGAGGAGGTCTTTCCTATAAACCCACTCTGGAAACAGTGTCAAAGCAGGAAGTGAGAGGTTATGTTTGAGGTCCACAGTCCGGCTGGAAGAAGTGGTAGACAGAGGACCTTAGATTGTCAGGCCATTGGGCCACAGAATCAGGGCCTGGATCTGGGACAGTCCTTGGTCTCCCCTGAGGCTCTAGGCTCCTGGTTCACCTGTTCTGAATCCCTGTCTCTTGGGAGGCAGGGAGTGAGCTATTTGTGTAAGACTAAGGCCTTAGAATATGTCCCACGTTCTCTGGCATCAGACACCCCACTCAGGGGCCAAACAGAAAGCTGTGAAGGGTGGTGAGAAAAGTCTCTTCTTACACCTCCTCTCCACCACTATTTAGTACCTTGCTTTTTTAGCTTTCATGTTATATTATGACTGGTTTCCCATGTCATTAAATATTCTTCAGAAATTTAACTTTGATGATAACATATTATTCCCATTACCCATAACTTCATCATCCTCCAACTGTTCAAAAGTTAGATTATTTCTAGCTTTTACTATTACAGTATATTTAACATCACCTGGTAATTGATCTAAAAGGAATAATTAGGAATCAGTCCCCAAATTTGGAGATGGCAACCAAGAAGTCTTTTTCATTTTCCACAGTTTTCCCACATTTTTGTTTTTTTTTTCAAGAGATGCTCTGCAACTCAGGCTGCAGTGCAGTGGGATGATCATAATTCACTGTAACCTCAAATTCCTGGGCTCAGGCTCCCAAATAGCTAGGATTAATGGCGCATGCCACCATGCCAGGCTAATTTTATTTTTGTAGAGACGGGAGTCTTGCTATGTTGCCCAGGCTGGTTTTGAACTCCTGGGCTCAAGTGATCCTCTCGCCTCGACCTCCCTAAGTGCTAAGTGTTGGGTTTATAGAGATGAGCCACCATGCCTTCTTTTCTTTTTTTTTTTTAATTCTGTTTTGCAAAGAATATCCCTCTTGCCAGCATCTGAATAATATCTATCTTTACTATTATTTATGTGTGTAAATAGCTTTACAGTTCACAAAGCATTTTCTTATATAATGTCTCATCTAATCAACACAGCAACACTATGAAATAAGTTACTATTTCCATTTTACATTTGGGGAAATTAAGCTCAGAAAGGCCATGTGACATGTTCAAGATAACACATTTAGTGTCAGAGCTGGGACGTGGACCCGGGTCTTGGGACTCCCGAAACCATATCCTTTACCGTGGGCAAAGTGCTATGCTGAGGTCTTACCACACACATAGATGGCACTGGAAGAAGGGCAAGTATGGAACAGCACCCCAGGCAGAGTGGGCGATGCCACTGGTAAGATACAGAGAAAGTACTACACACAGTGGCGTTGCAAGGACAGAGCAGTTCCTCCCACAAAGGGCATGCAGTAGGCTTTGGGAAGAAACGTGGCCAAGTCGGGTCTTCAAAGGTGAATAGGATCTAGATATTCAGAATAAGAGGGCTTTCCACAGGCTCAGTGAATGGGAAAGGAAAGTGTGGCTGATTGGGGAAAGCGCTAGCACAGGGAGCAAGAGATGGGGCGTGGCTGGGGAGGAATGGAATTGTAATTCTAGCCTCACAAAGGCTAGAGCCAGCAGGGCCTTGGGATCATGTGGGGAGGAAACCAGAGATGTGTGGAACAATTTGCTGAAGGCAGAACCAGGCAGGGAAAGGGCAGGGTCAGGTTCGTACCCTTGCCTCTGGCCACCAGGGCCAATGCTCCTTCCCTGCAGTAAACCCGATTAATCTCCTCAAACTCAGGTGCCATTTCCTTGGAATAGTATTTACCGCGGGGCGCGGTGGCTCACGCCTGTAATCTCACGCTTTGGGAGGCTGAGGTGAGAGGATCCCTTGAGCCTAGGGGTTCGAGACCAGCCTGGGCAACATAGCGAGACCCTGTGGTTAAAAAAAAATTAAAATTAGCCAATAGTGGTGGCACGCGCCTGTAGTACCAGCTTCTTGGGAAGCTGAGGCAGGAGGATCACCTGTGCCCAGAGAGGGCGAGGCTGCAGTGAGCCATCATCGTGCCACTGTACTCCAGCCTGGGCGACAGTTCGAGACCTTTTCTCAAAAAAAGAAAAAAAAAAGTTGTTCAAGTTGTGTAGTGCACGGGAGGAAAGAAGTATGACAATAACATAGGACAGCAGCCGGCTCTTTTTTTCATCAGGATGTGGAGAGTGGGCGCCTTGGGAAGACGAAATTGAGTATGTGCGGGGGAGGGGTCATATGAAACAAGGTCGGGAAGGGGGCGGGGAGAGCTGGGGCTCTGGAGGAGCTTGGGGCTCGCGCTGCGGGGGAGGAAGCGCCTTCCGCGGTCGCTGGGGGGAAGTGGTTAGGAGGAAGCACGGGCAGTGGAGGGGACTGCTGGAGGGTCCCATCTGGGAAAGCAGGCACGGATGCGGGGACATTTCCGCCCGTCACCCTGGCAAAGCGCTCGCAGGGCTGGAGGGACAGAGTTCTCAGATCCAAGTAGAGAAAACCGGGAACGGTTCCGGCTCTGGGGACTGACATTCATCGCGGCAGTTTCTGGTGGCAAAACAGAGGAAACAAAGGAATGATGAAATGAACTGAGCTGCCTTCATGCCCCGGATGAATGTTCAGCCATTAGAAAAGAGTGAATCCCAGCTGGGATTTGGGGTTCCACGGTGTACTAGAAAAGCAAAACAAAGAGAAGCGCCTACTAGATGCCATCTTGGAAAACAAAAGCAAACGTGTGTGTGTGTGTGTGTGTGTGTGTGTGTGATGTTACATGGGCATGGGGAAATTACGGAAGTAAATACTAATGCTTGTGGCCGGGCGCGTGGCTGACGCCTGTAATCCCAGCACTTTGGGAGGCCGAGGCGGACGGATCACGAGGTCAGGAGATCGAGACCACGGTGAAACCCCGTCTCTACTAAAAATACAAAAAGTTAGCCGGGCGTAGTGACGGGCGCCTGTAGTCCCAGCTACACGGGAGGCTAAGGCAGGAGAATGGCGTGAACCCGGGAGGCGGAGCTTGCAGTGAGCCGAGATCGCGCCACTGCACTCCAGCCTGGGTGACAGAGCGAGACGCCGTCTCAAAAAAAAAAAAAAAAATACTAATGCTTGTGTAAATTGGGATGGTGGAAAATGAGGAAGAGGGCGGCAGGGGAATCCTTAGTACTTACAGAGAAAACGGAGCAAGTGTACAAGCACGCCAACCCCCCCGGTGCCCAAGCTCGGCGCTCACGCGGCTAGGATGACGCCCGTGGGACGCCCCAGGGGCCCTGCTCGCAGCCACTCTGCTCAGGGTCATTTATAGTCTCTCCGTTCTTTGTTAAATAAAGACGGTGAGACACGGACGGGCTGGAGCCGGCAGGGGTAGTGGAGGGCAGAGGGGACGGGTCGGGGCGCCCCTCGCTCCTGCCACGCTGCCGCCGCCCCAGACAAAGACAGCTGCGTACGGCGGGAGCGCAGGGGCGCCTGCGCGCAGGGCCTAAATCGCCTGTCCCGTCTCCCCCTGACGCCCACACACCCAAGCGGCAGCCCACTCCCCTTCTACCCCGCAGCCATTTGCTTCCCACCCCTTGATTTTCTTTTTTCTTTTCCCCTCCCCTCAGCATCCCCCCAACCTCCTCTGATACACTTTGGCTAATTGTCTAATGAATTTACCTATTCTAGGTATTTCGTATAAGTGGAATCATATAATATTCGTCCTTCTGTGTCGGCTTATTTTGCTTAGTACAAGGTTTTTTATTTTTTATTTTTTTTTCTTTGAGACACGGTCTCGTTCTGTCGCCCAGGCTGGGGCACAGTGGCGCTCAGCTCACTGCAACCTCCACCTCCGGGTTTCAAGTGATCCTCCCACCTCAGCCTCCCAAATAGCTGGGACTACAGGTGCGCTGCCACCACTGCCTAGCTAATTTTTGTATTTTTGGTAGAGACCAGGTTTCGCCATGTTGCCCACGCTGGTCTCCAGCTCCTTAGCTCAAACGATCCTCCTGCCACAGCCTCCCAAAGTGCTGTAATTACAGGCGTGTGAGCCACCATGCCCGGCCACTTAGCATAATCTTTTCAAGGTTCATCCCTGCTGCAGCACGTATGAGAACTTCATTTCTTTTATTGTATTTGTGGTAATATGTACACAACATAAAGCTTATTTTAATCAATTTTTAAGTGTACAGTTTAGTGGCACTAAATAGTCACGTGGTTGTGCACTCACCACCATCATCCATCTCTAGAACTCTTCCATCATCCTAAACTGAAACTCTGTACCCGTGAAACAACTCCCTCATTCCCCTCTACCCAGCTCCTGGCAACCACCATTCTACTTTCTGTCCCTGTGCACTTGGGAGCATCACCTTTCTGGGACATCTGCAACGGTTCTCTGGAGGATTGTCTCCCCTTTTTTAAAAATTTATTTTCTTTTCTTTCTTTCTTTTTTTTTTTTGGTAGAGAAGGGGTTTCACTTCATTGCCCAGGCTGGTGTCCAACTTCTGGGCTCAAGGAATCTGCCTGCCTTGGCTTCCCAAAGTGTTGGGATTACAAGCATGAGCCACTGTGCCCCGCCTGTGGTCTCATTTTGGAGGGCAAGAGGGATAGAGATAGCCATAACCTGGAGAATATTGAGATGTGGACAACAAGGATGACAAAATTTGGTCCTATGAGAAATCATCTGTGAGGAAGAGTGGAGAGAACTGAGCTTGTTCAAGACAGTGAGGTCCTGGGATGATCTCAATTCATGTAAGAAAACCAGGAAGCAAGGAGGTTTCAGTTTATCAACAGATTTAAAAGGCGCAAGCCTTTTGATATAACTAGAGAAGAGAAGACTCAGGTGATCACACAGACTGTCTTCACCCAAGTGAAGGATGATTATGTAGGAAAGTGGATAGAAGATGCTGTCAACAGAAATGTAAACAGAATCATGTTAACAATTTTTCAGTAGGCACTTTTTTTTTTTTTTTTGAGATGGAGTCTTGCTCTGTTGCCCAGGCTGGTGTGCAGTGGTGCGATCTTGGCTCACTGCAGCCTCCTGGGTTCAAGCGATTCTCCTGCCTCAGCCTTCCGGGTGGCTGGGATTACAGGCATGCCATCATGCCCGGCTAATTTTTGTATTTTTAGTAGAGACAGAGTTTCACCTTGTTGGTCAGGATGGTCTCAAAACTCTTGACCTCAGGTGATCTGCCTGCCTCAGCCTCCCAAAGTGCTGAGATTACAGGCGTAAGCCATCACACCTGGCCAATTTTTAAATTAATAATGAGAGGCTGGGCATGGTGGCACACACCTGTGATTCCAGCTACTCAGAAGGCTGAGGTGGGAGGATCGTTTGAGCCCAGGAAGTTGAGGCTGCAGTGAGCTGTGTTCACACTAGTGCACTCCAGCCTGGGTGACAAAGCAAGACCCTGTTGAAAAAAAAATTTTTTAATAATGAGATATCTGACATTCTTTTTTTTACACTTGGTCTCTGAAATCAGGCTGGCTACATGTGAAGTGCTCTATAGCTACCTGCGGTCACTGTATTGGACAGTGCAGGGTTGGAAACTGGACTTAGGAGTCAGGGCTGGGTTCAAGCCCCACATTCCATCCCTTACTAGGCTGGGTAACTAGGCACATTACTTAGCCTCTCCTATTTCTGTTTCTTCATCTACAAAATGAAACTAAAAATAGTACCTACTTTATAGGGTAATTTTGTGGATTAATGGCACATGAAGCATATGGTGCATGTTCAGTAAATGTTGGCGATTATTAGCAGTAAATTTGGTGGTTATTGAATTAGTGACATTGCAGTATCACTGTTAGGGTGACCTCCATTCCCATCAGATGATGTGGCTTGAAGCTATTCCAAACGGGCAAGGTTAAAAAACAATAGGCAAACTGGGAAAACCTATTTGCAACACACATGAAAACAAAATGTTGTTATTCTTGCTATGTAGGAAGTGCTTGCAAATAAATAAGAAAATGAATACCAATGGAAAATTCAAAAGAAACAAACATCTGAAGTGATTTTTTTTAAAGACCCACTTTAAATAAGTTCAACTCTCCTTGGAATCAGACATAAAAATAAACAAAAGACATTTTTTGTTGTTGTTGAGTAACAGATCAACAGCCAGAATTTGGTGGCACCTAATATTGAAGAAGGTGTGGGGAGATACCTTCTCTTTTTAAATAAAGATTTCCTGAAGTTTCCATTGTTATATCTGACCACAGACTATCCAGAGAAACAAGCTGAGTTCTTGCTTCAAGGAGGAACTAGCCAGAGAGCCTTTTCTACCCACTTTTTCCCTTGTCCAGATAAAGCTAAACAGCCAACAAACCCCTCCTAGCAAGTTGACTTTTTTCTTGTCATGTGTGCAGACTCTGCACATTAGCTTTGCTAATAGTCCTTTACCACAGGTGTTGACATTTCACGTGGCTTGAAATAGCCCCCAGCATTGTTCTACATTTGGACAGGGCTGACATACTTAAGCCACAATACCCCCAGAATATTATTAGGCTTCTGGCTACCTCCTTCAGGAATGTTTTATCTGCCAGCAGGATTGGCTACATAATTTTTGGGGCCCAGGGGAAAATGAAAATATGGGCCCCTTTCTCATAAAAGGATGAAAAAAGCCCTTTCATTTTTTCTACAGTCTCTCTCTCAACCTGTCATGATGTTTTTATTTACTATTTATTGTTGTACTCCCTTGGACATGGAGATACTTCAGAGGTCAGTGCAGGCCCTCACAGATGCCCAGGACCATGCCGCAAGACAGCATGCATTTTCCAGTTTGGGAAAGCTTTTTTTTTTTTTGACACGGAGTCTCACACTGTCACCCAGGCTAGAGTGCAGTGGTGCGATCTCCGCTCACTGCAAGCTCCACCTCCCGGGTTCACACCATTCTCCTGCCTCGGCCTCCCGAGTAGCTGGGACTACAGGTGCCCGCCACCATGCCTGGCTAATTTTTTGTATTTTTAGTAGAGACGGGGTTTCACCATGTTAGCCAGGATGGTCTCGATCTCCTGACCTCGTGATCCACCCGCCTCGGCCTCCCAAATTGTTGAGATTACAGGCGTGAGCCATGGCGCCCGGCCCAGTCTGGGAAAACTTGATGGGGAGTGGGGTGAAGAGACTAATGCTTTTTTTTTTTATTCAAGATGGAGTTTTCACTCTTGTTGCCCAGTGCAATGGCGCAATCTCGGCTCACTGCAACCTCCGCCTCCCAGGTTAAAGTGATTATCCTGCCTCAGCCTCCCATGTAGCTGGGATGACAGCTGCCCACCACCATGCCCAGATAATTTTGTATTTTTTTTTTAGTAGAGACGGGGTTTCACCATGTTGGCCAGGCTGGTCTCGAACTCCTGACCTTAGGTGATCCACCCACCTCGGCCTCCCAAAGTGCTGGGATTACAGGCTTGAGCCACCACACCCACCCTATTTTAACCAATTTTTTTTTTTTTTTTTTTTTTTGAGACGGAGTCTCGCTGTGTGGCCCAGGCTGGAGTGCAGTGGCACAATCTCGTCTCACTGCAAGCTCCACCTCCCGGGTTCACGCCATTCTCCTGCCTCTGCCTCCCAAGTAGCTGGGACTACAGGCGCCCGCCACCATACCCAGCTAATTTTTTTTGTATTTTTAGTAGAGACATGGTTTCACCGTGTTAGCCAAGATGGTCTCGATCTCCTGACCTCATGATCCGCCCGCCTCGGCCTCCCAAAGTGCTGGGATTACAGGCGTGAGCCACCGCGCCCGGCCCCATTTTAACCAATTTTTTAAGTGTAGTTTAGTGGCACTAAATATAGTCACGTGGTTGTGCACTCACCACCATCATCCATCTCTAGAACTCTTCCATCATCCTAAACTGAAACTCTGTACCCATGAAACAACTCCTCCCTCATTCCCCTCTACCCAGCTCCTGGCAACCACCATTCTACTTTCTGTCCCTGTGCACTTGGGAGCATCACCTTTCTGGGACATCTGCAACGGTTCTCTGGAGGATTCTGTCTCCCCTTTTTTAAAAATTTATTTTGTTTTCTTTCTTTTTCTTTTTTTTTGATAGAGAAGGGGTCTCACTTCATTGCCCAGGCTGGTGTCCAACTTCTGGGCTCAAGCAGTCTGCCTGCCTTGGCTTCCCAAAGTGTTGGGATTACAAGCGTGTGGTCTCATTTTGGAGGGCAGGAGGGATAGAGATAGCCATAACCTGGAGAATATTGAGATGTGGACAACAAGGATGACAAAATTTGGTTCTATGAGAAATGATCTGTAAGGAAGAGTGGAGGGAACTGAGCATGTTCAAGACAGTGAGGTCTCGGGATGATCTCAGTTCAGGAGGTTTCAGTATATCAACAGATTTGAAAGGAGCAAGCAGGCTGGGCGTGGTGGCTCACGCCTGTAATCCCAGCACTTTGGGAGGCCGAGGCGGGCGGATCACAAGGTCAAGAGATTGAGACCATCCTGGCTAACATGGTGAAACCCCGTCTCTACTAAAAATACAAAAATCAGCTGGGCATAGTGGTGCGTGCCTGTAGTACCAGCTACTCGGGAGACTGAGGCAGAAGAATTGCTTGAACCTGGGAGGCGGAGGTTGCAGTGAGCCGAGACTGCGCCACTGCACTCCAGCCTGGCAACAGAGCGAGACTCCGTCTGAAAAAAAATAAAAAATAAAAGGCGCAAGCAGTGTGATATAACTGGAGAAGAGAAGACTCAGGCAATCACACGGACTGTCTTCACCCAAGCGAAGGATGATTATGTAGGAAAGTGCATAGAAGATGCTGTCAATAGCAATATAAAGTGAATCATGTTAACAATTTTTCAGTGGCCACATTTTTTTTTTTTTTTTGAGAAGGAGTCTTGCTCTGTTGCCCAGGCTGGAGTGCAGTGGCGTGATCTCGGCTCACTGCAACCTCCAACTCCTGGCAAAACCCTGTCTCTACTAAAAATACAAAAATTAGCCAGTCGTGGTGTTGCACACTTGTAATCCCAGCTACTCGGGAGGCTGAGGCAGGAGAATCACTTGAACCTGGAGGGCGGAGGTTGCAGAGAGCCGAGATTGCATCACTGCACTCCAGCCTGGGTGACAGAGCAAGACTGTCTCAAAAAATAATCAAACACATTTTTTTTTTAGAGTCAGGGTCTTGCTCTTTCACCCAGGCTGGAGTGCAGTAGTGGGCTCAAGAGATCCTCCTGCTTCAGCCTCCCAAGTAGCTGGGATTATAGGCATGTGCCACCATGTCTGGCTAATTTTTTTATTTTTACTTTTGAAGAGGTAGGGTCTTGTTCTGTTGCTCAGTCTGGTCTTGAATTCCTGGTCTCAAGCAGTCCTTCTTGAGACCTTGGCCTCCCAAAGCGTGGGGATTACAGGCATGAGCCAGGGGTCCTGATCAGTATTCTTTTTTTCAAGAATAAATTTGAATATGCTTCATTGCAAGGTATATTGTTTCCACTGAGCACCTAGGATTTCTCAAGTTCTTTGTATATTATATGAGTCTTTCACAGCAATGTTAAGGGACAGGTGAAATAAACATAAAATAATTCCTGGCCGGGTGCAGTGGCTCATGCCTGTAATCCCAACACTTTGGGAGGCCGAGGCGGGTGGATCATCTGAGGTCAGCAGTTCGAGACCAGCCTGACCAACATGGCGAAACCCCGTCTCTAGTAAAAATACAAAATTAGCCGGGCATGGTGGCACATGCCTGTAATCCCAGCCACTTGGGAGACTGAGGCTGGAGAATTGCTTGAACCCAGGAGGCGGGGGTTGCAGTGAGCTGAGATCGCGCCACTGAACTCCATCCTGGGCAACAAGAGCAAAACTCTGTCTCAAACAAACAAACAAACAAAAAATTCCTCTTTACAGAGGAGGCAATTAAGACCCATTGTCAATCACCTAGTAGGCATCGGGACTGGGGTTTGAAAGCACATGTCTCTAAAGTCCATGCTTTTATTTGTAATGCCAAAAGACTGGAAACAATCTAAACACCCCTTGATGGGAACCAGTTAAATTATAGTAGTCCATACAATGTAATACTCTACAGCCGCAAAGATAGATAAAAATGAGGATACTCTCATATACCGATAAGGAAATGTCACCAAGATAGGGTGTTAAAGCGGGGGAAAAACCCAACAAACGTGTAGAACGTGTACAGACTGGCACTAAATATGTTAAAATGGAGTAAGGAAGGGTATAGATTTGTTTTAGCTTGTATGTGTAGAAAAACAACGTTAGAAGGATAAACAAAAACCTTATAACAGGGTTATCTATTTAGGGTGGGGGAAAGTGGGCATTTGGGGGACAGGGACAGAAGAGATGTACATCTTTTCATTTTTTTTAGTTTTAAACATATAAATAAATTATCTGTTCAAAAAAGCAAATGCATATAAACATTTTTTTAAGCAACATGAAATTAAACAAAACTGCTGTCCCTTCCTTCCACTGTACCATGTGCCTTAGACATCTTTGGAGGGCAGTCTGTCCTCTTTTCCAGTGAGTTGCACAGGGCAGCAGGCCTCAGGACACCCTGGCAGCTCTAAGGATGGCTTCAGCACAGCCTGGGGAAGGAAGCCCTGCCAGCAGGCAGCGCCAGGCCAAGTGTACCCTCTTTCCTTATCCCTGACTTAGAAAAACAAAACCGATAGGCAAATCCACTCATCGGCATTTCTGAATCCAGTTGTTAACCAATCCTCTTCCTGCCCTTTACTCTCCTTTTCTTCCTTTTTCCAGAAAATCCTGGAAAGCTCTGCAGCTACTTTGCAAAGTGCTTTACTAGCTCTGGCTGCCTTGTTGTTTTCCTTTTCTCATTTGGCCTGTGTCATCCTCTCAGGCAAGTACTGCAGTCAGACTTCCTGCCAGCTTGCCTGCTGGGTTCATCTGTCTTTAAAACACAAAACAAAACAAAACAAAAAGCCTGTATTTTCATAGAACCTACAAACCTCAAATTCGAAGTTATTTTGTCCAACTCTCCACCCAGAGCAGAAGATCCTAGTTGTAAAATTTAGCAGAGTAAATCCACTTGGTTTTAAAGCCCAATTCTGTGGTTTCACTTTGCCCATCCAATCAACTCGGAGTAACAGCTCTCATAAAATATTTGCTCTTGTGAAGAATCCCACGGGGCAGGTCTATTTGTGTGTGGAGTCTAGTGGTGCAGTCAGCACCAGTAAATTTCCATTCAGTAATTCAGTGACTGTTAATCGACACCTAATATGTATCCATCACTGTCTGAGGCCCTGTGCTAGGGACAGAAACAAACACCGAGACTCAGCCCCTGCCCTCAAATCTCTAACAGCCATGTTAGGATACCTTCAGGTCATCAAGCCAGGTCATTAGTGCCTGGCCTAATTTGTTTTGTTTTTAAAAAGCCATTTGCAAGGTATCAGTTATATCACTGTGTTGTGGACATTTTCATGGTGAGCTATGTGTCGGAAATATGATTTATGGGAATGGCTTTCTTTTCTCTCTTTTTTAAGGTTTTGGGGAAATAGCTTTTATACTGCAAAGATAATGGCCAAAGCTCAAACTCTAGGTAATGTAATCCATATAAGATTAATTAGCCTTTCAGGGTGTTAATTTTGTCATAACAGTGTCATAGCTTTCAGCTTTCATTAGCTAGAATTCCTTGGCTAATGTGCAGGAAATTTGAGATGTCTGCCAGGTGTGTTCGGTGAAAGATTTTACAAAATCAAATGTGAGTCTAAAAGCAAGTCATTTTGAGAGACACTGAGCTTGGCAGAGATTCAGGTGTCTAGAACCATACCATATACTCCCCAGAGAATGCTGGGCCAGAACATGTCTTCCCTTGAGCGTTGTTCAATTCACTGGGCACACGGAGCAGAGGACTCCGTGGAGGCAGCATGCTCACTCCCCATTACACACGCACAGCATCACCAGGAACCATACCTCGACATTCATTCTTTGCTGGCTTATTCTCAAAGGAAAACCCCAACCAGAAGATAATGAACACCACAGACTGTTGGAAGCAGCAAGAAGCTACCACACATTTGTGGCTCCCACACATCCACCCAAAACACACCAGCAGGAAGAAAGAGCAATATATTACTCAGGTTTCCTGTCAGGACATCCTGGCTTGAAACACAGGTCTGTCACTTAAAAATATTAAGATAACCCGCAGATGGGAAACTGCTTCATTATGTCCTTGGGAATCTCAGAAAACTGTCAGCTTATGAAATAGAGCTCAAAAGCAAGTAGAAAATCACCCATTCCCATTGATGACGGGTAGTTTTTCTTCCAGGCAAAGAGGATCACAGGAACATGGGGGCATGAAATGACTGAAGGAATCTGGGCTGGGGAAGGCCCCATGCAGTTTCTGGGCAGACTGGGTCTTGTCTCAGACCAACAACCTTGGTCCAAATTTGTCATAAGGACATGACAAACTCAGTATACAAGCATTACCGCGTAAGTAGTAGGCCCTATTTTGTTGGTGACTGAAGATTGCCTTTGAATTCCCCAGTGCCCATAGGCCCTGCACGCCTCACCATCTGCCATTGAACAGTGTAAGGTGTAAGCAGATCAGCTCAGCAGAACAGTATAAGGCTACACTTTGAACAGTAGCTGTCTCCTTGGGGGAACCCTACAATGAAGGGGAATCCATTAAAAGGAGGGTATAGGCTAGATGTCTGTTCTCCAGGCTTGTCATGGCAAGCTCAGGATCAGAGAGACCACCCATCCATTCATCAATGCATTCATTCACTCATTCAATAGACATCTATAGAGCACTTTTTTTTTTTAGACGGAGTCTCTCGGTTGCCCAGGCTGGAATGCAGTAGTGCGATCTAGGCTCACTGCAACTTCCGCCTCCTGGGTTCAAGCAATTCATCTGCCTCAGCCTCCTGAGCAGCTGGGACTACAGGCATTAGCCACCACGCCTGGCTAATTTTTAAAATATTTTTAGTAGACATGGGGTTTTACCATGTTGGTCAGCCTCGTCTCGAACTCCTAACCTCAAATGATCTGCCTGCCTCGCCTCCCAAAGTGCTGGGATTACAGAAATGAGCCACCACATCCGGATTTTTTTTTTTTTTTTTTTTTTTTTGAGACAGGGTCTTGCTCTGTCACTCAGGCTGGAGTGCAGTGGTGCAATCACGGCTCACTGCAGTCTCAACCTCCTGGGCTCAAGCAATCCTCCCTCCTCAGCCTCCCAAGTAACTGGTACTACTGGCGTGTGCCACCATGCCCAGTTAATTTTTGTATGTTTTGTACAGACAGGGTCTTATGTTACTCAGGCTAGTCTTGAACTCCTAGGCTCAACCAATCCTCCAGCTTTGGCCTTCCAAAGTGTTGGAATAACAGGTACTGTTATTCCGAGTAACTGGTACTACTGGCGTGCGCCACCATGCCCAGCTAATTTTTGTATTTTTTGTAGAGACAAGGTCTTACTATGTTACCCAGGCTATTCTCGAACTCCTAGGCTCAACCAATCCTCCAGCTTTGGCCTTCCAAAGTGCTGGAATAACAGGTGTGGGCCACTGTGCCTGGCCACTGCAAATTCTTGGGAGCCTGCTGTCTCTCTTAGCCAGGTTACAATGGATACTATCTGTTAACACTAGTATTCCTACTATCCCATATTCAATCTTTACTCCTCAATCACAAACTTTTTTTTTTTTTTTTTTTGAGACAGAGTCTCATGCTGTCCCCCAGGCTGGAGAGCAGTGGCGCAGTCTCGGCTCACTGCAAGCTCCGCCTGCCAGGTTCACACCATCCTCCTGCCTCAGCCTCCCGAGCAGCTGGGACTATAGTTGCCCGCCACCACACCCGGCTAATTTTTTTGTATTTTTAGTAGAGATGGGGTTTCACCACGTTAGCCAGGATGGTCTCAGTCTCCTGACCTCGTGATCCACCCACCTCGGCCTCCCAAAGTGCTGGGATTACAGGCGTGAGCCACCGCATCCTGCCCTCAACCACAAACTTTTATTTCCTTCTGCTATTCTATCCCATGATTCTCATAAACCATCAAAATGTCTTCAGAATGCCAATTTTTTGTGTGTTCCGATTTCATCTCTGGCATGATAAACTTTATAGCTCTGAAACTCTTGGTTCAAAAAATAGTGCCGTGGAGAGCTAGGTGGTCACCCTGAGACCACAACTTGCAGTCCCTCCAGGCTCATGCCTGTATCTGTGAACAGGGAATCTCCTGAGGAAATACACGTGGTCTCCACAGATTCCACAGCCACACCCATCTCATGACCTGGATTCCTCCCCTCCCCCCTGCCCAGCCTCCACCCCCTGGGCAGGAAAAGGAGCCGAGAAAGTGAGTCTTCAGCTCCTTCCTCTTCTGCACTTAGATCTATCACATCTCACCACATCAACACTGTTATTTTCTTAGAACTATATAGTGTTTATATTTGGGGTCTAGGGTAAAATTCCATTTTCATCTATCATTGCAACTGGCTTTTCTGGCTTTCTCTTTTGGAGATCTTGGCTTATTTTTCCCCAGGGAGTGAGTCATATTCACAAACACGCCTTATCTCCTGGGACACAACCTGGTCAGTTAGCTACCCCAACTCACAGAAAATGATCACAAAGATTTTGTGTCCCTTTTACTTTTTTTTTTTTTTTTTTTTTGAGATGGAGTTTCGCTCTTGTTGCCCAGGCTGGAGTGCAATGGCATGATCTCGGCTCACCGCAACCTCCGCCTCCCGGGTTCAAACGATTCGCCTGCCTCAGCCTACTGAGGAGCTGGGATTACAGGCACCCGCCATCACGCCTGGCTAAGTTTTGTATTTTTAGTAGAGACGGGGTTTCACCATGTTGGCCAGACTGGTCTCTAACTCCTGACCTAAGGTGATCCACCCGCCTCAGCCTCCCAAAGTGCTGGAATTACAGGCGCGAGCCATCGCGTCTGGCCCCCTTTTACCTTTATATCACTCACTTCCACAAAATTTATTTAAAATTTAGAGGAAAACCTCTGTACTTCCTCCTGCCTCCCACCCCTTGTTTTTTTTATTAATTTTTTTTTTTGAGACAGACTCTTGCTCTGTCACCAGGCTGGAGTGCGGTGGCACAATATCAATTCACTACAACCTCCGCCACCCGGGTTCAAGCAATTCCCCTGCCTCAGCCTCCCAAGTCGCTGGGATTACAGGCACCCATCACTACCCCCGGCTAATTTTTTGTATTTTAGTAGAGACGGGGTTTCACCATGTTGGCAAAGATGGTCTTGATCTCCTGACCTCGTGATCTGCCAGCCTCAGCCTCCCAAAGTGCTGGGATTACAGGCGTGAGCCACCGTGCCTGGCCCCCTTGTTTTAATTTTCTCCGTAGCACTTGTCACTATCGACATACTAGATAGCTTATTCATTTGTTCATCATTCATTCATTGTTTGTCTCTCTCTCTTTCCTCACTGGAATGTAAACTTTTGGCCAGACATGGTGGCTCACACCTGTAATCCCAGCACTTTTGGAGGCCGAGGCTGGCAGATCACTTAAGGTCAGGAGTTCAAGAACAGCCTCTGGCCAACATGGTGAAACCCCATCTCTACTAAAAATACAAAAAAAATTAGCCAGGCATGGTGGTGCATGCCTGTAGGCTGCAGTGAGCCGAGATTGCGCCACTGCACTCCAGCCTGGGTGACAGAACCAGACTCCATCTCAAAAAAAAAAAAAAAAAAAAAAAGAATGTAAACTTTTTGAGGGCAGGGCTTTTGTTTGTTTTGTATATTGCTGTATTCCCAGGCCCAGCTCAGTGCCTGGCACATAAAAAATACTCAATAAAGGTTGAACAAATAAATTGGTGAATAAATAGTTGATTTTTCCTTCCTTGTCTGAGGCCTACCACTTCCCTCTCCTGCCACAATGTCTTTCCATTGGCTCAGTCCCTAAGAGATCAGATGACTGTATGTTCTGTGTAAGCTGTGGAGGCGAACCACCAAAACAGTGGGTAGTTCCTCTCCATCTCCTGCATCTCCATCTACTGATAGCACAAACATTTTGCAAGTCCTACTCACCTCCTCTGTGGCACCATCCCTTAACCTCCCACAGTGATCTCACCTTCTTCTGAACTCACAGCATCCAGTGCATGTATCATTCATCTACAATTTAGCACTTTCTGCCTTGTGTGGATAATATAATTCTCCTGAATGTGAGCAAAGCTGGCTTCCTGCACCAACCCCTTCCCCTCTTTCCAGCAGCTCCTCACTTCTTACCTCGCGGAATTTAAACAAGGACCCAGATGTGGGACTTACACTTTCAGGCTGGCCCAGTACGAGGGGACTCATCTCTCAAACACCTAGAGAGTTCACATAATGTTGAGGGACATATAAATCAAATGCCAATTTACTCACACTGAGGAATGACAGATATTCAAAATGGACTGCAACGCTTGAACTGGCCTGACTGGCCGATGTCCCCATGGGCTAAGGATTGCTTAGTAAAATGCAGACTTAGAACAAAAGTAACCAACCTAAAGTCAGGTCTCACTTTTTAAGGCAGAAGATCCTCTTTCCTGCAACAGGAGCAGCAGCCTGACCAAGGAACTCACGGAGCTTACCTGGTCTCCCACTAGCCTTGGGTCCTGCCAGGGCTGTACTTGGAAGCACAGGTACTTTCAAGGATGGCCAAACCCCTCCTGTTAAGTTTGCCAAACTGGTTTATAACCCAATTGATTAAACTTCACCTAAATTACAACCACTTTCCAGCCCCTCTCCTATTAGACTATAAGCTCCCGAGGGCCCATGCCTTGCAGGTTTCTTTTTTCTTTTTTTTTTTTGAGATGGAGTTTCGCTCTTGTTGCCCAGGCTGGAGTGCAATGGCACAATCTCGGCTCACCGCAACCTCTGCCTCCCAGGTTCAAGCAATTCTCCTGCCTCAGCCTCCCGAGTAGCTGGGATTACAGGCATGCACCACCATGCCCAGCTAATTTTGTTTTTTTGTTTTTTTGAGACGGAGTCTTGCCCTGTCGCCCAGGCTGTAGTGCAGTGGCGCAGTCTCGGCTCACTGCAACCTCCGCCTCCCAGGTTCAAGTGATTCTCCTGCCCCAGCCTCCCGAGTAGCTGGGATTACAGCCGTGTGCCTCCATGCCCAGCTCATTTTTGCATTTTTAGTAGAGACGGGGTTTCACCATGTCGGTCAGGCTGGTCTAGAACTCCTGACCTCATGATCTGCCCGCCTCGGCCTCCCAAAGTGCTGGGATTACAGGCGTGAGCCACCGCGCCCAGCCTTAATTTTGTATTTTTAGTAGAGATGGGGTTTCTCCATGTTGAGGCTGGTCTCGTACTCCTGACCTCAGGTGGTCCACCCGCCTCGGCCCCCCAAAGTGCTGGGATTACAGGCGTGAGCCACCCCGCCCGGCCAGCAGGTTTCAATAAGTATGTTGTGACAGAAAGGGCCGCTTTGTCAGCAAAGAAAGAAATAGAAAAACTCACTCCGCCCACAGTTTTTTTTAAGAGACAGGGTCTCTCTCCGACGCCCAGGCTGGAGTGTGATCACAGCTCACTGCAGCCTTAATCTCCAGGGCTCAAGCTTTCGTCCTACCCTCAGCCTCCCAGATAGCTAGGACTACAAGCGTGCATCACAACGCTGACTAGTGGTTTTTTTTTTTTTCTTTTTTTAATAGAGATGGGGTTTCACCATGTTGCCCAGGCTGGTCTGGAACTCCTGGGTTCAAGGGATCCTCCCACCTCAGCCTCCCAAATTGCTGGGATTACAGGCATGAGCCACCTCCCCTGGCCTCACTCCCTGTTTAAAGTGTCCCTGGGCCAGGTGCTGTGGCTCATGCCTGTAATCCTAGTGCTTTGGGAGGCTGAGGCGAGAGGATCACTCAAGGCCAAGAATTCCAGACCAGGCTGGGTAGCGTATCGAGACCCCATCTCTACAGAAAATTTTAAAAATTAGCCGGGCGCCGTGGCATGTGCTTGTTGTGGTCCTAGCTACTCAGGACGCTGAGGTGGGATGGTGGCTTGACCCCAGGAGTTTGAGGTTAACTGAGCTATAATTGTGCGACTGCACTTAGCCTGGGCAACAGAGAGGGTCCTTGATCTAAAACAAAACAAAACAAAACAAAAAACAAACAAACAAACAAAACGTGTCCCTGGGTCAATCAGGCTCAACCACTCGTTTTTGTTTTTTTTTTTCTGAGATGGAGTCCTGCTCTGTTGCTCAGGCTGGAGTGCAGTGGTGCGATCTTGGCTCACTGCAACCCCCGCCTTCCGGTTCGAGCAATCCTCCATCCTCCCACCTCAGCCTCCGGAGTAGTTGGGATTACAAGTGTGTGCCACCACACCCAGCTAATGTTTTTATTCTTAGTAAAGACAGGGTTTCACCATGTTGGCCACGCTGGTCTCAAACTTCTGACCTCAAGTGATTTGCCCACTTCAACCTACATCCACTCCTTGATCTGAAACACTGAAGCTACCTGCCTTGTTCAAAGCCAAAAAGCGTCTACCTACAAAGCCCTGGGGATTTTTTGTTTGTTTTATTTGAGACGGAGTCTCACTCGCCCAAGATGGAGGGCAATGGCGTGGTCTTGGCTCCTGACCTTGTGATCTGCCCGCCTGTTTTGAAGGACAAATGCCTGCACCCTTATTTGTTTGCTTTCTCCTGGGAATTTCTCTATCCAATCCTGCAGGCAAGTTGTTTTTTTTTTTTTGGAGACAGAGTCTCGCTCTGTTGCCAGGCTGCAGTGCAGTGGCGCAATCTCGGCTCACTGTAATCTCCGCCTCCCTGGTTCAAGCGATTCTCCTGCCTCAGCCTCCTGAATAGCTGGGACTACAGGCACGCGCCACCACGTCCAGCTGATTTTTGTATTTTCAGTAGAGACGGGGTTTCATTATGTTTGCCAGGATGGTCTCGATCTTGACCTCGTGATCCGTCTGCCTCGGCCTCCCAAAGTGCTGGGATTACAGGCATGAGACACCGTGCCCAGCGACAAGATAATTTTAAAAGGAGAGGGAACGTCTGCTTTTGTTGCCTTTCTCGTCTTTTGTGGTTCCACATACAACACAGCAGTGTCTATGGGCTGTCAATCGCAACATAATGCAAACAACACAATTGTCTCTGGGGTCCACTGAATCCAAATCACACACGCACCACACTTCTGCCTTTTGCACTGCTGACTGCCAAGTGAACAATGTTTTGTAGAAGCAGCAAGTGTGAGGAGAGGTGACTTCTGCCAGATGGTGCTAAAAAAGACCCAAGTCTGATACACAGGAGTCCTTCCATTAACCCATCCATGACCAAAGCAAAGTGTGTGTGGGGTGAGGGGTAGAAGGAATTGCCCTGTCTTTGCCCTCTGGGGCTTCTTCTGCCTCGAACACTATCCATCTGCCACCTAACCTGGTTTTGCCTTGATATAAATGGTAGCGGTGGCCAAGAGAATGGGGTGACAGAGGGGGGGAAACCCACGGTGTTACATGCTTTCACCCATACCCTCCAGGATGGCCCTGAGCGTCTCACACCCTAGGGGCCTGACCAGGTACTGACACTTTCTTGCCAAAGCCCTACAACCATCACCTCCCTACTGTGAAATGTGAGGTAAGTTGCTTAAACCGGCGGAACCAGTTTCCTCAACTACATAGAGGGATGATGATTCCCCCTAGCTCACAGGACCGCTGTGGGAATCAAATGAGATCACTCATGTGAAAAGCCTAGCACAACCCCTGACACATGACACAAGCACTTCAGGACATATTCATGTTCCTCCTTCCAGGACAGGGCCTTACACTGTCTACTCTGGTAAACCAGCCTCATATAAGCTCCTGGAGGCTGGCGTGTCCCCAGGGGTCAGGCCATCCCAGAAACGATGACTTGACCATAGTCACGTCATGAGGTGAGAGATTCCGGGAAGGGGCAGCAAGAGGAGAAAGAAGCGAAGGGCGCCCCAAGGTAATGTGTGCCCTACACAGGGCTCCTAGCCATAAGCACTTATGCAAGTGCGGGGCACAGAGAAAATTCTGGTAACACTCCTCCCCTCAATTCTGATCAGGTCCCAGGCTCAACTAATCAGTTCAGGGATGGGCCCTTTGCCACCTTTTTCCTAACCAAAGCCACTCTCAAGGGGAAACTTCTATTAACGGCCAGTAAGCAAGACACACAACGCTTTTTGTTTGAAGGACTACCCAGGCGTTAGTGCCCTTCCAGACCGGCTCTAGTGACTGGCGGGGAAGAAGGGGAAAAAGAATTAGTGTATCTGGACACAACACCCAGCATGTGCTAGGCAGAAACTAAGTGTGCGAAGCGGATCCCGATGTACAAAGGGGAAAACAGCGGCTGGGAAAGCCTGAGCCACGGGCTCCAGGCGGCCAGTCGCGGTCCTCCCGGCGCGTGCCCTCCTCCTCCCCGACCTGGCCGGAGCTGACCGGGGCGGGTGTAGGCCCGGGGGCGGGAGGGCTACTGGATCCCAGGTGGGGCGGGTGTAGGCCCGGGGACGGGAGGGCGACGGGATCCCAGGTAGGGCGGGGCCTGGCTCCGGGCGCGACGGCTCTTTGCTCGCAGCGCCGCGCCGTCTCGAGGTCGGGGTGCGGCCCGACCCCACGTGCCCCAAATCCCCCCCGCTGCCCTGTAAAACCTGCGGGCCCCGGTCCAGGCGTGGTCCCGCTCGCACGAGGGAGCGGTCGCCCAGGGTGCCGGGAAGTCGGGGACCGGCCAGCCGCCGACCGGCCGCACCCCTCCCCGCCGAGCTCGCGCGCCCGCCTCGTCAGCACCTTTCCCGCAGCGCAGCCCCACAGTGGTCACGAGGCGGGCGCGGCCCGGTCAGCCCTGGCTAGACTAGGCATCGGCACCACCCACCTCGCCCCTCCCCGTCCCGCTGGTTTCCCCTCCCCCTCCTTCCCCTCCCCCTCTCTGTTCTCCTTCCCCTCCCGATCCCCGGGCGGGCCGCAGCGCGCCACGTACCTGGCCCCGCCCCTGCGAGCCACGCAGGGAACCCCGGTGACGTCACCACCCTCCGGCGCTCTCATTCCCGCGCTCTCCAGAAAAGACGCGAAGGTGGTGACGTGTCCCGTGCGCCAGGGCGGCTGCGCAGGAGGCATTGGCAACTGAGCGTCCTGCGGCGCCGCCTGGTGGAAGCAAAGCAGCCGAGCCCCCCGGAAGCGGCGGCGCGGGCGAGTGGAGAACGTGACTTACGTCATCTGGCGGAGGCGTGGGGGCGGCTGCCGCGTGACCAGCCCCAGCCAGGCGCGGTCGGCGCGTTTCTCTTTCTCTTCTCCTACTCTCAGCGGAGCGGGTGGAAGCTTGATTTCATGCCGTTTATTTTACTTTGACTGTTTTCAAACCTATCAAGTTAATATTGTTAATTATAGAAAACGTGGGGGGAAAAGGGAAAAGATAGGTAGAAAATGATTCTTAGCATCCCCAAGCATCTTTAACCTTTCATTATGTTTACTTCCAGCCTTTTTCATGAAACAAAATTGTGGTCTGACTGTATACAGTGGTATTAACTACAAAGATTCCTAAGAAGGGACAAAAAGCACCTTTTAGCTTCAAGGCTAATTTAGAGGAACAGGTAGAAGAGGAAAAGTTCAAACAATGGACAAAATGAGTGATTCGTCCACGGTATCTAATCACTGTTCACATCATCCGGAGGAAACGGGCTCAGAGTCATGCCCAAGGCCGCGCATAAAAGAGTGGCAGACTGGGGTTTCAAACCCAGGCTCTAAACTGTGAACCTGCAAGATGGTGGGAGTGGGGAAGACAGTGAAAAGTTGTGCAGGGAATTCACAGAACTACAGAACCCACTTTGTACTTCTGGAACTGCTGAGTGGGGAACTAGTTCTAAGGAACAAGGTTAGTGCCCCAGCAGTTGGAGCAGTTTGGTGAGAGAGTGGCACAAAGCTGACACTGGTACATGGCCCTGGCCACTAGTTGTTAAGTTCCACCCATCTCCAGCACTGCCCTCCCCATGAGTGACAGTGAAAGGTGGGAGGGACGTTACAGGACTGTATCAGGCATTAGACCTGCTACTCCAAGTGCAGTCTGGTGCAGTCTGCAGGCCAGCAGCCTCCCTGCTGTCCAGCACTTTCCGCATCACTTGGAAGCTTGATGGAAATGCAGAATCTTGGACCACACTTTAAAGCTTCTGAATCGGGCGGCATGCGATGCCTCATGCTTGTAATCCCAGCACTTTGGGAGGCCAAGGTGGGTGGATCACCTGAGGTCAGGAGTTTTGAGACCACCCTGGCCAACATGTTGGCCCCGTCTCTACTAAACCCCATCTCTACTAAAAGTACAAAAATTAGCCGGGCATGGTGGCGGGCGCCTGTAATCCCAGCTACTTGGGAGGCTGAGACAGGAGGATCGCTTGAACCCGGGAGGCAGAGGTTGCATTGAGCCAAAACTGTTCCGTTGCACTCCAGCCTGGGCAACCAAGATGTCCCTTCTTAGGAACCTTTGTAGTTAATACCACTGTATACAGTCAGACCACAATTTTGTTTCATGAAAAAGGCTGGAAGTAAACATAATGAAAGGTTAAAGATGCTTGGGGGTGCTAAGAATCATTTTCTACCTATCTTTTCCCTTTTCCCCCCACGTTTTTGAAACTCTGTCTCAAAAAATTTAAAAAATAAAGCTTCTACATCAAAATACGCATTTTAACTAGGTCCCTGGGTGATTCCTGTGCACATTGAAGTTTGAGAAGTGCTGTTGTAAATAAAGTAAGTCGTCCTGCTCGCTTGGTACAGCAGGTGGGATGGTAGATGCGAAGGGCGCTTGCAGAACTGGATGATGGGAAGACAGGCAGGCAGGGAGCAAGGTCGGTAAGGAGGATTAAAAAAAAATCAAGGCTGGGCGCGGTGGCTTACGCCTGCAATCGCTGCGCTTTGGGAGGCCAAAGCAGGCGGATCACCTGAGGTCGGGACTTCGAGACCAGGCTGACCAACAGGGAGAAACCCCGTCTCTACTAAAAATACACAATTAGCCGGGCATGGGTGGCGCATGCCTGTAATCCCAGCTACTGGTGAGGCCGAGGCAGGAGAACTGCTTGAACCCGGCAGGTGGAGGTTATGGTGAGCCGAGATCATGCCATTGCACTCCAGTCTGGGCAACAAGAGCGAAACTGCGTCTCAAAAAAAAAAAAAAATTCCTACGAGTGTCAGAAAATATGATCTGCCACAAAGGAAAACCAGGAAATCAGAATCTGGGAGCTAAAGGAAGAAGAAATAGGTGAAGCAGGTAAGCAGATCTCTTGAGAAAATTCACTAATAGACAAAGGGCTGCCCCCCTGTGGGTGATTTTTTTGTGTTGTCTGTGACTTACAGGGTCTAGTTATTATAATTCACAGAGCTTAGGGAGAGCAGCCCCTGCCCATCCCCTCCAGCAGGGTATAGTGAGATTTCTCTGGGTTCTTCTAGCTGAGGGCATATTCTGGGCGTTTTTGGACAGGGGAGAACCAGGGATAGGAGGAGCTGGCTGAGGTTCTGACAGAACAGTGTCTGTTGGATGAGGGCTGGAGTATGTATGGTGTGCGCTTGTGTATGCACATGTGGGCTGGAGGGAAGGGCAGGGCATTGGCACCAACCCAGGACAGCAGTCACTGAAAGATGGGGTGAATTTAGGTGATTGGGAATTAGTGGGCCCACAAAGCCACAGGGCTGATGACATCTGGTACCTTGAAAGTCAGGTGGCAGGCCTACAGATCTCTTGGGTGGATAGTTCTTGGAGTTAGAGTTTGGAGGTCCCCAAGTAGCTTCTAAATATTAGCAATCTGGCTGGGCGCCGTGACTCACGCCTGTAATCCCAGCACACTTTGGGAGGTCGAGGCAGGTGGATCACCTGAGGTCAGGAGTTCAAGACCAGCCTGGCCAACACGGTGAAACCCCATCTCTACTAAAAATACAAAAATTAGCTGGGTGTGGTGGCGCATGCCTGTAATCCCAACTACTCGGGAGGCTGGGGCAGAAGAATTGCTTGAATCCGGGAGGCGGAGGTTGTAGTGAGCCGAGATTGCGCCACTGCACTCCAGCCTAGGTGACAGAGCGGGACTCCATCTCAAAAAAGAAAAAAATTTGTATATATATATGCAATCTGTTTTATATATATATATAAGCAATCTGTTGAGACAACAGTAGTACTGGTAGAGGCAGGGCCATAGTAGATTAGAACCAGAGTGTTCTGAGTGGAGGAGTAGCAAGTTGTTGTTCTCATGAGGATGTCAGGGGCCCCAGCCATGTTGCCTGGAGGAGGAAGAGTTAAGAAGGCATCCCTCTCAGACCTATTGATACACTTAGTCTGAGAATGATCAGTCTGTGCGGTAGACAGGAGGCCGTGTGGGTATGGAGGGTTTTAAGCTGTTCTCTCCAGAATACAAATGGTGGCTTAGCTTGGAGAGGCAGCACCTGGGCAGTCCTTAGAGATCCCATTGACTGATGGAGGAGGGGTGCAATGGACAGTACACGTGGGAATGTGTATGGGTGGGGAGGTAGGTGGATGCGGGGTTTGAGGAGTGCTGCTGTGGGAGTATCTAGGACGACTCTGGGAGAGAGTGGGGCAGGCCCGAAATGAGATCAACACTGATGTTGTCCCAGAGGTGTCTGGAGGCTGGGAGTGGGTGCAGCAGTTCTGCTGGTCCTCCTAGGCCCGTGCTTGACTTGGTAGAGGGGGTGTCAAGTTAGAAAAAAAGGGGTGACTCTGAACTCCATTCCAGATTGTGATGGGCTGTGATAGTGTCCTGGAGTGGTGCTGGGGGGAAGATCTGACTGCTTGAGCAGAGTCCTCTTTGGGTGGATGATTTGCTCCACCCGTGTGTTTTGTGGCCCCTGTGGTTCTTCTGAGTCATTCAGGTATTACTAGAGCAGGCATCTGCCTGTCACCCACAGGTGTGTTTTGTGAAAAAGCTGTGACTGATGTCCTCCAAGTTTTCAGGTTGAAGGATTTCTCAGGATGGCCAACCACGGTCTTTCCTTGGGTGTTCCTGCTCTTCAGGCAAGCCTCTGCCTTATCTAGTTTTTGTTTGTTTGTTTTTTTTTTTTTTTGAGATGAGTCTCGCCTCTATGGCCAGGGTGGAGTGCAGTGGTGCGATCTTGGCTCACTGCAACCTCTGCCTCCCAGGTTCAAGCGATTCTCCTGCCTCAGCCTCCCGAGTAGCTGGGACTACAGGCACGCGCCAACACGCCTGGCTAATTTTTGTATTTTTAGTAGAGACGGGGTTTCACCATGTTGGCCAGGATGGTCTCAATCTCTTGATCTTGTGATCTGCCCACCTCAGCCTCCCAAAGTGCTGGGATTACAGGCATGAGCCACTGTGCCGGGCATGCCTCATCTAGTTTTATCTTCTCCACCTATCCAAACCCTTCCTCTCCTTTGAAGCCCAATTCAAGTTCTAGGTCTCTGTGCACCTCCCTGGATTCTCAACAATTTTCCCTATTGTCTGACGCACTTAGGAGCTGACACAAACCAGCCCCTCAATCCCAGAGGGTAGACAACACAATGTGGTTATTCCTTCTCTTTTAGAGGCATAGTACCTCTCTTACCAAAAATGTCTCCCCCTCTGTTAGGCCAATCAGTGCCTTTTTGGGGGCTGGGAGGGGTTCTGCCTTTTGGATCAGAGAGTGGAGCAGTGAGTCCTGCTCCAGTGAGGAAGCCATACATTCAGGCACTTCAGGAGCCAGAATTCCTACTAGGGGAGCTGCTCTGTGCTGAGATCAAATGAAGCCCCAGAGAGAGGCAGAAATGGGTCAGATGGACCCTAGCTCCACAGGTCCCGAGGCCCAGCCACATCAGCTCCAGCCCAGTGTGGTTGTCTAGCTCTGCTTTAGTGTCCACAAGCCAGTCATTCATACCTATTTTGCCCAAGCTGGTTAACTGGCTTTCTGTCACTCGCAATTCAAAGTACCTGGTATGGCCGAGCGTGGTGGCTCACGCCTGTAATCCCAGCACTTTGGGAGGTCGAGGAGGGCAGATCACGAGGTCAGGAGTTCAAGACCAGCCTGGCCAACATAGTGAAACCCCGTCTCTACTAAAAATACAAAAAAAAAATAAAAAAAATTAGCTGGGAATAGTGGCGGGTGCCTGTAGTCTCAGCTACTTGGGAGGCTGAGGCAGGAGAATCGCTTGAACCCAGGAGGCGGAGGTTGCAGTGAGCCGAGATCACGCCACTACACTCCAGCCTGGCGACACAGTGAGACTCCATCTCAAAAAACAAACAAAAACAAAGAAAGTACCTGGCACATAGTAGGCATGCAAGAAATGTTCATTCCCTTCTTTCCTCCTTAAAGATAGGCTTATACTTCTGGGTCTTTCAGTATCTCTATTCTGTGATCATTCAATCAGAAACAGCAATTGAATTTTACTAACTGAGAATATATAGAGATACAAGTATGAAGTGAACAAGCTATTACAGGCATTAGTTTTAAACAGCAATATTCCCTTGATACCTGTGAGAGGTGACAGCGTGCTGGCAGTCCTCAGAGCCCTCGCTTGCTCTCGGCACCTCCCCTGCCTGGGCTCCCACTTTGGTGGCATTTGAGGAGCCCTTCAGCCCCCCACTGCACTGTGGGAGCCCCTTTCTGGGCTGGCCAAGGCTGGGAGGTGTGGAGGGAGAGGCACGAGCGGGAACCTGGGCTGTGTGCGGCGCTTGCGGGCCAGCTGGAGTTCCCGGTGGGCGGGGACTTGGTGGGCCCCGCACTCGGAGCAGCCAGCCAGCCCTGCTGGCCCCGGGCAATGGGGCACTTAGCACCTGGGTCAGTGGCTGCGGAGGGTGTACTGGGTCCCCCAGCAGTGCTGGCCCACCAGCGCTGCGCTCGATTTTTCGCCGGGCCTTAGCTGCCTTCCTGCGGGGCAGGGCTTAGGACCTGCGGCCCGCCATGCCTGAGCCTTCCACCCACTCCATGGGCTCCTGTGCGGCCCGAGCCTCCCTGACGAGCACCACCCCCTGCTCCACAGTGCCCAGTCCCATCGACCACCCAAGGGCTGAGGAATGTGAGCGCATGGCGCAGGACTGGCAGGCAGCTCCACCTGCAGCCCCAGTGTGGGATCCACTGGGTGAAGCCAGCTGGGCTCCTGAGTCTGGGGGGGAATGTGGAGTCTTTATATCTAGCTCAGGGATTGTAAATACACCAATCAGCACCCTGTGTTTAGCTCAAGGTTTGTGAGTGCACCAGTCGACACTCTGTATCTAGCTGCTCTGGTGGGGACGTGGAGAGTCTTTATATCTAGCTCAGGGATTGTAACTACACCAATCAGCACCCTGTGTTTAGCTCAAGGTTTGTGAGTGCACCAATCAACACTCCGTATCTAGCTGCTCTGGTGAGGATGTGGAGAACCTTTATGTCTAGCTCAAGGATTGTAAATACACCAGTCGGCACTCTGTATCTAGCTCAAGGTTTGTAAACACACCAATCAGCACCCTGTGTTTAGCTCAAGGTTTGTGAGTGCACCAATCGACACTCTGTATCTAGCTGCTATGGTGGGGCCTTGGAGAACCTGTGTGTGGAAACTCTGTATCTAACTAATCTGATGGGGACGTGGAGAACCTTTGTATCTAGCTCAAGGATTGTAAACGCACCAATCAGCACCCTGACAAAACAGGCCACTCGGCTCTACCAATCAGCAGGATGTGGGTGGGGCCAGATAAGAGCATAAAAGCAGGCTGCCAGAGCCAGCATTGACAACCCGCTCGGGTCCCCTTCCACACTGTGGAAGCTTTGTTCTTTCGCTCTTTGCAATAAATCTTGCTACTGCTCTCACTCTTTGGGTCCATGCTGCTTTTATGAGCTGTAACACTCACCGCGAAGATCTGCAGCTTCACTCCTTAGCCCAGCGAGACCACGAGCCCACCGGGAGGAATGAACAACTCCAGACGCGCTGCCTTAAGAGCTGTAACACTCACCGCGAAGGTCTGCAGCTTCACTCCTGAGCCAGCAAGACCACGAACCCACCAGAAGGAAGAAACTCCGAACGCATCTGAACATCAGAAGGGGCAGACACCAGACGCGCCACCTTAACAGCTGTAACACTCACCGCGAGGGTCCGCGGCTTCATTCTTGAAGTCAGTGAGACCAAGAACCCACCAATTCCGGACACACCTGGATCTCTTTTTCCAGTATCACTATCAGTTAAATCCCGCCTCCCCCCCCCGAAATTTATAATTTTATAAACAGGCAACCATGAGATATAATTAGGAAAAACTAGTGACACTGCTTTATTTGAGAACAGAATAAAGAGCGTGGCTGGAACTCTGCCAAGATGGTCTTTAACATTCTGCCCTAACCAGGGTGTTAACTTTCCAACACTGTTGGTGTATGGCTGAGTGCTGCAGATTTCTCAGAGAATTAGCAAAAGGTTGAAATAAACGCTAAAGATGAGTCCGTAAGAAGGAAAATAAGCTGGTTTTCTTTCTGTTCCTTTTAAAACTCTAGCCAGAAATACTGCCCAATGCATAATGAAGACTGTACACAGCAGCATCAAAAAGGCTATTTACAAGAGATTTTCTTCAACAGAATCCACTTGAAAGCACTGAGAATTTGCATCTTAGCTAAGAGCAGTTTACCAAGGAACAGGGCCATCTAAGTGCCTAACTAGCATTTAAAGTTGTCAAGGGGTGGGGATGTGCAAATTAAGCAGCAAAAGATTATTATCTTGTTTTGCTTTAAGGGAAAGTAATAGTGGTCAGAGGGGCCAGTTCCAAGGGCTGGTCCAAGGGGGGCCGCTGGTCTTGGTACTCCGCCACATGCCCATTCCGGTGGTGGCCATACTCAAACTTGATCCGCAGCTCGCCAATCTTAGATTGGGGAAGGATATCTGGGATCCACTCGATGATGAAAGGTGTTGGCTCCTTTTGATCTGGGGAAGTGTTGCCTAAAGAGAAGAAAGGAGTATTAGTACAATTCCACCTAACTCTAATGGGTGTTCCTAATTGCAAAAAAAGTGTCCGGAATTGGAGCAGCCTGTTCAGCTTTGATAATCAGAAGGCCGAATGAGGTTTATAAATTCAGTGGTGATTGGGATATCAGATTTATTGATCATCATGAAGTTTTTGGGTTATTTTGTTTTTTTTGAGACGGAGTCTCGCTTTGGCACCCAGGCTGGAGTGCAGTGGCGCAATCTCAGTTCACTGCAACCTTTGCCTCCCGGGTTCAAGCGATTCTCCTTCCTCAGCCTCCTGAGTAGCTGGGATTACAGGCACGTGCCACCACACCTGGCTAATTTTTTGTATTTTTAGTAGAGATGGGGTTTCATCGTGTTAGCCAGGATGGCTCAATCTCTTGACCTTGTGATCCGCCCACCTCAGACTCCCAAGTGCTGGGATTACAGGCGTGAGCCACCACGCCCAGCCATCATGAAGTTAAAACATATATATTTAGGCCAGGCATGGTAGTTCATGCCTGTAATCCCAACAGTGTTGGTGGGCAAGGCGAGAGGATAGCTTGAGGCCAGGAGTTTAAGACCAGCCTATGCAACAAAGTGAGACCCTGTCTCTACAAAAAATTAAATTAGCCAGGTGTGGTGAAATGTGCCCATAGTCCCAACTACTTGGGAGACTGAGGTGGGAGGACTGCTTGAACCCAGTAGTTCAATGCCAGCCTGGGCAATACAGTGAGACTTTGTCTCAAAAAAACAAAGTAATACAAGAAAACAAGAAGGATAGGCCAGGGACAGTGGCTTACACCTGTAATTCCAGCACTGTGGGAGGCTGAGGTGGGCGGATCACTTGAGGTCAGGAGTTTGAGACCAGCCTGACCAACACGGCAAAACCGTCTCTACTAAAAATACAAAGATTATCCAGGTGTGGTAGCATGCTCCTGTAATCCCAGTTACTCGGGAGGCTAAGGCAGAAGAATCGCCTGAACCCAGGAGGTGGAGGCTTCAGTGAGCCAAGATCGCACCACTTCACTCCACCCTGGGCAACAGAGTGAGACTCCGCCTCAAAAAACACCCCCAAAAAATAAAAAAACAAGAAGGATGGATTAATTAATGTATATACATTTTTATATTATAAAAATTAACAATGTATATACATTTTTCTCTCAGCACTACTAAATCTTTGACTTCATAAGCTAATATTTTACTTTTTTGTTTGTTTGTTTGTTTTTTGAGATGGAGTATTGCTCTGTTGCCCAGGCTGGAGTGCAGTGTTGCAATCTCGGTTCACTGCAACCTCCACCTCCTGGGTTCAGGTGATTCTCCAGCCTTCCAAGTAGCTGGGACTACAGGCACGCACCACCATGTCCAGCTAATTTTTGTATTTTTAGTAGAGACAGGGTTTCAGCAGGTTGGCCAGGCTGGTCTCGAACTCCTGACCTCTGATGATCCTCCCACCTCAGCCTCCCAGAGTGTGGGGATTACAGGCGTGAGCCACTGCGCCTGGCTTATATTTTACTTTTAACTTCACTATGTTACTCTCCCTCCACTTTAGCCTAAATAGTCACCCCTTTTAAATTCCTTCCCTCTACTTCTTTTGGTCCTTTCTCACAAAGACTAAGACATCACTGATATGATGAGAAACAAAGCATCCATCCACCCACCCCAGACTAACAACTTCATTGGCAGGGTATTTTGGTCTGTTTGGTTTCTTTTAGTCATAGAATATAAATGTTAGGTATTATCTAGTTCATGTTTGTCACAGACATTCTAGCTTCCATTTCAAATGATATCTGGAGCTGCTGCCAACTTTTCACTTAAATATCAATGAAGACATAGAAAAAGATAAAAACTTACAACTGATGAACACTAAGACTACTGGCAGCTTCTGGGAGGAAATATAAAACAGGTGGAGATGGATGGAAAGAAACCTACCCAGACTTTGGCCATAGCATATCCCATCTTTCCTTCATAAAGGGAGGCTACATGGAAAAAGGCAGGAAAATACTTTGTCTCTCTCACTGTTTGTGCCCTGGCTAGTACTTGTACAGAGCAGCAAATGAGCAGCGCCACTTCGTTTCCTTTAGAACATCTCACACACACCCCTCCCCACTCATGTACCTGAATTCTTGATGACTGCAAAGGGGACTTGGAGGAGAGTAGGTGCATTTAAGGTGAATAGCAGGGCCAGGTGCAGTCGCTCACGTCTGTAAACCCAGCACTTTGGGAGGCCAAGCCGGGCAGATCATGAGGTCAGGAGTTCGAGACCAGCCTGATCAAGATGGTGAAACTCCGTCTCTACTAAAAATACAAAAATTAGCCAGGCGTGGTGGCACGCCCCTGTAATCCCAGCTACTCAGAAGGCTGAGATAAAAGAATTGCTTGAACCTGGGAGGCAGGGGTTGCAGTGAGCCAAGATCGCACCACTGCACTCCAGCCTAGGCAACAGAGCAAGACTCCATCTCAAAAAAAAAAAAAAAGTGAATAGCAGTGGCAGAGTGTGTTCTGGAAGGTACAGTCTGCACTAGTAAAGCAATTTGGGTGTGAGAAGGAGGAGAAACCCTTGAAAACTATATATGCGGGGAATCTTAGTTTTGTGTGTTTTTTTCCTATATTCCATTATTAGCAATGAAGGAGGCAGAGATGGTCAGGAGATGCCACTGTGGTAGGAAAGAGAAACATTAGATCTGAGAACTCTGCATCAGCGCTCCACATACAGATCTGAGAGGGAGCCAGCCATCATGCAGGAGTGGTCCCAAGCAACCTGCCTGTTACCAGAATTTGAGTCTGGACAGATCTTTTTTTTTTTTTTTTTGAGACAGAGTTTTGCTCTGTCGCCAGGCTGTAGTGGTGCGATCTCGGCTCACTGCAAGCTCTGCCTCCCAGGTTCATGCCATTCTCCTGCCTCAGCCTCCTGAGTAGCTGGGACTACAGGCGCCCGCCACCACGCCCAGCTAATTTTTTTGTATTTTTAGTAGAGATGGGGTTTCACCATGTTAGCCAGGATGGTCTCGATCTCCTGACCTCGTGATCCACCCGCCTTGGCCTCCCAAAGTCTGGACAGATCTTAATCTGTTCAGTAATAAGTAAAGAAAAGAACAGGAAATTAAAAAAAAAAAAAACTACATAAGGAAAAGGGAGTAAACAGCTAGAAGAATCAAAGGAAGGGAAAGCAATGACTGATATATCTATCCAAAAGAAAATTTAAACGGCCGGGCGCGGTGGCTCATGCCTGTAATCCCAGCATTTTGGGAGGCCGAGGCGGGTGGATCACGAGGTCAGGAGTTCGAGACCAGCCTGGCCAATGTGGTGAAACCCCGTCTTTACTAAAAATACAAAAATTAGCTGGGCGTGGTGGCGGGCTAATCCCAGCTACTCGGGAGGCTGAGGCAGGAGAATCGCTTGAACCCGGGAGGTGGAGGTTGCAGTGAGCCGAGATCGCGCCACTGCACTCCAGCCTGGGTGACAGAGCAAGACTCTGTCTCAAAAAAACAAACAAACAAACAAAAAAAAAAACACAGAAATTTCAGGGAACTGTTTAGCATCCACAAAAGAAAAAAAATAAGATCCAGCCTTTATGAAAGTAAGGCCAGAATCATTAAGGAGAGCTCAGACTGGGAGGAAAAGGCAGCTGGATGAGAGTAAAAGGAAGACGAACAAGAAAAGGCCAAATTTCAAGAATCACAAAGAATAGAATTAAAATCTACATGGTCAGCTGGGCACAGTGGCTCATGCCTGTAATCCCAGCACTTTGAGAGGATCAGGGTGGAGGATCACTTGAGGTCAGGAGTTCAAGACCAGCCTGGGCAACATAGTAAGACCCCCATCTCTGTAAGAAATTTTTACTAAAAAAAAAAAAAAAAAAAAAAAAAAAAAAATCTGACATGGTTCTAAAATATATTATAAACCCGTAATAACCCAAAGAGTGTGGTACTAGCATGCATCTAGACAGATTAAAGGAAGAAAACAGAAAGATTAGAAATAGACACAAATACAACAGGAATTTAGCCTAAGATAAAGATGGCATTTGTAACTACTAAAAGAAGAACAAATAAGTGTTTCTTCTAATAAATGGTTTGTATCAACCAGATATCCATCTGGAAGAAAATAAAAGGTGGTAGAATCTTACCTATAACTTACCTAACTTACATCATGATAAATTCCAGAGAATCAAAGTTTTTTGTTTTGTTTTGTTTTGTTTTGTTTGAGACAAGGTCTTGCTCTGTCACCTAGGCTGGAGCGTAGTGACACAATCATGGCTCACTGCAGCCTCGACCTCCAGGGCCCAAGCGATCCTCCCACCTCAGCCTCCAAAGTAGCTGGGACCACAGGCATGTACCACCATTCCTGGCTAATTTTTTTTTTTTTGAAAGTAAGTTTATTAAGAAAGTAAAGGAGGCCGGGCATGGTGGCTCACGCCTGTAATCCAGCACTTTGGGAGGCCAAGGCGGGCAGATCACAAGGTCAAGAGATCAAGACCATCCTGGCCAACATGGTGAAACCCCGTCTCTACTAAAAATACAAAAATTAGCTGGGCATGATGGCACAGGCCTGTAGTCCCAGCTACTAAGGAGGCTGAGGCAGAAGAATTGCTTGAACCTGGGAGGTGGAGGTTGCAGTGAGCAAGATCGCACCACTGCACTCCAGCCTGGTGTCAGAGCAAGACTCCATCTAAAAAAATAAAAAATAAAAAGAAGGTAAAAAGAAGGTAAAGGAATAAAGAATGGCTACTTCATAGGCAGAGGAGCCCCTGGCTAATTTTAAAAATTCTTTTATAGAGATGGGGTCTCCTTGTGTTGCTCAGGCTGGTCTCAAACTCCTGGGCTCAAGCTATCCTCCAACCCCAGCCTCCCAAAGTGCTGGGATTATAGGTGTGAGCTGCTGTGCTCTGTCAGATCAAAGATTTAAACATAGAAGGTTAAAGAATACTTTTGAAAAATACAAAATTAGGCCGGGTGTGGTGGCTCATGCCTGTAATCCCAGCACTTTGGGAGGCCAAAGCGGGTGGATCACCTGAGGTCAGGAGTTCGAGACCAGCCTGACCAATATGGTGAAACCCCATCTCTACTAAAAATACAAAAAATTAGCCAGGCGTGGTGGCGGGTGCCTGTAGTCCCAGCTACTCGGGAGGCTGAGGCAGGAGAATGGCGTGAACCTGGGAGGCGGAGGTTGCAGTGAGCCGAGATTGCGCCACTGCACTCCAGCCTGGGTGACAGAGTGAGACTCCATCTCAAAAAAAAAGAAAAAAAAAAAGAAAAATACAAAATTAAACACTAGCAGAACTAAACTAAGAATATGGTATCACTGGCCGAGTGCAGTGGCTCATGCCTATAATCCCAGCACTTTGGGAGGCTGAGGCGGGCAGATCACCTGAGGTTGGGAATTCAAGACCAGTCTGACCAATGTGGAGAAACCCCATCTCTACTAAAAATACAAAATTAGCTGGGCATGGTGGCACATGCCTGTAATCCCAGCTGTTTGGGAGGCTGAGGCAGAACAATCTCTTGAACCCGGGAGGCGGAGGTTGCGGTGAGCCGAGATTGCCCCATTGCACTCCAGCCTAGGCAATAAGAGTGAAACTCCGTCTCAAAAAAAAAAGAATATGGTATCACCTTCAAAAACTATGAAGACAAGACAGAGAACGTAGTCCATTTAGCAAAAAATAAGACAAAAGACCAACTATATAAATTATAATAAATATAAAGAGGATAGACCATTAAAATTAGAAAAACTCAAAACCAAGTATATAATGTTGATAAGAGATTCATCTAAGTTGGGCCTGGTGGTGTGTGCCTGTAGTCCCACCTCCTTGGGAGGCAGAGTGGAAGGATCACTTGAACCCAGGAGTTCAAGGCTGTAGTGCACTATGATCACACCTGGAAATAGCCATTGCACTCCAGCCTGAGCAACATGGCAAGACCCTGTCTCTGAAAAAAGATTCCATTAAAACAGTGTCACAAAAAAGTTAAAACTAAATGGATGGCGAACATATTAAAAAAAATAAAAAACAGGCCAGGCATGGTGGCTTATGCCTGTAATCTCAGCACTTTGGGAGGCTGAGGCACGAGGACTGCTTGAACCCAGGAGTTCAAGACCAGCGTGGGCAACAGAGTAAGACCTCGTCCCTACTAAAAATAAAAAGAAATTAGCTGGGAATGGTGGCACATGCCTGTAGTCCCAGCTACTCAGGAGGCTGAGGTGGGAGGATCGCTTGAGCCCAGGAGTTTGAGGCTGCAGTGAGCCGTGATTGTGCCACTGCACTCCAGCTTGGGTAACAGGGCAAGACCCTATCTCAAAAAAAAAAAAAGAGTAAAATTTAAAAAATTAAAAGAATAAAAAACAAAAGAAAGCTGGTGTCACTGTTGTAATACTGGACAAAGAATTTAGGGCAAAGTTATTTTTACATTGATAACATACAATTTACGTTAACAACATCTGGCAATAACTCTGATGTACCAACAACACTGCATTTAAAATAATTAAAGGCTTTTAGAAATATAAGAAGTCATTCAGGGAAACATAATTTTAGAAGCAAATGGTAAAATGACTCTTCTAGTCTTTGGCAGGTCAAAGAGATAACAAAGAGGACTTAAACACCAAAATAAGGCCGGGTGCGGTGGCTCACGCCTGTAATCCCAGCACTTTGGGCGGCCGAGGTGGATGGATCACGAGGTCAGGAGATCGAGACCATCCTGGCTAACATGGTGAAACCCCGTCTCTACTAAAAATACAAAAAATTAGCCGGGCGAGGTGGCGGGCCTCTGTAGTCCCAGCTACTCAGGAGGCTGAGGCAAGAGAATGGCGTGAACCCCAGGGGGCGGAGCCTGCAGTGAGCCGAGATCGCACCACTGCACTCCAGCCTGGGCGACAGCGAGACTCCCGTCTCAAAACAAACAAACAAACAAACAAACAAAAAACCACCAAAATAAAATGAAAAAGCTATATATAGCTGGGCGCGGTGGCTCACGCCTGTAATCCCAGAACTTTGGGAGGCCAAGGTGGGCGGATCATCTGAGGTTAGAAATTCGAGACCAGCCTGGCCAACATGGCGAAACCCCATATCTACTAAAAATACAAAAATTAGCAGGGTGTGGTGGCATACGCCTGTAATCTGAGCTACTCAGGAGGCTGAGGCAGGAGAATCACTTGAACCCGGGAGGCGGAGGTTGCAGTGAGCCGAGATCGTGCCACTGCACTCCCGCCTGGGTGACAGAGCAAGACTGTATCTGAAAAACAAACAAAAACTATATACGAGTTTATATTGGATAAATAACATCTATGCTAGCACAAATTCATATCATATATTGTTAGTGAAAAAACATTTTAAAATTCCTAAAAAGAAAGAAATTAAGGCCGGGCTTGGTGGCTCACGTCTATAATCCCAGCACTTTGGGAGGCCGAGGTGGGCGGATCACCAGACGTCCAGAGTTCGACATCAGCCTGGTTAACATGGTAAACCCTGTCTCACTAAATATACAAAAATTAGCTGGGCATGCTGGCATGCGCCTGTAATCCCAGCTACTCAGGAGGCTGAGGCAGGAGAATTGCTTAAACCTGGGAGATGGAGGGTGTAGTGAGCCAGGATCGCACTGCTGCACTCCAGCCTGAGCGACAGAGTGAGACTCGGTCTCAAAAAAAAAAAAAAAGAAAGAAATTAAAGATACATCTTCTGACCTCAAAATAATAAAACTAGAAATTGGAAACTAAGAATATGAAGATTAAAAGCCTCAACTAATTTGAAATTTTAAATACAAGGTACTGAGGACAGGGAGAAACTAAATTATAATTATAGATGATTCAGATAATAACTTTAAATGTTATCAAACATTAATTTAAAAAATTGCATATTCCTTTTATTATTTATTTATTTATTTATTTATTTGTTTGTTTGTTTGTTTTTGAGACAGAGTCTGGCCCTCTCGCCCAGGCTGAAGTGCAATGGCACGATCTCGGCTCACTGCAACCTCCACCTCCTGGGTTCAAGCAATTCCCCTACCTCAGCCTCCCGAGTAGCTGTGACTACAGGCACACACCACCACACCCAGCTAATGTTTTGCATTTTAGTAGAGATGGGGTTTCACCATGTTGGCCAGGATGGCCTTGATCTCCTGACCTCGTGATCTGCCCGCCTCAGCCTCCCAAAGTGCTGGAATTATAGGCATGAGTCACCACGCCCGGCCACGCCTGGCTAATTTTTGTATTTTTAGTAGAGATGGGGTTTCACCATGTTGGCCAGGCTGGTTGGAACTCCTGGCCTCAAGTAATCCACTTGCCTAGGCCTCCCAAAGTGCTGGGATTACAGGCATGAGCCACCGCGCTCGGCCGAGTATTCCTTTTTTTTTTTTTTTTTTTTGAGACGGAGTCTTGCTCTGTTGCCCAGGCTGGAGTGCATGGAGTGCAGTGGCGCGATCTCGGCTCACTGCAAGCTCTGCATCCTGGGTTCACACCATTCTCCTGCCTCAGCCTCCCGCCACCGCGCCCAGCTAATTTTTTGTATTTTAGTAGAGATGGGGTTTCACCATGTTAGCCAGGATGGTCTCGATCTCCTGACCTTGTGATCCGCCTGTCTCAGCCTCCCAAAGTGCTGGGATTACAGGCGTGAGCCACCGTGCCCGGCCCTCGGCGGAGTATTCCTTTTAAAAGCTACAAAAATAAAACAGTTCCAAGAAAATATTAGGAAAATTTTAAAAGAGAAATTATTGTAGACAAAAGAAGGAAATAATTTAAAGCAAATTTAGGGCCCGGCCTGGTGGCTCACACCTGTAGTCCTAGCACTTTGGGGGGCCGAGGTGGGCAGATTGCCTGAGCTCAGGAGTTCGAGACCAGCCTGGGCAACATGGTGAAACCCCGTCTCTACTAAAATACAAAAAATTAGCTGGGTGTGACGGTGGGCGCCTGTAATCCCAGCTACTCGGGAGGCTGAGGCAGGGGAATCGCTTGAATCCGGGAGGCAGAGGTTGTGGTGAGCCAAGATCATGCCACTGCACTCTATCCAGCCTGGTGACAGAGCGAGACTCCCTCTCCAAAAAAAAAAAAAAAATTTAGAACTGAAAAAAGCCAGTTACCTGATTTGGAAAACACCATAAAGCAGATGAAATTCAAGTACAGTCTAAAACAGACTTAGAAGAGATTTTAATTTTTCTTCTTTTAGTAAAGTGGGGGTCTTGCTATATTGCCCAGGCTGGTCTTGAATTCATGGCCTGAAGCGATCCTGCTGCCTCAGCCCCCAAAGCTCTGGGATTACAGGCATAAGCCACTGTGCCCAGCTTTCATTTACTATTATCACTACTGGGACTTCATCAAGGGTACCAATTTAATATTAAGTATATTAAAACTAAGAGATTTCCATAACTGGAAATAACAAGTTAGAATCAGGATAGATATTTCATTCACAAGAGCAGCAAAAAAATAATATTCACAAGAATTTGACAGAATAATTATAAATTCTAAATTTCTTCTGGAAGAATAAATACAAAACTGAAGAAACAAAGGGAGGCCACCAGATAGATCACAAAGCTAAATTAGTTAAAACTATGGCTGGCATGCATTTATTCATTCAGCAAGTCTTTTTTTTTTTTTTTTCTTTTTTTGAGGCTGAGTCTCACTCTGCCGCCCAGGCTGGAGTGCAGTGGTGAGATCTCGGCTCACTGTAACCTCTGCCTCCTGGGTTCAAGCGATTCTTGTGCCTCAGCCTCTCGAGTAGCTGGGACTACAGGCATGCGCCACTATGCCTGGCTAAGTTTTGTATTTTTATAGTAGAGACTGGGTTTCACCATGTTGGCCAGGCTGGTCTCAAAACTCCTAACGTCAAGCAATCCACCTGTCTTGGCCTCCCAAAGTGCTGGGATTATAGGTGTGAGCCACAGCACCTGGCCTGTAATTTTATTTTTGAAAACACTGGTTCAATTGAAACAAAATACCTTATCCCACGATTGCCTTTACAAGGTGAATGAATGTGTCTTCTTTGTTTAAGGTCAAGATCCAAAGCTTTGGACAGTGTACTGTACTGTTCACCAGCTGACACTCAAAGGAAGATGCAGTTTTGAAGTTCACTTACCAACTTTGAGAAAAGTTTTTAGTTCCAAGGGTCGCAGCACTGGTTGTTTTTCTATACGACCGTAGGTTTCTGCTATGCTTTCTACTTCCACTTTAGGGCATTTAAATAGCTCATAAGTCCCATCTCGGTTCTGGATAAAGCTACGGGTGATTTCCAAGGGCATCTGGACACCAAGACAATACCAAAAAAAGGTGAGAGAGAAAACTTTCAAAACAGACCAATACCTGGATGACGACAAATCTTTTATTATTCCTTCTTTCTTGTTAAGTATATTCAAATGAATTACAACTTCCCTGTTTTTCAAGAAAATCCTGTCAACAAATCTGCCTTTTCTCCCTTACATCATTCATGGCTTTCCTTTTTTCTCTAAAATCTTAAATTTCCACCCCAGCCAAACTATATACCAATTGAGCCTCTAACATCTTCATGGGTACATGACTGCTGCTGGCACAGACCTGCTCTAAAATCAGTTTCATTCCTTCCCCTACTGCTCTGCTAGCAGCATTCTTCTCTTAAATTCCTTTGTTCATAGCACCTGCAGCTCACCTCACATCCTGTATGCTTCATACTGTCCTTGGGACTGAGCCAAGCAGAACTGGAACTGGATGCTGTGGTGACCCAGAGCAAATTACAAACTTCTCAGAGCCTGTTTTCTCACGGGCAAAATGCAGTTAATGCCAGGGCATGGCTGGGAGGTCAAATGAGGTGACGGAGGTAAGTAATGCCTGACAGTGAGAAGCTCCATGATGGTTAGCTCTATTCTCCCACATGCCTGCACCCTGAGTTGCTTCAGTGTCTCCCTAAATGTCATCCATTCCAGGCTAAAAACTGCCTCTGTGCCATGTGCATTTAAAGGAGTTCCTCAAGTGTTTTTAATGCCAACACAGCCCTTTTCTAGGGTTCACATGTATTTACTTTTTTTAAGAGGCAAGGTCGCTAGGAGTGGTGGCTCACGCCTGTAATCCCAGAACTTTGGGAGGCTGAGGTAGGCGGATCACCTGAGGTCGGGAGTTTGAGACCAGCCTGACCAACATGGAGAAACCTCATCTCTACTAAAAATACAAAATTAGCCAGGCGTGGTGGCAGACGCCTGTAATCCCAGCTACTCAGAAGGCTGAGGCAGGAGAATCGCTTGAACCTGGGAGGTGGAGGTTGAGGTGAGCCAAGATCACATGATTGCACTCCAGACTGGGCCACAAGAGTGAAAGTCCGTGTCAAAAAAAAAAAAAAAAAAAGAGTCAAGGTCTCACTTGGTTGCCCCTGCTGGAGTACAGTGGCACAATCATGGCTCACTGTAGCCTCCAACTCCCAGGCTCAAGTGATCCTCTTGCTTCAGCTTTCTTAGTGGTTGGGACTATAGGCACACACCACCAGGCCTCACTTTTTCTTTTTTTCTTTTTTTTTGGAGATGGAGTCTAGCTCTGTCACCCAGGCTAGAATGCAGTGGCACGATCTCAGTTCACTGCAACCTCCGCCTCCCAGGTTCAAGTGATTCTCCTGCCTCAGCCTCCCGAGTAGCTGGGATTACAGGAGCAAGCCACCACGCCCGGCTAATTTTTGTATTCTAGTAGAGACGGGTTTTCACCATGTTGGCGAAGCTGGTCTCAAACCCCTGACCTCAGGTGATCTGCCCACCTTGGCCTCCCAAAGTGCTGGGATTACAGGCATGAGCCACCTCGCCAGCCTCTTTTGCTTTCTTTCTTTCTTTCTTTTTATTTTTTTAAGAGTAGGGGCCTTTGCTGGCCTGGCGCACTGGCTCACGCCTGTAATCCCAGCACTTTGGGAAGCCAAGGAGGGTGGATCACCTGAGGTCAGGAGCTTGGGACCAGCCTGGTCAACATGGTGAAAGCCTGTCTCTACTAAAAATACAAATTAGCTGGGCAGGATGGTGCGCTTGTAATCCCAGCTACTCGGGAGGCTGAGGTGGGAGAATTGCTTGAACCTGGGAGGCAGAGGCTGCAGTGAGCCAAGATTGTGCCCTGCATTCCAGCCTAGACAACAGAGTGAGACTCTGTCTCAAACAAAAAAAAAATAGTAGGGGCCTCGCTGTGTTGCCTAGGCTGGTCTTGAACTCCTGGCCTCAAGCAATCCTTCATCTCAGCCTCCTAAATCGCTGGTATTATAGCCACCATGCCTGGCTCACATGTAAATTCTGTAGCTATCAAACAACTTATTTTTTTTTCCTGAACAGAAGAATGCCTTGCAATTAAGCTACTCTTAATGTATCAAATCACATTATGCTGAATTTTCTACTTTTTTGGAGACGAAGTCTCGATCTTGTCCCCCAGGCTGGAGTGCAATGGCGCAACCTCAGCTCACTGCAACCTCCGCCTCCCGGGTTCAAGCGATTCTCCTGCCTCAGCCTCCCAAGTAGCTGGGATTACAGGTGCCTGCCACCATGCCTGGATAATTTTTGTATTTTTAGTTGTGACGGGGTTTCACCATGTTGGCCAGGCTGGTCTCAAACTCCTGACCTCAGGTGATCCACCTGCCTTAGCCTCCCAAAGTGCTGAGATTACAGGTGTGAGCCACCGTGCGCGGCCTGAATTTTCTACATAATTCTATTACTGTAGGAAAAAAAACTCCATCTCAGATTTTCAGGATCTACTTGAAAAACATACATACATATATATTTTTTGAGACAGCGTCTTGCTCTGTCGCCCAGGCTGGAGTGCAGTGGTGCGATCTCGGCTCACTGCAAGCTCCGCCTCCCGGGTTCACACCATTCTCCTGACTCAGCCTCCCGAGTAGCTGGGACTACAGGAGCCTGCCACCATGCCCGGCTAATTTTTTTGTATTTTTAGTAGAGACGGGGTTTCACTGTGTTAGCCAGGATGGTCTCGATCTCCTGACCTCGTGATCCACCCGCCTCGGCCTCCCAAAGTGCTGTGATTACAGGCGTGAGCCACCGCACCCAGCCCGAAAAACATTTTAAAATGTGTAAGACAGGCACAGGGGCTCACGCCTGTAATCCATGCACTTTGGGAAGCCAAGGTGGGCGGATCACTTGAGATCAGGAGCTTGAGACCAGCCTGGCCAACATGGCAAAACCCTGTCTCTACTAAAAATACAAAAATTAGCCAGGCATGATGGTGCGTGCCTATAGTCCCAGCTACTCAGGAGGTTGAGGCATGAGAACTGCTTGAACCTGGGAGGTGGAGGTTACAGTGAGCCGAGATCGTGCCACTGCACTGCAGCCTGGGCAACAGAGCAAGAGACTCTGTCTCCAAAAAATAAAAATAAAAACATAAAATGTCTAGTGTGGCTGGAAGAGGCAGATTACACCTGTAATCACAGTACTTTGGGAGGCCAAGATGGGAGGACTGCTTGAACCCAGGAATTTGAGACCAGCCTGGGCAACATAGCAAGACCCTATCTTAAATTTTTTTTTTTTTTTAATTAATAGGGTGGGCCTGGTGGCTCATGCCTGTAATCCCAGCACTTTGGGAGACTGCGGCAGACAGATTGCTCGAGTCCAGGAATTTGAGACCAGCCTGGGCAACATGGGGAAACCCCATCTCTACAAAAATTAGCTGGGCATGGTGGCATATGCCTGTAGTCCAAGCTACTCAGGAGGCTGAGGTGGGAGGATCACTTGATCCCAAGAGGTGGAGGTAGAGTGAGCCGTGACTGCACCACTGTACTCCAGACTAGGCAACAGAGTAAGACTCTGTCCCAAAAAAACCAAAATTCAAAAAAAAAAGACCAAAAAAAAATTTTTTTTAAAGGGTCATTTCTCGGGCAGGCACAGTGGCTCATGCCTTGTAATCCCAGCAGTTTGGGAGGATCATGAGGTCAGGAATTTGAGACTAGCCTGGCCTACATGGTCAAACCCTGTCTCTACTAAAAATACAAAAATTAGCCGGGTATGGTGGCACGTGCCTGTAATCCCAGCTAGCCGGGGGGCTGAGGCAAGGGAATTGCTTGAACCCGGGAGGCAGAGGTTGCAGTGAGCCAAGATTGCGCCACTGCACTCCAGCCTGGGTGACAGAGCAAGACTCCATCCCAAAAATAAAATAAAATAAAATAAAAAGGGTCATTTCTCTAATGAGAACAAAGCTGTAGTTTGGGGAGGAGGGTTTAACTGTGCTGGTGCCACTGACTTCACAAATATTATATCATCTCAAATTATTTATATACTTTCTAGCTGCCTGCCAGTCAAATCTAGGACTCATCATAAGTATTAGGGGATCATTATTTAATTTATAAGAAAAATTATGTTTTTTTAATCCCAAAGGCAAAGGAAAAGTATATTCCAATTTAAGATACTTTTTTCAAGCCATAGGGAACACACATTAAAATTGGAGTCAGAACTATAAAGCCAGGGATATTTCTGAATATCTCTTAGCATGAAAAAAAGAAACTCTGGTGTCTGTAACTCAAGGAACCAGTGCAAATATAGTCCCTGTACTTGCCTCCCTCTCTTCCCTTCACAACCCTCCCACTGTTATAGAAATAAACTCTCACCTCTGGGGTATCTAAGATTTGTTTAACTTGCAGGATATTAGTGATATGCCAAGTATACTTGGAAAAGGTTCCCAGTGGCAAGGCATCTTTCCGAACAAAAGCTTCAACGTGAAAAAAGGACAAAATTAGATTACCAAAAAATAACATTTTCTTTTGTTGTATTTGTTACCTAGTTTCTAATACAGTACTATTATTTCCTTATAGATTCTCAGCACTTTTAAAAAGAAATTCTAGAGGCAAATATATAAAAGGTTTTGGTGACAAATCAGTTGATGTAGATAATTGATATGCTGATCATTGAAGGCTTTGTGCTCCAGACATGTGAGTAGAAGTCCTAACTCTGAATACTCACGGTGAATATTCCACACAGATTTTTTCCAAACATAATTCTCTATGTTCGAGACATCCATCACTATACCAAAGGGAAATCCTGTACCTGTGGTGGAGTTGGGGAGCCGTTTTTTTGCACTTCCTATAGATATTCTTTGTTGCAGGGCATCAAAAAATGACTGAGGAATGTGGAACACCAATGGTTCTGGTTTGCCTATGGGAAACAAGAAGAAACAACTCATTTAAAGAAACTCAGTGGACTTTCTGATGTACAGGGAGAGGTGAAAGAAAAGGAATCAAGGGACGGTAATAACTAAAAATACCACTGAGATTTCTTTATACAGAGGCAAAAAGAAGGCTTTGATTGACCTTTCTGGGCCAAGAACTGTCACTAGTCCTACTGTTGATCCCTTGCAAACATAAAAAACACAGTGTAGCCTGGGCAACAAAGAAAGACCCAGTGTCTATAAAAAAAAATTTTTTTTTTGAGATGGAGTCTCACTCTGTTGCCCAGGCTGGAGTGCAATGGCATGATCTCGGCTCACTGCAACCTCTGCCTCCCGGGTTCAAGCAATCCTCCTGCCTCAGCCTCCTGAGTAGCTGTGACTACAGGCGTGCACCACCACGCCTGGCTAATTTTTGTATTTTTAGTAGAGATGGGGTTTCACCATGTTGGCCAGGCTGGTCTCAAACTCCTGACCTCGTGATCCACCCACCTCGGCCACCCAAAGTGCTGGGATTACAGGCGTGAGCCACCGTGCCTGGCCAAAATTTTTTTTTAAATTAGCCAGGCGTGGTGGTATGCACCTGCTGTCCCAGCTACTTGGGAGGCTGAGGTGGGAGGATCAACTGAGTCGAGGAGGTTGAGGCTGCAGTAAGCCATGATCACGCCACTGCACTCCAGCCTGGGCAACAGAGTGAGACCCTCCCTCAAAAAGGAAAAAAAAAGAAAAGAAAAGAGAGGCCAGGCGTGGTGACTCACACCTGTAATCCCAGCACTTTGGGAGGCCGAGGTGGGTGGATTACCTGAGGTCAGGAGTTCGAGACCAGCTTGGCCAACATGGTGAAAACCCATCTCTACTAAAAAAAAAAAAAAAAAAAAAAATTAGCTGGGCATGGTGGTGTGTGCCTGTAATTCCAGCTACTCAGGAAGCTGAGGCAGGAGAATCGCTTGAACCCAGGAGGCAGAGGTTGCAGTGAGCCGAGATCATGCCACTGCACTCTAGCTTGGGCAACAGGGTGAGACTCCACTGAAAAAAAAGAAAAAAGACAATGAAAAAACAAACCAACACAGTAGACCCTTGTCATCCACCAAGTATAACATTTCAAATCCGCAAATTTTAAAAAGACCAACACAGCACAGACTTTCCCCCTTAAAGGGTATGCGAAGTAAGATGGGATGAGAACAATGAGGCCGAGGTGGCTGCCTCCACTTGATTCCCTTTTGCTCGCTATCCCCAGGTTCTTGCTATTTGCATTCATGTCTAAGCAAACTAATGACATGCTCTCTCACCCGATGGTCAGCACCATGAATGCTGAGGGACTACAAGTTAGGACACTGCTTACCCAGCAAGCATCTGTCTTTCTCTCTGAATATGACCTCAAGGCAGGTAAAATACTTGAAAGTACTTAACCAACCTCTTAAAGAACCTTGCGGCCAGGCACAGTGGCTCACACCTGTAATCCCAGCCCTTTGGGAGGATGAGGCAGGTGGATCACCAGGTCAGGAAATTGAGACCATCCTGGCTAACATGGTGAAACTCCATCTCTACTAAAAATACAAAAAATTAGCCGGGCATGGTGGCATGCGCCTGTAGTCCCAGCTACTTGGGAGGCTGAGGCAGGAGAATCGCCTGAACCTGGGAGGCGGAGGTTGCAGTGAGCCAAGATCACGCCACTGCACTCCAGCCTGGGCGACAGAGTGAGACTCTGTCTCAAAAAAAAAAAAAGAAAAGAAACTTGTCAGACATTAGGTCAACAAAAAGAGTTAAGGGGAGGGGGTCAAGTGAGTTCAGTCTTTCTTAAAAATTCTGTCCAGACCAGGTGTGGTGGCTCACACCTGTAATTCCAACACTTTGGGAGGCCTAGGCAGGCGGATCACTTGAGGTCAGAAGTTCGAGACCAGCCTGGCCAACATGGTGAAACCCTGTCTCTATTAAAAATACAAAAATTAGCCAGGAGTGGTGACACATGCCTATAATCCCAGCTACTCAGGAGGCTGAAACACGAGAATTTCTTGAGCCTGGGAGGTGGAGGTTGCAGTGAACTGAGATTGTACCACTGCACTCCAGCCTGTGTGACAGAGCAAGACTGTCTCAAAAAATAAAAAAGAATTAACTTCAAAAAGGTAAAACACACACACTCATAGTCAAGGAGCGAGCTGATGGAAACCTGGACAAAGGTGGTAGTAATGGAGATGGTAAGATGGAATAGAGGGTGGTACAGGAATGGGATGGAAGAGGGAATAGGATGGGATGGAAGAGGACTACAAGTGTTTAGCTTATAGTATTATCAATATTCTGTTTTCTGGGCTGGGCACGGTGGTTCACGCCTGTAATCCCAGCACTTTGGGAGGCCGAGGTAGGTGGATCACCTGAGGTCAGGAGTTCAAGACCAGCCTGGTTAACATGGTGAAACCCCATCTCTACTAAAAATACAAAAAATTGGCCAGGCATGGTGGTGCGTGCCTGTAATCCCAGCTACTTGGGAGGCTGAGGCAGGAGAATTGCTTGAACCTGGGAGGTGGAGATTACAGTGAGCCAAGATCACGCCACTGCACTCCAGCCTGGGCGACAAGTGATTCACCTACCTCAGCCTCCTGAGTAGTTGGGACTACAGGCCTCTGCCACCATGCCCAGCTATAGGATCCTTTTTTTTTTTTTTTGAGATGGAGTCTCACTTAGTCACCCAGGCTGGAGTGCAGTGGTGCAATCTCAGATCACTGTAAGCTCCACCTCCTGGGTTCACGCCATTCTCCTGCCTCAGCCTCCCGAGTAGCTGGGACTACAGGCACCCGCCACCACACCTGGCTAATTTTTTTGTATTTTTAGTAGAGATGGGGTTTCACTGTGTTAGCCAGGATGGTCTCAATCTTCTGACCTCGTGATCCGCCCGCCTCAGCCTCCCAAAGTGCTGGGATTACAGGCATGAGCCACCGCACCCGGCTGCTAATAGGATACTTTTAAGGCAACAAGCAGAGACTGGCTAGATCTGAAACTGGTGACGTTCCATGAGACTATAACAAATAACACCCAAATCCAGCCTGTGTTCTCCAATCTTCCTCAGCATGTTTATGTCCCTTTTTTTTTTTTTAGATGGAGTCTCACTGTTGCCCAGGCTGGAGTGCAATGGTGCGATCTTGGCTCACTGCAACCTCCGCCTCCCGGGTTCAAGCAATTCTCCCACCTCAGCCTCCCAGGTATTTGGGACTACAGGCACCCACTATAATGCCTGGCTAATTGTTTTGTATTTTTAGTAGAGATAGGGTTTCGCCATGTTGGCCAGGCTTGTCTTGAACTCCTGACCTCAAGTGATCCGCCCACCTCGGCCTCCCAAAGTGTCGGATTACAGGTGAGAGTCACCATGCCCGGCCAGTATGTTTAGTAATTCTATATAACTATCTTAGTCTCATGTGTTTAGATTTTCAATTTTTCTTTTTTCCATACAGGGTCTCGCTTCGTTTCCCAGGCTGGAGTGCAATGGCACTATTTTTTGTAGAGATGGGGTTCACTATGTTGTGCAGGCTTAGATTTTCTCTAATCTTTTTTCCCCTTGCTTTAAGTTTGAGAGTTAGAATAGTCTCATAAAGCTTCAGTATCTCCCTCACCACACACACACACACACACACACACACACACACACGTGCACACGAACTTATGCAAGCAATAAGACTACCTGCCTTTACTTATTATTTGCTATGTTTTTTCTCTTCTGTCTCTAAATTATAATAATTTTGCTGCGCCTGAATTTTAACTATGTGATTGTTTTTTTCTTTCAATTAGATTTCTACTTTCTTGTGGCCCAGTGCTCTCTGGACTGAAGTCCAATTACTTTTCCTATCAGAGGAGAATTACAGCACAATTACCTTAATTTCTCCTACTTTCAGCAAGAGCCCAGTTAGATGAACAATACTTACCATCAAACTGATAGTGCATGGTTTGATGGATGCGTTCTGTGACACTGGCCAGCCAGTCTTGGAAGGATAAAGTCACTTGTGCCTCATCTAACAGCTGACCACAGGCTAGGGAAAAAAAAACCACACATACACACTTCTTTAGTAACTTTTCTTACAAAATAAACAGCTAATTGAAGTTTGAAAAAGTTAACAAGTTTTTTTATTTTTATTTTATTTTTTTGAGACAGAGGTTCGCCCTTGTTGCCCAGGCTGGAGTGCAGTGCACAATCTCAGCTCACTGCAATCTCTGCCTCCTGCGTTCAAGCGATTCTCCTGCCTCAGCCTCCTGAGTAGCTGGGATTACAGGCACCCGCCACCACACCCGGCTAATTGTTGTATTTTTAGTAGAGATGGGGTTTCATCATGTTGGCCAGGCTGGTCTCCAACTCCTGACCTCAGGTGATCCACCTGCCTCGGCCTCCCAAAGTGTAGGGATTACAGGCGTGAGCCACCGCGCCCGGCCTGTTTTTTATTTATTGACAAGGCTTTGTCATGTTGCCCAGCTGGCTTCGAACTCCTAGGCTCAAGCAATCCACCTGCCTCAGCCTTCTGAAGTCCTGGGAGAAGTGTTAATAAGTTTGTCCAGAAAAAAAAAAAAAAAACTTGAAGCTGAACTTCAAAGAAAGCAAATAAACTAAGTGAAATAAGATATTCTGGGATTTTTTTTTTTTTCTTCAGTCTCACTCTGTCGCCCTGGTTGGGGTGAAGTGGCATGATCTCAGCTCACTGCAACCTCCACCTCCCAGGTTTAAGCGATTCTCATGCCTCAGCCTCCTGAGTAGCTGGGACTACAGGTGCGTCACCATGCCCAGCCAATTTTGTTTTCTTTTTAATAGAGACAGGGTTTTTGCCGTGTTTCCCAGGCTGGTCTCAAACTCCTGGCCTCAAATGATCTGCACGCCTTGGCCTCCCAAAGTGCTGGATTACAGGCGTGAGCCACCTGAGGTCAGGAATTCAAGACCAGGCTGGCCAACATGGTGAAACCCCCGTCTCTACTAAAAATACAAAAATTAGCTGGGCGTGGTGGCATGCACCTTAATCACAGCTACTCTGGAGGCTGAGGTGGGAGAATTGCTTGAACCCGGGAGGCGGAGGTTGCAGTGAACTGAGATCGTGCCACAGCACTCCAGCCTGGGCAAGAGTGAGACTCTAAAAAAAAAAAAAGAAAAAGAAAATACGAAATGAGAAGCAACACTAAACTGCATATAAAAGAATGGTCCTATATAATGACTGTTTTAGGCTGGGCTTGGTGGCTCACGCCTGTAATCCCAGCACTTTGGGAGGCCGAGGCGGGTGGATCATGAGGTCAGGAGATCGAGACCATCCTGGCTAATACAGTGAAACCCCGTCTCTACTAAAAATACAAAAAATTAGCCAGGCGAGGTGGCAGGCACCTGTAGTCCCAGCTACTCGGGAGGCTGAGGCAGGAGAATGGCATGAACCCGGGAGGCGGAGCTTGCAGTGAGCCGAGATTGTGCCACTGCACTCCAGCCTGGGTGACAGAGCGAGACTCCATCTCAAAAAAAAAAAATTAACCTGGCATGGTGGTGCGTGACTGTGGTCCCAACTACTCAGGAGGCTGAGGTGAGAGGATTGTTTGAGCCCAGGAGGCAGAGGCTGCAGTGAGCCGAGATCATGCCTCTGCACTCCAGGCTGGGTGTAGAGTGAGACCCCATCTCAAGTAAAAATAAATAAGTAAATAAATAAAAATAATGGCTGTTTTAGAGGTTTATAAATTAGTTTTATTCCTGATGAACATGTATCCATATGCCCCAGACCCTCTCAATAATGAACATATTCTTTCATGCCAAGGTTGACCACAAATAGATGACTGAGTGATGCACGCACTGTGGGTTGCAATGATAATACCTTTAGACTTAAAACCTAAAACCTTGTATTCAGAAATGTAAAATGAATGAATTCACTTTTTTTTGAGACCGAGTCTTGCTCTGTTGCCCAGGCTAGAGTGCAGTGGCATGATCTCAGCTCACTGCAACCCCTGCCTCCCGGGTTCAGGCGATTCTCCTGCTTCAGCCTCCTGAGTAGCTGGGATTTACAGGCACCTGCTACCGTGCCTGGCTAATTTTTGTATTTTTAGTACAGATGGGGTTTTGACATCTTGGTCAGGCTGGTCTTGAACTCCTCACCTCGTGATCCAACCACCTCGGCCTCCCAAAGTGCTGGCATTACAGGCATGAGCCACTGCACCCAGCCAAATTCACTCTTAAATATAAGTGAAAGAGTGAAATCTTGCAGCCCTGGAGTAAATAACTGGAAAAAACAGTAACGAGTGATGGAATTTAATGGAGCCAGAGTTTAGAGGTCGGAGTCAAAAGGCTATGGGAAGCTGGGTGCAGTGGCTCACGCCTGTAATCCCAGCACTTTGGGAGGCCAAGGCGGGTGGATCACCTGAGGTCAGGAATTCGAGACCAGCCTGGCCAACATGGTGAAACCCTGTCTCTACTAAAAATACAAAAAATTAGCCAGGCGTAGTGGTGTGCGCCTGTAATCTCAGCTACTCGGGAGGCTGAGGCAGGAGAATCGCTTGAGCCCAGGAGGCGGAGGTTGCAGTGAGCTGAGATTGTGCCACTGTACTCCAGCCTAGGCGACAGAGTGAGACTCTGTCTCAAAAAAAAAAAAAAAAAAAAGGCTATGGGACCTAGGATCCCCACCCACTGAGTGACGAGGGTCCATATCTCAAGTTCCTCTCTTCTAAGATGAAGATATGCATCTGGATATCTCCAAATTCAAGAGCCTTCCACAGATCTATCATTCTATTTCTTTTCTTAAAATATCTTTATTCCGGGCACGGTGGCTCATGCCTGTAATCCTAGCACTTTGGGAGGCCGAGGCGGGTGGATCTCTTGAGCCCAGGAGTTTGAGACCAGATTGGGCAACATGACGAAACTCCGTCTCTACTAAAAATACAAATAAATAATCAAGTGTGGTGGCATGTGCCTGTAGTCCCAGCTACTTGGGAGGCTAAGGTGGGAGGATAATTTGAGCCCAGAAGGCTGCAGCGAGCTGTATCCCCGCCACTGCGCTCCAGCCTGAGTGACAGAGCAAGACCTGTGTCAAAGAAAAACACAACAAAAAAATACCGCCAACAACAAAATATCTTCACGTGTCTGAAGTACAGTATCACCTTTTGTAGAGATAATGCCTCAATGACTATTCATTTAAAACTAAGATTATCAGAGGTAAAGGCATACAGTGACAATTTAGATTGAAGCTACCTTCCTTTTTCTTTGCACCAAAGGAAGTGACAAAAAATTATTAAAAATCAGCCAAGCACAGTGGCTAATTGCTATAATCCCAGCACTTTGGGAGGCCAAGGCAGGCGGATCACTTAAGGCCAGGAGTTCGAGAGCAGCCTGGCCAACATAGCAAAACCCCATCTCTACCAAAAATACAAAAATTAGAAGGGTATAGTGGCAAATGCTTGTGATCCCAGCTACTTGGGAGGCTGAGGCACGAGATGAACCTGGGAGGCGAAGGTTGCAGTGAGCTGAGATCACGCCATTGCACTCCAGCCTGGGTGACAAAGCAAGACTCTGTCTTGAAAAAATATATGTATATAAATAATAAAAAAACCTATTTGATGCTGTTGATCTGCTTACTTTGTGACTTTCCTTAAACACTTATGCCTAGAATGCCTAAGTGCGTAAGTTCTTTTTTTTTTTTTTTTTTTTTTTTGAGACGGAGTCTCACTCTGTTGCCCAGGCTGGAGTCTAGTAGCATGATCTTGGCTCACTGCAACCTTCACCTTCCAGGTTTAAGCGATTCTCCTGCCTCAGCCTCCCAAGTAGCTGGGATTACAGGCACATGCCACCATACTTGGCTACATTTTTTATACTTTTTAGTAGAGACAGGGTTTTACCATGTTGGCCAGGCTGGTCTCAAACTCCTGACCTCAAGTGATCCATCCGCCTGCCTCAGCTTCCCAGAGTGCTGGGATCACAGGCGTGAGCCACCGTGCTTGGTCATAAGTTCTTAATGAATTACTTAATTAGTATTGTTTTATATTATTCTTTTTTTTCTTTATTTTAGACAAGATTTCATCCTGTTACCCGTGCAGTGGTGCAATCATGACTCACTGCAGCCTCGACATCCCAGGGTCAAGCAATCTTCTCACCTCAGCCTCCTAAGTAGCTGAGTTTACAGGCATGTGACACAACACCCAGCTAATTTTTTTTTGTTTTTTGTGTTTTTTTTGGTAGAGATGGAGTCTCACTACTCCTACCTCGGCCTCCCAAAGTGCTGGGATTATAGGCGTGAGCCACCACACCCAGTCACATAAAACGCCTTTTTCCTTCAACTTTGAATCTCTATACCAATTGCACATGAGTAATAAGCAATAAGATGAACACATCCTGCAAGACACCTGCTGCTAAACATGTCAGAATTTTTTTGTTTAAAGACATAATTTAGGCCAGTCGTGGTGGCTCACACCTGTAATCTCAGTACTTTGTGAGGCTGAGGTGAGCAGATCACTTGGGGTCAGGAGTTTGAGACCAGCCTGGACAACATGGTGAAACCCCATCTCTACTAAAAATACAAAAATTAGCCGGGCATGGTGGCGTGCACCTGTAATTCCAGCTACTTGGGAGGCTAAAACAGGAGAATCGCTTGAACCCAGAGGCGGAGGTTGCAGTGACCAAGATCATGTCATTGTACTCCAGCCTGGGCAACAGAGTGAGACTCCATCTCCAATAAATAAATAAATAAATAAAAATAAATACAATAAATTACTTTTTAAGGTAATTGTACATTCACACGCAGTTGTAAGAAATATAAGGCTTCTATACCCTTCATCCGGATTCACCCAAGAGTAACATTTTGTAAAACTATAGTACATCACAGTCAGGAAAATGACATGGTTACAATCTAGTGACCTTATTCACATCTCACCAGCTTTATGTACTTGTGTGTGGTATGCATGCATATAGTTCCATGCAATTTTAGGGCATGTGTAGACTTGTGTGACCAACACCACAGTCAAGACATAAAACAGTCCATCACAAAGACTCCCTGTGCTACTCTTTTATTGCTGCTGTTACAACCCTCCCAACCCCCTCTTTCTTTTTTTTTTGAGACTAAGTCTTGCTCTTATTGCCCAGGATGGAGGAAAATGGTGCGATCTTGGCTCACTGCAACCTCTGCCTCCCGGGTTCAAGTGATTCTCCTGCCTCAGCCTCTTGAGTAGCTGGGATTACAGACGTCTGCCACCACATCTGGCTAATTTTTTCTATTTTTAGTAGAGACAGGGTTTCACCATGTTGGCCAGACTGGTCTCAAACTCCTGACCTCAGGTGATCTGCCTGCCTCAGTCTCCCAAAGTGCTGGGATTACAGGCGTGAGCACCGTGCTCAGCCCCAACCCCCTCTTTAAATCCTGGCAACTACTAATCTGTTCTCTATCTTTATGGTTTTAGACATAATTTAGTTTTTTTTAAAAATTATTTTTTTAAATTAAAAAAGATTATTTCATCACCCAGGTATTTTTAAAATTTAATTACACATATGTTTTGTTTGTTTGTTTGTTTAGGTAGAGACAGGGTTTTGCCACGTTGGCCAGGCTGGCCTCGAACTGCTGGCCTCAAGTAATCCACCTGGCTTGGCCTCCCAAAGTGCTGGGATTACAGGCATGTGCCATCACACCCAGCCTCATCACCCAGGTTATTAAGCCTAGTATCCATTAGTTATTTTTCCTGATCCTCTCACCCCCTTCCACCTTTCCTCCCTCCTCCCACGTTTCACCCTCCAATAAGCCCCAGTGTGTGTTGCTCCCCTCTATGTGTCCATGTGTTCTCATCATTTAGCTCCCACTTATAAGTAAGAACATACTGTATTTGGTTTTCTGTTCCTGCATTAGTTTGCTAAGGATAATGGCCTCCAGCATAATTTAGCTTTGAGCATGATTTGAAACTGGTGGGACAGGAGGGACCTCAGCCTCAGTGCTTCTGTTAGTATTTATGCTGGGACTCTTTGGGTGACAATGTGCATGATTATACTGCTTCTGGCTTCTTTAGGATGACTTTCCACCACTGTAGCCTATTCTAGGGAAGGGAAACTTACCCTGCCTTTTTAACGAGGAAGCAACCACAGGCTTTTTCAGGCCACTTTTCCTTAGATTACTGCTCACTGCATCTTGAGGCAGTAGTGAACTGTTCATCTGTGCACCTAAACCACAAATCATTACAGGTTTAACAATGTATCTGCTAAATATAAATTGATTTGATGTTAATTTTTAGAGTCTAAAACATATAAACAGTCTTTGCTAATTTCTAGGTTAGCTTCACAGTTTCTAGGAGTTAGCATTAGTCTTTACACATAAAATTTTAGCTTTCTTATGCTCTTTATAGGAAATTGGGTGAATAAACAGAAATGAAAGGAAGAAAAAAATTCACTTATTGCTCCCACCTGTCAGACAATTACGATGACTTTTCTAGTGAACTGTCTTCCGTTTTCTTCTCTGTGAATATGTTATTGGTTTTGTGATTTTTAAGTAGTTGTGATTTTACCAGAGTTGCCAAATTTAGCAAAAAGAAAATGTTCTTTTAAATTTCAGATAAACAACAAATAATGTCTTAGTATCAAAGTATGTCACAAATATTGCATGGAAATACTTATACTAAAAATTATTCGTTCTGTAATCCCAGCACTTTGGGAGGCCCAGGTGGGCTGATCATGAAGTCAGGAGCTTGAGACCATCCTGGCTAACATGGTGAAACCCCAACTCCACTAAAAATATAAAAAATTAGCCGGGCGCGGTGGCAGGTGCCTGTAGTCCCAGCTACTCAGGAGGCTGAGGCAGGAGAATCGCCTGAACCCAGGAGGCGGAGCTTGCAGTGAGCCGAGACTGCGCCACTGCACTCCAGCCTGGGCGACAGAGCGAGACTGTCTCAAAAAAAAAAAAAAATTATTTGTTAACTGAAATTCAAGTTTAACTGAGTATTCTATACTTTATCTGGCTACCCAAGTGATCTGAGCATTTTCCCAAATTCTTTATTATCACTTGTTTTTAATTTTTATTTTTTAGAGATGAGGTCTTGCTATATTGCCCAGGCTGGAATGCAGTGGCTATTCACAGGTCCAATCACAGTGTGCTAGAGCCTTGAGCTCCCGGGCTCAAGGGACCCTCCTGCCTCAGCTTCCTGAGTAGCTGGGACTACAGGCATGCACCACTGCACCCAGACTATAATCATTTTTATGCCTGCCTGATATTCTATGGTAAAGTGGCTTTACCATGGTTCATTTAACTATCCCCAGTGGTTAACCCTTAGTTGTTTCTAATTTTTTAATTTTCTAAATAATCATAAAATCAACATCTCCAGACAAAATGTTTTTCCTATACCAATAATTATTTCCTTAGAAAAGATTATTCAGAAGTGGGGCCGGGCATGGTGGCTCACACCTGTAATCCCACCACTTTGGGAGGCCGAGACGGGTGGATCACCTGAAGTCAGGAGTTTGAGACCAGTCTGGCCAACATGGTGAAACCTCATCTCTACTAAAAATACAAAAATTAGCTGGGTGTGGTGGCGAGCACCTGTAATCACAGCTACTTAGGAGACCGAGGCAGGAGAATCACTTGAACCCGAGAGATGGAGGCTGCAGTGAGCTGAGATCGCGCCATCACACTGCAGCCTGGGAAACAAGAGCCGAACTCCACCTCAAAAAAGAAAAAAAAAAAATAGCCAAGCGTGGTGGCAGGAGCCTGTAATCCCAGCTACTCGGGAGGCTAAGGCAGCAGAATTGCTTGAACCCAGGAGGTGGAGGTTGCAGTGAGCCAAGATCACGCCACTGCACAATCCAGAGCAAGACTCCATTTCCAAAAAAAGGGGAAAGACTAATAAGTAAACATTTAACAACAATTTCTGCTCTATATTCCTGCCAGAATTGCCTCTCTAAAATACACAAATGACCATGTCACTTTGTTTCTCCATCTTTCTTCAACTTCCCAGCACCAAAACTCTTGTGCATGACCACCTGATCCATCCCTAGCAATATTTCCTATAGGTAGGACCATTTTAAGGATCTTAACAGATACTACAAGCTATATACCAATGATTATAGCAATGTATACTACACTAGCCATGCCAGAGAGCCTGGATTTTACCTTTGCCTGTGGTCTCATCATTTTAAAAAACTTTGCCAGCTGGGCATGGTGGCTTACACCTGTAATTCCAACAATTTGGGAGGCTGAGACAGGAGGATCACTTGAGGTCAGGAGTTTGAGACCAGCCTGGTCAACACAGTGAAACCCTGTCTCTACAAAAAACAAACCAAAAAATTAGCCAGGCATGGTGGCTTGTGCCTGTAGTCCCAGCTACTTGGGAGGCTGAGGCAGGAGGATCTCTTGAGCCTAGGAGGTCCAGGCTGCAGTGAGCCATGATTGTGCCCCTGCACTCCAGCTTGGGCAACAGAGTGAGAACTCATCTCTTAAAAAACAAACAAACAAACAAACAAAAAAACACACAAACTTTGCTAATTTGGTAGCAAAAGGTATCCTGTTTTAATTTTGCATTTCTAAAATGTTTGCATTTCTCTGTCTACTAGTAAGTTTGGAGTTTGGTCCATGGGTGTGGACCAAGTAATATTTTCATTTTGTTTAGACTCTAGGTCTCTTGATGCTTACCTACTAGGATACTTCACCATTTTCATATTGATTTATCAGAGTCCTTAACTGACACTAGTATTAAGCATTTGAATTTAAAAATGTGGCCTGGCCAGGCATAGTGGCTCACACCTGTAATCCCAGCACTTTGGGAGGCCAAGGCGGGTGGATCACCTGAGGTCAGGAGTTCAAGACCAGCCTGGCCAACATGGCGAAACCCCGTCTCTACTAAAAATACAAAAATTAGGCAGGCATGGTGGTGGGTGCCTGTAATCCCAGCTACTCAAGAGGCTGAGGCAGAAGAATTGCTTGAACCTGGGCAGTGGAGGTTGCAGTGAGCCGAAGATCGCATCAGTGTACTCCAGCCTGGGCAACAGAGCGAGACTCCATCTCTAAATAAATAAATAAATAAATAAGGCTGGGTGCAGCGGCTCACGCCTTACTTATTACAGGCTCAGGCCTGTAATCCCAGCACTATGGGAAGCCAAAGCGGGTGGATCACCTGAGGTCAGGAGTTCAAGACCAGTCTGACCAATATGGTGAAACCCCATCTCTACTAAAAATATAAAAATTAACTGGGCGTGCACCCTTAGTCCCAGCTACTCAGGAGGCTGATATGAGAATTGCTTGAACCCGGGAGGCAGAGGTTGCAGTGAGCTGAGATCGCACCACTGCACTCCAGCCTGGGCGACAGAGCAAGACTCCATCTCAAAAAAAAAAAAAAGAAAAAAATGTGTGTGTGGGTGTGTGTATGTGTGTGTTTCTCCATATACTGAAAATGAAGACAATAACCTATATTTCTAAATTAGTGTGGGGAATATAACCATTGTCACAAAATTTTTTTAAACACTCTATGGATGAAAACTTCATAATACTATCCTAAGGCAGATTAAGGTATAAAATTAATCTGTTTAAGGGATGTACAAACATATACAGTAAAAGTAGAATTTGGTTGGATCTTATTTTTGGCTAAGGGATCAAACTTTTAGCTTAACTTGAAAAAGAATCATCAATGGAGAGTAAAACTTTTCTCAGGAAAAAAACCCATAAGAACAAAAACATAATATTTCTTGGCCAGGTGTGATAGCTCACACCTATAATTCCAGCACTCTGGGAGGCCAAGATGGGAGAATCACTTAAGGCCTGGAGTTCGAGGCCAGCCTGGGCAAGATGGTAAGACCCCTGTCTCTTTATTTTAATAAAAATAAAATAAAATATAGTATTTTCTTATAATTGCTGAGGTTCAGTCAAAGACATAAAACGCAGTAAAACAATCTCTAAAGACAATACCACCAAACCAACCAACCAGACTCTTACCAGATACTTCATCCTTTCTCCTCTTCTTTGACTTAGAGGCAGTAGACTCACAAGCAGATACTGTTGATTCTGAATGGCAACCTAACTGGGGTACAATAATCTCTTTAAGACCTAAAAAAAAGAAGATTTCTGAATTATTAATCCTATCCAAGGGTAAGTATAAGTATAGGCCTCTATGTAGCGAAAAGTTAATTTCTTTTTAAAAATCCCCCAAACGAATTATCCCAGGCTGGGCAACATAGGCAGACCCCAACTCTACAAAAAATAAAAAATTACCACGCCTGTGTTCCCAGCTACTCGAGAGGCTGAAGTGGGAGGATCACTTTAGCCCAGGAGGGTCAAGGCTGTAATGAGCCGTGATTATGTCACTGCATGCCAGCCTGGGCGACAGAGGCAGACGCTGTCTCAAAAAACAAACCAAAAACAAAAACAAAAAAAAAATTATGGAGTGATTGCTTGTTTTAAAATAAGTTCCTTGGGCCGGGTGCGGTGGCTCACGTCTGTAATCCCAGCACTCTGGGAGGCCGAGGCGGGTGGATCACCTGAGGTCAGGAGTTTGAGACCAGCCTGGCCAACATGGTGAAACCTCATCTCTACTAAAAATACAGAAATTAGCCAGGCATGGTGGCACATGCCTGTAGTCCCAGCTACTCAGGAGGCTGAGGCAGGAGAAGCGCTTGAACCCAGGAGGTGGAGATTGCAGTGAGCTGAGATTGCGCCATTGCATTCCAGCCTGGGTGACAGAGTGAGACTCCATCTCAATAAATATATAAATAAATAAATAAGTTCCTTTAGACTGGGTGCAGTGGCTCATGCCTGTAATCCCAGTACTTTGGGAGGCTGAGGCAGGCAGATCACCTGAGGCCAGGAGTTTGAGACCAGCCTGGCCAACATGGAGAAACCCTGTCTCTACTAAAAATACAAAAATTGGTCAGGCATGGTGGCAGGCGCCTGTAATCCCGGCTACTTGGGAGACTGAGGCATGAGGATTCCTTGAACCCAGGAGGCAGGGGTTGCGGTGAGCCAAGGTTGTGCTACTGCACTCCAGCGTTTGTGATGGAGCAAGATTCTGTCTCAAAAAAAAAAAAAAAAAAAAAAAATCAAGAGATTCTGTCTCTTGATCATTAATTTCAACCAACCAACCAACCTTTATGCAAGTGTGCTGACTGAGACTGAAAGAAGGAATGCAACCAGGTGTGGCGGCTCACACCTGTGATCTCAGCACTTTGGGAGGTTGAGGCAGGAGGACTGCTTCAGCCCAGGAGTTCAAGACCAGCCTCGGCAACAAAGTAAGACCCCTATCTGCAAAAAATTAAAAAAATTAGCCAGGCATGGTGGCACGTGCCTGTGGTCCTAGCTATCTGCGGGGACTGAGGTGGTAGGATCTCGAGCCTGGGAGGTCAAGGCTGCTGTGAGCTGTGATCAGGCCACTGCACTCTAGCCTGGGCAACAAAGTGAGACCTTGTCTCAAAAAAAAAAAAAAAAAAAAAAAAAAAGAAGGAACACTTTTCATTTGAATTATCTAGCAACTGTTTCTGAAGGTTGCTAAGACAATCTCCAAATGCATCAGTGGAACTCTTTTCATTGCAGTTTTAGAAAAACGTAATAACCACATCAACCATACCACCTACCGCTGGAATCAAAATTTAGGAAGTCTGAGAATTCCTGAGCCAGTGTCTCATCACTGGCAAAGGCACAGATGCAAGCAAAGAAATGAATGCATCTCTGGGCTGTCTCATCCTTGGAGGCATTTGACTTGTGCGATTTCAGAGTCTGACAGGAGCAGAAGAAGCGGCGCTCAGGCAAGCTTTTGCCACTGACTTTCTGCACAAAAGATGTATGCAAATACCCCAAACTGTGCTTCTGGCTTGCCTTGCATTTCACCACCAAGATGTTTTTAGTAATTCTCTGCACCAGAGGACCTGTGGGTTCCGTGGCCAACTGCCAGATGGTCTGTTTGGTTTCCGGGGAGGCCTGCATTGCATTCAGGACCGAGCTCTTCAGGGTCAGAGGGGTGGCCTCTGCCTGGCAGTTCACCGCCAGCTTGATGTGCTGGCACTGGTTTTCCACAACGCCTTGAGTGGCAGCTTTCAGGCATGAGGGGACATAACACCGTCCAGAGCTCAGCTGAGTGATGATCGTCCCATCCACTGTCTGGATTGTTGTCTCTGAAACCCCGAGCTCCACAAAGCATCGGTAATCAGGGCCCCGGTCTCTTTGCCGCACTGAGTAGACCTGAAGATCAGAGCCTGTAATGATTTTGACAGCTTCAACACTAGGCTGCTTGCGTGCACCGTAGCGGAATATGGTTCCACATGTCTTGTTCTTACAGCTCAGTCCCCGGGTTCCATTGTATGTGCCACATCGGGGACACTTTCTGATTCCCCTCAATGTGGCCTTCCCCAAATCAGATAAGAAAGCTGGGACTTTAGTCCTCAGAGAATTTGGTTCCATTTTTCAGAGGCCCTACAAAAGACAATACATCCAACAGTATGAGTATACCTTCACACACAAAAAGTTAAAATCACTTATGATATTTAGTACAGAAGGCAAAATATAAAAAAGCTATCTACTATTTTTTTTTTTTAGACGGAGTCTCGCTCTGTCGCCCAGGCTGGAGTGCAGCGGCGCGATCTCGGCTCACTGCAACCTCCGCCTCCTGGGTTCAAGTGATTCTCCTGCCTCAGCCTCCCGAATAGCTGGGACTATAGGCACCCGCCACCACGCCCAGCTAATTTTTGTATTTTTAGTAGAGATGGGGTTTGACCATGTTGGCCAGGCTGGCCTCGAACTCCTGACCTTGTGATCCGCCTGCCTCAGCTTCCCAAAGTGCTGGGATTACAGGTGTGAGCCACGGCGCCTGGCTGCTATCCACTATTTTTAAACTGTACCACAAAACAACATAAATTTAAACCTACAAACAAAATGAAAGTGGAAACTGCCTTTCATACCTATTTTTTTAAATCCTAATAATCAAAGCATTTCTCCAGATTTAACTCTGTTCTATATAACAACGGAAGTTAGTTAACCTAATCTTTACATGCCCAGATGTCTAACTTCAGCAAGAATTAGAGAACATGAAAGATGAGTTTTTTTCCCTTCCATCATTCCCCACAAAACCTAGCCCAATCCTACCTGTACCAGCTGCCAAGGCATCTGGAAAACAGTGTAACCTGAATTCATAAGACTTAAAAGGTGTTTCATTAGTTTCTAATGATCAGGTGAAAACACGATCATTTGCAGACTAATGATAACTGCTTAACCCAAAATCTTCTGAAGTTTGAGCTGTATGGTGTAACAATGCAGACATTCTGCCTCCTCCTTCTCCACCAGCCAATGGCAAAGCTTCTGCCCAATGTTCCGCAAATAAGATTCCCACTTCCCTAAGTGGAGATCTTGATAGTCTGCGAGTAAAACAAGAAAAAATATTAAAGTTATACAAAGACAGGATGATTCTTTCGTTAGAAATCAAACAGAATAGGAATCAAAGTCTTTCACAATTACTTGAGAAATATTTGACAGAAATGATTATGGAAATGGGTTAAGTGTTTTGTACTTCCAACTGTAAGGAAGGTAAAAAGGTGCTAATGTCATTACAAAGGGGGTTGTCAAGAACACTTTAGAGGTCTGGCATGGTGGCTCACTCCTGTAATCCCAGAGATTTAGGAAGCTGAGGTGGAGGATCACTTGAGCCCAGGAGTTCAAGACCAGCCTGGACAACATAGTGAGACCTCATTTCTATAAAAAAATTTAAAAATTAGCTGGGCATGGTGGTGTGCACCTGTAGTCCCAGCTACGTTGGAGGCAGAGGTGGGAGGATCACCTGAGTCCAGGAGAGCAAGGCTGCAAATTGTGCCATTATACCCCAGCCTTGGCGACAGAGCAGGACCCCATCTCTTTTTTTTTTTCTTCTTTGAGATGGAGTCTCACTCTGCTCACCCAGGCTGGAGTGCAGTGGCGCAATCTCGGCTCACTGCAACCTCCACTTCCCAGATTCAAGCGATTCTCCTGCCTCAGCCTCCTTAGTAGCTGGGACTACGGGCACATGCCACCATGCCCGGCTAATTTTTTGTATTTTTAGTAGAGACGGGGTTTCACTGTGTTTCGATCTCCTGACCTCGTGATCTGCCCACCTCAGACTCCCAAAGTGCTGGGATTACAGGCGTGAGCCAATGCGCCCGGCCGACCCCATCTCTTTAAAAAAAAAAAAAAAGAACACACCTAGAGCTATGTTATATAATTGGTCAATAACTCATCCTTCCTAATAGTAATACATCACATTTTGAGTGCTTTATGCATTTTTCTGCTCTCTTACCCAGGCTGGAGTGCAGTGGTGTGATCACAGCTTACTGCAGACTCAACCTCCTGGGCTCAAGTGATCTTCCTGCCTCAGCCTCCCAAGTAGCTGAAACTATAGGTACATGCTGCCATGCCTGGCTAATTTTTAAAAAATTTTTTGGTAGAGACAGGGGTCTCACTTTGTTGCTCAGGCTGGTCTCGAACTCCTGGCCTCAAGCGCTCCTCCTGCCTTGTCCTCTTAAAGTGCTGGGATTATAAGTGTGAGCCACACAGCTTCATTTACTCAGTAAAAATTACAGTCGGGGACTAGTTCATAGCACCAATGAAAAGGTGGACATTTTAAAACTATTCTTATTTGTACTTTCCAATTTGTTAATCAGTGGATAGAAGATGTAGAGAGAAAAAAAAATTGTTTTGAGACAGTCTTGCTCTGTCACCCAGGATGGAGTGCAGTGACGTGATCTCGATTCACTGCAACCTCCGCCTCCCGGGCTCAAGCAATTCTCTGGCTAATTTTTGTATTTTTAGTAGAGATGTGGTTTCACCATGTTGGCCAGGCTGGTTTTGAACTCCTGACCTCCAGTGATCTGCCCGCCTTGGCCTCCCAAAGTGCTGGGATTACAGACATGAACCACTGTGCCTGGCCCTATTTTTTTTTTTTTTTTTTTTTTTTTTGAGACAGAGTCTCACTCTGTTGTCAAAGATGGAGTGCAGATCATGGCTCACTGCAGCCTTGACCTCCCAAGGTCAAGCAATCCTCCTGCCTCAGACTCTCAAATAGCTGAGACCACAGGTACGTGCCACTACACTCAGCTAATTATAAATTTTTTATAGAGATGGGGGTCTCACTATGTTGCCCAGGCTGGCTTTGAACTCCTGGGCTCAAGCAATCCTCCTGCCTCGGCCTCCCAAAGTTCTGGGATTACAGGTGTGAGCCACCATGCCCAGTGGTCTCTATTCTTCTTAAAAAATGTTTTAGGCCGGGCGCAGTGGCTCATGCCTGTAATCCCAGCACTTTGGGAGGCCGAGGTGGGTGGATCACAAGGTCAGGAGATCAAGACCATCCTGGCTAACACAGTGAAACCCTGTCTCTACTAAAAATACAAAAAATTAGCCGGGCGTGGTGGCGGGCACCTGTAGTCCCAGCTACTTGGGAGGCTGAGGCAGGAGAATGGCGTGAACCCGGGAGACAGAGCTTGCAGTGAACCGAGATCATGCCACTGCACTCCAGCCTGGGCGACAGAGTGAGACTCCATCTCAAAAAAAATAAAAATAAAAAAATGTTTTAGGCTGGGCGCAGTGGCTCGTGCCTGTAATCCCACCACTTTGGGAGGCCGAGGCGGGTGGAACACCTGAGGGCAGGAGTTCAAGACTAGCCTGGCCAACATGGTAAAACCCTGTCTCTACTAATAATACAAACAAAAAAAATTATCTGGGCGTGGTGGTGCACGTCTGTAATCCCAGCTACTCCGGAGGCTGAGGCAGGGGAATCACTTGAACCTGGGAGGCAGAGGTTGCAGTGAGCTGAGATCACGCCATTGCACTCCAGCATGGGTGACAAGAGTGAAATTCCGTGTCAAAAAAAAAGTTTTAAAAAGACTAGGCACAGTGGCTCACACCTGTAATTGCCAGCACTTTGGGAGGCTGAGGTGGGAGGGTCACTTGAGGCCAGGAGTTCGAGACCAGCCTAGCCAACATGATGAAAACCTGTGTCTACTAAAAATACAAAAATTAGGCAGGCATGATGGCACATGTCTATAACCCCAGCTACTCAGGAGGCTGAGGCATGAGAATTGCTTGAACACAGGAGGCAGAGAGGTTGCAGTGAGCCAAGATCGCACCACTGCACTTCAGCCTGGGAAACAGAGTGAGACTTTGTCACAAAAAAAAATATATATATATACACACACACACAAACACACACACACATACATATATACACACATATATATATATACACACACACATATATATATATATTTTAAGGAAAACAAGTGCTTTGTGAAATAAGATGCATAGCAGGGTTTCTCCACCTTGGCACTGCTGACATTTAGGACTGGATAATTCTTTGTTGTGGGGGCTATCCTATGCATTGCAGAATGTTTAACAGTATCCCTGGTTTCTACCCACTAGATCCCGGTAGCAGGCCCCATCCCTAATTGTAAAAAAAAAAAAAAAAAAAAAGTCTCCAGATAATGCCAAATGTCCTCTGGAGGCAAAACTGCCCCAGTTAAAAGCCACTGATGTAGAGTCATTAGCCTGTTCACACAGCATTCCTTCCTAGCTCAATGAACTTCTTTAGTAGGTATTCTCATTCAGTCCCACATGGATTCTTAGAATATTGTTCCAAAGTCAAAACATGAAGGATCAGTTTGCTTTTTACCATGAACGATCTCTGTGACCAAGTCCTTTAACTTCTGAGCTTCAGGATTTTTTCATCTGCAAAGCTACGATACGACATATATATACGTATATGTATATATACACACACACACACACATATATACAATTTGTATATATGAAAGAGCTTAGAAAAAATTAATTTAAAAATTATGTTGCTAATGATGATTTAACATATCAAAGTGGAAAAAAACCTTTCTGTCATATCATTAAAAAGTCAGGAAACAACATGTGCTGGAGAGGATGTGGAGAAATAGGAAGACTTTTACACTGTTGGTGGGACTATAAACTAGTTCAACCATTGTGGAAGTCAGTGTGGCGATTCCTCAGGGATCTAGAACTAGAAATACCATTTGACCATCCCATTACTGGGTATATACCCAAAGGACTATAAATCATGCTACTATAAAGACACATGCACACGTATGTTTATTGCGGCACTATTCACAATAGCAAAGACTTGGAACCAACCCAAATATCCAACAATGATAGACTGGATTAAGAAAATGTGGCACATATACACCATGGAATACTATGCAGCCATAAAAAATGATGAGTTCATGTCCTTTGTAGGGACATGGATGAAACTGGAAATCATCATTCTCAGTAAACTATCGCAAGGACAAAAAACCAAACACCGCATGTTCTCACTCATAGATGGGAATTGAACAATGAGAACACATGGACACAGGAAGGGGAACATCACACTCTGGGGACAGTTGTGGGGTGGGGGGAGGAGGGAGGGATAGCATTAGGAGATATACCTAAGGCTAGATGACGAGTTAGTGGGTGCAGCACACCAGCATGGCACATGTATACATATGTAACTAACCTGCACATTGTGCACATGTACCCTAAAACTTAAAGTATAATAATAATTAAAAAACAAAACAAAACAAAAAAAAAACCTTTCTGTCATTAAGGGAGGAGGTGGTTTGCCAGCTGTTGGTGCTGTAGCTTTAGCATAGGAATAGCTGTAGCATCAACAATGGAGTTCCACTCTTTTATCTTTTCTTTTACTTTTGTTGTTGTTGTTGACAACGGAGTTTCGCTCTTGTTGCCCAGGCTGGAGTGCAATGACGCAATCTCAGCTCACTGCAACCTCCGCCTCCCGGGTTCAAGTGATTCTCCTGCCTCAGCCTCCTGAGTAGCGGGGATTACAGGTACCTGCTACCACGCCCAGCTAACTTTTTTGTATTTTTAGTAGAGACAGGGTTTCACCATGTTGGCCAGGCTGGTCTCAAATTCCCGACCTCAAGTGATCTGCCTGCCTCGGCCTCTCAAGTGCTGGGATTACAGGCATGAGCCACTGTGCCCAGTCTTTTCTTTTACTTTTTGATTATGCCCTCCAGCAGGCGATTTGTGAGTATCTTTAACATTATAAATCCATATTTCTTTATTAAAAATGCTTTCAATTTTGCAATAATTTTAGAAAATTTATTTCAACACATTTATTACATTTTAGTTTTTTTTAAATTGAGACGGAGTCTCACTTTGTCACCCAGGCTGGAGTGCAGTGGCGTGATCTCACCTCACTGCAACCTCCGCCTCCCGGGTTCAAGCAATTCTCCTGCCTCAGCCTCCCGATTAACTGAGACTACAGGCACATGCCACCACGCCCAGCTAATTTTTGTATTTTTAGTAGAGACGGGGTTTCACCATGTTGGCCAGGCTGGTCTCGAACTCCTGACCTCAGATGATCCACCCACCTCGGCCTCCCAAAGCTCTGGGATTACAGGCATAAGCCACCATACCCGACTGCATTTTGGCTTTTATAGGAAAGCTAAAGACAGTACAGAGACTTCCTACCTACCTTTCACACAGACTCCCCAAATGTTAACATCTCACATAACTATGGGGCATTTGTCAAAAATAAGGTCTTAACATTGGTACAACACTATTAACTCTACTACAGGCTTTATTCAGATTTTACCAGTTGTCCACTAATGCCCCTTTTTATTTTATTTATTTTTTTGAGACGGAGTCTTGCTCTGTCACCCAGGCTGGAGTGCAGTGGCGTGATCTTGGCTCACTGCAACCTCTGCCTCCCGGGTTCAAGCAATTCTCCTGCCTCAGCCTCCTGAGTAGCTGGGATTACAGGCGTCCACCACCAAGCCCGGCTAATTTTTCTGTATTTTTAGTTGAGACGGGGTTTCTCCATGTTGGCCAGGCTGGTCTCGAACTCCTGACCTCAAGTGATCTGCCTGTCTCGGCCTCCCAAAGTACTGGGATTACAGGCGTGAGCCGCTATGCCTGGCCTCAATCTCCCTTTTAAAAAAGAATAAATCTTTTAGACTAATTTTAGATTTTCAGAAAAGTGGCAGATAGAACACAGTTCCCAAACACCACTCACCCAGTTTCCCAATGTTAACATCATATATAAACATGGGACATTTGTCAAAACCAAGGGACCAACATTGCCACATTATTATTAACTGAACTCTAGACTTTGCCCCTTTTTTCTGTTTCTGGATCAAATCCAAGATACCACATTGCATTGAGTCATCACGTCTCCTTAGTCCCCTCAAGTCCGTGAGTTTGTCTTTCTTTTTCCTAATCTTGACAGTTTTGAAGAGTCGAATATTTTACAAAATGTCCCTCAATTTGAGCTTGTTTGATATCTTCCTTGCATATTTGGAATCAGTATATTTTGATTTGATATTCTGACCCAGCAATTACACTACTAAGAATTTATTTTACAGACTGACTCCCACATGTGTGAAATGAGGGAAATTATAAGGCAACTCAATGAAGAATATTTGTAGCAGCAAAATATAAGAAACAACCTGATGTCCCTCAAGAAGATACTGGTGTAATTAATTATGGTATGCCTACAAAATGGAATACTTCCCAGAAAATAAAATATTTTTACAGCTGTTTAAAAAAAAATGGCATGGCCGGGCACGGTGGCTCACACCTGTAATCCCAGCACTTTGGGAGGCGAGGCAGGCGGATCACCTGAGGTCGGGAGTTCCTGACCAGCCTGAACAACATGGAGAAACCCTATCTCTACTAAAAATACAAAATTAGCCGGGCGTGGTGACGTATGCCTGTAATCCCAGCTACTCCGGAGGCTGAGGCAGGAGGATCGCTTGAACCCGGGAGCCAGAGGTTGCGGTGAGCCAAGATCGTGCCATTGCACTCCAGCCTGGGGAACAAGAGAGAAACTCCATCTCAAAAAAAAAAAAAAAAAAAAAAAAAAATGGGCCGGGCGCGGTGGCTCACGCCTGTAATCCCAGCACTTTGGGAGGCCGAGGCGGGCAGATCACAAGGTCAGGAGATCGAGACCATCCTGGCTAACACAGTGAAACCCTGTCTCTACTAAAAATACAAAAAATTAGCTGGGCGAGGTGGCGGGCGCCTGTAGTCCCAGCTACTAGGGAGGCTGAGGCAGGAGAATGGCGTGAACCCTGGGGGGTGGAGCCTGCAGTGAGCCGAGATCGTGCCACTGCACTCCAGCCTGGGCGACAGCGAGACTCCGTCTCAAAAAAAAAAAAAAAAAAATGGCCTGAGTAGCTGGACGTGGTGGCTCACGCCTGTAATCCCAGCACTTTGGGAGGCTGAGGCGGGAGGATCACTGAGCTCAGGAGTTCAAGACCAGCCTGGGCAACATAGTGAGACCCTGTCTCTTAAAAAAAAAAAAAGATACACTGTGGAGTGAAAAAAGTGCAGCACTTTGTAATATGCTATTCTTGGTTTTACTCTTTTAAAAGAAAAAAAAAAAGACGAGAGATACACATATGTATCTATCTAGACACACACACATACAATGTCTATTGCATCAGAAGAAACGACATGGGATTTGGGAAACAGAAGTTAGGAGGGAGACTTACATCTCACTGTTTGGCAGTATTTGAATTTTAAAACATGTACTAGTATTACTTCCTAGAGACTCTATATCGAAAGCATATACAAACAATTAACACAACTTGTAAAGAACGTGGATTTGAAACCTGAAAGATCTGCTGGGTATTCTCTTCTCAGCAAGTTTACAAATCAGCCTCCTCGGCGGGAGAGTGTCAAGGGACTGGTGTTGGAAGCGTTAACCCGCGATGGGTTTCCATCCAACCACTACCCAGACCTAAATGTTTGGTGGATTCTGTTTCATGCTTGTGAGGCACAGTTAGGGGAAAAGAACAAATGATCATTACGGATAAATAATAAAACTAGCTGAGTACACTGCGTGTTAAATCCTTTCTATGCATGTACTGCCCACACGATCCTGTGAGGTAGATACTATGTTACCCATCTTAGAGATGAGGAAACTGTTACTCAGATTTGACGGAAGCGTCACAGCCAGCAGGTAACTCACAAACGTGGGTTTGTAGTCGGCTGGATGGCTTGCCAAACCACAAGTGGGAGGATGGAGCACATCAGCCCTCAACGGCCTCGGAACAGCGGAGGAAGACCGCCGGGGCCCTGCAGTCAACGGAGCGGCCGCCCGACTCCGGGACGCTCACCTCCCGGCCGGCTTCCGGGATGGGTCTGCAGCGACACACACATATCCCCTGGGACCTGCTTCCCGGCATCCTCCCCGCGCGAGCGCTCACTTCCGGTCCCAAGTAGGCCCAGGCAGAAGCATCACCTCGCCGGCAGCCGCTCCTTGGACATGCTTTCCGCTGGGAACCCGAGCTCTACACCCCTGCCCCACCGCCGCCCCGGTCCTTGCTCAGCACTACCCCCTTACCTGCCCTGCGCACCCCCCGCGAGCCCCGGGGCCCTTAGCTGACGACCGCCCTCACCTCTTCTCTCTTCGCCTGCCGCGGCCTTTTACAAACGGGGCCAAACTGTTCGCTGTAACGACAATCGTTATTGGTCAGAGCCGCCCACGCGCGGCAAGTGGCCGCCCACCTGAGCTCGCGTTGTCTTATGGGAGTTTTAGTTCTCTCCTTCAGAGACCGCTGAGACACTGGGGGAATGCGGTGGTAGAACATACGCCGACCTAGCGGCTGTAAAGCTCAGGCTCTGCCTTGGAGTTGGAGTGCTTCTGGCCTATCTTACTGGGCGCTCACCTCCAAGGCTCGTCTTGACTCCCTTCTGGCCTGAGAGAGTCCTATTTCTGAATAGACTTTTGCTGGTAATTGATGCAAAAATGACTTGAGTTGCTGGACGTGGTGGCTCACGCTTGTAATCCCAGCACTTTGGGAGGCTGAGGCGGAGGATCTCTTGAGGCTAGGAGTTCGAGACCAGCCTGAGCGACATAGCGAGACCCTGTCCTTACAAAAAATGAAAATTAAAAAAAAAATCGCCCGAGATTTTCTACATTATTAGCAGATGTCAGCTGCGAATTTGGAGTTTGTTTGGAGGTTCTTGCCCACCTGAGTATTCACCTCTATCACATGTATGTTTATGACAAGTTAACTTTTTCTCCCTTAAGTACACTTTGAACTACACTTGAACGTTTTCTCTTAAAATGAGATAAAAAAGAGCTTCCTGTATATCTTAGTTCTGGTCCTTGGAATCACGGAATAAATCTAAATGCTCATCGTTCATGATTGAAGATAGCTCCCGAGTGCAATGTGTTCATGGTGAGGCCACTGTGTTGGAAAACCCTGGAATGAGGTTTTCTGCTCTCCTGACCCTAGTCTGGCTACTTACTAGTGGTAGCAGGTTAATTTACTATTGGGAAACCTTAGTCAACTATTTATAAGAGAAGTGGAACGTTCCGGCCGGGCGTCGTGGCTCACGGCTGTAATCCCAGCACTTTGGGAGGCCGAGGCGGGCGGATCACAAGGTCAAGAGATCGAGACCATCCTGGCCAACATGGTGAAACCCTGTCTCTCTACTAATACAAAAAAAAAAAGTTAGCTGGGCGTGGTAGCGCGTGCGGGTAGTCCCAGCTACTCGGGGCACTAAGGCAGGAGAATCGCTTGAACCTGGGAGGCTGAGGTTGCAGTGAGCTGAGATCGCGCCACTGCACTCCAGCCTGGCGACAGAGCGACTCCGTCTAAAAAATAAATAAATAAAATAAAAAAAGAGAAATGGAACATTCCAGGACTAATGTTTGTAGTATTAGTTCTTAAACTGGAAAGAGAGGGAGAGGGACACAATTTTTCCAGAAGACTTTTTAGTTTTCTTTCCATTTATTATGTAAACTAAAAATAAAATCCCATGCCCCACAGCCAACTGAATGAACCCTCACCCCTTGGCCAAGGGGATGTTAAACTGAATTCTGAATTCTCCTGGGTGGAAAGGGAGGTCGGACATGCCTCCTTATACTCCCTCTTTTGGAGTTTAGGCACAACTGACCACCATTAATGTTAAAAGAGAAATTATAAGAATGGCAGAACAGACTCTCTGTAGCAATAGAATACCAAATAATAAACAAGACCAAAGGCCATGCAAGGCAAGAATTAAGCCACACCCTACAAACCATAACATCTTTTTAAATGAGTTTTTAAATTAACCCTGTATCGTGTGGCTTACTTTCCAGCCTGAATCAGGTATAGCACCACATGATAAAAAGCAGATGCCCCACCCTTATAATGTAAGCATTCCTTTGTACTGACTTCGAGTCCTTAGACAAAGCTTAACTCTATTTTTTTTTTTTTTTTTTTTTTTTTGAGAAGGAGTCTCCCTCTGTTGCCCAAGCTGGAGTGCAGTGGCATGATCTCAGCTCACTACAACCTCCGCCTCTGGGATTCAAGTGATTCTCCCACCTGAGCCTCCCGCGTAGCTGAGATTACAGGTGCATGCCACCACACCCGGCTAATTTTTGTATGTTTCAGAGAGATGGGGTTTCACCATTTTGGTCAGGCTGGTCTCGAACTCCTGACCTGAAATGATCCACCTGCCTGGGCCTCCCAAAGTGCTGGGATTACGGCAGTGAGCCATGGCGCTCTACCAAAGCTGAACTCCTTCAACCAATTGCCAACTAAAGAATCCCTAGGCGGGACACGATGGCTCACCGCATCTGGCCTTTTTCCTTTTTCCTTTTTTTTTTTTTGAGACAGAGTCTCGCTCTGTTGCCCAGGCTGGAGTGCAGTGGCGCAATCTCGGCTCACTGCAAGCTCCACCTCCCGGGTTCACACCATTCTCCTGCCTCAGCCTCCCCAGTAGCTGGGATTACAGGCACCCGCCACCGCACCCGGCTAATTTTTGTATTTTTAGTAGAGACAGGGTTTCACCATTTTGGCCAGGCTGGTCTTGAGCTCCTGACCTCATGATCCACCCACCCTGGCCTCCCAAAGTGCTGGCATTACAGGTGTGAGCCACTGCACCCGGCTCCGCCCCCCCCCTTTTTTTTTTTTTTTTTAATTTTTGAGACAGGGTCTTACTCTGCTGCCCAGGCTGGAGTGCAGTGGCGTGATCTGCAGTCTCAATTTCTCAAGCTCAATTGATCCTCCCTCCTAAGCCTCCTGGGTAGCTGAGACTACAGGAGCTCGCCACCATGCCCAGCTAATTTTTGTATTTTTTGTAGAGATTGGGGGTGGTGGTGGGTCTCTCTGTGTTGCTCAGGCAGTGGTCTTGAACTGGCCCCAGGCAATCCTCCCACCTCAGCCTCCCAAAGTTGCTGGGATTACAGGCATGAGACACCATGCTCGGCTAAAGCCATTTTCAATGAAAAGAATTTGGCCAGATATACAGTGGCTCACACCTGTAATCCCAGCACTTTGGGAGGCCGAGGTGGGCGGATCACCTAGGTCAGGAGTTTGAGACCAGCCTGGTCAACGTGGCAAAACTCCCTCTCTACTAAAAATACAAAAATTAGTGGGGTGTGGTGGTGGGCGCCTGTGATCCCAGCTACCTGGGAAGCTGAGGCAGGAGGATCGCTTGAACCTGGGAGGCAGAGGTTGCAGTGAGCTGAGATGGCACCACTGCACTCCTGCCTGGACAACAGAGTAAGACTCCATCTCAAAAAAAAAAAAAAAAAAAAAAAGGGCGGGCACGGTGGCTCACGCCTGTAATCCCAGCACTTTTGGAGGCCGAGGCGGGTGGATCATGAGGTCAGGAGATCGAGACCATCCTGGCTAACACGGTGAAACCCCGTCTCTACTAAAAATACAAAAAAATTAGCCAGTCGTGGTGGCGGGCGCCTGTAGTCCCAGCTATTGGGGAGGCTGAGGCAGAAGAATCGCCTGAACCCGGGAGGCAGAGGTTGCAGTGAGCCAAGATCGCACCACTGCACTCCAGCCTGGGTGACAGAGTGAGACTTCGTCTCAAAAAAAAAAAAAAGAAAAAAAAAGAATTTATATGCTATTTGCACATTAGAGCAGATATTCATAGTTCTTTGATTTTTGCCAACTGACAATAATTATTTTTTAACTTCTCTCATCCTTCTAGCCCCTGTTATCATTTCTTTTTCTTTTTCTTTTTCTTTTTTTTTTTTGAGACGGAGTTTCGCTCATTGTTGCCCAGGCTGGAGTGCAATGGCGCGATCTCAGCTCACCTTAAACTCTGCCTCCCAGGTTCAAGCGATTCTCCTACCTCAGCCTCCCGAATAGCTGGGATTACAGGCATGCGCCACCACGCCCGGCTAATTTTGTATTTTTAGTAGAGATGGGGTTTCTCCATGTTGGTCAGGCTGTCCTCAAACTCCTGACCTCTGGGATTCACCCGAATCAACCTCCCAAAGAGCTGGGATTACAGGTGTGAGACACCGCTCCTGGTGCCCTGTTGTCATTTTAATCCAATATTTTTTTCTTTTAAAAAATTTTTTGGAGTATTGGTACATGCCTGTAATCTCAATTATTTGGGAAGCTGATGCAGGAGTATTGCTTGAGCTCAGAAGTTTAAGAGTTTGAGGCCAGCCTGGGCAACATAGCAAGACCCCTTCTCTTAAAAATAAAGTATTGATACATAATAGATGTACATATTTTGGGGGTACATGTAATAATTTAATAAATTCATATAATCTGTAAAGATCAAATCAGTGTAACTGGGATATCCATCACCCTAAATATTTGTCTTTATGTTAGAAACATTGAATTATTCTCTTCTATTTTGAAATGTACAACAGATTATTATTGTAAGCTATAGTCACCCTATGATCTATCAAACATGATGTCTTATTTCTTCTACTAAACTGTATACTTGTACTCATTAATCAACCTTTCTTCATCCCTTCCTGACCCCCTTAAATCACTATTTTTTTTTTTTTAGATGGAGTTTCGCTCTTTTGCCCAGGCTGGAGTGAAGTGGTGCAATCTCGGCTCACTGCAACCTCCGCCCCCCAGGTTCAAGCGGTTCTCCTGCCTCAGCCTCCCAAGTAGCAGGGATTATAGGCACCCACAACCACACCTGGCTAATTTTTTTTTTTTTTTTTTTTTTTTTTTGAGAGGGAGTCTTGCTCTGTCACCCAGGCTGGAGTGCAGTGGTGCGATCTTGGCTCACTACAACCTCCGCCTCCCGGGTTCAACTGATTTTCCTGTCTCAGACTCCCGAGTAGCTGGGACTCTAGTTGCCTGCCACCACGCCCGGCCAATTTTTGTATTTTTAGTAGAGACAGGTTTCACCATATTGGCCAGGCTGGTCTCGAACTCCTGACCTTGTGATCCTCCCACCTTGGCCTCCCAAAGTGCTGGGATTACAGGCGTGAGCCACTGTGTCTGGCTGTACCCTTCATATTTTGTACCCTCTTCTTGTACTGTTCCGAATTACAGATTCTCTTCTTCAGCTGTATCTAATTTGTTTAGTCAGCCTATTGAATTTTTAATTTAAGCTATTGTATTTTTAATTTCTAGAGGTTCTATTAGTTTTTCAAAAATCTGCCTAATCATTTGACAGTCATTTCTTCCTTGTTCATATTTGTATTACATCTTTTATTTTTAAAGACATGAAATGTAGTTATTACAAATTCAATATGTGATTTTCTAAAGTTCTTGTAGGTCCAGTTCTGCTGTTCTTTGTTTCTGTTGGATCTCTTGTAGAGTCTTGTTTCCTCATGTGTTTCATAGGTTTTTTGTTTGTTTGTTTTTTGAGACGGAGTTTTACTCTCACCCAGGCTGGAGTGCAGTGGTGCAATCTCGTCTCACTGCAACCGCTGCCTCCTAGGTTCAAGTGATTCTCCTGCCTCAGCCTCCCGAGTAGCTGGGATTACAGGCATGCACCACTACATCTGGCTAATTTTTGTATTTTTAGTAGAGATGGAGTTTCACCATGTTGGCCAGGCTGGTCTCGATCTCCTGACCTCAAGTGACCTGCCCACCTCTCAGAGTGCTGGGATTACTGGCGTGAGCCACCGCGCTTGGCCGTGTTTGATAGTTTTTTATTGTGAACTCACACCTGATTATTTTGTTTTATTTTATTATTATTTTTTTGAGACAGAGTCTTGCTCTGTCACCAGGCTGGAGTGCAGTGGTGCGATCTCGGCTCACTGCAACCTCCGCCTCCTGGGTTCAAGTGATTCTCCTGCCTCAGCCTCCCAAGTAGCTGGGACTACAGGCATGTACCACCACACACAGCTAATTTTTGTATTTTTAGTAGAGACAGGGTTTCACCATGTTGGCCAGATGATCTTGATCTCTTGACCTTGTGATTCACCCACCGCAGCCTCCCAACGTGCTGGGATTACAGGTGTGAGCCACCACACCTGGCTTCAAATGATTATTTTAATCTGAGGTAATCCTGAGTGACCTCGGTGGAGGACACATTTTTTCAGAGAGGATTTTTGCATATCAAACTATATAAGGGATTCTTACTAATTGATAAAAAAAAACAGTGAAACAATCTAATGAAGAAATAGACAAAGGATATGAACAGATATCTCACAGAAATAAATACAAATGGCCAATTATCATGAAAAATGACTAACTTTACTTGTAATCAGGGAAATACAGCTAAAGAGATTATTTTACATTCATTGGATTGGCAAAAGATAAAAGCTTGATAACAACCAGCATTGGTGAAGGAATGTAAGGGAAATAAGAGCTTTCTGACATAAATGGTTGGAGCGTAAAACGGTATATGACCTTTTTTTTTCTGAGATGAAGTCTCGCTCTGTCAGCCAGGCTGGAGTGCAATGACCTAATCTTGCCTCACTACAACCTCCACCTCCCAGGTTCAAGCAATTCTCCTGACTCAGCCTCCCCAGTAGTTGGGACTACAGGTGTGCGCCACCACGCCTGGCTGATTTTTGTATTTTTAGTAGAGACAGGGTTTCACCATGTTGACCAACCACCATGTTGGTCTCGAACTCCTGACCTCGGGGGAATCCACCTGCCTTGGCCTCCCAAAGTGCTGGGATTATAGATGTGAGCCACCGCTCCCAGCTGGTATACAGCCTTTTTTTTTTTTTTTTTTTTTTTGATATACAGCATTTTAAGAGGGTAATTTGGCACTATACAATACAATTTTTACAATTCACATTTCCTTAACCCATTCAATTTCTAAGTATCCTAGAAAAACAGTATAGACATGCACAAAAACACATGAATTCTCTTTTTTTTTTTTCTTGAGACAGGGTCTTGTTTTGTTGCCCAGGCTGCAGTGCAGAGGCATGATCACAGCTCACTGCAGTCTCAACCTCCTGGACGCAAATGATCCTCCTACATCAGCCTCCTGAGCAGGTGGAACCACAGGCACATGCCACCATGCCTGGCTATTTTTTTTTAATTTTTTGTAGAGATGAGGTCTTGCTATGTTGCCCAGGCTGGTCTTGAACTCCTGGGCTCAAGTGATCTGCCCACCTCAGCCTTCCAAATTGCTGGGATTACAGGCATGAGCCACCGCACCCGGCCTGCCTCTGCCTCCTTGAACACTAATGATCCTGAGTTTTATCCACAGTCCTCATCTCACTTGGTGATCTCTACTCCAAGGGTTGAACTAACACGTAAACACAGACGATTCCCATTTCTATATCCAGCCCAGATCACCCTCCGAAATTCCATGTCATTACCTACTGGATATTTCTACCTGTGTCACCCACGTCCAATCTCACATATCGAAAGATAAGGCCAGGCGAGGTGGCTCACGCTTGTAATCCCAGCACTTTGGGAGGCCAAGGCAGGCGGATCACCTGAGGTCAGGAGTTCAAGACTAGCCTAGCCAACATGGCGAAACCCCGTCTCTACCCAAAATACAAAAATTAACTGGGTGTGGTGGCACATACCTGTAATCCCAGCCACTTGGGAGGCTGAGGCACGAGAATTGCTTGAACCCAGGAGGCGGACGGAGGCTGCAGTGAGCCGAGATCACACACTGCACTCCAGCCTGGGCAACAGAGTGAGACTCTGTCTGAAAAAAAAAAAGGTAAGACTAATTTGCTCTCATCTCCTGCTCTCTCACCATGATAGCTCCTGTCCTTACTCACTCTCACAAACATGCTTCTCTGCCTTCTCACATCCCAGTAACTAAGGATCCACCATGCATCTAACTGCTCATCAAGTCTGCAACCTGGAACACGTCTTGACTAAATACAAATTGGATCAGTGGCTCCCTGGGGTCTTCAGGATAAAAAAAGTTTAAATGACATCACATGGCTTAAAGAACTTGGCCCTGATTTGGTCCTTCAATGCCAGCTTTTTATTAACTTACTCCCAGTACTCCAGCTGGTAGTACTGTCCACACGAGGTGGAAAGCCATTTGGTCAAAACTAGATTGTTTGAAATAACAATTTAATTAACTCATTCATTAATCAATTAATTCAACATTTATTAAGCTTTATTATTTACCATGTACTGGATATTATGGCATTGAAGAAATAGTCACCAGGCCAGGAGCAGTGGCTCATGCCTGTAATCCCAGCACTTTGGGAGGCTGAGGCTGGCAGATCACTTGAGGGCAGGAGTTCGAGACCAGCGTGGCCAACATGGTGAAACCCCGTTTCTACTAAAAATACAAAAATTAGCTAGGCGTGGTGGCATGCACCTGTAATCCCTGCTACTTGGGAGGCTGAGGCAGAAGAATCACTTGAACCCTGGAGGTAGAGGTTTCAGTGAGCCGAGATTGTGCCACTGCACTCCAGCCTGGGAGACAGAGCAAGACTCTGTCTCAAAGAAAAAAAAAAAAAAAAAGGAAATAGTCATCAGTACTTTAGTTTAGTGGGGAGGACAGGTTTTAAATAAATAACTACATGAATAATTAAATAGAATTAAAAATTATGACAAATGCTATAAAGGAAAAGTATAAGATGGATTGAGACGCTAGTGATTTAGATTGTGGAGTGAAGAAAGGAAGGCCTCTTAGAGGAAGTGACTTAAGTGGAGACTTGAAAGCACAAAATAGGGAAAAGCTGTTCATGTGCAAGGCCCTGAGAAGGGAGTCTCTCAGCCCCCAATTCACTTTTTTTTTTGAAACATTTTTCCTTTGTTGGCTCAATGTTACGCTTTGTCAATAGAGGGCACTTGGGGAACAATGCAGTGATAGTGGAAGGAAGGCACTTCCTTCATGGGTTCTGGTTCTCTTCTCATACTCAGCGTGGGAGCCAATGGATCAGTGTACAGAAGCCCTAGCAGCGCTCACCTCAGTGGTCCTCAGGACCCGCCCCAGCTGCCCCTCATGTGTCCCACCTGCAGCTGCCTCCAAGGCAGCTTTGGCTGCACCACCCTGCAACTGTCTCTAGAATCAACAGAAAAAATATACAGGACACTCCATTAAATTTGAATTTCAGCTAAACAACAATTTTTTATTTTTTTTATTTTTATTTTTAGTATAAGTGTGTCCCATGCAACATTTGGCATTGTATTTTTCTTTTTTTGAGACAGGGTCTTGCTCTGTTGCCCAGGCTGGAGTGCAGTGGCATGATCATGGCTCACTGCAGCCTCAACTCCCCGGGGTCAAATCATCCTGCTACCTCAGCCTCCCAAGTAGCTGGAACTACATGTGCATGCCACCATGCCTGGCTAATTTATTTATTTTAATTTTTTATGTTGTAGAGATGGAGTCTCACTATGTTGCCCAGGTTGGTCTCTCAAACTCCTAGGTTCAAGCAATCCTACCACCTTGGCCTCCCAGAGCGCTGAGATTATAGGTGTGAGCTACTACACCCAGCCAAACCAAATTCTAAAAGACCCTAATTAACTGATGAGTGATAGCCAGGAAGAGTCCAAAACATTACCTCCTAAGTATTTAATTTATGTTTGCAATGTAACTAAAGACTTTGCCTTAAATAGTAGTTAACCTACCTGTATTTGAAAATCTCTTCAAAGACCACTTATGTACTCTGGAATTCAGAAAGGTGCAAAATCCCTACTTTTTAACCCTCGTATTATTTGTATTGCAACAAATCAGGTGAAAAAGCACTGAAGCCATAGAAATCAGAACTTCTGGCCGGGCGCGGTGGCTCATGCCTGTAATCCCAGCACTTTGGGAGGCCGAGGCGGGCGGATCACGAGGTCAGGAGATCGAGACCATCCTGGCTAACACGGTGAAACCCCGTCTCTACTAAAAATACAGAAAATTAGCCGGGCGTGGTAGCGGGCGCCTGTAGTCCCAGCTACTCGGGAGGCTGAGGCAGGAGAATGGCGTGAACCCGGGAGGCGGAGCTTGCAGTGAGCCGAGATCGCGCCACTGCACTCCAGCCTGGGCGACAGAGCGAGACTCCGTCTCAAAAAAAAAAAAAAAAAAAAAAGAAATCAGAACTTCTTTGGGTAATTTTCAAAGGCATCTTGAGATTAATGGAAGTACTCACTTAAGGGCACTTGACTACTTTTTGAGAAACCTATCTAAAGATGTTTCATCTTTTTCAAGTAGCAGTTTCCTGCAAGTATAGGAAGGAAAGTTGTGGACTACTCTGTTCCTTCCAAAGCAAAGTCCATTTCTTGAGCTGCCATCATCAGTACTAGAAGCTTCATCTGTTATGCAAAATTTATATGCCATTTATTTCTGTATTTTCATCTTTTGATCCCTTACCAAATTGTCTCATATAAAAAACAACTTGGCTGGGGGCAGTGGCTCACACCTATAATCCCAGCATGTTGGGAGGGTGAGGCAGGATTGCTTGAACCCAGGAGTTTGAAACCAGCTTGGGCCTTTTTTAGAGACCCTGTCTCGAAAAAAATAAAAAATAAAACAACAACAACAACAACAACAACAAAACTCAGACCAAAACTGAGCATAAGATAGAATGCACAAAATCAAATTTTCTTTTTTTCTCAACTTTTACTTTAGATTGGGGGAACATGTGCAGCTTTCTTACCTGGGTATATTGCACGATGCTGAGGTTTGGGGTATGAATGGTTCCATCACCCAGGTACTGAGCATAGTACCTAATGGTTAGTCTCTCAACCTTCCCCCCAGTAGTTCCCAGTTTCTATTGTTGCCATCATTATTTCCATGAGTACCCAATGTTTCACTCCCACTTATAAGTGAGAACATGTAGTGTTTGGTTTTCTGTTCCCACATTAATTCACTTCAGATAGTGACCTCCAGCTTCATCCATGTTGCTGCAAAGGACATGATTTCATTCTTTTTTATGGCTGCATAGTATTCCATGGTATATATATGTAAGGAAAAAGGCTGCATGGCAGTCAAGAGTAGGCCAAGGTAAACATCTGGTGCAGCGTGACACAGCAGGATTGGAGTGCGTGTGTACAATCCTGTGCATTATATAATCACAGTTATGTAACCATGTTATAAGTGAGCTCATCAACTGGCTCTGAGGTGCAAAAATGTATCACTGACACTGTGAGAGGGGCACATAATAAAGCCCCTGCCTCCGGACCCCCAAGTGTTCTTTCAACTACCTGCCACCCGTCCACCAACTCCCCTCGGACTCCAGCTTAGGTTGGAACCGGACAATTGGTGTAGTTAGCAGGATTCTGAAGTGAGTGAGTCCTCAGCACCTGATGATCCCTGGTTGGCCATGTGGCCCCAACATGGGTTGCGGTACTTGGTGGCAGCTGTGCTGTCCAGATGGGCCCTGGTGGAAACATGGGCAGAGGTAGACAGGTCCCCCATGAGCATGGAGAAGGCCCTGAAGCACCTGGAAGCATACAACACCGAGAAGGAGGGTGCCTTTGCCAGCAGAGTTGGATGGGCATTTTTGACTATGCTATGGAAAGTGCATGCCCAGTCCCTGCGGGATACAGCACAGGTAAGGAACCTCCAGGTGCTAGCTGAGTGCCTGGAGGCCCAAATACAAAGCTTGGAATGAGAATGGGTAACTGCCGTAAGTGCAGGCTTGAGCCTGCCTTCCTGGCCAGAGACTCCCATTCCATCTGATACCGAGGAGGAAGAACCCCTGCTGCAGGCTCACCCTGTGGTCTGCCAGAAAATAGAGCATGAACAGCCACTTGGGCCCCAAGGGTGGGCCCAGGGACCCCCTACCGTGGTGGAGCACACTTCATATAGTGCCTACACCCCCACTGAGTTGTGGGAGTTAGGTAAGTAGCGGAAGCCCCTACCTGCCTGGATGCTCCGCTTCTGGGACAAAGGAGCTGACAGTATTTCCGGTTCCACTGCTGAGACGGAAAAGTTGGCTTCTGTCACAGCTCACCCCTCCCTCCATCAGCGGTTGCAGGTGAGCAGGCAGTTGGCACAAGGGAAAGGTGACCATATCCTGACTGAATGGCTGATGGCAGCCATGTGGACAGGGTGGAATGATGCCAGAGAATTATCAAAAACTGTGAGTAAATGGCAATCATATGCAGAGCTGGTGGAGGTAATTCGGAAGATGGGTATGTGGCAGGCTATGTTTGATTTGAATACCCAAGGGCCAGATGATGAACGCTTTACCTCCCACATGAGGGACCTTGTGTTGGGCTCTGCATCCCCGAGTGGTTTTGGCTCTCTGGTCGTTGTCCTTCTCCATACATTGGGCATAAGGTGACTACCATACATAAGGTGATACTGCCATGGCAGCCCTTGGGGAAGCAGAAAGCCAGCAGTGGGAGCAGGGAGTCTGTGCTATAAAGAAGGGGAAGGTATCCCTCCCATAGGGAGCCACAGGACAAAAAGTGGCCCCAGCAGGTGACCCCCATGCAGATGTGAATTGATCTGATATTGGCTGGGGTTGCTTGAGAGAAAATTGACAGGCAACCCAATGAAGTGCTGTTAACTTTGTGGAAGCAATTGTCCCCGGAGCAGCAATTCCGGAAAATGCCCAAGGCAGGGCAGGATGATGCTGCTCAACCCAGTCCTGCTGGACACTCCAGCTCAAGGATTACTTGCAGATGGGTGGGAGAATAAAGCCTCTTGTGTTTGATTAGGGAACTGGCCAAGGTGCCCGGCTTGGCAGGACACCAGAGATCAGAGGCCACATGTGGAATTGGCAATCCACTGGTACCCCACCAATGTACAGCAGGTGTTGGTGCTGGTAGGTACTGATGCAGATTATAGCCTCGTCTATGGGAAACGGGATAAGTTTTTAGGCAAGGCTGCATACACAGATGGTTATAGAGGCCAGTCAGTGAAAGTAAAACCTGTATCTTTGCACCTCGGCATTGGCTGCTTGGCTTCCCATTTATACACTGTGTATATCTCTCCCATACTGGAATACATTCTGGGGATGGATATTTTGCAGTCTTAACTTACACACCACAGCCAGAGAATTCAGACTCCGCGTACATGTAGGAAAGCTGGTACTATGGGGACATATGCATCACCTGCCCAGGTTCTGCCACAACCCCGATGGGTTACCTCCGCTTGTCAATACCACTTGCCAGGAGGGCATACGGAGATAACTGAGACTATTAAGAAGCTAGAGGATGGCCGGGCTCGGTGGCTCATGCCTGTAATCCCAGCACTTTGGGAGGCCAAGGCAGGCAGATCACGAGGTCAGGAGATTAAGACCATCCTGGCTAACACGGTGAAACCCCGTCTCTACTAAAAATACAAAAAATTAGCCAGGAGTGGTGGCACGCGCCGCAGTCCCAGCTACTCGGGAGGCTGAGGCAGGTAAATGGCGTGAACCTAGGAGGCAGAGCATGCAGTGAGCCAAGATCGCGCTACTGCACTCCAGCCTGGGCGACAGAGCGAGACTGTCTCAAAAAAAAAAAAAAAAAAAAAAAAAAAGGTAGAGGAGGTGCAGATAGTGCATGGCACACACAGCCCCTACAATTCTCTGGTATGGCCAGTCAAAAGGCCCGTTGGGACTTTGTAGATGACAGTGGACTATCAAGAACTAAATAAAGTAACAGCCCCTTTACATGCAGCAGTCCTGTCTATCACGGATTTGATGGACCACCTGACGATGGAATTGGGACAGTACCATTATGCAGTGGATTTGGCTAATGCATCCCTTTCAGATGATATCGCTCCAGAGAGCCAGGAACAGTTTGGCTTCACATGGGAAGGGCGACAATGGACTTTCACAGTGTTGCCACAGGGCTACGTGCATAGTCCCACCATATGTCATGGTCTCGTTGCTACGGATTTAGCCACCTGGAAATTTCCAAAGGGGATCCGCCTATTCCATTACATTGATGATATTATGTTAACCTCTGATTCTCCTGCAGATTTAGAAGCTGTGGTGCCCCTCTTGCAACAACATTTGGCAGCATGAGGTTGGGCTGTCAATGAATCCAAGGTGCAAGGGCCTGGGTTGTCTGCCAAATTCTTGGGAGTTATCTGGTCGGGTAAGACAAAAGTCATACCAGAGGCCATCGTAGACAAAATTCAGACATATCCCAGCCCACCATGGTGAGGCAGCTGCAGACCTTTGTGGGCCTGCTGGGGTATTGGCGGGCGTTCATGCCCCATTTGGCTAAAATGACAAAACCGTTGTACTGGTTGACAAAAAAGAGGGCTACCTGGGATTGGGATGATAAAGCTAAGGCAGCCTTTCTGGCAGCCATGTGGGCTATTCAATAAGCACAGGCCCTACAAGTGATTGACTAGGGGCACCATTTAAACTCTTTCTGCCTTGGCCTCCTAAAGTGTGGGAGTTATAGGCCTGAGCCACTGCGCCTGGCTTGAGAATCTAAGGCTAGTATTAATTTCAATCCTTTTCCATTTGGTAACTTTATTTTTACTTATTTATTTTTTTTGAGACGGAGTCTCGCTCCGTCGCCCAGGCTGGAGTGCAGTGGCGAGATCTCTGCTCACTGTAAGCTCCGCCTCCCGGGTTCACGCCATTCTCCTGCCTCAGCCTCCCGAGTAGCTGGGACTACAGGCATCAGCCACCACGCCCGGCTAATTTTTTGTATTTTTAGTAGAGACGGGGTTTCACCATGTTGGCGAGGATGGTCTCGATCTCCTGACCTCGTGATCCACCCGCCTCGGCCTCCCAAAGTGCTGGGATTACAGGTGTGAGGACCGCGCCCGGCCTCCATTTGGTAACTTTTAGAATATTGTCTGGTGTCGGCCAGGCACGGTGGCTCACGCCTGTAATCCCAGCACTTTGGGAGGCCGAGGCGGGTGGATCACGAGGTCAGGAGATCCAGACCATCCTGGCTAACACGGTGAAATCCCGTCTCTATGAAAAATACAAAAAATTAGCCAGGTGTGCTGGCCGGCGCCTGTAGTCCCAGCTACTGGGGAGGCTGAGGAGGAGAATGGCGTGAACCCGGGGGGCAGAGCTTGCAGTGAGCCGAGATCGCGCCACTGCATTCCAGCCTGGGAGAGAGAGCAACACTCTGCCTCAAAAAAAAAAAAAAAAATAAATAAATAAATAAAATAAATAAAATAAAACGAATAAAATAAATAAAATAAAATAAATTCTAGGCCGGAAATGGTGACTCATGACTGTAATCCAGGCCCTTGGGGAGGCTGAGGCAGGCGAATCACCTGAGGTCAAGAGTTCGAGACCAGCCTGGCCAATATGGTGAAAACCGGTCTCTATGAAAAATACAAAAATTAGCTCGGCGTGGTGGCAGGCCTATAACCCCCATACTTTAGGAGGCCAAGGCAGGAAGAGTTTAAATGGCTCCCCTAGTCAATCACTTGTAGGGCCTGTGCTTATTGAATAGCCCACATGGCTGCCAGAAAGGCTGCCTTAGCTTTATCATCCCAATCCCAGGTAGCCCCCTTTTTTGTCAACCAGTACAACGGTTTTGTCATTTTAGCCAAATGGGGCATGAATGCCTCCCAATACCAATACTACAGCTGTAGTCCCAACTACTCAGGAGGCTGGGGCAGGAGAATTACTTGAACCCAGGAGGTGGAGGTTACAGTGAACCGAGATCGCGCCACTGCACTTCAGCCTGGGCAACAGAGCAAGAGCAAGACTCTGTCTCAAAAAAATACAGTACATTCTACCCACTCTATTTTCTCAGTTCTTTTCCTGGGATACCTGTTAGTTGGTTATTAAACCTCCTGTATTGAGCCAAGTTAATTTTTTCCCTTCACTTTTGATTTCTGTTCTAAAACTGTTTCTTGTCTTTTAATATTCTGAATTCATTCATATTTTAAATTTCCTTTTCTGGTATTTTACTACTATCCTGCTAATTGTTTTTTGTTTGTTTTTTGAGACAGGGTCTTGCTCTATCACCCAGGCTGGAGCACAGTAGCACGATCTTAGCTCACTGCAACCTCCGCCTCCTGGGTTCAAGGGATTCTCATGCCTCAGCCTCCTGAATAGTTGGGATTACAGGCACGTGCCACCACACCTGGCTAATTTTTGTATTTTTAGTAGAGACAGGATTTCCCCACGTTGGTCAGGCTGGTCTTGGACTCCTGGCCTCAAGTGGGTGATCCACCCGCCTCAGCCTTCCAAAGTGCTGAGATTACAGGAGTGAGCCACAGTGCCCTGCCATATTTTATTTATTTATTTATTTATTTATTTTTTGAGACAGAGTCTCACTCTGTTGCCCAGGCTAGAATGCAATGGGATGATCTCTGCTCTTGGCACCCTCAGCCTCCTGAGTTAAAGTGATTCTTGTGTAGCTGGGATTACAGGAATGTGCCACCATGCCCAGATAATTTTTGTATTTTTAGTAGAGACGGAGTTTTGCCATGTTCACCAGGTTGGTCTCGATCTTCTGACGTCAGGTGATCTACCTGCCTCGCTCTCCCAAAATGCTGGGATTACAGGTTTGAGCCACCGCAGCCAGGCCCTAATTTCATTTTTTGTAGGCATGAGGTCTTGCTATGTTGCCCAGGCTGGTTTCAAACTCCTGGGCTCAAGCAATCCTCCCACCTTGGCCTCCCAAATTGCTGGGATTACAGGCCTGAGTCACTGTGTCTGGCTTCCTAATTTCTTTTTGTTTGTTGGTTTGTTTTTTGAGACAGTCTCGCTTTGCCCAGGCTGGAGTGCAGTAGTGCCATCTTGGCTCACTACAACCACTGCCTCCTAGGTTCAAGCGATTCTCCTGCCTCAGCCTCTTGAGTAGCTGGGATTACAGGCTTGTGCCACCACGCCCAGTGAATTTTCTGTTGTTTGTTGGAGACAGAGTTTCCCTCTTGTTACCCAGGCTGGAGTGCAGTGGTGCGATCTTGGCTCCCTGCAACATCCGCCTCCCAGGTTCAAGTGATTCTCCTGCCTCAGCCTCCTGAGTAGTTGGGATTACAGACATGCACCACCATGCTTGGCTAATTTTTTTTTTTTTTTTTTTGAGACAGAGTCTCGCTCTGTTGCCCAGGCTGGAGTGCAGTGGCGCTATCTTGGCTCATTGCAACCTCTGTCTCCCAGGTTCAAGCAATTCTCCCACCTCAGCCGCCTGAGCAGCTGGGATTTTTTGTATTTTTAGTAGAGATGGGGGGGGGGGGTCTCACCATGTTGGGCAGGCTGGTCTCGAACTCCTGACCTCAGGTGACCCACCCGCCTCGGCCTCCCAAAGTGCTAGGATTACAGGCGTGAGCCACTGTGCCCTGCCTAGTTTTGTATTTTTAGTAGAGACAGGGTTTCACCATGTTGGCCAGGTTGGTCTCGAACTCCCGACCTCAGGTGTTCCGCCTGCCTCGGCCTCCCAAAGTGCTGGGATTGCAGGCGTGAGCCACCGAGCCTGGCCATCATTTCTTGAATACAACATCTTATCTGGGGACATTCCAGCTCCTGGAAATTTTCTGATTGAGAGTTGCTTTTTGTTTAGAGCTACCTTTCACAATCAAAGTTTTCCTCAAATTTCTAGTGGTATTTTCCCATCCCTATGTAAAAGTGAAGCACTAAAAACCTGTCTGGAAGATTTGTGCACATGGGCAGGCCTTATTGACTGGCTGCAGAGGGAATGGTGGCCAGTTGGCGTTTTCGGTGGGTGCTCTTAAATGTCAGTAACTGTTGTCTCTCAAGAGTCACTTAGTTTTACCACAGAAGGATCCTCCAACATCCTGCCTGGTGGGTATGTCTGGCTGTTGGCATTCTAGAGCTGAACAAGGATAAATAGCTAAGGATCTCATTTATCCAGTATACAAAATTGTGCTTAATCTCTATTTTCTGAACAGCATCACCTAGTAAAGTTTGCTTTTTCCTTTTTAAAGTTGAATTTACTATCTCAGTAACTTCACCCTCCAACTTTAGGAGCCACAGTGTAATTAATTACTGGCAATCTTGGGAATATCTTATCTCTGAAGCTAGTGCTGCAAACAGCCATTTGAGTGAGCAGAAATTTCAAATAACTGTAAGACACTCAAGAAATGCTACCATTGGCTGGGCGCAGTGGCTCACTCCTGTAATCCCAGCACTTTAGGAGGCTGAGGCAGGTGGATCATCTGAGGTCAGGAGTTTGAGATCAGCCTGTTCAACATGGCAAAACCCTATCTCTACTAAAGATACAAAAATTCAGCTGGGTAAGGTGGCACATGCCTATAGTCCTAGCTACTCGGGAGGCTGAGGCAGGAGAATCACTTGAACCCAGGAGGCAGAGGCTGCAGTGAGCTGAGAGTGTGCCACCGCACTCCAGCCTGGGCGACAGAGACTTCGTCTCAAAAAAAAAAAAAAAAACAAAAACAAAAACGGGTTTTTATACACGAACAATAAAGTGAATTAAGCCTGTTTTTTTTTTTTTTTTTTTTAAAAAGGCTGGTCGTGGTGGCTCACACCTGTAATCCCAGCACTTTGGGAGGTCAAGACAAGTGGATCACCTGAGATCGGGAGTTCAAGACCAGCCTGGCCAATATTGTGAAACCCCATCTGTACTGAAAACACAAAAGTTAGCCAGGCGTGGTGGCAGGAGCCTGTAATCCCAGCTACTCAGGAGGCTGAGGCAAGAGAATGGCTTGAACCTAGGAGGGGGAGGTTGCAGGGAGCCGAGATCACACCATTGCACTCCAGCGTGGGGGACAATAGTGAGACATCATCTCAAAAAAAAAAAATGGTTTACAAAAACCTGCTACCATTGACACCTGTTGTTTTCCTGTTTGGTTAATACATATGAATACATATAATACATATGAATTTCCTGTTTGGTTAATTCATATGAATATGAATTATGGTCTTCAAATGAAGGTAGAAAAACCTATTCAATTGAGACACACTCACACATTTTATTAAGGCTCTTAAATTGAAACTCATCATTTTGGATGTACATTCAAATTCTAAACACAACAGTCAAAATGCAGTGACTGTAATGAAATGTAATAACCTCCTATAAAGAAACGATTGGGGACTATCATTTTTGTGATTTAACAACAGAGAAAATCCAGGAAGAATGAATTGAGTTCCTTCTAGGAGTTGTTTATCCCTGCTCATGCTTAAGATTGACGATTTCGTGAAATAAAGAACATTATTTGAGAGAAAAAAACTGATTTTTTTTAAAGAAATCATCACTCTCATTTGAAAGGTTTGCTTTCTTATTTCCTGTAAGTACATTTCGTTTTTCTAATTCAACTGTAACCTCAGGACCACTGTACAGCACTTAGTAAACCTGTCTTTGTACATGCAATCTAGTTCTTACCAACTGCCTTCTCAAATGGAATAGAACTATAACACACAAATAAAAGGAAGATGTACAAGCACAGGGACAAAACAGGAGGAAAATAAAGACTAGAATGTGAATCTCATTTTCAACAAGTATCAGCAAGGAAAATGAGACCCTGGTTTCATAATTAATTAAATCTGCAGAATGCCAATTCCATTTGGTGTTAAACAGTAACCCAATATAAACCACTGATTCTGGAATAAGATTAAAAAAAAAATACCTGAGTGAATATAACAATATGGATAGACCAAAAAGAAAAAAAATCTCACACACAATAATCACTGCAAGAAGATCCCACAGGTTATAGAAAACATAAAGGAACTTTAATATCCAAACATTCAGGGTAAAGAATACTGGATTAATCACCCATTAAGTGTAAATCACTTCAGGTTCTTTACAGTACCAGAAAGTAAAATCTAAATTTTGCATATTGCAGAGAATGAAACCATTTTAAAAACTTTAATTTCCTTACCTGATACTAATACCAGTATGATTTTTAGACGGAAAAACTAAGAGTAAGATTTAAACCAAAGATAGAGGTGTTCCTGAAATGTGAATTTGTTCAGTAGTAACCTTTTCATCATGAGTACTGATACCACTTTCTTCTCAGAAAGTAGTCAATGTACATTTTAAGATTTGTGCAATAAGCCAATATGCTGGATAATAAAAACTGTTATTACTGGAGATAGTCAAAATGAAAGAAAACTATTTAAATTATTTATGCCCAAATAATTTACCCTGCAGTCCATGAGATGCACAGGAAATAATTTTTTTTAATAAGAGAACAATGAGGGTCCTAAAGTAGAAACATAAGCCAGAAGAAATCTAAAAATAGCTTCCTGATATTTTATTTTAAAATATTTCATTTAAGCTGCTTTTGGTTGCATGCCCTGATCTGTAGAAGTTAACAAGGAAATAAAATTTCCAAGTATTTAAAAAATTTACTCATCTTCCATAAAGCGACTTTTAATGTATCAACACTTAAAAATACACAGTGACTTAATGAAATATCAGCACAACTGCATAGAATTGAGCTCCAGAGAATTATACACTCGAGCTGTCTTTCCTGGGCTCTGGTTTATAAGGGTATTGGCTTAGAGACCAGCTTGGAGTCATTTGCCCCTACCCGGGAAATGCAGGCCAGGAAACTTAAGATTTTGCGGGCCTTTTCTGTTTCTAGGTAAAATGCAGGGAGCTCCCTGAAGGTCTTGAAAACCATCAACCATTCAAATATGTATACTGGGACCTTTCCTCTTGAGTAAAGGAAGAAGGAGGTTTGTGATCTTCACTGAAAACAAAGTGAAACTTCCCACACAAGTCTTCTAAGAGACTCTGAAATATACTAGAAATTTCAAAACTAGAACAATGCCATCAAAGATTAAACCTCTTAATGCTTGGAGCCACCCCAAAATAATAAAATCGGGAACTCCAGGAAAACAGGTACCAAACGAATCAAAATAATGATTGCACTGAGGATTCTCTTATCTGAAGGCTGTTTAAAGAGGTAGGATTTTAAGGTTTTTTTTTTGTTTATCTTTTGGCCTCTGAACATTTAAAAGATGCTTTGCCCAGCTGGTCCTTCAGGCAAAATTTGGAGGTCACAATGAACTCCAAGCCTGACACAAAGATATTCTACAGTTTCACAGCTATCATTTGTACATATTAAGTTGATTCACTCTTTTTGAGCAAATCTACCTAGAAAACGGCAAATTAATATATTCCTTTACATACAACTTTGTGTCTCAAAATTCTTGAAAAACAAGAGCAGATGACTTTGTATTCAAAGACTACCAAAGTATGTATTTGATTTTCACATGCAAACAACTTAAAACCTTATAAATCTCATGTCAACTCTGCATGATGCCTTGAAGGAAATGACATACAAAGTTTGCTAACTGTGCAAAATATTAAATTGCTAAAACATTTTACATAATGAAATAATACATGTAAATGTTGAAGTTGACACATGAAATTAACATGGCATAAGAACTTATCACATTTCAGATATTTTCTTTAGTAACAAGTTTTTGTTTTTATAGTTCCTGGTACACAGCAAAGTTTATCACGAAAGATAAAAATCCTTTTAAACAAATCCAACAGGAAATTCTTGAGGCACCTTCTCATATAAAACACAAGATGAATGCAATTATCAATCCATCTGAGAAAAGTTTTCAATCTAAATGAACATCATTTTTTCCATTTAAGTATATTTTACAGAACTTTAATAAGGCAAGACAAATTTGTGAAAAAAGATGTAGATACAAAAATGATGTAAACTAATAATTTATATTAAAAAACCCCAAAGGGATAACAGTGGAGATGGGACAGCTCAAACAATGCCTTTTTTTAACCTAAAACAGAATTGTGCACAAGCTGAAGATGACAAACAACTTCTAGACTCTGCACAGTTTTGGTTTTTTTTTTTAACATCTTTATATTACATGTTTTAAATCATATCAGGAATGCAAACTAGAACTGCACACTACTTCAGTGGAAAAAAGTTCAATATTGTGCAATTTTCTGCCTCTTAATAGTTAAAAAGTGGCAGCAATCCCTGCATTTGTGTTTGAAACAAGGATCTGAGAAACTTTATCAAAAAAGGTAATGAAGGCAAAAATTGGCAGACATCCAGCATCTTGTTTCTTTTTAAAACAATGTGGATGATAAGTAATTTCATGATTAAAAATGAATCTTTTAAATAAATACATTGTATCTGACATTTGCACTGACTGATTTGATAAATCTTTAAGTAAACAACGGCTTTACTACACTCCCTGTAGCCTCAAGCCACTGGCTTTAGATTCTGGAGTCCTTATTCACTGGGTTTCATACCCTGCCACTCGATACCCAGAAGGCTGATTGGGCAACATGCTGCCATTTTGCCCTTGAGGCGGTTGCACTCCATAATTTGGTCCCATCCATGGTGCAGAAGACTGTGTCTGACTGGTGGAGAATGTGAAAGAAGCAGAGGGGAGAGGAAATCCACTGATTAAAATAAAGTATTGGCAAGAACAAACAACAAGAACAAATATGGGAAATGGGAAACATACTTTTTCTTAATCCCAAATAGAATAATTTATGCTAGGGAAAATGAAATCTTTTACTAAAGTTTTTTTCTCTTAAAAACAAGCATCCCTGTATGTTTAATTTGGACAGTTTAATTTTGTTAGAAATTAAAGCTAAGAAAATACCCTGAACTTATCAACATTCATCTCCTTTGAATATAGAAAAACCTAACCCCATTCTTGGAAAAGAAAGCTATCCATCTCATCTCTATGCCTTGGTTGAACATATTTGCTGAGGAAACCACTACCTGAAAGAGTCAGGTAGGTTCCCTACAACGAAAAAGGAACATTATACTACTCAAAGAAGAAATCAAAACAATTATTAGCATATGAAAGCTCATAAAAATTCATAACATTACAAGATTTTCTTTTCTTTTCTTTTTTTTTTTTTTTTAAGACAGGTTTTCATTGTGTCACCCAGGCTGGAGTACAGTGGTATGATCTCAGCTCACTGCAACCTACGTCTCCCCAGGCTCAAGCGATTCTCCTACCTCAGTCTCCCGAACATCTGGGATTATAGGCACGCAACCACCATGCCTGGCTAATTTTTTTTGTACCTTTTGTAGAGATGAGATTTCGCCATGTTGCCCAGGCTGATCTTAAACTCCTGGACTCAAGTGATCCGCCTGCCTTGGCCTTCCAAAGTGCTAGGATTATAGGCATGAGCCACCATGCCCAACCACAAAATCCTTTTTTTTTTTTGAGACAGAGTCTTGCTCTGCTGCCCAGGCTGGAGTGCAGTGGTGTAGTCTCAGCTCACTGCAACCTCCGCCTCCCAGGTTCAAGTGATTCTCCTGCCTCGGCCTCCCAAATAGCTGGAACTACTGGTGTGCACCACTACACCTGGCTAATTTTTGTATTTTTAGCAGAGGTGGGGTTTCGCCATGTTGGCCAGGCTGGTCGCAAACTCCTGGCCTCAAGTGATCCACCCACTTCAGCCTCCCAAAATGCTGGGATTACAGGCAGGAACTACCACGCCCAGCCCACTAAATTCCTTTTTAACCTCTCAAGTATTTTTATTTCCAGTGTGTTTTTCAGAAATGTAAGTAAAATAGTGTAATTCAGGGTGTATAAGGAAGCTTGCAATGTAACAAGGCATATTGAAAAAACCCTTTGTACAGAAAAAAGCATAATGAATACAACAACTAGCATCAAACTCAGTGTATATAAGAATGGCTAAGTGACCATTAGTCATGTGAAAAGCTTAACAACTATTAAGCTCTTATTTTCTTACTAAAAAACAATTTTAAGTTCTTTCAAGGCTATAGTTACGCTTTACATAAGAGGCCCTATTACCCACTAATTCTTAAAATTTCTTCCTACTTAAAATTTCTTTAGACATTTTCAAAGGTTAGTAAAGGAAGACATAAGATATGCTTACTTAAATCCTTGCTGGTTCCATGCCTGGCCATACATTCCATATGCAGGAACTTGCCAACCATTAGGCATATACTGGCCAATTTGTTGTGCATTTCCATACCACTGGCCCCACTGGCCATAAGGTTGGGGATATCCAATTTGATTCTGCTATTAAATAAAATTTAGTATTACTTGAAGTTAACTATATATATACAATCCTAATATGCTGATACCACAAATTCTTAGCCAAAACACACAGGGCCATCATTACAATTAAAATGACAGGATAAACAAGAGTTGACTGCTAAAAAAAAAAAAAAAAAAAAAAAAAACAAAAAACAACAACAAAACAAGTGAGGTTATACTGCTGTAACTCTACGTGATACTCTGAATGGCATAGTTTTTGGAAGGCATCAGTTGATACCCTAGTAATAAATGTTAAACTTAGTAGAATGTTTAAGTGTTTGGTATACTATCTACATGATTGTTTCCTTTAGATAGGGAAGATGTGATTAATTATTTCTATATTCAGCTTACTTAAGACACTTATATAGTTTAGGATTTGCTTACTCCCATCTCTGTGCTCCATTTACAGTTTCCTCATAGAAATCTTTGTGGAATCAAGTTTGAACCACTAAAGCTGCCTGGAAAAAAAAGGCAGCAAAATCTGGAAGAAAAATGCCAAGGCCATAACTATATTTACAGCTTTATTTTTGTTTCAGTTGAGTCAAGCATGCTTGTGAGTTCTCCAAATGGTATGTGAATAAATCTACCAAGTATTAAAAAAAGATGTAATACCCTTTTAGGTTTCTCGGAGCATTTTAAAATCCACTGTGTGAGCATGAGTCAATTGAGGCGGTCACATTCATCATGTCACCACTGCAATCCATGAAACACCATTCTGGAACTATAATACATGTAGGAAGAGCCCTTATATACTATCATTTTAGCTAGAAACTTATTAACAAGGATTATCAACAATCTTCACCTTAAAATAACATTATTAGCCCAACAATTACTTCTCAAAGTTAAGAACCCTCTCACCTGTTGCACGGGATTTATCATATCAAGAGTTTCTTTGCCCCAATAGCATTTCACAACATGACCTTCAATGGTAGTACCATTAACAGAAACAATTGCATGTGCTGCACTTTCATGGGAATTGAACCTATTGAAAACAATATTAAGAATCACCAATACAAATTCTTTTAAATATTTATGAATAAAACCTATTTTTAAAAATCAAGGTGAGTCTGAGGTAAAACAGTTTGCGTAACATGGCATATTTTCTTTGCTATTTTTTTCAAAGATCTTGTAGTTCTGGGGCAACTTGTGTTAACAAAGAATGTGTGTTTCACTGGCCTTGTGTTAGGGAGGGAGCTATAAAATCACAGAGGCAAATACGCTGGATGCTAGAGAAATTTCAATTTTTTTTTTTTGAGATGGTGTCTGGCTCTGTTGCCCATGCTGGAGTGCAGTGATTGTGATCTTGGCTCACTGCAACCTCCACCTCCTGGGTTCAAGTGATTCTCCTGCCTCAGCCTCCCGAGTAGCTGTGATTACAGGCATGCACCGCCATGCCGGCTAATTTTTATATTTTTGTATTTTTAGTAGAGACGGGGTTTCACAATGTTGGCCAGGCTGGTCTCAAACTCATGACGGTGATCCACCCGTCTCGGCCTCCCAAAGTGCTGGGAATACAGGCGTGAGCCACCGCACCCGGCCAAAATTTCAACTTTTTTATAACCAAGGTAAATTTTTAAGAAAACGAGGTAAATGTTCAAAAAATATTTTGGAGGAAAAAGTTTTTTATTTTTATTTATTTTCTGGTTTTCCAGTTACATTACCAAGAAAAATGTTTTTTTAAAAAACCATCCCTACCGAACAAATGAATATCCTTTATCTGGAAAGACTCGAATTTCCATTATTTGTCCAAATGGTGAAAAAGTCTGACGCATTAGTTGTTCTGTTAGACAAAAAACCAAAACAAACAAATCACACTAAGTTATATAAAAATCCTACAAATATTAAGCTTTGCACTTTAAAAATTAATGCCACACAGGGAAGGCTCCCATACCTGTTAGCCCAGAAGTAACACCTCCACAGTATACAGTACAGTTGCTTGGACTAGACTGATTTACAACCTCATCATATGATAGCTGTTTGGTATTTGCTGGTGAGAGAAAAGGTTTATGTCTTTAATTCATTAAATAAAATGTGCAGAAAGAGAAAAGTAGCATTCACTACACTACTGTAAAGGTAACATTAACCTTGATCAAAATGCTTATATTACACATATTATACTTCAGTTCAGAATTAAACCTCCCCCACGAATGTCTAAAAAATTACCCAGTATTTTCTATTTAATAGGAGACTTGACATTAGAAATAATATTATTTATAATTACAAAAATGAAAACTAAGTACATTTTTGAATAGTAGTCTTGATTTGCTTCTCATCTATTTCTGCAATAAGTCTCCGGGAACAGCTCTAACATTTAAAATCTAGCGTATTTTTCTCCAAAATTCCACATTTCCTTTTCTTCTCCAATACACCTACACTCATATGTACTCTTTGGAGCGGGAGGCTTTCGGGTTGCCCAGTTAGTTCTGATTTGTCTTCCACCAAGCCACTGGCCACCCATCTGTTGAATGGCGTTTTCAGCATCCTGTTCCGTACAACATTAGAAACAATAAAGAAGTCACTATTAGTTGATGTTAAACAACTCTTAGCAGTAGAGAAAACTTGGTGCTTTTCACAAATGTTTAAGTGAAAATGCTCTATGAAATACACAACATATGATAGCTTTCCTAAAATGCAATGGTGCTTTTTATATTTTTAAATTTTATTTTATTTATTTTTTCAGATAGAGTCTCGCTCTGTCACCCAGGATGGAGTGCAGTGGTGTGATCTTGGGTCACTGCAACCTCCGCCAACTGGGTTCAAGCGATTCTCCTGCCTCAGCCTCCTGAGTAGCGGGGATTACAGGCATCTGCCACCATGCCTGGCTAATTTTTGTATTTGTAGTAGAGATGGGGTTTCGCCATATTGGCCAGGCTGGTCTCGAACTTCTTCTTCTTTTTTTTTTCTTTTTTAAGTCTCGCTCTGTGGCCCAGGCTGGAGTGTAATGGCGTGATCTCGGCTCACTGCAAGCTCTGCCTCCCAGGTTCACGCCATTCTCCTGCCTCAGCCTCCCAAGTAGCTGGGACTACGGGCACCTGCCACCACGCCTGGCTCATTTTTTGTATTTTTAGTAGAGACACGGTTTCGCCATGTTAGCCAGGATGGTCTCGATCTCCTGACCTCGTGATCCTCCCAACTCGGCCTCTCAAAGTGCTGGGATTACAGGCGTGAGCCACTGTGCCCGGCCCTGGTCTCAAACTTCTGACCTCAAGTGATCTGTCCACCTCAGCTTCCCAAAGTGCTAGGATTACAGGCATGAGCCACCATGCTCAACCCAATGGTGCTTTTGTATTGTTTTTCTCTTATTTGAATATTAAATTTTGGGAACATTAATCATCTGAAAAGGTCGTGAGCCCGACAGCCCTAATGAGGTAGATATCATAAAGTTCATGCAACTCAGACTACTATAGAAGAAAATCTTAAACAATCTAACAAGCTTGTTAACAATATTTGGTTTCTCATTCATCCAACAAATAAATATTGAACAGTTATGTTCCAGGCATGCGGTTAAGAGCTAGGGACACACTGGTAAACAAGCATACATGGTCTCTTACATTCTTTTGTGGGGAACAAATAAAGCAATTACATATTGTGGTAAGACCTATGACAGAAACAAAAGGCTGAGATAGAGAATATGGGCACAAGGATCTACTACAGACAGGATGAATAAGAAAGGTCTCTCTGAAATGACATTTAAACTAAGCCTGACAGCAATAGGAGATAGCCAAGTCAAAACAATGAGGAAGAAAGCCCCAGTAGAGAGAAAAGTATTGCAAAGTGTGTTAAGGCACAAAAGTTTGGTATGCATCTGAAAGCAGCATGTGAAAGACTAGTTTCAGTGGAATCCAGCGAGCAAAAAAGAATGTCAGAGAATGAAACTGAAAGATTTTAAGCAAGGAATCATCATGACCTATGTTTTAAGAAGGCCATTCTTTTTTTCGAGATGGAGTCTTGCTCTGTCTCCCAGGCTGGAGTGCAGTGGCGCGTTCTTGGCTCACTGCAAGCTCCGCCTCCTGGGTTCCTGCCATTCTCCTGTACAGGTGCCAGCCACCAAGCCCGGCTAATTTTTTTTTGTATTTTTTAGTAGAGACAGGGTTTCTTTTTTAGTAGAGACAGGGTTTCACCGTGTTAGACAGGATGGTCTCCATCTCCTGACCTCGTGATCCGCCTGCCTTGGCTTCCCAAAGTGCTGGGATTACAGGCGTGAGCCACCGCACCCGGCAAGAAGGCCATTCTTAGCGCTAAGAGGAGAATGGCTTAGGATAATGGGTAGTAAGGGGATAAAGATACTTTATGAAACTTGTGCAATATTCTAGATTTTTAAAAAGTGTTGGTGGCCAGGAGCATTGCAGTAGCAGTGAATGTAACTTAAACTCAAGGCCAAAATAATGGGGGCTGGAGGGGACACCACAAGCAAAAGGAGAGAAAAGATAACTCTTAGGTTCCTCTAGAGAAATTGGAAAGACAGCATTTATTGAAATGCGGAGAAAGACTAGGAAAGAAAAGGGGAACAGGTCTGAGGAAGAAACAAAAAGCTCCATTAAGAAAAAACTTTGAGATGCCTGTGAGACATATAAATGAAGACCATTTGTTAATAAATGTGGAACGCAGAGAAGTAGACTGAAGATACAAAATTCATGCAGACTAGAGAAAGAGCCTAGGACAGAGCCCTGAAAAACAGCAAAACTTGAAAAATGGGTAAAGGAATAATCACTAGCTAAGGTGACTAGGGAGGAGTAGCCAGTGATGAAGGAAGAAAGCCACAAAAGTGTATGGTCCAGGGAGCCAAGAAAACAGAGGTTAAGAGGTGACCTTGAAAATAGAGTAGCATTGGTACAAAGTGAGAGTAAAACCAGCTTAGAGTAGACTAAAAAGTAAATGGAGTGTAACTTTTGTGTGCACACATCAAAGGTAAGCTTAATCTACTACTGAAGGAACAGGCAAATTCAAGGCCTTTCTTGAAATATGAAAACGAAATGCTTTAAAAAAAAATTAAATAGGGTCTTATTCTGTCATCCAGGCATGATCACAGCTTACTGTAGCCTTGAACTCCTTGGGCTCAAGTGATACTCCCACCTCAGCCTCCTAGTAGCTAGGACTATAAGCATGCACCAACAAGGTTGGCTGTTTTTTTTATTTTTTTAATTTCTTTACTATGGTAGGAACAGCCTTTACTGGTTGCAACAGGCAATGGGAGGGATTCGGGGTCCACAGACTAGGTCGCCAGGCTTTTTTTTTTTTTTTTTTTTAATGGAGACAGGGTCTTGCTGTTGCCCAGGCTGGTTTCTAACTCCTGGGCTCAAGCAGTCCTCCTCCTGCCTTGGCCTCCCAAAGTTCTGTTATTACAGGAATGAGCCACTGTGCCTGGCAGGAAATGCACATTCTTAAAAAGAAACAAATATTATCACCCCAACCAGTCCGAACTCCATGAGACGCTTAACTAATGTTATGTGTTGAATTGTGTCCCTCAAAACGATATGAAGTCCTATACCCTGGTATCTGTGAAATATGGCCTTATTTGGAAACAGGGTCTTTGCCGAAGTAATTAAGATGAGGTTATACTGGATTAAGGTGGGCCCCAAATCCAATGACTCAAGTCCTCATAAGAAGTAAAGATCAGACTGGGCACGGTGGCTCACACTTATAATCCCAGCACTTGGGAGGCCGAGGCAGGTGGATCATGAGCCCAGGAGTTCGAGACCAGCCTGGACAACATGACAAAATCCTGTCTCTACAAAAAATAGAAAAATTAGCTGGGCATGGTGTTGCAACACCTGTAGTCCCAGCTACTTAGGAGGTTGTGATGGAAAGATCACCTAAGCCTGGGAGGTCAAGGCTGCAGTGAGTTGTGATTGTGCCACCACACTCCAGCCTGGGTGACAGAGTGAGGTCCTGTCTCGAAAAAAAAAGATGATGATTATATGGATACACAAAGAGAGAAGATGGTCATGTGAAGATGAAGGCAGAGATTGGAGTTATACAGCTACAAGCCAATGAATGCCAAGAATTACCAGCAACCACCAGAAGCTTGGAAGAAGCAACAAAGGATTCTTCTACAGAGCCTTCAAAAGAGCATGGACATGCTGACACCTTGATTGTGAATTTCACGCCTCCAAAACATTGAGAAAATAAATTTTTGTTGCTCTAAGCCATCCAGTTTATGATACTTTGATACAGCTCCTCAGGAAAAAAATAAAACTACTCACTCAAAAAAGTGGAAAAAAAACAGAGATGTATCTATGTTGGTGGTTGTGAATGGGAGATAAAGTAGAAGCATATGCAAACAACTCTTGAGAATTATAGCCAAGAAATGGGGATACAGTTAGGGAAGGGATGTGAGGATAAACAGTGGTTTTGATTAAGAGATACTAGATGGCCAGGAACGGTGCCTCATGCCTATAACCCCACCACTTTGGGAGGCCAAGGCGGGCGGACTGGTGGAAGCCAGGAGTTCGAGGCCAGACTGGGCAACAAAGTGAGATTGTTCCTACAAAAAAATATATATATATATTTTTGAGACGGAGTCTCACTCTGTTGCCCAGGCTGGAGTGCAGTGGCATAATCTCAGCTCACTGCAACCTTTGCCTCCCAGGTTCAAGCGATTCTCCTGCCTCAGCCTCCTGAGTAGCCGTGATTACAGGCGTGTGCCACCATGCCTGGCTAATTTTTCTATTTTTAGTAGAGACGGGGTTTCACCATGTTGGTCAGGCTGGTCTCGAACTTCTGACCTCATGATCTGCTTGCCTCGGCCACCCAAAGTGCTGGGATTACAAGTGTGAGCCACCATGCCTGGCCTTTTTTTAAAAAAAAATTAGGTGGGCATGGTGGTGTACACCTGTGGTCCCAGCTACTCTGGAGGCTGAGGCAGGAGGATGGATTGAGGCCAGGAGTTCGAGGCTGCAGTGAGCTATGATCACACCACTGCACTCCAGCCTGAGTGACAGAGTGAGACCCTCTCTCCAAAAAAAAAAGAGAGATCCTAGGTTGATGAGAATGATCCAGTAGAGAAGGAATAGAGTGATGACACAGAATAGCAGTAATAACAAGAACAGCACATTATGATTCCATTTATAGGAAATGTTGAGAACAGGGAAATCTACAGAGACAGAAAGTAGATTGACAATTGTTCAGGGCTGGCAGGAGGGGCATGAAAGGAGGATAGTGACTGCTAATGAGTCATGTAGCTTCTTTTTGGGGTGGTAAAAATATTCTAAAATTTATTTTGGTAATAGTTGCACAATTCTGTGAATTACCTAGAAACCACTGAATTGTATACTTTAAAAAAAAAATTTTTTTTTTTGAGACAGGGTCTCTGTCGTCCAGGCTGGAGTGCAGTGGTGCAATCTCAGCTCACTGGATCCTCAACTTCCTGGGCTCAGGTGATTCCCCCACCTCTGCCTCTCAAGTAACTGGGACTACAGGTGTGTGCCACCATGCCTGGCTCATTTTTTGTAGAGAAGGGGTTTTGCCATTTTGCCCAGGCTGCTCTCAAATTCCTAGGCTCAAGTAATCTGCCTGCCTTAGTCTCCCAAAGTGCTGGGATTACAGGTGTGAGCCACTGTGCCCGGCCACACTGTATACTTGAATTATATCTCAATAAAGCTGCTGTTAAAACAAAAACAAAACAAAACAAACAAACAAAAAAAAAACAATGAAGCAGTGGCAGCATAGGCTCAAAGTCCTTGAAAAGGCAAGAGAGATGGGGACACAATCATAAGTGATTTTGCCTTTGACAGGAAGGACCTTTCCTGTACTATAATAGGAAGAATGGGAAGGTGGATGAATTTTATGTAAGTTTGGTGGTTGAAAGATGAGAAACACATGTTTGCCAAGACAGTACTCTGTACTCACCTAAAGTGTGTGACCATTAAATTAGAAGCAAAACCACCTGAACTCAGTTTTTTTCCAGGAACATTCAGTTATTTTGGGGTAGGCAGAGAAGCTAAGCTCAATCAGTATTGTGGTCTTCCTAGCATGTAGAACATAGGAAGAGAGGCTGGGGGTAATTGCAATCAGGGCTGTAGCACTGCGTAACAGAGCCAAGCACGTATCACAAATTTTACATAAGTTGAAATTTATAGATTTAAATTTATAGAAGATTTTATAGAAGATTATATTATTTACTGCCGGGCGCAGTGGCTCACGCCTGTAATCCCAGCACTCTGGGAGGCCGAGGCAGGTGGATCACAAGGTCAGGAGTTTGAGACCAGCCTGGCCAACATAGTGAAATCCTGTCTCTACTAAAAATACAAAAAATTAGCCGTGCATGGTGGCGGCACCTGTAATCCCAGCTACTTGGGAGGCTGAGGCAGAAGAATTGCTTGAACCCAGGAGATGGAGGTTGCAGTGAGCCGAAATTGCGCCATTGCGCTCCAGCCTGGGCAACAGAGCGAAACTCCGTCTCAAAAAAAAAATTATATTATTTACTCAAAGTTACATCTGTTTTATAATGGTTGTCAGAATTTGTATACATCTCTGGCTAACTCCAGAGGCCATACACAGGTTATCAAGAGACATCCTTTGCTATTTGACTCTAGTTCATACTAAATACACATTCAACAGTGATTTTTATATAGCAGAACCCTACAGTCCACAATCTCGAAAATGTGAAAAATGAGTTCCTAGCCCATCAAACCGCCAATTTATTTCCCTAACTTGCACTAAAACATCCTAAAACCTATGAATCAATCCTCTAAGGAACTCAAATTAATCACGGCTATCAATCCATTATAGAAGGTATTTTTCTACCTTTCTAAAACATTATGCTATGCTTAATAGTAAAGTTTTGAGAACCAAATAAATTCTCTTAATTTTTATTTTCTCATCTTACAGGAAAAAAAAAATCTTTGGTAGATGGGACATGTACATGATTGAGCTTGTATTGTTTTCACCTCTCAATGTACTTTACAATTTTCAACTTTTTTTTTCTTGAGACAGGGCCTCACTTTGTCACCCAGGCTGGAGTACAGTGGCTTGATCATGACTCACTGCAGCTTTGGCCTCCTGGATTTAAGTGATCCTCCCGCCTCAGCCCTGCAAGTAGCTGGGACTACAGGCATGTGTCGCCATGCCTGGCTAATTTTTTGTAGAGATGGGGTTTTGCCATGTTGTCCAGGTTGGTCTTGAACTCCTGACCTCAAGTGATCCGCCCACCTTGGCATCCCAAAGTGCTGGGATTACAGGTGTGAGCCACTGGGCTCGGCTGAATTTTCGGAATTCCCGGAAAAAAAAAAATTAAAAAAAAAGTAAAATAAAAAATATATATATTTTGTAGAGATAGGGTCCCACTATATTGCCAGTATTTATCTCAAACTTCTCAGCCTCCCAAAGTGCTGAGGTTATAGGCATAAACCACTGTGCCCGGGTAATATTTAATTTTTTAAAAAGTTCCTATCCATCACAGTATTTTTATTTATTTATTTATTTTTTGAGACAGGGTCTCACTCTGTCGCCCAGGCTGTGCTGTGGCATGATCTCGGCTCACTGCAACCTGTGCCTCCTGGGTTCAAGTGATCCTCCTGCCTCAGCTTCCCGAGTAGCTGGGACTACAGGCGCCTGCCACCACGCCCGGATAATTTTTGTATTTTTAGTAGAAACAGGGTTTCACCAGGTTGACCTGGCTGTTCTCAAAGTCCTGACCTCAGGTGATCCACCCGCCTCAGCCTCCCAAAGTGTTGGGATTACAGGTGTGAGCCACTGCGTCCGGCCTCCTCACAGTATTTTATTAGCTACTTTTAAACTACCATGGGAATATAAACTAGGGAGATAATGAATTAAATCCATAAATGAGATTTTCAACATCTACCTTTGGCTGATAATTTAAACAACTTTACTTTCTACATTCTGAAAACATCTTATCAGTACTCTGCATGCCTCAGGTGCCAATAAATGTTAAACAGACAAAACAGAAGAAATCTTCTAGTGAGGGTTTATTTTAATCATCAGTAAAATAAACAGCAGACGAAAAAAAGATTAGTAATTAAAACGGAGTGTTTCCATTCTTTACTCTTTAAGCATTATCCATGCACTTCTCACTGAGCTCACCCATTTGTTGAAAAAGGAGACAAAGCCATATCCCTTAGACTTTCCTGTTGCCATGTCTTTTACCACTCGGGCATCTCTGAAATCAGAAACAATCAGAAGTTTAGGTTTGCAAACTATCCTCTGGATATCAAATAAGAATTTCACACACAACTCATTCTCATGTTTCACCTTCATTAAAGTGAACCTTTAATGCAAATTCACCTTTTATTCTACAAAATTTATCATGTATTAGGAAATGAGGCTTAATTTTATAGACATGCAAATCAATAACTTAAGTATATATGTATATTTATATTGTACAGAAATTGCCTCTCTCTTCAAAAAACTTTTTAAACTTTTAAATATTAAGCATGGTGAAAGCAGCTACTCACATGAACTACTTAACCACTTATAAAGTTCACAGGACATTAGATGAATGGCTTTCTTTAACCATGCAATTTATAACTTATTTGACACTATATTCTACCTAATCATTAAAAAAAAATAGAAAACTGGAAACCAAAAGAATGAAAAAGTTGTATATTCCCTAAACTAATTAAACTATTTAATTTTTTCAGATCAATTTATACCCCCCTTTTTGTCTAAATTTTGAGAACTTGACATTTTCAGAAATGTTAAATCATTGAAGAAAAATACTAGACACACACAAGTTTTAAGCTAGACAAGAAAAGATTTTACACTGAATTTTATAATAGCATTCATATAAAATTGATTGGAACTACAAGATATAAAAGCAAAATTTTAAAAAGTCAGAAAGTAAAAAAGCACGCCAACATTTATCCACTGTGAACCGTAGCTTGTAGTTAGCCAGGGCAATTCTGTCCATTCTTCAGAGACACTCTGCAAAATAACCAGAGCCCTATTATTTGAGATTGAGTAAAAACCCAGCCATGATAGCTAAAACTCCATACCTCAAAAAATTGGACTCAAATTGTGCTTCACAGGCAATCTGCTTTTAAGTTAGTCAGGTATGTCACAATGCTTGCTCTCTCAGGACACATGAACAAAACAGGCACTTTTATAACAAAAACCCAAGTCAGAAAGCCATGCAATGTAATTTTCTATTAAAGTATACATAAGCATATTTTAGATCAATCTGAGTGATTTATTAAGTGTTCAGGGTCAAAATGACAAAGACGTGGTGGTGAAAAGGGAAAATTAATGTAAGTCAATGTTCAATATGCAAAAATACTTAATAAATTATCTGTATGGTACGCATGCATTTAATCTGGTAGCTGACTCTCTTCTACGCTGTAATTTGTTAGTCTACCCTAAACTCAAGGAATAGGAAGAGTTTATAGGCTGTATATAAGGGAAAATACCATATTTTTTATACTACATGCTTTTACAGACCACTGTTTATTACACATCTATAAATCAAGCACTGATATTTGCACTTTTTAGAGAATATCATGAGAACCCTTCAACATACAGTTATCAACTTATCTCCTTTAACAACAACAAAAAATCAGGAAAATATGCTACTGACTGCCAAATGATTCCTTTAAATGCAGGAAAGCTAATTCCTTATATAGCCTAAAACTCAAACATTATACATTATCTCAATTGAAAATCATAAAACTTAAAGGTCTTACCAAGAAAAAAAAAGTATACACCAATAATCATGGGACCATAAGAAAATCTACAGACTAAAAATATGACACAGAAATATATTTAAGAGAAAAAAATATAACCCACGATTTGTAAATCATGAAATTGCTAAAATCTGAAGGTCACTTAACTTAAACTCACCAACTGTTAAACAATCTTTGCCTAATTCCAAACTAAAATTCCCGTGTTTTCAAAAAAACTACCTCAATTAAAATCAAAGCATTTAATAAAATAGCTACTTAATCTGTTCACAATGTTAGAAAATTTTTTCTTCTTAAAGTTTCAGAAAATGTTAGTCTTGAAAAATATTCAACTCATTTATTTCTCTCTGAAAAGATTCTCTGAAGCAGCAGCAAAGATCTAGATCAGGCTTCTTTATCCTTTTATGGTTCTATGACTACTCTGACAATAGGATAAAATTTACAAAGATTTTCCACACCAAAATGAAAACACAAAATTGTGCATAGAGATTTAGAGCCCTTGAGAGGCCAAAGGCTAAGACTGTCTAAGTCCAGATATTCGAAAGCAAGCTAATTATTATTGAAACTCTAAGATATTATTAAGAAGGACAATCAAGAAATGAAAGCTGTACTTATTTTCCTGATCAGGTCTCACAAAGAAAAATGTCATCTGAAAGAAGTCCATTTATAAGCCCTAATTCTGTGACCACCTTTAAAGTTGGTAATTCCTTGGTCACATCCCCTAATCAAGGAACGATAACTCTTCAAACGAAAGCTCCTAAAATTCACCAATACTACTGGCATTTACTTTCCAGTCTCCTCATCTCATCTCTGCTGTTGGTCTGTTCAAACCAAACCACAGCTAGCACTTCCTTTTTACTATTCTTCTAGGTGGAAAAATAACAGAGCAAGCAGAAACCCTGAAGAAGTTTTCTAAGCTAATTACTCTACAGAAAGTACTGTAAACAACTTGTTATTCTTACTCTAATATGGCATGCTTTTCAAAATTTTAAAGTTCTTCTATGATGAATGCTATCTCAAGTAAGGTATTTATTCATAAGGGCCTAAAATGTATGACTAATAACAAGTGCAAGCAAGGCAGTGCTTCATAAAATATTATTAAGGCACTATTATTGTTAGCAGTTTTTTTAAAAGGGTGTAAATATCTAGAAAATAATATTCAATAACTGCTTTTTAAGTTGAATTGTTAAGGTTTCTTTTTGTTAAAATATATTAACACAAAATGCATGGTATCATAGAAGTACCCAACAGATCTAAATTCCTTAGTTACAGCACAATTTTACTAAAGATTGTCACCAAGCTAGCTTGATACCTATATAAGAAAGTAAAACATGTACAATGGCAAATTTGTCTCTTAAGAGCTATGCTAATTGAAAAAGGATTTTAAGATAATTGAAAACCAAAGGTTTATTCATCAATGGGAAAACAATCTTTTGCTGTTAACTTCTTGAATGATCTCTAAACAATGTAATACATTATATTCAAGTTATAAAATTAATGTACAAAATTCACAACAGAATTATTTTCAAGTTATGTCTACATATAATTGTTTCTAATTAAAAGGATTTTATTTATCTTCTGTTACTTACGATATTCTTCCAAATGGTGCAAAAGCAGCTTTTATATCTTCAGTTGTAATTTCTGGGCTGAGATCACCAACAAAGACATGGAAATGATCTTATAAGGGGAAGGAAGGGGAAGTGAAAAGAAAAATAGAACTTTAGAATTTAAAAAGTACTAAAATCTATCCAATAAAGTATTCTTAAAATGATTATGGCTTATGATAAAGTATAAATAAAACACTATCCTATATCTATACAAATCCTACCAATTTTAAACAATGAATCAAGGTAACAATATAGGAAAAATTCTCCTGAAACGACTGTGATACATCTAACTGTAAAGTGACATTTATATTTCTATTTACAGTCAATTATTACACTGGTCTAAGAAAATAAACTAATAACATACAAGTTTCAGTTCTGCAAAAAAATTTAATGACTTAGTTACCATTCTAATAATAATTATTTACTTTTATTCAGTTTACCACTATATTAAGGCTTTACAAATTAAAATAAAATAGTGGTACTGTGAATTATGTAGACTAGATTTGCCTCAGTTAACACAATTTACTGAAGCTAGCTACATGATATATACTTGGTTTAACCATATTTTGTGAAGAACAATCAAAGAAATACCTTGCATTGCAACAGTTTGATGTTAAAGTATTTGACAGTTTTCTCAAAAGCCAACAGTTTTGGTTGCCCAGACATTACACCATTCAGTTTATGTGAATCCATGTGCAAGTGAACTAAGACTGAAGGCAACAGAATGAAAACAGTAATCCCTTCACTTTATATCAGAACCATTAAAAAAGCATTGGAGAGAAATAACCAACCCATATCTGAAGTTTTTAAAAAAGACAATTATCAAAAAAAGAAACACTTTAAAAATGCAAAATTGTTGGACCAACACTTTAAAATGGACACATACATCAATTTGACAAAGCATATTTGGAAAGAAAAGTTACCCATATTTGACAGGCCTTAAACAACATTTTGGATTGCTCTTTGGGAAACAAAATTTGAGGAGCAACTCAAGCATTTGGAAGATCTGGGTATGAAGCCCAAATGGTGACCTCAAGAAAGGAGGGTATTTTGCCCCTTAGTTGGTGAAAGTAGTTCTAAGGCATCAGCTGCTACCAAACGGGTCAGAAAGCTTGAACTAGCACCAAAGTAGCGGACAAGTTATACTTGGTCAACACTGAGAAGGGAGAAAAGTATTGCTAGAGAGACAAATAGAAATAATATCTCCTCCCGCCCCCCTCCCCCAAATATCAAACAAAAAAACTTCAGGTGGTTAGTGAATACCCTTTCAAGAGATTTCATTTTATGTTTAAGAAGATACAATTACCTTGTGAACGCTGTGTGCTGACAACGGTACTACCTGATGACAAAGATTAGATTTGTTCTTAAATTTATTAACACAAACACATTCAATCATATCTTAGGATAACGATCAAAACATTACTGCAAACATGTATGATGTTTATAGGCTTTACAATAAAACTACTGGGTACAATAAAAACAAATGTTCAAAGAGCATAAAATATACTTACTGCTTGTATCTTTCTTTTGACTGCTAGGGGTTGTTGCCCAATTCACTTTGACTTCCTAAAAAAAAAAAATTTCTACATTTATACTTCACAAAAATAAAGCCCAAAATCACATTTGTATCTATAAACACATAGGAAGATATCTGTTTAAGATGAAACACTGAAGGAGATACCAGCTCTGGTCAAGTTTCAACACTTAATCTTCTGACCTACATTTAGGCAAATAATGTTGACAAATCCTAATCTTTATGTGTCTGTTATCATTCAATTAACCTTTCCTACCTAAAGTACCCATATTATTTTTTTTCCTTTCATTCTTTTCCATTAGCATCCAAGCTTGAGTAATTCAGCAAATATTTTGTTATTTACCATGTACAATCCACCATGGAAAATACTAACATAGGCTGCTGGCTGACGTCTGTAATCTCAGCACTTTCGGAGGCCAAGACAGGCGGATCACCTGAGGTCAGGAGTTCAAGACCAGCCTGGCCATCAGAGTGAAACCCTGTCTCTACAAAAATACAAAAATTAGCTGGGCATGATGGTGGGTGCCTGTCATCCCAGCTACCCAGGAGGCTGAAGCAGAAGAATTGCTTGAACCCATGAGGCAGAGGTTGCAGTGAGCCAAGATGGTGCCACTGCACTCCAGCCTGGGTGACAAAGCAAGATTCCATCTCAAAAAAAAAAAACAAAAAAACCTGGGGACGGTGGCTCACGCCTGTAATCGCAGCACTTTGGGAGGCCGAGACGGGCAGATCGGATCATGAGGTCAGGCGACTGAGACCATCCTGGCCAACACGGTGAAACCCTGTTTCTACTAAAAATACAAAAAATTAGTCAGGCGTGGTGGCGGGCGCCTGTAGTCCCAGCTACTCCAGAGGCTGAGGCAGGAGAATGGCATGAACCCGGAAGGCAGAGCTTGCAGTGAGCTGAGATCGCGCCGCTGCACTCCAGCCTGGGCAACAGAGAAAGACCCAACTCAAAAAAAAAAAAAAAGAAAAGAAAATACTAACATAAACACAAGCCTCTGCCCTCTAAAAGCTTTATCCTACCTTTTTAATATTATATGTCAATAACTGACCTTTTGCTATAAAGTGTTTAATGTTTCAGCCAGGCGCGGTGGCTCACATCTATAATCCCAACACTTTGCGAAGCCGAGGCAGGCAGATCACCTGAGGTCAGGAGTTTGAGACCAGTCTGGCTAACATGGTGAAACCTCATTTCTACTAAAAATACGAAAAATTAGCTGGGTGTGGTGGTGCGTTCCTGTAATCCCAGCTACTAGGGAGGCTGAGGCAGGAGAATCACTTGAACCCAGGAGGCAGAGGTTGCAGTGAGCCAAGACTGTGCCATTGCACTCCAGATTGGGCAACAAGGGCAAAATTTCATCTCAAAAAAAAAAAAAAAGTGTTTAATGTTTCTAAAAAGGAAACAAAATCATATATAACTTAAATTTTTTCAGTGCAAGTCACCTTCTTTAATTACGACAGCTTACCTTACCCATTATCTTCCGTCCATTCATAGCAGCTAATGCTGCAGCTGCATGACGATGCTCATGAAACTCCACAAAACAATAGGGATCATTTCCAGCTGTCTGTGGGAGAAGAAACACAAAAGCCAATTTTAAGCTTTATTCACCCATTACCTTAAAATTATGTAAAAAAAAAAATCTTAAACCAAGTTTTATACATCTAAGTTATCAGGCCATGGAGAATGAATGGTCTATTCCACAAGTAAATTTTAGATTTAAAAAAGTAGGCTGGGTGAGGTGGCTCACACCTGTAATCCCAGCACTTTGGGAGGCCAAGGCAGGTGGATCATGAGGTCAGCAGTTTGAGACCAACTTGGCCAACGTGGTGAAACCCTGTCTCTATTAAAAAAAAATACAAAAATTAACCAGGCATGGTGGCAGGCTCCTGTAATCCCACCTACTCGGGAGGCTGAGGCAGGAGAATTGCTTGAACCCGGGAGGTGGAGGTTGCAGTAAGCTGAGACTGCGCCACTGCACTCCAGCCTGGGCGACAGAGCAAGACTCCGTCTCAAAAACAAACAAACAAAAAAGTAAACAGCCAGCTCCTGTAGTCCCAGCTACTTTAGGAGGCTGAGGTGGGAGGAATGCTTGAGCCCAGGAGTTTGAATCCAGCCTGGGCAACACAGCAAGATCCTGTCTCTAAAATAATTAAAAAGTAAAAAAAAAAAAGCAAACACTTAAAATCACACTGCTTTTATACATAGCTATTTTCTTCAACAGGTTATACTATAGTACTATAATTTAATATTAATGACTAGGTATCCTAACTGGATATATAGCTACACATACCCCATCATCATATAACCATTTGTTCAAGCTACACAGATTAAGTTTGACTGAACTCCTAAGTTCTGAAGTCTCACTTCGGCTTTTTATGATTTTTCTATCCCCTCCCTGTTATAAGTTACTTTTTACTGCTACAAATGTACATTGCTCCTTGCTGCTACTAGCTTGCTGAGTAGCAGAAAATCTTAGCCAACCTTCTTAAACCTGTTTTAAAATATAGGTAAATAGGCTCTGAAAACTGAAGAGATTCTCTGGTAAGTAAAATTTTAGAATAAGTTTTAGAATGTGAACTTTCTGACATCAATTTTTTGCTTGCTCAGAAGCCTTTAAAAAATTATCTTCCCGCCAGGCGCAGTGGCTCATGCCTGTAATCCCAGCACTTCGAGAGGCCGAGGCAGGCGGATCATGAGGTCAGGAGATCGACACCATCCTGGCTAGCACGGTGAAACCCCGTCTCTACTAAAAATACAAAAAATTAGCCGGGCCTGGTGGCGGGCGCCTGTAGTCCCAGCTACTCAGGAGGCTAAGGCAGGAGAATGGCGTGAACCCAGGAGACGGAGCTTGCAGTGTGCAGTGAGCCGAGATTGCACCACTGCACTCCAGCCTGGGCGACAGAGCGAGACTCTGTCTCAAAAAAAAAAAAAAAAAGAAAAAAGAAAAAAGAAAAAAAATTATCTTCCCAGCCAGGCATGATGGCTCACACCTGTAATCCCAGCACTTTGGGAGGCCAAGGTGGGCTGATCACCTGAGGTCAGGAGTTTGAGACCAGCCTGACCAACATGGTGAAACCCTGTCTCTACTAAAAATACAAAATTAGCCGGGCGTGGTGGTGCATGCCTGTAATCCCAGCTACTCGGGAGGCTGAGGCAGGAGAATCGCTTGAACCCTGGAGGCGAAGGTTGTGGTGAGCCGAGATTGCGCCATTGCACTCCAGCCTGGGCAACAAGAGTGAAACTCTGTCTCAAAAAAAAAAAAAAAAAAAAAAAAAAAAAAAAAATTATCTTCCCTTGGCCGGGCACAGTAGCTCATGCCTGTAATCTCAGCACTCTGGGAGGATGAGGCAGGTGGATCACCTGAGGTCAGGAGTTCGAGACTAGCCTGGCCAAAATGGTGAAACCTCATCTCTACTAAAAATACAAAAATCAGCTGGGTGTGGTGGCGTGTGCTTGTAATCCCATCTACTCGGGAGGCTGAGGCAGGAGATTCGCTTGAACTCAGGAGGGGGACGTTGCAGTGAGCCAAGATGGTGCCACTGGATTCCAGTCTGGGCGCACAGCGAGACTCTGTCTCAAAAAAAAAAACAAAACTTCCCTTTTCTGCTGGTGTTCCAGGTAGGTGAGGCTATGTGATAAATAGAACCTGGATGTTTAATTATAAATTCAAGTAGCAGAAAAAAATTCCAATTTTTACACCTACAGTGCAAAATATCAAATGACATTATAGGCCATTTTAAAATTCTTTCCATAGCCTCCTAAACAGATTTGTTAAAATAAAAAACTAATTCAAAAGACTAGAAAGCTACTAAAATAGAGGAATATACAATTTTATTTCAAGTACAGTTAATTAATTTTTTTTTAGAGATGTGGTCTTGTTATGTTGCCCAGGCTGGTCTCAAATTCCTGGGCTCAAGTGATCCTCCAGCCTCTGCCTCCCAAAGTGTTGGGATTACAGGCATCAGTCACTGTGCACATCAACAATTAATAGTTTGAGAGTCACTGGCAATGACTTGTAAAAATTTTAAAGCAACGAGGCCAAGACAAAGTTTAATATATTGGGACTATATTTTGTCTAAAAAAATTAGAGAATAAAAATGTTATATAACTCAAACTAATAAAACACAATGGGAATTCTATTACCAAGATCAATGCTGACAGGCAACACTGAAATGAAGTTAGAAAAAGTCACTTGCGGCTGGCTGTGGTGGCTCACGCCTGTAATCCCAGCACTTTGGGAAGCTGGGGTGGGCGGATCATGACATCAGGAGATCAAGACCACCTGGCCAACATGGTGAAACCCTGTCTCTACTGAAAATACGAAAACTAGCCAGGTGTGGTGGCGCATGCCTGTAATCCCAGCTACTTAGGAGGCTGAGGCAGGAGAATAGCTTGAACCTGGGAGGCAGAGTTTGCAGTGAGCTGAGATCATGCCATTGCACTCCAGCCTGGGCAACAGAGTGAGACTCTGTCTAAAAAAAAAAAAAGAAAAAGTCACTTGCATTTAAGAGTAAATAAATGAAAAAGAATATGCTTTACTTAATTTATATGCAGAAAAAACTAACTTTTTAAATAAGAATCGAAGCATATATACATATTATCAGTCCAGGGAGCATAAAATTTATAAATGTGAACATTAGTCTCAGAATGTGAACAGACTGGAATTTAGATTTGAATAATAAAAATCTAAGCTTTTGAGCGATCAGAATCCACAAATGATAAAAAGTGGCAAAGGCTAACCTGGTTTTTTCTGTAGCCAAGGCAATCATTAACGTTTTGTCTAATGATCTTTCCCCAGGGAAACATATGACCAGCCAGAGAGAGAGTAGCAGCAGGCAAACCAACAGAGAAGATTTATATTCGGATAAATCAATTAGGGTTTACAGCCTTGCTTTGCCTCATTTCCTCATACATGAAATGAAAATAACACCTTCTTTATGTTTCTATTGAGCATTTATGACAATGTATTAAAGTAACTGACAGGCAGCAAATTTTCCATAAATGCTACCATTGGGATAAGTAAGGAGATCTAGATTAAGGAAAGACTGGTTTTAAATTTCTCTTCATCTTTCCCCATCTTTCCCTCCTGTCTTTCTCTATGGGTACATGGATTTTTTCTCCTTTATCCAAAGGCATACCGATATTAAATGTGATAGAATAAAAGAACATAACTCTTTGTTGATTTCATCTATATAATATGCAGATGATTTTGCAGCATCAGAACAAAGGTCTGACAACATTTTAAGATCTAAGACAACAAATCAAAGCCAATTGGATAAATATATATTTTTGAGACAGTCTCCCTCTGTCGCCCAGGCTGGAGTGCAATGGTGCAATCTCGGCTCACTGCAACCTTCGCCTCCTGGGTTCAAACAATTCTACTGCCTTAGCCTCCTGAGTAGCTGGGATTACAGGCGCTTGCCACCATGTCCGGCTAATTTTGGTATTTTTAGTAGAGACGGGGTTTCGCCATGTTGGTCAGGCTAGTCTCGAACTCCTGACCTCATGATCTGCCTGCCTCGGCCTCCCAAAGTGCTGGGATTACAGGTGTGAGCCACTGTGCCCGGCTAAATAATTACTTTTAAAAATATTAAGTAAAAAAAAGTTGAACTGGAATACAACAGGAAAGAAGGTAACAGATACACATACACACATACATGATTGTCTTTTCTGGAGAAAAGAAAACTGAAAGTTTATAGCAGGCTGGGTGCAATGGCTATACCAAGACCCTGTCTTTCAAGACAAACAAACAAACAAACAAACAAACGAAAAGTTTACAGAAAAGAGAGACCATGGGACAAAAGGATTTCTCTTTAACATAGCCTTTCCCATTAAAAAATTTAGGCCAGGTACAGTGGCTCATACCTGTAATCCCAGTACTTTGGGAGGCCAAGACAGGTGGATCACCTGAGGTCGGGAGTTCTAAACCAGCCTGACCAACATGGAGAAACCCCATCTCTACTAAGAATACAAAATTAGCCAGGTGTAGTGGCGCATGCCTGTAATCCCAGCTACTTGGGAGGCTGAGCCAGAAGAATTGCTTGAACCCGGGAGGCGGAGGTTGCAGCGAGCCGAGATCGCACCATTGTATTCCAGCCTGGGCAACAAGAGCAAAACTCCGTCTCAAAAAAAAATTTAAAGTCTTTTCCCCCCAACCAGGAGACAAAGACTCCAGGGAAATGGGGTAAATGTTCCCTAAATGTCTTTTTATACCTATTATGATTCAGGGTTAACACCAATTAGATGAATGAGTGTGTGTGTGTGTGTGTGTGTGTGTGTGTATGTGTGTGTGTTTAATACATTGTCTCATAAATAGGAATTGCCTAAATACAAGAAAAACTTGAATGATGACCTTTAAAAATAAAGTTAAAAATACTTTCACTGTACCAAATGCCTATTATTTTTAAACCTGTTTTCCAATTTAATTGTAAGAGCTGAATTTATTAGCCAACCAGTTGACACCACATATAAACATTTCTGATGCCTCAATGCACCTGAAAGAGCCCATATATATGTTCCCATCTGATCTAGAAATAACTAGTTCTATTGTCATCTTCCATCATGTAATAAAACAAATTAAATTCAGCTGTCAAAACAGGTTCATTACAAATTCACTAAAATCCCTATTAACTTAGAATATGGTAAACTAAGACTATATTTAGACTACAGTAAACTAATAATTTATACTATATTTAGACCATGGTAAACTAAGAATTCCTTCCAAGCAATGGCTTTAAGTAATGTGTAAAAAAAAAAAGAATAAAGTTAACTAAGTAAAATACCCTTACATCCATAATCATTTTGCAGTTTTTACAAGGTCCAATCTGGCTAAAGAGTTGCAGAATTAGAGCTTCTGTCACATCTCTGGAAAGGTTACCGACGTATCTGAAACACAAAGAGAAACAATTTACCTTTTTTTTTTTTTGAGACAGAGTTTCACTCTTGTTGCCCAGGATAGAGTGCAATGGCACGATCTCGGCTCACCACAACCTCCGCCTCCAGGGTTCAAGTGATTCCCCTGCCTCAGCCTCCCCGAGTAGCTGGGATTACAGGCATGCGTGACCACACCCAGCTAATTTTGTATTTTTAGTAGAGACGGGGTTTCTCCATGTTGGTCAGGCTGGTCTCCAACTCCTGACCTCAGGTGACCCGCCTGCTTCAGCCTCCCAAAGTGCTGAAATTACAGGTGTGAGCCACTGCACCCGGTTTTTTTTTTTAAGAGAAATAGTCTGGCTATATTGCTCAGGCTGCTCTCAAACTCCTGGCCTCAAGCAAACCTACTGCCTTGGTCCCCTGAGTAACGGACTAGAGGAACCACCACACCCAGCTCAATTTACCTCAATTTATTTTTTTTTCAGACAAGGTCTTCTGGGTTGCCCAGACTAGAGTGTAGTGGCGCAATCTTGGCTCACTACAATCTCCACCTCCTGGGCACAAGGGATTCTCCCACTTCAGCCTCCCAAGTAGCTGGGACCACAGGCGTGTGCCATCATATCTGGCTAATTTTTTTACAGTTTCTGTAGAGAAGGCGTTTCACCATGTTGCTGAGCTGGTCTCAAACTCCTGGGTTCAAGCGATCTGCCTGCCTTGGCCTCCCAAAGTGTAATCTTAAAGATTACAGGCATGAGGCATTGTGCCCAGCCCTTGATTTACCATTTTTAATTTGCTTATTCTCCATCGGTTTCTAAAGTTGTTCATTAAAAATTAAACTTGAGAAATAGGCAGATCTTTGCCTTAAACTATAATATTTGGGAGTAACTTTTAAAAGTTTGCCAACACTTCAAAATCTCTTTGAAAACAGATGTAAAGTATGTTATTTGAAAATATATTAGCTAGGTGTGGTGGCTCACGCCTGTAATCCCAGCACTTTGGGAAGCCAAGGTGGGAAGATCACCTGAGGCCAGGAGTTGAGACCAGCCTGGTAAACATGGTGAAACCCTGTCTCTACTAAAAACACAAAAATTAGCCAGGCATGGTGGTGCACATCTGTAAACCCAGCTACTTGGGAGGCTGAGGCAGGAGAATCACTTGAACCCAGGAGGCAGAGGCTGGGTTAGCTGAGGTTGCACCACTGCACTCCAGCCTGGGCAACAGAGTGAGACTATGTCTCAAAAAAGAAAATATATTACACCTTGCTAGTGAAGGGGAAGCTAGTATGTGCTTGTCTGTTTTAGTCATCGTTTTGCAAACTGATTGCTTGTTTCTACGTTTCCAGGCTTACCTTAGGAAGACAAGCTTTAAAAACACTCAAATGAATCATCATTAGTTATATAAAATATCTTATACAATAATGGCTGGGCGAGGTGGCTCACACCTGTAATCCCAGCACTTTGGGAGGCTGAGGAGAGAGGATCACTTGAGGCAGGAGTTTGATACCAGCCTGGCCAACACAGTGAAACCCCTTCTCTACTAAAAACACAAAAATTAGCCGGGCGTGGTGGCGCCTGCCTGTAATCCCAGCTACTGGGGGACGGCTGAGGCATGAGAATTGCTTGAACCCAGGAGGCAGAGGTTGCAACGAGCCCCGATCACGCCACTGCACTCCAGCCTGGGTGACGGAGCAAGACTGTCTTTAAAAAGAAAAAAAAAGGCTGGGTGCGGTGGCTCATGCCTGTAATCCCAGCACTTTGGGAGGCCGAGGTGGGCGGATCACGAGGTCAGGAGATCAAGACCATCCTGGCTAACACGATGAAACCTCGTCTCTAATAAAAATATAAAAAATTAGCTGGGCGTGGTGGTGGGCGCCTGTAGTCCCGGCTACTCGGGAGGCTGAGGCAGGAGAACGGCGTGAACCTGGGAGACGGAACTTGCAGTGAGCCGAGATGGTGCCACTGCACTCCAGCTTGGGCAACAGAGCGAGACTCCATCTCAATTAAAAAAAAAAATGTATACCATCAAACCTAAAAGGCATTGCAATTATTTCTACTTCTATGGTATTACTACTACTAAGAACATTGACGTTCCCCCAAGTTTTTTTTTTTTTTTTTTTTTTTTTTTGTGGACAAAGTCTCTCTCTGTCGCCCAGGCTGGAGTGCAGTGGTGCGATCTCGGCTCATTGCAACCTCCACCTCCCAGGTTCAAGTGATTCTCCTGCCTCAGCCACCCACGTAGCTGGGGCTACAGGCGCCCGCCACCACGCCCAGCTAATTTTTTTATATTTTTGGTAGAGACGGGGTTTCACCATATTGGCCAGGCTGGTACCCCCAATTTTTAAATTAACATTATTTCCCTTATTTGTTCAATTTAGGTAGACTTTGGTTATGCAATGAACACATTTTTGAAAAGTTATAGGTAAATTATCAGTTGTTTTGAATGCTTACAGTGGGATGAGAAACCTTCCATTTAACATTACTGATCAGTAGAAGAGGGGTGAAAGGGAGTAGAAACATCACAGATTATGAGTTGGTTATCAATATAAAAATATAAATCGTGCATTACAAGACCATAAGACTGTGATGATCTTCATTTAAAGGGTTTAGATTAGGGGCAGTGGCTCACATCTGTAATCCCAGCACTTTTGGAGGCCAAGGTGGAAAGATCACTTTAGCCAAGGAGTTCAAGATCAGCCCAGTCAATACAGCGAGACCCCCGTCTCTACAAAAAATAAAAATAAAGATAAAAAATTAGCGGACATGGTGGCACTATGTCCCATGGCATGGTCCCAGCTACTTCGGACGCTGAGGTGGGAAGATCACTTGAACCCAGGAGTTAAGAGGCTGCAGTGAGCTATGATTATGCCACTGCACTCCATCCCAGGTGACAGAGCAAAACTCTATCTCTAAAAAGAAAATAAAGGTTTTACTATTTATTCATTTATTTAGAGACGGAGTCTTGCTCTGTCGCCCAGGCTGGAGTGCAGTGGCGTGATCTCGGCTCACTGCAAGCTCCGCCTCCTGAGTTCACGCCATTCTCCTGCCTCAGCCTCCCGAGTAGCTGGGACTACAGGCACCCGCCACCACGCCCGGCTAGTTTTTTGTATTTTTAGTAGAGATGGGGTTTCACCATGTTAGCCAGGATGGTCTCGATCTCCTGACCTCGTGATCTGCTTGCCTCGGCCTCCCAAAGTGTTTGGATTACAGGCGTGAGCCACTGCGCCCGGCCAATAAAGGGTTTATAAATAAGTTTTTAAATGAGATTTTGAGATGAGATTACCTCTAGTCATTTTACAGAGTTAGAGGTTTATCAGTTCTGGAATCAGGGAATGCAGTCTCCCCAGAATGGTAGTTTCTCATTTGTCTCTCAGGTACCCTTCAGAAAATTTGATACAAGGTATGGACTTTCTCCCCAGAAAAGTAAATATTCATACATGCTCACAAAGTGTGGAATCAATTTCTTCTTTCCATCTACCATTCAACAAACACATATTGAGTGCTTAACACGAAGCCTTTGGAAAAGGTTAAGATGGCAAAGGAAGAAATGCTGAGTCTTAATAACAAATGACATTTAACGATCAGGTAAAATAATGGTACTCAAAAGAGAAAGTAACAGCAACATTTACCCAACAGCAATTTACCAGTATTGGGAGTTATTACTACACCAAGTCTTTATTCTGAAAAAGAGACAGAATTAAGCATTTATCCTATTAAGTAGGAACTCCCACTAAATAGTGTAATCTAATAGCTCTAGTTTAGAAAAGTTCTCCTTTACAGGAGAATGCTAGTTAATAAATGTAGAAAGATAGTATTAAATTAACAATGTGTAAACCCTAATGAAATAACTGTTTCAGGCAAGGATCTTTAATTAATGCTTAAACTACTACATGAACAGTTGGTGTGGAAATAGTCACAAGGTGTCAAAGTTATCACATAGATTACTTAATAAATTGCAAAGGGAAAACCTTACCTTAAAAATGAGAGCTTTGGCTGTTACCACTATGACCCAGTGATAAAATTTTCAATTATTTTATAGATGGGCAACGACCAATGAGATACTGCATATATATAATATGAATTACACAGTATCACCTATGAAATATTTACATAAAAAAGTCTAACCTAAATCTAACCAAGCTGAAAATTAGATTTAAGTTTATAGGATATCAGGCAAATAAAACAATTCCATGAATCCAGATGTGGGACACTTTATAAGACAACTCAGTCTCTTCAAAAAATTATTGTCCTAAAACAAAAACAACAGATGACTGTTCTTGAATAAAAGGGAGTGGTGGCACAAGCCCGCAGCCCCAGCTACTTGAGAGGCTGAGGTGGGTGGATCCCTTGAACCCAGGAGTTTGAGTCCAGCCTGGGAACATAGCAAGACCTCATTTCTAAGATATAAATAAATAAAAGAAACAGAAAGCTGGGCACAGTGGCTCAAGCCTGAAATCCTAGCACTTTGGGAGGCCGAGGTAGGCAGTTCACTTGAGACCAGGAGTTAGAGACCAGCCTGGCCAACATGGTGAAACCTCATCTCTACTACAATAAATACAAAAATCAGCCAGGTGTGGTGGCGCATGCCTGTAATCCCAGCTACCTGGGAAGGGGAGGCACAAGAATCACTTGAACTTGGGAGGTGGACATTGCAGTGAGCTCATATTACACCACAGTACTCCAGCCAGGGTGACAGAGCAAGACACTGCCCTCCCTGCCCCCCCACCAAAAAAAAAGGACATAAAAAACACTGACAACCAAATACAATCAATAATGTTTAAATGGATCCCGGATGAGGGGAAAATAGTTTTTTCTTACAGAATTAATAAATGTAGAAAGAATGAGAGAAATAGAAAATCACCATTAAAACACCACAGTAATAATTTCTAAAGGAAGATCCACCCATGGAAGCTCACATTAGTTGATGAAACCTTAAAAGGGGAAACAGGGTATCTGAATAGCCTCAAAGTACCTCCACTAAAATATTTATTAAAAATTGGTTTTGGGACAGGTGCGGTGGCTCACGCCTGTAATCCTAGCACTTTGGGAGACCGAGGCGGATCACAGGTCAGGAGATCAAGACCATCCTGGCCAACATAGTGAAACCCCGTCTCTACTAAAAAATACAAAAAATTAGCTGGGCTTGGTGGCGTGTGCCTGTAGTTTCAGCTACTAGGGAGGCCGAGGCAGGAGAATCGCTTGAACCCAGGAGGCAGAGGTTGCAGTGAGCCGAGATCATGCCACTGTACTCCAGCCTGGCAACAGAGCGAGACTCTGTCTTAAAAAAAGAAAAAAAAAAGTTTTGACCAATGAACTAGTGGTTTTACATGACTATGAATTCTTTGGATATACCTCCCTCCAGGAAGTGTAACTTAATCTTCCTCTTCCTGAGTGTGAGCTAGCCTCGGTGACTTACTTCTAACCAACAGAGTAAGTTAAGAAAAAAGAAGTCACGGTGATTTTGGAGAACAGGAGAAACAGTACCCTTCCAAAGTGTCGGTAGGGTGTGGTGGCTCACACCTGTAAACCCAGTGCTTTGGGAGGCCGAGGTGAGAGATTCACTTGAGGCCAGTAGTTTGAGACCAGCTAGGGCAACATAGTGATATGCACCGTCTCTACAAAAAATAAGAAAAAATTAGCTGGGTGTGGTGGTGTGCACCTGTAGTTCCAGCTACTTGGGAAGCTGAAGTGAACAATGATTGTGCCACTGAACTCCAGTCTGGGCACCAGAGTGAGACCTTACCTCTAAAAAAAAAAAAAAGTGTTAAGGTCAGAAAGACCTCTCACAGAATGAAGGAGAATAAAGAGACGATGACGAAATGCAATGTGGTATTTTCCTGAATTGGATCCTAGAATATAAAAAGGATATCAGTGGAAAAATTGGAATAAAGCCTATAGTGTTAATTTCTTAATTTTGATAATTATACCACGGTTATATAAGATGGTAACATTAAGGGATGCTAGATGAAGGTTATCATGCCATTCTTCCGCAAAACCCTCCCCCGCAAAAAACAAAACTCTGTACTATCTCTGCATCTCTTGTGTGTCTACTCTCACCTGACTCTTGTGCCTATAAGAAATTTTCAGGATTAGCTGGGAGCGGTGGCTCACGCCTGTAATCCCAGCACTTTGGGAGGCTGAGGTGGGGGATCACTTGAGCTCAGGAGTTCGAGATCAGCCTGGCCAATATGTTGAAACTTGCCTCTACTAAAAACACAAAAAATTAGCCAAGTGTGATGGTGGGCGAGAGAATCACCTGAACCCGGGAAGTGGAGGTTGCAGTGAGCCGAGATCTCACCACGGCAGTCCAGCCTGAGTGACAGAGACTCAGTCTCAAAAAAAAAAAAAAAAAAAAAAAAAAAGGCAGAATTTGATAAGGTCTCTGAAAATTTGAGTAAAAACGATGAATAGTTTTTTACCTAATAATAAATTCCATAAGAGGTTTTCATTTTTATTCTTAGTTGGTATCTACCATCTAGAACAGGGGTCCCCAACTCCCCCCTAGGCCATGGACCATTATGCGTCCATGGCCTGTTAGGAACTGGGCCACACAGCAGGAGGTGAGCAGCAGGGGAGGGAGCATTACTGCTTGAGCTCTGCCTCCTGTAAGATCAGCAGCATTTGTGAACTGGGCATGCAAGGGATCTAGGTTGTGTGTTCCTTATGAGAATTTATCTAATGCCTGATGCTCTGAGGTGGAACAGTTTCATCCTGAAACCATCCCGCCCATGGAAAAATTGTCTTCCACAAAACTGGTCTCGGTGCCAAAAAGGCTGGGGACTGCTAGTCTAGAACACTGCCTGGAACATTGCAATATCATTGCAGTGATATTTATTGCTCTATAAATATCTGTTAAAGAGTTAAATGTACTGTCTCAGAATGACTTCTGAACATTTGCAATTTGCTAGAAAATTCTCTCATTTTGCTTAAGTTACCCTAGAGGGAAAAGATTAGTTATGTCTTTTGCTAATGAAGAAACTGTGTAAACACCAGGCACGGTGGCTCACACCTATAATCCCACTTTGGGAGGCTAAGGTGGGAAGATCGCTTGAGCCCAGGAGTTGGAGACCAGCCTGGGCAACACAGTGAGATCGCTTCTCTACAAATATTTTTAAAAATTAGCCAGACATGGTGGCACATGCCTATAGTCCCAGCTATTCAGGAGGCTGAGGTGGGAAGATCCCTTGAGCCTGAGAGGTCGAGGCTACAGTGAGCTGTGATCACACCACTGCGCCAGAGCCTGGACAACAGGATGAGACCCTATCTCAATTAAAATAAATAAATAAATAAATTGTGTAGAATAGTAAGTGCTTGTGTATATACTATACATCAGCATCCTAACCTTATTATTATTTAACAAATGTATACCCATCACAAAGAATAATCTGTTACAAGAGATGGCTGAAACTGCCTTACTAGTTGGGACCTCCTTCACTAGGTAAACCAGCTTGAACAAATGTATTCAATACTATGCCTGTAGACATCTTAAGGGATATCGATCCTCAAGACTTTTCATTTTTACTTATATTTTGCAACAAACTATAACATTTTAGATAACTGATATTACACATTTTAAAATAAATCCATTTATTGTTGACATCATTCTCACATGCCACATCTAAGCCACTGGTAATTCCTGTTGCTCTATTTTCAAAACATATCCATAATTCAACTACTTCCCATCACTTTCACCAGCACTAACTACAATTACAGGCACTGCTTTCTCTGATACCTGGATTGGCTTCCTGACTAGGCTACTTGCTTTTGCCAGTTTTAAGGTTAAGATAGGCTATACCACTACTCTGCGTGAAACCCACTTACAGCTTCCATTCCTACTCAGATAAGATAGCCCTCATAAGGATCCGTATGATCTGGCATTTTCTATCTCCCCTAACATTCCTATTTATCATTCTGACCTCATTTCCTACTCCTCTACTACATTTACTCTCTTCAGGCTAACCAACCAGCATGACCTGCCCCCAAGGGCCCCTTGCACTAGCTCTTTCTAGGGTGCTCCTCCTTCAGATAGAAGCATGGCTCTCCCTCATCTCCTTCACTTTTTTCCTCAAATGTCACTTATCAAAGGATGACCTTCCTTTATTATTCTCTATAAATATCCACCCCTTCCTCCTTACCATGCATACCCTGCATTATGTTTCTCCATAGCACTTATTACCATCTAACATAATTACTTATGTAAATTCGTAAAAGGCCTATTATATGTACTACCATATCCCCAGTTCCCAGAAGACGGACAGCCATGTAGTATGCTCTCAATATTACTGAGTGAATGTAATGTTTCTAGCATATTCTTAATTACTAGCAGTTATTTGGAAACATAAGTATTATCTAATAAATATCTCATTTTGGCCAACCTTGCCTTCAATCTAATCTTTAAAATAGGTCTGATTGTCGCCTGTAATCCCAGCACTTTGGGAGGCTGAGGCAGGCGGATCGCGAGGTCAGGAGATCGAGACCATCCTGGCTAACACGGTGAAACTGTGTCTCTACTACAAATACAAAAAATTAGCCAGGCGTGGTGGCGGGTGCCTGCAGTCCCAGCTACTCCGGAGGCTGAGGCAGGAGAATGGCGTGAACCTGGAAGGCAGAGCTTGCAGTGAGCCAAGATTGGGCCACTGCATTCCAGCCTGGGTGACAGAGCGAGACTCTGTCTCAAAAAAAAAAAAAAAAAAAAAAAGATAGGTCTGATTCTCAATACAAGAGATTTTATTTCATACAAATTACAAGGCCAATACTATTTGGAGAGTGGAGTAGACAACAAGAATGAAAGATGAGCATGGAGCAGAAGAAAGGCAAGGCCCTCATTAGTATATAGCAATTAATTGGGCTCCGTCTTGCTCTGTCATCCAGGCTGGAGTGCAGTGGCGTGATCTCGGCTCACTGCAACCTCCACCTCCCGGGCGATTCTCCTTCCTGAGCCTCCGGAGTCCCGAGTAGCTGAGGCTACTGGCATGTGTCACCACACCTAGCTAATTTTTGTATTTTTAGTAGAGATGGGGTTTCACCATGTTGCCCAGGTTGGTCTCAAACTTCTGACCTCAGGTGATCCACTCACCTCGGCTTCCCAAAGTGCTGGGATTACAGGTGTGAGCCACCATGCCTGGCCAGCTGCAGGCTTTTAAAGATGGTCTATAATTTACAGATCTGCATCTTAGCAAATGGGAAAGCCGCACAATAACAGTATAGTTATCTCAAAAGAGAACACTCATGCATTTGAGAGTAAACCACACAAAGGATATTAAGGTGTCTGGATTTGAGGGAATTAACTTTCATCAACTAACACCAGCAATGTTTTTCTAGTCTAGTGTGTAGCTTTTAGTTCACAAGTTGAATATTTTTAAAGTAACCAAGGCCAATTCAGACTCACTATACACGTATTTTTATTTTTTTACTGTGGAAAATTTCAAATTTATATATGGAGAAGAGTAGTATACATCACCCATATGCTCACTACAAATGTTTGAACTTATTAACTGTACCTTGAATACTCCTCAAAATAATCTTGCAGTATAAACTTTCGGGAAGTTTGTCTCAGAATATGATTCCAAAGTATTGGTGACAAGAAATCAAATACTGGTATTCTCTAACTTAACATGGAGATGCCGAACACTCAGATGTAGCAAATGAAGGAATTTCCAGTGAGCCATTTAGGTATGTGGGTGATAAAAATTCAGACTCTATTTTATCCTCAAGAAAGAGTAAAATCTTAATTCACTGCTTGAAATTCTACCAGATTTTTTTTTTTTTTTTTTTTTTTTTTGAGATGGAGCCTCCCTCCTGTTGCACAGGCTGGAGTGCAATGGCGCAACCTCGGCTCACTGCAACCTCCACCTCCCGGGTTCAAGCGATTCTCCTTCCTCAGCCTCCCGAGTAGCTGGGATTACAGGCATGCGCCACCATGCTCAGTTAATTTTTGTATTTGTAGTAGAGACAGGGTTTCGCCATGTTGGCCAGGCTGGTCTTGAACTCCTGCCCTCAAGTGATCCACCCTCCTCAGCCCCCCAAAGTGTTAGGATTATAGGCGTGAGCCACTGTGCCCAGCCAATTATACCAGTTTCTTAAACAAATGTATTGATTACTTACCATGGACCACACTAAGAACATATATTGAGAGGCTGTGTTTTTAATGTGCTAAGAACTCTGCTAAGAACATATATTAAAAGCCTCTGACTTCCAGGGTCATTAAAGCAAAAATCTTACATTAAAATTAAAAACACTATTAGGAAAACTTAGGGATTAGTACCCTCATGTTTGGTCAAGGTTTGCCTGACTAGAAAAATGGGAGTTTGGGTTGAGGGAGGTAGAAACAAGAGAAGACTTTTACAGTATGACTACTTTGAGGAAGAGTTTCTTGGATGGGGTGTATTAGTGAGGGATACAAGGCAAAATAAGTAATAAATGTAATAGTTAAAAGTTGAGGACAGGCCAGGCGCAGTGGCTCACACCTGTAATCCCAGCACTCTGGGAGGCCGAGGTGTGCGGATCACCTGAGGTCAGGAGTTCGAGACCAGCTTGGCCGACATGGTGAAACCCCATCTCTACTAAAAATACAAAAATTAGCCGGGCATGGTGGTGCCCGCATGTAGTGCCAGCTACTTGGGAGGGTGAGGCAGGAGAATCATTTAAACCCAGGAGGTGGAGGTTGCAGTGAGCCGAAATCGCATCACTGCACTCTAGCCTTGCAGCCTGGGTGACAAAGTGAGACTCCATCTCAAAAAATTAAAAAGTAAAAACAAAATTAAAAAGTTAAAAAGTTAAGTGGTCAGATACTTCTGCAGTTTCTAAAATTAAACATTTTCAAACTAATACTGAGAATATTAAGTTTACATTATAAAACACGAGCAGTGCCTTAACCCAAAATGCTGATGACTGTCATAGCTAAGAGGCAAGAGGGAAGAGATTCCACCAACACCGTGAGGCTAGTAGTTTTTTAGGGAGTATTCATCTACAGATACAATCTTTCCTAAAACAAAGGTCATGCACTAATTGCTACGTCCTACTGAAAAGATACTTTCTGAGCCTCAGGAATAGAGAAAAGAAATTTCAAGGTTACTAACAGATTAACTGACAATCTATTAAGAAAACAAGTGTAACCACATTTCCAATATAGACAAGAAATAGCAACTTAAAAGTGGAAAAATTTTGGAGGTAAAAAAACAATTACATCGTACTTCAGAGCAACTTTATTAGAGAGCTGCAAAGAGAAACCTAAAATTGCATTTTTAATGCATGGAGCTCTCAAACTGCCAGTATTCCAAGAATATAAACAAAAAGCTATGTCATCCAAGAAAAACAAAAAGCTATGTCAAGAACTCATTGAGCTTTTCTTCTTCCGAGAAATGCCAACAAAGGCAGGATCAACTCATCCGATAATACCTCGAAAAACAAAGAACGCAGTTGGGGAAGCCACACGACAAAGAAAATATCCACGCTCCGGTAATTTAACGCTATCTCTAAAAATTCTCTGTAAATATGTTAGGGCATTTACAGCCCGCTCGTTCAACACCATGTCAATCACAACAGTAGTAAACGACTATAAAAATAATATTAAATCCATTTCCCCTCAATTGATATATTCCTTCTGGGTGAGATTTCCAAATCCTTGGGGTGTCTGGTTAGGCTTTTTGGTCGGTGGGTGCTACAGAAGGAAAGCCAGAGGTTAAAGAAAAATGCTTGGCTTTTTTCCAATTGGCAACTGCAAGAATAAAGTTTACTGCACTGAAAATGAGTACAAGCACCCTCGAGGAGGAAAAAAAATCTTATCACCGAGAAGAAAATGAAAGGAAGAATTTCAGTAGGAAATCAAAAGTAAAATTAAAGGGAGACGGCTGTAAAGATAAGAAGAGGTTAATCAAAAAGGGGGAGAAGCGGGAAAAGGAAAGAAAGCATAGGACAAAAGGAAGGTTCGACGAGTTCTAAAAAGAGGTCTGAATTAAAGTCTTTTCTCCAGGTCTAAGACCACAGAGGGCCCGTGGCGAGAGCAAAGGTCATGCAATGGTGTTGCTAAAGTGAAGGGATTAATTGAGAGGGTTGAGCCCCGTCTCCCTTCACCTCGTCCTCACAGATTGGGTCTTGGTTGTAAGCATCCAGGTGCATGCTAAGGAAACAAAAACCACGATATCGCGGTGTCCACGGAGAACAATAGGCTGGGAGCGGCGCAGGGCCGAGGCCTTCCCTCCGGGACGACCACCATCCCGCCTCCCTCATCGCTGCCCCAGACTCACAGAGTCTTGGGCATCTCGTCCTCCATGGCTGCTGCTGTCGCGGCGGCGCCTCCAGGTCCAGCTCCCTGCCCTTCACTACCTCCCAAATCGTTTAAGCGGTTATGGCTACAGGATAGTGGGGTTTCTCGGCTGACCAGAGGTTACTCCGCCTCCTCCTCCGGCGGCAATTACACTAAACCGCCCGGCCCAGCGGGAACAATGAAACCCCAATACAAGATGGCGGCGAGCCGGGAGCCTAGGAGCAGCCAGCAAAGTTACCCGGGCCGCGCAGGCGCAGAATAATCTTGCACTCTCAACCTCCGGGCCGCCCGGCTACACCTTAATCCATAGGTTCACTTGTTGCGCAGCCGCTCTTCCACCCGACGCGAGGGACGCCTCAGACTGCGCAGGCGCAAGTATTAACTACTTCACGATTTGCGTGAACTTTTTTGTCTTCTGGCTGCGGATTCGAGTGTTTCGACCGCGAATTATGAGGGAGTGGAAACCTTCAGGGACAGTAAAAAGCCTAAATCTTTCCTCTTTTGGAAAGATATATAAAGACTCTTCAAGCTATCTGGTTTTTAGCGAGCGAGAAGCAAAACGCCTATGCGCCGCCCGGGAATCGAACCCGGGTCGCAAGAATGGGAATCTTGCATGATACCACTACACCAGCGGCGCTGTTGACATGCCCAGCCGCCACAGTATTTTAGGAGGAAATAGAAGCAGACGTTCTCTCATGTGAAAAGAATTGTCATGTATTATTTATTCATTTAAAAGTAAAAGTTTATTGACAGTCTGTAATCTTCTGTTTTCCAATAACATAAATAATTTATCTTTTCTCATCCCAAACATAGGAATGGATGTTTCAACTTTCTCTGTACAGAAAAAAAATTTCAATTTAAAATGTTTACTTAAGAAATAAGAAAAAAGAAAAAAAGTTTTACTTAAAAAAGTAAGGATTTTATTAAGAATTTGCGTCGTTGGTGCTAGCCAGATTTTTCAGCGCGGGGAGGATATTTCCAGATGCCAGATTTTTATTTATATTTGCATTTCTTCCGTGTATTGATTGCACATTGAAAAGCATTTAAGAAATAGCTGTTTAGGCCGGGGGCAGTGGCTCACGCCTGTTATTCCAGCACTTTGGATGGCTGAGGCGGGCGGATCACCTGAGATCAGGAGTTCGAGACCAGCCTGACCAACATGGCGAAACCCTGTCTCTACTAAAAATACAAAAATTAGCTGGATGTGGTGGTGGGGGCCCGTAATCCCAACTACTCAGGAGGCTGAGGCAGGAGAATCCTTGAATCTGGGAGGTGGAGATTGCAGTGAGCCGAGATCTTGCCATTGCACTCCAGCCTGGGCAACAGAACGAGGATCCGTCTCAAAAAACAAACAAAGAAACAAACAAAAAACCCCAGCTATTTAATGCAAATTGGTCACAAGAATCTTAAAAGTAAACAAGTCAAAAGATACATAAACTTCAGTCCAACTTTAGGAGGCAGAGAAATTAGAGCTCTGAAATGTGATTCAGTATACTCTGTATGCATTTCACATTGCTTATTATATATATATGTCACTAAAGTAATCCTATGTCTAGGAATCTATCCTACAGAAATAAAACAATTAATTTATAAAGATTTATGTGCCAAGATACAACTGCAGCATTGTTTACAGTAGAAAAAAATGGAGTAACCTGAATATCCATCAATGCCACTTATGGTAATTTATTCAATTTACACCAAATACATGTGGAACTTTTTCTTTTTCTTTCTTTCTTTTTTTTTTTTGAGACAGTCTCGCTCTATCTCCCAGGCTGGAGTGCAGTGACACAATCTTGGCTCACTGCAACCTCTGCCTCCCAGGTTCAAGCGATTCTCCTGCCTCAGCCTCCCTAGTAGCTGGGATTACAGACGTGCGCCACCACCTAAATTAGCCTAACTAATTTTTGTATTTTAGTAGAGACAGGGTTTTGCCATGTTGGCCAGGCTGGTCTTGAACTCCTGACCTCAGGTGATCTGCCTGCCTTAGCCTCCCAAAGTGCTGAGATAACAGACGTGAGCCGCTGCCCCCAGATGGAACATTCATTTTATGGACTATTTTGCAGTTATTGAAAAGCTATTAATCAGATCTGTAGTGTTGAACTGGAAAATATCTATGATGTAAGTTTATTTAAGTTGTAGAAATATTTTTTAAACATAGGAGAATTTACACATCGAAAAACGTGATGTCGGCTGAGCGGGGCGGCTCACGCCTGTAATCCCAGTCTTTGGGAGACCGAGGCAGGCAGATCACTAGAGCTCAGGAGTTCAAGACCAGCGTGGCCAACATGGAGAAACCCCGTCTCTACTTTAAAATACAAAAATTAGCCAGATGTGGCGGCACATGTCTGTAATCCCGGCTACTCGGGAGGCTGAGGTAGGAGGAGAATCACTTGAACCCGGGAGTCGGAGGTTGCAGTGAGCCCCTGGGCCACAGAGCAAGACTCCTCAAAAACAAAACAAAACACCAAAAAAACAAAAACGTGATGTCCTCTTTAAAGTAGTTTCTTCAGACTGTATACATTCTGGATTTTTCATTTTTGGAATTGTCTTTAGAGTCTCTGACACATTCTTCAGATTATTTTCAAAGATATCAAGTACTAGTCTTTTGATGGTGAATAAAACAAATGTTAATGGGGATGGTGTTTTAAAAACACCTTTTTGGGACATCCATATAAAGTGTTTTTCAGTTTAATGGTTTTTAGTTTATTCACAGAGGTGTGTGTGCAACAATCACCACAATCAATTTTATAACATTTTCTTCACCTCAAAAAGGAAACCCGTAGCAATTAGCAGACACTCCCTGTCCCTCATCCCATTCCATGTCCCAGCCACTAGTCTTTCTGCCCCTATAGATTTGCCTATTCTAGACATTTCATATAAATGGAAGCATGTAATATATGGTTTCTTGTAACTGACTTATTTCACTTAACATTATGCTTTTCAGGGTCATCTATGTTGTAACGTGTATCGGTACTTCATTCCTTTTTATTCCCAAATAAAACTCCATTATATGGATATTGCACAAGTACTTTTTTTAAAGTAGTTTTTAAGTTACAAAAGTACAACGTGCTTAGTGTTACAAATGAAATGAAATGGATACATAAGGAAAATATTAAAAATGTATCTTCTTCCTCCTTTTGAGGTAAGTAATATTAATAGATTCATCTGTAATATTCCACATTTTACTCTATACAGATGCACATGTATACACTTGGGATTTTTAGGGTTTTTTTTTTTGTTTTTTGTTTTTTTTTTACAGAGTGTCACCCAGAGTGACAGTGTCTTGGCTCACTGTGAACTCTGTCTCCTGGGCTCAAGCGTTTCTTGTGCCTCAGCCTCCAGAGTAGTTGGGATTACAGGTGTGAGCCACCACACCTGGCTAGTTTTTTTTTTTGAGACAGAGTTTCGCTCTTGTTGCCCAGGCTGGAGTGCAATGGCATGATCTCGGCTCACTGCCACCTCCACCTCCCGGGTTCAAGCGATTCTCCTGCCTCAGCCTCCCGAGTAGGTGGGATTACAGGCATGTGCCACCATGCCCGGCTAATTTTATATTTTTAGTAGAGATGGGGTTTCTCCGTGTTGGTCAGGCTGGTCTTGAATTCCTGACCTCAGATGATCTGCCTGCCTCGGCCTCCCAAAGTGCTGGGATTACAGGCGTGAGCCACCATGCCCGGCCTAATTTTTTTTTATTTTTAGTAGAGACAGGATTTCACCATGATGGCCAGGCTGGTCTCAAACTCCTGACTTCAAATGATCCACCCGCCTGATCTCAGCTCACTGCAACCTCTGCCTCCCAGGTTCAAGCGATTTTCCTGCCTCAGCCCGCCTAGTAGCTGAGATTACAGGCGTGGGCCAGCATGCCCCGCTAATTTTTGCATTTTTTAGTAGAGATGGGGTGTCACCATGTTGGACTGTCTGGTCTCAAACTCCTAACCTCAAGTGATCCGCCCACCTTGGCCTCCCAAAATGCTGGGATTACAGGTGTGAGCCACTGCGCCGGGCTTTTTTTTTTTTTTTTTTTTTTGAGACAGGGTCTCGCTCTGTTGCCCAGGCTGGAGTGCAGTGGCAATGATGTCAGCTCACTGCAGCCTCTGCCTCCAGGCTCAGGTGTTCCTGCTACCTTAGCCTCCTGAGTAGCTGGGACTACAGGCACGTGCCACCATGCCTGGCTAATTTTTTTTTTTTTTTGAGATAGAGTTTCACTCTTGTTGCCCAGGCTGGAGTGCAATGGCTCGATCTCAGCTCACTGCAACCTCCACCTCCCGGGTTCAAGCAATTCTCCTGCCTCAGCCTCCTGAGTTGCTGGGATTACAAGCGCCTGCCACCACACCCGGCCAATTTTTGTATTTTTAGTAGAGATGGGGTTTCACCATATTGGCCAGGCTGGTCTCGAATTCCTGACCTCAGGTCATCCGCCTGCCTCGGCCTCCCAAAGTGCTGGGATTACAGGCATGAGCCACCATGCCCGGCCCACGCCCAGCTAATTTTTGTATTCTTTGTAGAGACGGAGGTCTCACTTTGTTGCCCAGATTGGTCTCAAATTGCTGGGCTCAAGTGATGCACCAGCCTCGGCCTCCCAAAATGCTGGAATTACAGGTGTGAGCCACTGCGCCCAGTCCTGGCCTAATAGTTTTTTAATAGTTGCAAAATCGTCCATAAAATGAAAGTTCCCCAATGTATTGAATGGTAAATTGAATAAATTACCATAACTGGCATTGATGGATATTCAGGTTACTACTTTTCAAAAACCTATTGTATTACAAATAATGTTGCAGTTGTATCCTGGTACATGTACCTTTTTTTTTTTTTTTTTTTTTTTTGGAGGTTGGGGGGCAGAGTCTCACTCTGTGCCCAGACTGGAATGCAGTACCACAATCACTGCTCACCTCAGCCTCTACCTCCCAGGCTCAGGTGATCCTCCTGCCTCAGCCTCCTGAGTAGCTGGGACTACAGGTGCACACCACCATGCCAGGCTAATTTTTTTGTATTTTTTCGTAGAAACGGGGTTTCGCCATTTTGCTCAGGCTGGTCTCGAACCCTGGGCTCAAATCGTCCGCCTGCCCTAGCCTCCCAAAGTGCTGGGATTACAGGTGTGAGCCACTGAGCCCAGCCTCTTTCTCCAAGTTTAACTTTATTTTGTATCCAACCTATTTTCTTCTCATCTATATTGTTCTTCATGTTCATGTACTAGTTATTTTTGTTTGTTTGTTTGGGTGAAGTATTGTAATTACAGAAATGAGACTTTTTTTTTTTAAATGAAAGGCCTCACATATTTATTACTGAACCCAGCCAACCAATGCGTTCATAACAGATTCGGAGAGGAAAACACGTCGAACTCTCCAGATAGGGGTGACATTTTCAGCTTGATATGGTAACGTGATCGTGACCTTCAGACAGCATAAATATGTGTGCCATCTCATGTACAATTCCTTATAGACCCAGCTTGGTTCTTCTCCAATGTCTCCTTTTGGAGTTGTACCTGATTTTATTTCCAGTTTTCATCCGAATCCACTGGGGAATGGGACGATTTTGCTTTTGTTTCTTGGGCAGGAATCACTTAATCCTGAAAGTCTTGTGAGAAGACATGGTGAGGGTGGAGTCAAGAACACACCACGATGGCAGAGAAAGGAAAAGAGGCATGAGATCATTTTATACCCATCATGCAACCACAAGCTTTTCTCAACTGATAATACTAGGACATTAGTTATAGACCCATTTTTTTTTTTTTTGAGACGGAGTCTCACTCTGTCGCCCAGGTTGGAGTGCAGTGGCGTAATCTTGGCTCACTGCAGCCTCTGCCTCCTGGGTTCAAGCAATTGTCCTGTCTCAGCGTTCCTGAGTAGCTGGGATTACAGGTGTGCGCTACCACGCCTGGCTGATTTTTATATTTTTAGTAGTAGAGACAGGGTTTCACCATGTTGACCAGCCTGGTCTCAAATTCCTGACCTCAGGTGATCTGCCTGCTTCAGCCTCCCAAAGTGCTGGGATTACAGGTGTGAGCCACTGCGCCAAGCTCCAACATTCTTTTTTTGTAATTTTTTTTTTTTTTGAGATCAGCCTGTCAGGTTGGAGTGCAGTGGTGCAATCTCAGCTCACTGCAACCTTGGCCTCCCAAGTTCAAGTGATTCTCCTGCCTCAACCTCCCAAGTAGGTGGGATTACAGGCATGCATCACCACGCCCAGCTAATTTTTGTATTCTTAGTAGAGGCAGAGTTTTGCCACGTTGGCCAGGCTGGTCTTGAACTCCTGACCTCAGATATTCTGCCTGCCTTGGTCTCCCAGAGTGCTGGGATTACAGGCGTGAGCCACCGTGCCTGGCTTCCTTTTAATGCATGCATAATGTTCTATTGTATGGTATGTTGGGGAGAAAAAAAGAGTTTTCCTCTACCCTTCCGAGGTTTTGGTTGTGATAGACCCCTGTAACAAAAGACAGATTAACAAGAAGAAAACAAACAGGACCAGGCATGGTGGCTCATGCCTGTAATCCCAACACTTTGGGAGCCCAGGAGTTCCAGACCAGCCTGGGCAATATGGCAAAAAACCATCTCTACAAAAAATGTAAAAATTAGCTGGGCATGGTAGTGGATGCCTGTGGTCCCAGGTACTCTACTCTGGTGGCTGAGGTGGGTGGATCGCTTGAGCCCAGGAGCGAGAGGTTGCAGTGAGCCGTGATAGTGCCATTGCACTTCAGCCTGGGTGACAGAGCGAAGCCATCTCAAAATAAATAAAAGAAAGAAAGAAAAAAAGAAAAACAGAAATTTAAAAACATGTACGTCACGTATTCAAAAGAGAGACCAGGGAAATGAGCAAATCTCCAAGAGGTAGCTTTGAATTCAGGATTATACAGCATCTTCAAAAAAGAACAGTATATGTTTAGAGAAGTGTTAAGAGAACCGGGCACAGTGACTCACGCCTGTAATTCCAGCACTTTGGGAGGCCGAGGTGGGCGGATCACCTGAGGTCGGGAGTTCGAGACCAGCCTAACCAACACGGAGAAACCCCATCTCTACTAAAAATACAAAATTAGCTGGGTGTGGTGGCGCTTCCCTATAATCCCAGCTACTCAGGAGGCTGAGGCAGGAGAATTGCTTGAACCCGAGAGGCGGACGTTGCCGTGAGACTGCGCCATTGCACTCCAGCCTGGGCAACAAGAGCGAAACTTCGTCTCAAAAAAAAAAAAAAAAAGAAAGAAAGAAAAAAAAAGAGAAGTGTTAAGAGAAGGAAAATGATTTTGAGTCTCTAGGGGTGGCAAATTATGGGAAGGCAAATACGCGATAGAAAAAGGCTCATTAATGAAGTTTGTCATGTAGATTCCTGGCTGATAAAGGTTTGTCAAAAGACAAAATTACAACTAATTTAGTTTAAAGAGCATAATTGGCTTTTAGTTGCGATTGTAGAATTGTGCAACACCTCATTTTATAAAATCGAATGAGTGTTCCTATGAGTTGAGTGGAGGAGGTTGGCTTTCAGAAAGGGCTGAAGAAAGCAGAAACAGAAAAGTGCATTGGTTGTTTCGAGGTTACTTTCCTTGAAAAGTTTAAAGCAGAGGGTATTTCCTTATCATGTCACTTCAAACTGGTCTGTCGGGAATTTGGCTATTATTTTTCTTTCTCCTGATTTCTTAGAAAGTCAGATCGACAACTTAGTTTTGACCTTGTGATGTGGAACATGAGTGACTTGAGTGACTCCATTTTGGTTTAGTCTGTTGGGCCTAGTCTAGTGCAGGAGCTCAGTCCAAACCAATGGCTTCCTATGAATTTTATTTAACAGGCGTAAAATTGTCTTTAGTGATTAACCTTTGTCCTTCCAGGCAGTGTGGGAAGAGGGATACCTTTGCCTTTTAAAATTTATGTCCTGCTTTACTTCAGACATTACACTAAATAGGAGTGTTGAGTATAAAAATGAATTCACAATTAAAGTTGTTAAATTATTTGTATATAACTTTAAAAGGAGTTTTTTTGAAGCTTTGTAATTACATTGAAAGTATATTTGTTTCCTTGAAAACAATTTTTTGAAAAGTGAATAATAATATAATACAGCTTTCAAATTACTTTATGCTGTTACTTTATTTCTATTGTATTCACATGTGAAAGTATGTGATCAGTTGTTGCTGTATCAGAGATATTAGAGATTCTTTATTAGTTGGGCATTCTTTATGACCTTTTCTATAAAAGAGTAAGGACATTAAAATGTAAGATGCATGATAAAAATATAAGTAGCGAGGCTCATTGTAGTTAGCCTAAATTAAGTAATGTTTAAGGTAGGTGTTCATGGCCAGGCGCGGTGGCTCACACCTGTAATCCCAGCACTTTGTGAGGCCGAGGCGGGTGGATCATGAGGTCAGGAGATCGAGACCATCCTGGCTGACACACTGAAACCTCGTCTCTACTAAAAATACACAAAATTAGCCAGGCACGGTGGCGGGTGCCTGTAGTCCCAGCTACAGGCTGAGGCAGAAGAATTGCTTGAACCCGGGACGTAGAGTTTGCAGTGAGCTGAGATCGCACCACTGCACTCCAGACTGGGCAACAGAGCGAGACTCCGTCTCAAAAAAAAAAAAAAAAAGTAAGTGTTCAGAGTAATACTTTTCTACATTATACTGAGAGAAATTATAAATTATAAAGTATATCAAATTATATTATTTTACTAATTTTACTTTTATGTAATAAAATGCAATATATTTAAAAATTGTTAAAAAAATAAAATTTATGTCCTGCTTTTAGGCAAATGGGGAAGGCGGAGAACTTTCCACCCACGTATCTACATCGTATCTACATCTTCTCAATTGTCTTCGGCTTGAAATAATCCTTAGGCTAAAGAGGCGTATTTTGGGGTGGCACATTCTGGTGTCCTTACAGGTACACTACTTTTATTCATGTCTGTTACTACTATTACACCCCCTTCACCTTGGGCCACCCCATCCTCAGTCTCCCTCATTTTTCTTTACAGTTAGCACCATTTACCCATTCACGGAGAACCTTACAGTTCTCGCAACAGGGTGATCACTCAGTAAGTACTGTTGTCCCTTTGGTCTGTTTCTGGCAGCGATTAGCTGTGCGCATTCTTTGAGAGGAGCGACGGAGGGAACAGAAGAGGGTACTAGTGAAGAACTAAGGTGCTTCACCCAAATAGATAGGGAAGGAGGAGGAGAGCTGAGGCGAGCCTCAGCTTCTGCCTTTTTTTTTTTTTTTTTTTTTTTGAGACGGAGTCTGGCTCTGTCTCCCAGGCTGGAGTGCAGTGGCGCAATCTCGGCTCACTGCAAGCTCCGCCTCCCGGGTTCACGCCATTCTCCTGCCTCAGCCTCCCGAGTAGCTGGGACTACAGGCGCCCGCCACTATGCCGAGCTAAATTTTTGTATTTTTAGTAGAGACGGGGTTTCACCGTGTTAGCCAGGATGGTCTCGATCTCCTGACCTCATGATCCACCCACCTCGGCCTCCCAAAGTGCTGGGATTACAGGCTTGAGCCACCGCGCCCGGCCAGCTTCTGCCTTCGATGTCTTCTGAAGGAGGGTGGGCTTCGAGGCGGCAGGATGTGCTTAGGGCACTGAGTGGCCCAGAGTGGGGAGCTCCTGCAGGGTTGAGAGGACCGGCGGGGCGAGGTCGGGGCGGGGCTCGCAGGACCTGGGCGGGGCTCGCAGGGGCTGGGCGGCCTGGGGGCGGGGCTGGGCGGAGCGCGCAGCCGCGCAGCGGTGGGAGGACTGCGGGGCTCTTGAGGCCAGCTGCAGAGCTTGTGGAGGCCATGGGGCGCGTCGTCGCGGAGCTCGTCTCCTCGCTGCTGGGGTTGTGGCTGTTGCTGTGCAGCTGCGGATGCCCCGAGGGCGCCGAGCTGCGTGCTCCGCCAGATAAAATCGGTAGGCGAGAAGGGGGCGGCGCGGGAAGGTGCTGGAGCGCGCCCCGCGCCGGGCGGCCGCTGCGCAGTGCGCCCAGATCCCACAGCCGCGACGCAGTCCAGCGGTGCAGGCCGAGCCAGCTGCGCAGGTCGCGCTTTCCCCCATTCACACTTCAGGGCGGCTTTCAGCTCTGGTCGGAATAGGACTGTGCATTCCCAGGCGTGGAGAGGTGCCCACTTGAGGAATGGGCGTGGACGGGGACAGGGGCGGGCGGGCAGGCAGGCGCCTAGCGTACCTGTAGCCCCTGTCTCTTAGGTGTGGGGCTCCGGGGAGGCCTAGGTTTCTCTATCTTCCCGTTGAACACTGACCGTGAAGACTCCAGTGTTCTGGCTTGACCTGGGGCGCCCGGCCAGATTAACAGGCTCACGCAGGCACAGCACAGGGAGGAGTGCAAACAAGTTGACCCTGCCTGCTTCCCTTGGGAGGCTGAACCGCCTTCCCCCAGCTCCGCTTTGCTGAGGTCGGCCTGCTCTCAGAGGCCCTTGGCTTGCACAGTTTCTCCGCCTAGGACTAACACAGCTGCAGAAAGAATCTGTTCTCTTTCCACTGTCAAGAGCTCCAGTGTCAGGAGCCTTGGCTCTTTGCTTCCTGTCTCCCTCCCGCCCCCCTTTAAAGTTGTGTTCTTCGGTATCATTAACCTATCTACATTGAATCTAGACACAACAAAGCTAGGCATAAATGGCCGTCACTTTATTAAAAATGCGTGCTGGAAAGGTCCACCTCTAATGTGCCCGTGAGTTGGGCATCTGGAAGGGTGTGCAGGCCCCTTGGTTCCTCCATAAAGACCTGTGAGAATCTTTGGGCATCTGGAAAAAAAATCGAGTTAATGTCAATATGTTAATTAATCTACTGCTTTTGTCTGGGAACAGTGTCTGTCCAGATTCAGGGAGTTAGACCTTCGCTGCAGGTGTCACTCTTCCCCCACCAAATTGTTGGTAATAGCTTTGAGTAACAACCTCTGCTATTGATGGTCTTTCAAAAACAAAACAACTCACAGAGCTGGTAAAAGGGGAAAATATAATCTTCTGTTTTTTTCCCTCATAGCGATTATTGGAGCCGGAATTGGTGGCACTTCAGCAGCCTATTACCTGCGGCAGAAATTTGGGAAAGATGTGAAGATAGACCTGTTTGAAAGAGAAGAGGTCGGGGGCCGCCTGGCTACCATGATGGTGCAGGGGCAAGAATACGAGGCAGGAGGTTCTGTCATCCATCCTTTAAATCTGCACATGAAACGTTTTGTCAAAGACCTGGGTATGTAATTTTGGTCTTGGAGCTCACCAGATTACTGTGTGACATCCCCGGATATTTTTATCAGATGGAGAACTGAAATTTCTGCCTTGTTAATTGCCTTACAGAGACGTTGGTAAAACTGTTTTCCTCACTTTCTTGTTAGTTGGTACTGCCTGAGTTAGGAGCAGTTCTGCTGTAATGGGACACTAGTTGTCTGTATCTTCAGTTATCTGGAATTACAGCCATGGGGTGGGGGTGGGAATGGCTGCCATTGTCTTTTTTTTTCTTTTGAGGAGTTTCGCTCTTGTCGCTCAGGCTGGAGTGCAATGGTGCGATCTTGGCTCACTGCAACCTCTGCCTCCCGGGTTCAAGCGATTCTCCTGCCTTAGCCTCCTGAGTAGCTGGGATTACAGGTGCCTGCCACCACGCCCAGCTAATTTTTGTATTTTCAGTAGTGACGGGGTTTCACCATGTTGGCCAGCTGGTCTTGAACTCCTGACCTCAGGTGATCCGCCTGCCTTGGCCTTCCAAAGTGCTGGGATTACAGGGGTGAGCCACCGTGCCCGGCCTCTGTTGTCTGTTCTTAAAATTCTGGGTTTGTGTTAAAGAATCAGAGAAGGTTTGGAGATAGTCATCTCATTGTGATCATTTTGCAGCTGAGTAAATGAGACCCAGAGACTTGAATTGTCTGGCTCAAAGTCACTCACATATGGCCATGGCCAGGGTCAGTGGCTCATGCCTGTAATCCCAGCACTTTGGGAGGCCGAGGCAGAGGATCACTTGAGCCCAGGAGTTAGAAACCAGTCTGGGCAACATAGTGAGATCCTGTCTTTACTAAAAATAAAAAAGTTAGCCTGGTGTGATGGCACAAACCTGTAGTCCCAGCTTCTTGGGAGGCAGAGGCAGGAGGATCCCTTGAGCCTGGGAGATAGAAGCTGCAGTGAGCCTTGCATGCCACTGCACTCCAGCCTGGGCAACAAAGTGAGACCCTATCAAAACAAACCACCACCAACAAAACAAACTCCGTCACACAGCTGTGGATGCAGACACGTGCCTAGAACTTGGGATGTGCAACTGCTGCCCTGACAGCAGAGGAGCTGGATAGGTCATGGGGAAAGTCTGACAGGCCTCTGGAGGCCCTTTCGGCAGGGAGTATTTTGTAACTTTGGCCTCCTTCCAGTTATCTGAAATATCCAGTTTTGCAAAATAGGATTCTCACAGGAATGGAAGTGCCTCAGCTGCCTTCCACATCCTCTGTAGATGCTGCCTCTGCTTCCGTTTCCTCCACGAGGGCGAAGGTATACCCAGAACAAATTATGCCACGAAGATGCATGTCTGACATCTTTGTTTTTAAATTGAATTCAGTTGGTACTCTGGCTTTTTTCCTTTGACTATCCAGTTTTTTTAGACTTTTAGTCTAAAAATAGCCAGGTAAAAATATATCTACTTTTGATATATTAATATTTACATGATCATCTGACCCATCGCCTAGCAAATCTGCTTTTGGACAGTGTAGTGAAAGTATAGTGTTTCACACTGTTCCAAAGATAGAGCTCCTTTATGTGTCTCCTGAGAACTGAGGGAAGCCCCAAATTCACTCAGATTACGTTCTTTCATTTGATCAGCATAGACACCACTGACTTAGCTGTGCTTTATGTTTTTGCAGGTCTCTCTGCTGTTCAGGCCTCTGGTGGCCTACTGGGGATATATAATGGAGAGACTCTGGTATTTGAGGAGAGCAACTGGTTCATAATTAACGTGATTAAATTAGTTTGGCGCTATGGATTTCAATCCCTCCGTATGCACATGTGGGTAGAGGACGTGTTAGACAAGTTCATGAGGTAATTTTTTTTCCTTCCATTTAACCTAAGATCTTTTAATTTAGGTTAAATTAAACTTGATGAACTTTAGGAATTATGATTTCTTGTAAGCATTTTCTACCTCACAGCAAGGCCTGTTTATAACATTGTTAGGCAAAATGTTTTGTAGAAACTATGCAGACTATTTGCTTGGATATTGAAAGGTTGGTTTATTTTTGCTTCTGAAGTGTATTTTGCAAATGCTTCTTTAGTGTTGCCAGATACTGTTAGATGCCTTGAATTCTTATGACAACTTACTCTGGTAGGTACTGTTTTTAGCTTCTTTAAACAGATGCAGAAGGTGGCGGTGTAGAGAGGTTTTAAAAGGCAAGTTCACCCACATAGTAAGTGGTATAGCTGGAGTTGCCACCCAGGCAGTCTGGCCTTTGAGTCTTCACTCTTAATCTCTATGCTGTGCTGGTGTTGTGTATATGAATTGAGATAATGTGTACAAGAGCTTGTAGAAAGGATCAGAAAACTTAAATGGCCTTTAATAGTGACATGTTTTCAGTGAACCAGCAGCCTGAAGTAGAGTAAAAGTTCCATATTCCAAGAATTTACATTCTAGCACTGTTTTGGGTAGTGAGAATTCAGGTGCCTCTTTTTCGTCCTTATGCTTTTCTATATTTAAACAGTTTTTTTAATGCGTGTGAATATGTATCACTTTGGTAATCAGGAAGACTAACATAAAATAGCCAGTCTAATTTTGAAAGGTACAATCTGTATTTTTAAAGCTGTTGGCATGTTCTAGTTTTTTAGTTTTTTTGTTTTTTTGTTTTTGAGATGGAGTTTCGCTTGTTGCCTAGGCTGGAGTGCAATGGTTCGATATTGGCTCACTGCAACCTCTGCCTCTTGGGTTCAAGCGATACTCCTGCCTCAGGCTCCCGAGTAGCTGGGATTACAGATGCCTGCCACCACGCCCAGCTAATTTTTGTATTTTTAGTAGAGATGGGGTTTCACCCTCTTGGCCAGGCTGGTCTCGAACTCCTGACCTCAGGTGATCCACCTGCCTCGGCCTCCCAAAGTGCTGGGATTACAGGTGTGAGCTACCGAGCTTGGCCGGCATGTGCTAATTTTTTTTTTTTTTTTTTTTGAGATGGAGTTTTGCTCTGTCGCCCGGGCTGGAGTGCAGTGGCACCATCTCGGCTCACTGCAACCTCTGCCTCCCTGGTTCAAGCGATTCTCCTGCCTCAGACTCCCGAATAGCTGGGATTACAGGTGCCTGCCACTGTGCCTGGCTAATTTTTTGTATTTTTAGTAGAGACGGGGTTTCACTGTGTTAGCCAGGATGGTCTTGATCTCCTGACCTCGTGATCCGCCTGCCTCAGCCTCCCAAAGTGTTGGGATTGCAGGCATGAGCCACTGTGCCCGGCTAGCACATGCTAATTTTTATGCTGCTTTACAGTTTTAGGTACTGGAGGCCAGGATCGCATCATTACACTCCAGCCTGGGTGACAGAACAAGATTCCATCTTGAGGGGAAAAACAAAACAAAACAAAACATGTCATATGACCAGGTATTGAACAGGACAAATATGAGTTAAGCAGGGCTGGGCACAGTGGCTTATGCCTCTAATCCCAGAATTTTGGGAGGCTGAGGCTGGTGGATCACCTGAGGTCAGGAGTTTGAGACCAGCCTGACCAACATGGTAAAACCCTGTCTCTACAAAAAATATAAAAATTTAGCCGGCGTGGTGGTGCATGCCTGTAATCCCAGCTACTTGTGAGCCTGAGGCAGGAGAATCACTTGAACCTGGGAGGCAGAGGTTGCAGTGAGCCACGATCGTGCCATTACACTCTAGCCTGGGGGACAGAGCCAGACTGTCTAAAAAAAAAAAAAAGAAAGCTAAGCAGGATATGCTCTGGTTTCTATAACTCATGGTAGTTTGGGGTTTCTTTCTTTCTCAACATCATTCTTAGGTCAGTTCCTTAAATGCCTTTCCCGTGGGTACCTTAAGTCCATCTACAGTGCATAATGTTTTTAAGTAGCCATTCATTCATTCACCCAATATTGAATACCTGTTAGGTGCTAGGCATTGTTCTATGTTGAGAGTATAGGACCTACAACATGTCCTTGTCCTCAAAGAATATATATTCTAGTGGAGAGACAGGCAATACACAACCAAGGAAATATATAGAATTTGCGTAGAGACGGCCAGTCACTTTATAGAAGGTGGGTGGCATGGTGCTGCATACTCAGCAGGCAGATCAAGTTCTGATGGCATCAGCCCTGCTTGTGTGTATTGTTTTTCTTTTCTTTTCTTTTTTTTTTTTGAGATAGAGTCTCGTTTTGTCGCCCAGGCTGGAGTGCAGTGGCGGGATCTCGGCTTACTGCAACATCTGCCTCCCAGGTTCAAGTGATTCTCCTGCCTCAGCCTCCTGAGTAGCTGGGACTACAGGCACATGCCACCATGCCTGGTTAATTTTTTGTATTTTTAGTAGAGATGTGGTTTCACCGTGTTAGCCAGGCTGGTCTCAAACTCCTGACCTTGTGATCTGCCTGTCTCGGCTTCCCAAAGTGTTGGGATTATAGGCGTGAGCCACTGTGCCCGGCCCTCTTTTTTTTTTTTTTTTTTTTGATACAGGTCTCACTCTGTCACCCAGGCTGGAGTGCAGTGGTGTGATCATGGCTCACTGCAGCCTGGACCTCCTGGGCTCAGGGGATCTGCCTACCTTAGCCTCTGTGTAGCTGGGACTACAGGCACGTGCCATCAGATCTGGCTAATTTTTTGTATTTTTTTTGTAGAGATGAGGTTTGGCCATGTTGCCCAGGCTGGTCTTGAATTCCTGGGCTCGAGTGTTCCACTCACCTGGGCCTCCCAAAGTGTTGGGATTACGGTTGTGAGCTCCTGTTCCCAGCCTTGTTTTTTTTTTTATCTGTGGCTTGCTTGAGATGTAGAGAATTGCCCTTTGAGAAATTAAGAAATTACTTTTTTTTTTTTGAGATGAGTTTCACTCTGTCACCCAGGCTGGAGTGCAGTGGTGCAATCTCGGCTCACTGCAACCTCTGCCTCCTGAGTCCAAGCGATTCTCCTGCCTCAGCCTCCTGAGTAGCTGGGATTACAGGCATGTGCCACCATACCCAGATAATTTTTTTATTTTTAGTAGAGATGGGGTTTTACCATGTTGGCTAGGCTGGTCTCAAACTCCTGGCCTTAATTGATCTGCCCGCCTTGGCCTCCTAAAGTGCTGCGATTACAGGCATGAGCCACCGCACCTGGCCTAAGAAATCACTTTTGAAGTGAATTCAAGGTATTACAGAACTGGGAAAAAGAACCAGTGAGGGGATACATAGGTTATACTGTTTTTGACTTTAAAAAATAATTTACGGGCCGGGCGCGGTGGCACACGCCTGTAATCCCAGCACTTTGGGAGGCCAAGGCAGATAGATCTTGAGGTCAGGAGTTCGAGACCAGCCTGGCCAACATGGTGAAACTCCGCCTTGCTAAAAATACAAAAATTAGCTGGGTGTGGAGGCGCAGCTAATGCCAGCTACTTGGGAGGCTGAGGCAGTAGAATCGCTTGAACCCAGGAAGCGGAGGTTGTGGTGAGCCAAGATCAAAGTATACACAAGGTGGAGAAAGACCTATGTAACAGTAGTAAACCATGACACTCGAAAGAGGGCTCAAGCTTGTGGTAGGCAATACTCGAAAACAGTGCATTCATTCATTCTCTGCTGTTGGAGGTACTTGAGTGGAAATCCTGCAGCCCCTGACATCAGCACTAGCTAGCTTAATTTCCACTTCTGCACATACATTTATGTAGTTGTTCTGGTTGGATGCCATTCTTAACTAATTTTTTTTTTTTTTTTTTTTTTGAGACCAAGTCTTGCTCCGTCACCCAGGCTGGAGTACGGTGGTGCAATCACAGCTCACTGCAGCTTTGACCTCCTGGTCTCAAGTCATCTTCCAGCCTCAGCTGGGACTATAGGCATGTGCCATCATGCTTGGCTAATTTTTTAAATTTTTGTAGAGACAGGGTGTTGCCATGTTGCCCAAGCTGATCTTGAACTCCTGGGCTCAAGTGATCCTCCCACCTTGGCCTCCCAAAGTGTTGGGATTACAGGCGTGAGCCACCGCGCTCAGCCGGATGCCATTCTTTACTCCCAAGTCCAACCTCTTATCTCACTTTTTCAGCAAAGCATTTCCTTAATGCTTCAATCAACATTCATCTTTCTTTTCAAACATCCCTTATTATACGGTGCACACTGTGTGCTTGTGTTCTATGCTACGCACAGTAACTAGAATGTAGTAGATGTTTACTCAGATGTTTGTGGAATTTAAATCTCTGGTCTGCTGATGGCTTCCTGTTGAGATATCTTGGCTTGTAGACTAGGTTAAAGCTTATTCTTCTCTCTCAAGTTAGTGCATTTCTGGGGACTTGTAAGATCCTTAACACTTCTTGATCTGAGACTGATAGACTCACAGGGAAAGGCTTTATAAACACCCTTTCTTCCTTCCAGTTACTCCTACCAAATATTTTGAGTCAATTTTTGTTCTTTCATTTCCCAAACCCACTCTATCTTGAATCCCATCAGCCTTTAAAATACATCCAGTATTCCACTACTTCTCTCCAGGATTACTGCTACCACTTTGTTCCAAGTCACCACCACTGTCTCTTGTCTGGATTGCTAGAGTAGCCTCCTATTATAGGCTGAATAATCCTCTCCCCTGCTGTCTGCCACAAGATGTCCATGTCTTAATTCCTGGAACCTGTGAATGTGTTACCTTTTGAGGTAAAAGAGACGTTGCAGATATGGTTAAGGATGGGTAGATTATTCTGGATTATCTAGGTGGGCCCAATATAATCACAAGGGTCCTTAGAGAGGCAGGAGGATCAGGGTAGGTAGTAGGAGATGTGATGATGGAAGGAAGAGATTGGAGTGATGCTAGGAAGGGGTGTGCGTCCACGAGCCAAGGAATGCAGGTGGCCTGTAGAGGCTGGAAAAGACAGTCTTCCCTCAGAGCTTCTAGAAGGAACCAGCCTTGTGCACACCTTGATTTTAGCCCGGAGAGACTGACTTTGGTCTTCTAATTTACAGAACCGTAAGATTATAACTTTTTTTTTTTTTGTTAGTATTTATTAATCATTCTTGGGTGTTCTTCGGAGAGGGGGATTTGGCAGGGTCATAGGACAATAGTGGAGGGAAGGTCAGCGGATAAACATGTGAACAAAGGTCTCTGGTTTTCCTAGGCAGAGGGCCCTGCCGCCTTCCGCAGTGTTTGTGTCCCTGGGTACTTGAGATTAGGGAGTGGTGATGACTCTTAACGAGTATGCTGCCTTCAAGCATCTGTTTAACAAAGCACATCTTGCACCGCCCTTAATCCATTTAACCCTTAGTGGACACAGCACATGTTTCAGAGAGCATGGGGTTGGGGGTAAGGTCATAGATAAACAGCATTCCAAGGCAGAAGAATTTCTCTTACTACAGAACAAAATGGAGTCTCCTATGTCCACCTCTTTCTACACAGACACAGTAACAATCCGATCTCTCCTTCCTTTCCCCACATTTCCCCCACTTCTATTCGACAAAACTGCCATCGTCATCATGGCCCGTTCTCAATGAGCTATTGGGTACACCTCCCAGACGGGGTGGCGGCTGGGCAGAGGGGCTCCTCACTTCCCAGACAGGGCGGCTGCTGGGCGGAGGGGCTCCTCACTTCTCAGAGAGGGCGGCTGGTCAGAGAGGCTCCTCACCTCCCAGACGGGATGGCGGCGGGGCAGAGACACTCCTCAGTTCCCAGACGGCGTCGCGGCCGGGCAGAGGCGCTCTTCACATCTCAGACGGGGCGGCGGGGCAGAGGCGCTCCCCACATCCCAGACGATGGGCAGCCGGGCAGAGACGCTCCTCACTTCCTAGACGGGATGACGGCCGGGAAGAGGCGCTCCTCACTTCCCAGACTGGGCGGCCGGGCAGAGGAGTTCCTCACATCCCAGACGATGGGCGGCCAGGCAAAGACACTCCTCACTTCCTAGACGGGGTGGCGGCTGGGCAGAGGCTGCAATCTCAGCACTTTTGGGAGGTCAAGGCAGGCGGCTGGGAGGTGGAGGTTGTAGCGAGCCGAGATCACGCCACTGCACTCCAGCCTGGGCAACATTGAGCACTGAGTGAGCGACACTCCGTCTGCAATCCTGGCACCTCGGGAGGCCGAGGCTGGCAGATCACTCATGGTCAGGAACTGGAGACCAGCCCGGCCAACACGGTGAAACCCCGTCTCCACCAAAAAATACGAAAACCAGTCAGGCGTGGCGGCGCGCGCCTGCAATCCCAGGCACTTGGCAGGCTGAAGCAGGAGAATCAGGCAGGGAGGTTGCAGTGAGTCGAGATGGCAGCAGTACAGTCCAGCCTTGGCTCGGCATCAGAGGGAGACCGTGGAGAGGGAGAGGGGGAGGGGGAGGGGGAGAGGGAGAGCTGTTTTTTGTTTTGAGACAGAGTCTTGCTCTGTCACCCAGGCTGGAGTGCAGTGGCACAATCTTGGCTCACTGCAGCCTCCGCCTCCTGGGTTCAAGCAGTTCTCTGCCTCAGCCTCCCGAGTAGTTGGGATCACAGGCGCCCACCACCATGCCCGGCTAATTTTTGTATTTTTAGTAGAGATGGGGTTTCACCATCTTGGCCAGGCAGGTCTTGCACTCCTGACCTCGTGATCCACCCGCCTCAGCCTCCCAAAGTGCTGGGATTACAGGTGTGAGCCACTGCACCCGGCCGTAAATTTGTGTTGTTTTAAGCCACTAAGTTTGTGGTAATTTGTTATAGCAGCAGTGGAAAACCAAGACACCTCCTAAATCATCTGCCATTACTGTTATATTGCTACCATTTGTTCTCAGGTTAGCAGCCAAAGTAGTTCTTTAAAATCTAAGGCTCATCACATCACTCCACTAACTCAGAAACCTTCAGTGGCTATTTCATTAATAGAGATTTATAGCCAAAATCTGTTTTGTGACTGAGAAGACATGACAGGATTCTGTGCTCTCATCCCTTACTTTTAAATTTGTTTTCCCCAAAATTCATAGGTTGAAACACTAGCCACCCAGTACTCAGAATGTGACTGCATATGTATGTAGGGCCTTTAAATATGTGATTAAGTTAAAATGAGGTCTTTAGCGTAGACCCTAAAACAATTTGATGGGTGTCCTTAAGATTAGGACACAGAAAGGAGGCCAAGGCGGGCAGATCACCTGAGGTTGGGAGTTCGAGACCAGCCTGACCAACATGGTGAAACCCCTTCTCTACTAAAAATACAAAAAATTAGCTGGGCGTGGTGGTGCATGCTTGTAATCCCAGCTACTCAGGAAGGCTGAGGCAAGAGAATCACTTGAACCTGGGCGGCAGAGGTTGCAGTGAGCCATTGCACTCCAGCCTGGGCAACAAGCGTGAAACTCTGTCTCAGAAAAAAAAAAAAAAAAATTGGGACACAGAAGAAACACACAAAGACCATGTGAGGACACAGCAAGAAGGTGGCCATCTGCAAGCCAAGGAAATAGGCCTCAGAAGAAACCGAATGCATCCACACCTTGATCTTGGACTTTTGGCCTACAGAACTATAAGAAATAAAACTTTTTTTGTTTAAGCCATCCAGTCTTTGGTACTGTGTTATGGCAGTCTTGGTGAACTAATACACTGTTGTCATTTTCAGTAACTGTCCATTATTGAAAATGGGATATTGAAGTCTCCATTATTGTTGAACTATGTATTTCAGTTCTGTCAAGATCATTTGATCATATTCATGAAGGTTTATTTCTGGGTTTTCTTATTTGTTTCAAGGATCTGTGTGTCTGTTTTTTTTTTTTTTTCAGATGATGTTTTACTCTGTTGCCCAGGCTAGAGTGTAGTATGTTCACAGCAACCTCTGCCTCCCAGGCTCAAGCAATTCTCCAACCTCAGGCCCCTTGAGTGGCTGGGACTACAGATGTGCACTACCATGCCCAGCTAATTTTTTTTTTTTTTTTTTTGAGACAGAGTCTCGCTCTGTTGCCCAGGCTGGAGTTCAGTGGCGCTATCTCGGCTCACTGCAACCTCTGCCTCCCGGGTTCAAGCAATTCTTGTGCCTCAGCCTCCTGAGTAGGTGGGACTACAGGCATGCACCACCAACCCTGGCTAATTTTTTGTGTTTTTAGTAGAGATGGGTTTTCGCCATGATGGCCAGGCTGGTCTCGAACTCCTAACCTCAAGTGATCCTCCAGCCTGTGCCTCCCAATGTGCTGGGATTACAGGCGTGAGCCACTGCACCCGGCCTTTTTTAAAAAGTTTTTTTGGTCAGCCTCTTGTAGTCTCTATTGATGTCATAGCCTCCGGCATCTGTGATGTTAAACAATTGCCACAGATTTTTTTTTTGACACGTGGACACGTGCCCTCAGGATGGGGCTGTTGCATAGAGTGAACTTTGAATCAGGTCGAATAAAGACAAGCCTTCAGGATAGAGCTTTTTCGGAGCTGCCAGATAGGTCAAATATTGACAGTTCTCTGAGGATAGTGCTTTTTGGGAGCTACAAACTCGTTGTGTTCTCTCCAGTGGCTTCTAGCTTGCTAGTTTCACATTGCAGTTGGAAGGGTGCTGGTTTTATTTTTTATTTTTTTTTCTCTCTCTCTTTTTCTCTTTCTTTCTTTCTTTCGACGGAGTCTCCCTCTTGTCGCCCAGGCTGGAGTGCAATGGTGCGATCTTGGCTCACTGCAACCTCCATCTCCTGGGTTCAAGCGATTCTCCTGCCTCAGCCTCCTGAATAGCTGGGATTACAGGCGTGTGCCACCACACCTGGCTAATTTTTTATATTTTTGGTACAGATGGTGTTTCACCATGTTGGGCAGGCTGGTCTTGAACTCCTGACCTCAAGTGATCCGCCTGGCTCAGCTTCCCAGAGTGCTGGGATTACAGGTGTGAGCCACCATGCCTGCCAGACATTTTTCTTGAATAAATACTCCTTGGACTTGGAAAGGCTTTGGTTTATCTGCAGAGCTCTGAAAGAGTCAATGTTGATCATTTTTGGCAGTATTCTCATAGCTTTTATGGAGGAGCAGATTTCCAGAGGTCCTTCCTCTGCCATTCTGGAAGTTTCCTCTCCCCAGTAACATTTCTGGCTGTACCACTCCCGGTTCTCCCATATCACTCTGCTTCAGCTGCTCTGGCTTCATTGTTTCTTGAATGTGCCAGGCAAGCTTCTGTCATGTGACCTTTGCATTGCTTTTACCTCTACCGGAAATATTTTCCCCCAGGTGTTTGCCTGGTTTGCATCCTCATCTCCTTCGGGTCTTTGGTCTATATCATCTTCTCAGTGAGGCTTTTCCTGACCACTCTTGTTTTTGGACAGTCTTATTTAGAATTCAACCCTCCTAACCCCATGTATTTCTAGTCTTCTTTTCAGACCATTTTCTCCTTTTTTTTTTCTTTTGAGATGGAGTCTGTCTCTGTTGCCCAGGCTGGAGTGCAGTGGCACGATCTTGGCTCTCCTCGGCTCACCTTGGCTCACTGTGCCACTGCACCACTACGCCCGGCTAATTTTGTATTTTTAGTAGAGACAGGGTTTCTCCATGTTGGTCAGGCTGGTCTCGAACTCCTGACCTCAGGTGATCCACCTGTCTTGGCCTCCCAAAGTGCTGGGATTACAGGCGTGAGCCACTGTGCCTGGCCCCAGTTATATTTTTTTAAAAATTATTATTTTTTTGTTTTTGTTTTTGTTTTTTTTAAGACAAGGTCTCACTCTGTTGCCCAAGCTGGATGGAGTGCAGTGGTGTGATCACAGCTCACTGCAGCCTCAACCAGCGGGGCTGAAGTGATCCTCATGCCTCAGCTTCCTGAATAGCTGGGACTACAGGCATGCCTCACCATGCCTGGCTAATTTTTTTTTTTTTTTTTTTCTGTAAGTATTTTATTTATCACTGAAGAAAAAACACAGCAGCAAGTTCTGTGTTGGCTTCAATGAGACCAAATAGTTCATCTTTAACATAGCTACTGCGCTCCAAAATTGAAGTCAACACAGTCATTACTACAAATTACTTGTTGAAAGAATCTATCTTCAAAAGAAAGAAAATTAGGAAAGAGAATTTAAACGATTCCTCCAAACCATACATTTATAAATATTGTCATATTTAAAATGCTTGAAAGGCGTGAATTCTCCATTAATGGAAAAGCAGTTTGCTATTGGCAACAGAAAAAAACTCAGCGATAATTTACCAAATGCTTTAAAATTTAAAAGCTATACTGTTTGGATTCACACTTGCGCAGTAATCTTGTCATTACAACAACTGCAAATTGCTTTGTACTCACCTTCTCTCAAGTAAAATCTAAAGAAAACCCCACCGTATCCAATGTTTGTAATGTTTACTTCAAGTGAATCTAAAAAATTTCTAAATTTAGTTTATGGTAAATACCTCAAAATACCTAAAAATAGGTACGTATCAACCACTTAAGGGTGTGAAAATTGTTTCAGATTCACTGCTTTAAAGGGTCTTCAAATATATTTTCTTTAACAGAACCTTACTTCATTCCAAATTATTATCAGATATTTCAAAATAAAAAAAAAGTATCAGTTCTATACCAAGATAAAGGTGTTACTCAATACCTGAAGGTTCACATTTTAAATTTATTTTTTAGTTTTTCTTTTTTGTCAACAAATGATTGATGAAATAATGCAACACCCTTAAATTCCAGAAAATGGCATGGTTTTTCCAACCTCCTGTGGATATGGTGCATGATCAATCTATTATATAGGAGCCTGGCTAATTTTTAATTTTTTTTTTTTTTTTTTTGAGAGGGAGTTTCACTCTGTCACCAAGGCTAGAGTGCAGTGGCACGATCTCGGCTCACTGCAACCTCTACCTCCCAGGTTCAAGCGATTCTCCTGCCTCCACCTCCCAAGTAGCTGGTATTACAGGCATGCGCCACCATGCCCAGTTAATTTTTGTATTTTTAGTAGAGGTGGGGTTTCGCTATGTTGGCCAGGCTGGTCTCAAACTCCTGACCTCAAGCGATCTGCCCGCCTCAGCCTCCCAAAGTGCTGGGATTACAGGCATGAACCACTGCGCCTGGCTAATTTTTACATTTTGTGTACAGACAGAGTCTTGCTATGTTGCCCAGGCTAGTCTTGAACTCCTGGCCTCAAGGTATCCTCCTGTCTTACTCTGTCACCCAGGCTGGAGTATATTGGCTGGCTGTTCACAGGTGCAACCATAATGTACTACAGCCTTGTGCCCCTGGGCTTAAGTGATCCTCCCACCTCAGCCTCTTGAGTAGCTGTGACTACAGGTGCATGCTGCCTCACCTGGGTGCTGTTTTTTAGTAGTATTTATTCTGTTTTTTCATTTATTATTATTATTTTTTTGAGATGGAGTCTTGCTCTGTCATCCAGGGTGTAGTGCAGTGGTGTGATCTTGACTTACTGCAACCTCTGTCTCCTGGGTCAAGCAATTCTCATGCCTCAGCCACCTGAGTAGCTGGGATTACAGGCATGCACCACCACACCTGGATAATTTTTGTATTTTTAGTAGAGATGGGGTTTCACCATGTTGGCCAGGCGGTCTCAAACTACTGACCTCAAGTGATGCTGCCCCACTTTGCCTCCCAAAGTGCTAGGATTACAGGCATGAGCCACCATACCCAGCAGTGTATTTATTCTAATACGATTAGTTGTATCATGAAACAATTAGAGTGCTCTCTGTTTATATTGTGTATATAGTTTCATCTCACCGCTGCCACCCCGCCCCCTCCCAGGGAGACTTGCTTGAGTGAGGTTGCAGCTCTGGCAGGAGCAGTTGGGGAATATGTTTTTTATAGCATCATTAGTAGCTTATTTAATTGACTGTTATTTTCTCATGTTGACCATTAGCCAAAGATCACTCTTCTTTGGATATGAGATATCCAGGCTATTATTTTTCTGAAGAATTCAGTGTTTCCATCCTACTTTTTCCAGTCTCCTAAAGACTGGGACCCAAATGCTATGGTTAGAAGGTATTTAGTTTCTCAGTTTTGGCATAGATATCGAATCAGTTTTTCCAATAAAAATGTGTTTAACATTTTGTACACTTATACTACTACTATGCTTTTAGTAGGTAATACTGAAATGGTTATAATACTGTCCCTTGTTCTGTAAAAAAATATAGTACATTTTGAGAGAAAAACTTGATGTGAAAGTTTCCCTTCCATGATCAGTGATAGGGATCTTTCCTTGGCTCTTAATTTCTTATTTTCATATACTTATCTCTGCATGTGCCTTATTACTTATCCCTAACTATAAGCCCCTTAAGGGAATAAGAGATAAACCCCGTATTACTTATCCCAAACTTAAGCCTGTTTTCCATCTTTGTACTATTTGCAACATGAAAAATTGTGTTTGAATTACTGAATGCACTAATTTATGTGAATGTTGTTTTAAATCCATAAAATGCAGAGAAGTGTTGGGTGATATTTTTCTTTTTGGTCAAGTGATGTTTTCTAAAAAATAATAGAAAGCATCTAATTGTTGAATGAGTGGCATTGGTGCTAAGTTTTATGAGGCTTCTGGAGATGATATAACTGTGGACTGGGAAGTTGAGCAAGACTTTTCAGAGAAGGTGGGATTCAAGTTCTGTTAAGGAAGAATAGATGTTCCATGGTTAGGAATGGGAAGTGTATTCAGGTTGGAGGGAAGAGCTTGTGCACTGGTGGGGATACAGCATGTAGGGCAAATTTAGAGACCAGTGAATGGGTCAGGTGTGCTCCAGTGGAGACTGTGCATGTGTGGGTGATTGACAGCAGAGTGGGCAAGTTGTGATTGAGCCTTATACTTGCCATGTGGCCTTTAGACAAAGTATTTTACTTCTACTTTTTTTTTTTTTTTTTTTTGAGATGGAGTCTCGCTCTGTTGCCCAGGCTGGAGTGCAGCGGTGTGATCTCGGCTCACTGCAACCTCCGCTTTCTGGGTTGAAGCGATTCTCCTGCCTCAGCCTCCTGAATAGCTGGGATTACAGGCGTGCGCCACCAGGCCCAGCTAATTTTTGTATTTTTAGTAGAGACGGGGTTTCACCATGTTGGTCAGGCTGGTCTCAAACTCCTGACCTAGTGATCTGCCTGCCTTGGCCTTCCAAAGAGCTAGGATTACAGGCATGAAACCACCGCGCCTGGCCTTACTTCTACTTTTTATTTTTCCTTTTTCTTCTTCTTTCTTTCTTCCTTAGTTTCTTTTCTTTTTTTTTTTCTTTTTTTTTTTTTAAGAGACACTGTCACTGTCTGGCCCAGGCTGGAGTGCAGCGGCATTATCACAGTTCACTGCGGCCTTGAATTCCGGGGCTCAAGCAGTCCTCCTGCCTCAGCCTCCCAAGTAGCTGGGACCACAGGCATACACCACTATGCCTGGTTAATTTTTGTATTTTTAGTAAAGCTGGGGTTTTGCCATGTTGGCCAGGCTGGTCTTGAACTCCTGACCTCAGGTGACCTGCCCACCTCTGCCTCCCAAAGTGTGGGGATTATAGGCGTGAGCCACTGCACCTAGATGTCAGTTTGATTCTTATGACGCCACTTCCCTTCTTTATACATCCCCTTCCCCACATCTTGTTTGGTATTTAATGGATTTCTCTTCTTTTCCAAAGGATCTACCGCTACCAGTCTCATGACTATGCCTTCAGTAGTGTCGAAAAATTACTTCATGCTCTAGGAGGAGATGACTTCCTTGGAATGCTTAATCGAACACTTCTTGAAACCTTGCAAAAGGCCGGCTTTTCTGAGAAGTTCCTCAATGAAATGATTGCTCCTGTTATGAGGGTCAATTATGGCCAAAGCACGGACATCAATGCCTTTGTGGGTAAGCCAGGGCTTGAAACAGTGGTGGACATTAGTTCACAGAGGGGCTTACCTGATGCTATGGTGGTTCCTGACTTTAGGCTGTGGATTGGAGGCTACTTTTCTCTGTGAACCTCAGACATTGTTAGCAAAATTGTGCGTATGTAGATGTGCATTTTTAGGGGGAGAGGGTCTTTAGCTTTCATTAGTTCAGTAATTCTTAACTGGGGGAGATTTTGCTCCCAGGGGCCATTTAGCAATGTCTAGAGACATTTGGAGTAGAACATGTAATTGGGAAGGGAGAGTGGGTAGAGAGCCTCTTACAAAAAGTCAGAATTAAAACACATTTTTCCTCCTATTGACAGGGGCGGTGTCACTGTCCTGTTCTGATTCTGGCCTTTGGGCAGTAGAAGGTGGCAATAAACTTGTTTGCTCAGGGCTTCTGCAGGCATCCAAAAGCAATCTTATATCTGGCTCAGTAATGTACATCGAGGAGAAAACAAAGACCAAGTACACAGGTAAGCTTGAATTTCTTATTGTTCCTGATATCCCCTGCAGAAAATGATTGCTCAGGGAGAAACACTTCTCTTCTGTCATCTCTTACTCAGTTCTAAAATGATGAAACTTGAAATTGTATATATTGTACCATATAGAAATATTCCCCAATGGGCCAGGCACGGTGGCTCATGCCTGTAATCCCTGTACTTTGGGAGGCCAAGGAGGGTGGATCACCTGAGGTCAGGAGATCAAGACTAGCCTGGCCAACATAGTTAAACCCTGTCTCTACTAAAAATACAAAAAATTAGCCGGGCGTGGTGGCAGGTGCCTGTAATCCCAGCTACTCGGGAGGCTGAGGCAGGAGAATCACATGAACCCAGGGGGCAGAGGTTGCAGTGAGCCAAGATCACACCACTGCACTCTAGCCTGGGTGACGGAGTGAGACTCCATCTAAAAAAAAAAAAAAAAAAAAAAAATTCCCCAGTGTAGTTAAGTGCTGTGGCATCACTCCTTGGATTTGAAAAATAATCTTTTTTTTTTTTGAGATGGAGTCTCGCTCTTTTGCCCAGGCCGGACTGTAGTGGCCTATCTCGGCTCACTGCAAGCTCCGCCTCCCGGGTTCACGCCATTCTCCTGCCTCAGCGTCCCGAGTAGCTGGGACTATAGGCGCCTGCCTCAGCGTCCCGAGTAGCTGGGACTATAGGCGCCTGCCACCGCGCTCGGCTAATTTTTTGTATTTTTAGTAGAGACGGGGTTTCACCATGTTAGCCAGGATGGTCTCGATCTCCTGACCTCGTGATCCACCCACCTCGGCCTCCCAAAGTGCTGAGATTACAGGTGTGAGCCACCATGCCCGGCCGAAAGATAATCTTACCTTCAAAAGTAAAAATTCTGTATTTTGTACTTACTGACATTCTGAATAAGAAATTGGCCTCAATGTAATAAAAATGCAAGGGACAACTATCTTAAGGGATATAACTTCTTCAATTCTTTAGAATTATAGAGAAATTATGAAGAAGGTATACAATTATTTTTAGAAGGTATGTTAGAAACACTAAACAAATATATGCCTCCTTATTTCCTCTAGGAAATCCAACAAAGATGTATGAAGTGGTCTACCAAATTGGAACTGAGACTCGTTCAGACTTCTATGACATCGTCTTGGTGGCCACTCCGTTGAATCGAAAAATGTCGAATATTACTTTTCTCAACTTTGATCCTCCAATTGAGGAATTCCATCAATATTATCAACATATAGTGACAACTTTAGTTAAGGGGGAATTGAATACATCTATCTTTAGCTCTAGACCCATAGATAAATTTGGCCTTAATACAGTTTTAACCACTGATAATTCAGATTTGTTCATTAACAGTATTGGGATTGTGCCCTCTGTGAGAGAAAAGGAAGATCCTGAGCCATCAACAGATGGAACATATGTTTGGAAGATCTTTTCCCAAGAAACTCTTACTAAAGCACAAATTTTAAAGCTCTTTCTGTCCTATGATTATGCTGTGAAGAAGCCATGGCTTGCATATCCTCACTATAAGCCCCCGGAGAAATGCCCCTCTATCATTCTCCATGATCGACTTTATTACCTCAATGGCATAGAGTGTGCAGCAAGTGCCATGGAGATGAGTGCCATTGCAGCCCACAACGCTGCACTCCTTGCCTATCACCGCTGGAACGGGCACACAGACATGATTGATCAGGATGGCTTATATGAGAAACTTAAAACTGAACTATGAAGTGACACACTCCTTTTTCCCCTCCTAGTTCCAAATGACTATCAGTGGCAAAAAAGAACAAAATCTGAGCAGAGATGATTTTGAACCAGATATTTTGCCATTATCATTGTTTAATAAAAGTAATCCCTGCTGGTCATAGGAAAACACACGGTTCTAATTAAGTGTGAAGGTATAGCTATTGCACTTATGCCATCTCCAAAATTTCTTAAGTATTCTTTCACTATCCATTAGGAGTTTTTCTTAAACTTGTCTGATAATAAGAATCACCTGGAGTTAGGAGGTGGTGGTTGCAGTGAGCCAATCTCACCATTGCACTTCAGCCTGAGCAACACGAGCAAAACTCCGTCTCAAAAGTAAATAAAAATAATCACCTGGAGTTTGTTAAACCATATGGATTCTCAAGCTCCTCTCTTGAAGATTCTGATTCAGTAGGTCTGGGAGTGGCGCGCTGGATTTTGATCAAAATTGTAGAGCATTTTAAGGTGAGTACCTGAGGGAGAACTTAAAGACATCTTAGTTGGGGAGTAGTCCTTTTGAATTTTACAGCTAGATATAATCTTCAGTCAGATAAAATTTATGGGAGCTGGTGTCTTATGCCTGACTCTTAGTAATTTCATACCGGTTTGAAGTACGTGTGCCCATGCCTAAAGCCTTGACTTTCAGAATGTTGTCTTTTGATTCTTCTGTCTTGATTTGATTAGGGGTGAAATTTAGAAGTCTTAGTAATGTAACTTGAAGATGTTAAACAAAAATCTCAAGTAAAATGAAAAGCAAATATGGGCTACTGAATTAAGAAACTGGCATTCTAGTATTAAATCCTCACTTCAGGAGCTTTTAAAAATACTGAGACCCCCCCATAACCAGAGATTCAGATTCAAAGACTGAGGATAGGACCTTAGCATTGTAGCTATTTAAAGTTTCTAATGTGCACCCAGGGTTGGGAATCACCAATGTGGGTGTGAAAATGCCTACAAAGGGTTTTAGTGCCTTAGAAGTCCTAAGAAGCCCAATCTGTATCAAAGCAGATCCATTTTGCAAGGATCTTTCTTTTAGAACTTTCTCAGTTCTCTTAGTAAGAACTTTAGAAGTAATCTTGATAATAAGCACAGACAGCCTAACAGCAGAGGCAACTTAAATAACTCCTGAGCAGTTGGCACTAGAACAGAATACTTGGAATGACACCAAAGTTAACCAAGTCCAGCATATGTCCAAAGAGTTAAGTGTTTCATTTACTGTAGCATTCTGGGTGAGAAATTGGTTGCTGAAATCTTAAGACAGTGGTCTCAACCTTGGCTGCACATTGGAATCACCTGTAGGGTTTTAAAGCATCCAAATGGTAATTAACAGGCAGCAAAACTTCAGAACTAGTTCTGCATCTACTGTGCAAAGATCATGATTAACTGTCAAGACACTGGTAGAACAGAACAAGCAAAAGATTAAGAGTTCAAAAGTAAATGCAACCAATTTAACATGTAGTGTTATTAAAAAATTACAAAGGCCTAGACCAGCCTGGGCAACATGGTGAAACCCCATCTCTACAAAAAATTTTTAAAAAGTTGGCCAGGCATGGTAATGCGCGCCTGTGGTCCCAGCTGCTCGGGAGGCTGAGGTGGGAGGATCACTTGAGCCTTGGAGGTCAAGGCTGCAGTGAATCATGATCATGCCACTGTACTCCAGCCTGGGCAACAGAGACCATCTTAAAAAAAAAAAATCCTTCCATTGAATAGAAACTTCAAAGTCCTTCATCAGATCATGGCATTAGCTACTTTAGCAAAATAGTGTAAACTTTGGTTCTGAGTAAAAATGACTTCTTCCCTACCACAGTTGTGAATGTTAATATGCTGATAAAACTGCCAAGATATATTTGATAGGTAGGGGATTAAACTCATGGTTTGTCAAAAGAGTGTTTTTTTCTAGTTTTATTCTTAACAGATATGTTGAGGTATTCATATTTGTTTCCTTTTGTGGTTTTAATGAAGACAATTTGTAAAGTAATACTGTTATGTATATGCTAAATGTTGGTAAATACTAATTAATTTCCATCATTTGTAGACTTGTTTTGCAATGGGATATATTTTTACTTATAATACCAATTTAGGCTGGGCGCAGTGGCTCACGCCTGTAATCCCAGCACTTTGGGAGGCCAAGGCAAACGGATCACGAGGTCAGGAGATCAAGACCATCCTGGCCAACATGGTGAAACCCCATCTCTACTGAATACACAAAAATTGGCTGGACATGGTGGCGCATGTCTGTAATCCCAGCTACTGTAATCTCAGCTACTTGGGAGGCTGAGGCAGGAGAATTGCCTCAACCGGGAGGCGGAGGTTGCAGTGAGCCAAGATCGCACCACTGCACTCCAGCCTGGCAACAGAGCGAGACTCTGTCTCAGAAAAAAAAAACAAAAACCAGTTTAGGCTGGGTATGGTGGCTCACCAGCACTTTGGGAGGCTGAGGCAGGTGGATCTCTTGAGGTCGGGAGTTTGAGACCAGCCTGGCCAACATGGTGAAACCCTGTCTTTACTAAAAATACAAAAATTAGCCAGGCATGGTGGCGTGTGCCAGTAATCCCAGCTACTTGGGAGGCTGAGGCGCGAGAATCGCTTGAACCCTGGAGATGGAGGTTGCAGTGAGCAGAGATCGCACCACTGCACTCCAGCCTGGGCAAGAGTGAGACTGTGTCTCAAAAGGAAAAAAAAAAAATTAAAAATGTTGCTGGTATTACATCAAACCTACTCTGGATAAATTTTCCAGTAGGGCATCTGAAATTGCTTTGGCAAAAGCAAAACAGGTTATCAATACACCAAGGACATCAAGTAGTTTTAATGCAACTACAGTGTTGAGTGCTTTTTTACTGGGAGAAAAATCCTAGCAGAACCTGCTACTCTGGGCGCATTAGGTAGTTTTATGCAACTATAGTATTAAGAGTTTTATTGGAAGAAAAAACACTGTCAGAGCTTACTGCTCCAGACCTTTTTTTTTAATAGAAGAGACTGGTAAAAATGATGCAGGGGCTGAATGAAAGCCAGCTCTGCTCCAGTGGCTCTCTGAGTTGAGCATGCATCAGTTACCTTAAGGGCTTGTTAAAACATCGCTAGGCTCCACCCTGTTTATTCAATAAGTTTGTTATGGGATATAAGAAGATGCATTTTATTAAGTTCCCCAGTGATGCTGCTGTTCTACTATAGGAACCACACTTGAAGAACTAGTTCTACAATTCAGCTGTATGTTGTAAAGGAGTCAAGTCAATGAAGGAGTTATAAAGAGTTGCTGAAAAATGGAGTAACAGTGTATGGGACTTCACATCAGTTCTCCTTATTGATTGTTAGTTTGATCCCTCTTGTTCTTTTGTTGTAAACATTTTCTATAATTAGGAAATGCCATTTAAGAGTGAGAGAGGTATATATCTATGAGCCATTGTGTTTGGTGTTTTACAAGAACTTTACCATACTGGTGTGTAGTCCATTCTGTACAGTTTAAAAGTGATTCACGATTTGCAGGCTTTTTATCAGATCACAAAAAAATCAGTCTTTAAGCATTTGCTTGGTAAGGTTTCTTAAGATTAGGTTTATAATACAACCATCTGTAATGTATCTCTCGTTTGAGCTTGTGGGCCATACAATTCATTAACTAGATGAATACATTGTGGACAGCATCCTCACTACCCCTCTCTACTCACTCACAAAGAACCATGATACACTGGAATGTTTTTCTCTGGAATCCTCTTTCTACTCTTGTATTAAAATTTTTCCCCACTTCATGATTATATTCAAAATAAACAACTACATCATTACTTCTTGTCTTTTGCTTCTGTTGTACTATATTTGGAATGTAGATGTACTTGGGAAAGTCAGGCTAGATCAAAGTTACTATTCTTACAAGTTTTGAAAATTAGTGTTTTAGAAGAAACTCACTCATGTTTGTAACTTCTTTATCTGTTCAGTGTTGAAAGATGATGGACAGAAGGAATCCTTGCCATGTTTCACATTTAATAAGATTCTTTCACTTTAATGCATAAAACCCTTTGAAATCAATGTCAACCAGGAAAATTCATGTTAGAAAAAACTGGAATGAGAGCTGATATTCTATATTCAGAACATCTGAGAAAGCATTTTTGACTATTACAAAAGTTTATTTAACAAAAAGTCTAATATGAAAATGTACATGACCTAATTTTTACATCATAGTAAAACAGGCCCTATGGAGAGAGGACATGGGTTTCTCTGCTGAACAGCCATTATTTATACTCGTTCCAAGGCTTCTAACATGATGATACTATTTCCTCGTATTACCTAAGAAAGAGAAAAATAAATTTGAAAAGAACAACTCAGGTAACAGACATAACTATGATGATTTAAGAATTTTCACCAAATCATTAATGGTTTTTTAATATTACATGTCGGTTTGCAAAGCTTTGTTCAAGCCACAGGGACACCAAACAACTCTAAGCCCTTTATACGACAGACATCTTTTGGATTTAAGGCTAACAATTTGCTTTATGAGATTCTAATGCCAAGTCTCCAATGACTAATTTCACCTTTTTTTTTGAGACAGTCTCACTCTGTTGCCCAGGCTAGAGTGTAGTGGCGCAATCTCGGCTCACTGCAGCCTCTGCCACCCAGGTTCAAGCAATCCTGCTTCAGCCTCCCAAGTAGCTAGGATTACAGGAGCCCTGACCACGCCCAGCTAATTTTTATATTTTTGGTAGAGACGGGGTTTCACCATGTTGGCCAGGCTGGTGTCAAACTCCTGACCTCAAGTAATCTGCTTGCCTCAGCCTCACAAAGTGCTGGGATTACAGGCGTGAGCTACTACGCCTGGCCCTAATTTCACCTTCTAAAATGCAGGACTCAAATTTAAATGCCCATCCCTGACTCTATGGGATCCAAAAATTAATGAGTAAAATATGTACAGTAGAGTATGTTAGGTACAGTTTGGAGGTATGAGATCATTTAGGGAAGAAACCAGGATGGGAAATTGTGAAAGGCATGCTTTATGAAAATGACATTTTACCTGGGTCTTGGAAATTGGGCAGAATTTTGAAAAGGAGATTGTAGGAAATTCTAGACAGAACTAAGATGAAGACAAAGTATGAGAGGATAAGGAAGTAATCTAATTTGAATGCAGTAAAAAGTTCACGAAGAGAATCAGGAAACAAAGATAGTTGGCATTCAATCTTGGAAAGCTTCAAATGCCAATCTTAGTGTTTGGAGGACATCAGAAACTAACAATGAGCCAGTGAGAGTTTCACTTGGGGGAATGACAACCATAAGTGTCCCTGCAACAAGATATTATATAAATACGCCGAAGTTTGAATAGGACAGAACCTAGAGGCAGAAAGAGAAGTTATAAAAAAAAGGCCCTAGGAGAACAGTGCTTGACCTAGTAGATAAGCCATAAATGAAGATAAGAATATTTATCGGGGGTGTGGTGGCTCACGCCTATAATCCCAGCACTTTGGGAGGCCAAGGCGGGTGGATCACCTGAGGTTGGGAGTTCGAGACCATCCTGGCCAACATGGAGAAACCCCCATCTCTACTAAAAATAAAAAATTAGCCGGGTGTGGTGGCACATGCCTGTAATCCCAGCTACTCAGGAGGCTGAGGCAGGAGAAATCACTTGAACCCGGGAGGCGGAGGTTGCGGTAAGCCAAGATAGCGCCACTGCACTCCAGCCTGGGCAACGAGCGAAACTGTCTTTTGTCAAAAAAAAAAAAAAAAAAAAAAAAAAAACAACAAACCAAAACCAAAACAAACCAACAGACAAACTTATCAGAGTATAGATGAATCAGCTGGTAAATGAATTCAAGAGGGGTAGAAAAATAAGCGAAACTGGAAGGCTAGGGGACTAAAAACAGTAAGTCCCTAATAGACTGGAGATCATCATAATCGATAGATCACCCATCAGTCAAGTAGAATTGGATAGGTGAATGGAGGGGTACGGGAGGGAAAGAATAGGTAATGTAGGGGAGAGAAAGGTAATGTAATAATTTGAGGTGTTTATTAGAAATGGAGGCATTCCAAAAAGATTCAAAGTGGAGCTATGCTTATAGGCAGCTAGAGTAAAAGTAGTTGTAACTTATTCTTTTCTCACAGTATCATGCTTGTTTTATTTACACATACGCTATGATTTATTGTGTTCTCCATACAAATGTAAATTTTATGAGGGCAGGGACTTAGGTGCAAAACCCCAGTGCCTAAAATAGTAGCAGGCACACAGAGGGCTCAATAACCTGGTAAATATGAATAAAAGAACTCACATGTGATTACTGCAGCTGACAGAATAGAAGGGAACACAATTGGTAGGATAAGTGTCTTGGAACCTGGCAGCCAATTATCAGCAATGAGTATGATAAGGTAGTAAAGAGCAGATTTAAAAAAGAATGGCTGGGCATGGTGGCTCACGCCTATAATCTCAGCATTTTGAGAGGCCCAGGTGGGCAGATAGCTTGAGCCCAGGAGTTTGAGACCAGCCTGGGCAACATGGTAAAACCCTGTCTCTACAAAAATACAAAAATTAGCTGAGGGTGGTGGTGCACACCTGTGGTTCCAGCTACTCGGGAGGCTGAGGTGGAAGGATCAACTGAGCCCAGGGAGGTTGAGACCACAGTGAACCAAGCTCCATGCTACTGCACTCCGGCCTCGGTGACAGAGTGAGACCTTATCTCAAACCAACAACAAAAACCAGTAAACACAGTGCCCTGAAAATGACAATGGGAACTGAAAGAGTCTAAAGATTGACACTCTTCTTCTAAGTTAACAGAGCTCCCCTCCATTTTTTTGAGACTGGGACTAGCTATGCTGACCAGGCTGCAGTGCAGTGGCTATTCACATGCACAATCACTGCACACTGCATCCTCGAACTCCTAGGCTCAAGTGGTTCTCCTGCCTCTGCCTCCTGAGTAGCTGGGACTATAGGCGCACATCACCATGCCCAGCATAAGCCAGGAGTAGAAACATGCTTACCTAGTTATCAGAATTTTATTTTCATTTTAATTATTATTTTTTTTGAAACAGGGTCTTGCTCTGTCACCCAAGCTGGAATGCAGTGGTTCAATCACAGCTAACTGCAGCCTTGACCTCCTGGGCTCAAGTGATCCTCCCACTTCAGCCTCTCAAGTAGCTGGGACCAGAGGCATGAGCCACCAAGCTGGGCTAATTTTAAAATTTTCTGTAGAGACAGGGTCTCACCATGTTGCCCAGGCTTATCTCAAACTCCTAGTCTCAAGTGATCCTCCTGCCTTGGCCTCCCAAAGTGCTGGGATTACAGGTGTGAGCCACTGTACCTGGCCAGTTATCAGAATTTTAAATTCTCAATTTTTTTTTTGGCAACAGATATTGAACATCACATCTCATTGACCAAAGCAAGAAAAGCTAGCCTTCCTGCCTAGCTCCCTGCTAAATTTACATATTTGTCTTGTCACATAATATTTAGAAAATAAGGCTAAATGGTGAACTTTGTCCCACCTTATCTGTGGTCCAAAAACATTAAATGCATAGTCCCAGCAACAGACATCCGTAAGTTTTACACTGCATGCTGTTCTTAGCAGTGTGATGATACCTCATACTGTCCCTGGATGTGGATTATCCTTTGTCTAGCATCTCCATGCTGCCCATTAATCAGTTATCTCAGTTTTATGATTGACTGTTGTGGTATCAAAGGGTTACTTGTGTTCAAGTAACCCTTTTTTTAACTTAATACTAGCCTGAAAGTATAAGAGCAGTGATGCTGGCAATATGGATATGCCAAAGAGAAGCTGTAAAGTGCTTCCTTTAAGTGAAAAGGTACAAGTTCTTGACTTAATAAGAAAAAGAATCATATGTTGAGACTGCCAAGATTTATGGTAAGGACGAATCTTCTATCTGTGAGATTGTGAAGAAGTAAAAAGAAGTTCGTGCTGGCCAGGCGCGGTGGCTCACGCCTGTAATCCCAGCACTTTGGGAGGCTAAGGCAGGTGGCTCATGCGGTCAGGAGTTTGAGACCAGCCTGGCCAACATAGTGAAACCCTGTCTCTACTAAAAATACAAAAATTAGCTTGGCGTGGTGGTGTGCGCCTGTAGTCCCAGCTACTCGGGAAGCTGAGGCAGGAGAACTGCTTGAACCCAGGAGGCGGAGGTTGCAGTGACCCGAGACCACACCATTGCACTCCAGCCTCGGTGACACAGTGAGACTCTGTCATACACACGCGCGTGCACACACACACACACAGAAATTTGTGCATAGGGTTCACTACTATCTGTGGTTTCTGGTACCTACTCTGAGGATAAAGGAGGCCTATTGTAGTGCTCTTCCTCTTTTGCCACTGTGTTTGAGGCCTAATTCTCCAAATCAAACTTGAACCATCAGGTCCAGAATTACATACTGCTCCCTTTTTTGTGCTTCAATGATGCTACAGAAGGACAACCCTAGCAAGAGTGCCTGAACTATGTAACATAATAAAAAGTAAGATAGAGGCGATGCCACTGACAACTCTGGGGATGTCTCAGAAGATAGTTGAGATTTATCATTAGGTAACGATCCAACTGACAGGTTAAAAACAAACTCACTCCTGAAAACAAACACATCCTTTTTGAGACAGGATCTCGCTTTGTCACAAAGATTGGAGTGCAGTAGTGTGATCTCAGCTCACTGCAGCTTTGACTTCCTGCCTCAGCCTCCTGAGTAGCTGGGACTACAGGTGCACACCACCATGCCCGGCTAATTTTCTAATTTTTTTGTAGAGATGAGGTCTCACTATGTTGCCCAGGCTGATCTCAAACTCCTGGGCTCAAGTGATCCTCCTGCTTCAGCCTCTCGAAGTGCTGGGATTATAGATGTGAGCTACTGTGCCCAGCCAACACACACATAACTGCAATAAAACAGTATTAAGTAATTTCAATGGCCTCAATGGATCACTGACTTGGACAAGGTAATAATGAAGCCAACTGTCCTTTGTTAAACAACTTCTAACAAAATAACAAAACCTTAACCTATTTGTTTCCCTTCTTCCAACTTTAGAAAAGTCAAAAAGTTCATCTCTGTTCTTGCCTTTTAAAATGTCTTTTATTAAAGAAGTCTGATGTGTTATTATTTCTTTTTCAAAGTGAAGACTCAGCAGCAAGAATTACTGTCTGCTGATAAAAACTTTTTTTTTTCTTTGGCTGGGGGTTGGGGGGCGTGTGTGTCACATAAACCTCAGAGATGGAACAGGAGGCTGCCCAACACACTAAGTAGGTAATCATTACTTAAATGACTTGGGATGGCAGTGCTTTCAACCAATTTCTGTGCAAAGAAAATAAAGTCCATAAAGTTTAGGGGGAAAATTGCCAGAGGGATGCTCTATTCCTTCTCTGATAAAATTCCAATGAGCAGTGTGTTACATAATTCTCTAATCTTCTCAAAGCAGAATTGACAATTAGGTGCCAAGTTCTTCCTGAATCCTTTTCAGCAAATTTTTTGCAAGGAACTAAAAACCTAATCTACCTTCTATTAGAATGAAAATTTATTTGTAAAAATAAGGGCTGAGAGGAAAATCTTGGGGTATCTAGAAAATGTTTTTAAAAGGACTTGGCTACTAATCATGCTGGCAGCCTTATTCAACAGAAGCTCACAAGGGAATATACCTGAAAGACAAGTCAATTTACATGAAACTTGGGGGTACAGTGTGGTATCTGGAGACTCTAAACTGTTTTTTCAGTCATAACTATTGATTTGCTTTTCAAAATACAGTAATGAAAAAGTATCTGAAATAAGTAATAACACAAACCTTGGAAAGAATGGTATGTAAAAAAATTAAACAGGCAGAGATGTCAAAATAGGTCTATCTTCAACTTTACTGCTCAAACTTAAAAATCAAGGTTAATAAATCAAGGCTAATAATTAGCAACTCTTACCACTCCTTGGAGGTCTTTATGCTTAATAATTTGCTAAAAGTAAGTTGTCCTTTTTGGTTCACCTTTTTCAAGAACTTTGGGCTTACCGCTTTATTAGGTATGTTGTCCTGTGTTAGACAAAGAGGGACTCAAAGTCTGGGTATCAAAACTCTTCTTCAGCAATCACTAAAACTACGGCCCAATGAATGTAGGAATGTTTAATCCTATGAGGGCTCAGTATGTGCTTATTTTTTCCTGCTTTTTCTCTCATGTGAATAACTGTCATTGTGATTATCCCTTGTAACTTTTACCTTGGCTACCTTAAAATTTTGGGTGTGGTAAACCAGAAAATCCAGGTTAACTATGTATACAAGTAAAATCAGAAAGTGTTACCTGTGAACTGGCAGATCTGCATTAGGCATTAGTAGAAATGCAAAACCTTAGTTAAGTTCTGCCCCATACCTACTGAAGTAGAATCTTCATTTTAAGAAGATTCCCTGGGGATTCATATACACATTAAGGTTTCAGAACTACTGCTCTAATGAAGGACCAACTATGAGCCTCTATTGCAGAATAAAGCTCAAAAAGGATTTCCAACAGCTATTTCAAGCGCTAGGACCTTAGGTTCTGTATAGTTGAGATCTTACCTACAGGTAACCAGGATATTACTACAGCTGAGTAACTGCCGTATGCAACTAAAAAGGAGATGGAAAGTCTAATCTTGCCTGTTATTTGCCATTTCTGGGGGTTACTAACCAGGAAAGTTAATACACATTCCAAAAGAAAAATGAAATCTCCAAGAGAACTCTTGTATCTTTACTTACCACCATTCCAATATTGTTCTGTTGTCCACTAGTCGCCATCTCCACACATTCATCTATCACAAGGTTCATAAAGGGATCAAATCCCCGCAATATTCCTTGGACATGTCTGCCACCATTTAATTTCACTATTAAAAAGAGAAAAAGAAGTTTTAGAAAAACATTCCATTAGCTACCAAGCATTCACTAAAAATCAGGTGGGATAAAACACAAGTATTTGAGATGTCTGAAACCCACTATCCTTACTGTATGACAAGAACTGGGTTAAACATTTTTGTATTTACTTCCACATTTTAATTTATAAGAATCCTAAAAAGTAGTATTATCCTTACTTTATAGGACAGAACTAAACTTCAGAGCTTTTTTAAAATTTTTATAAAGATGGGGGCTCCCTATGTTGCCCAGGCTGGTCTCGAACTCCTGGGCTCAAGGGATCCTCCCGCTTTGGCCTCCCAAAGTGCTGGGGGATTATAGGTGTAAACCACCGTGCCCGAGCTTTTAAGTAACTGGGTTCATGGTTATACAGCTACTGTACGACAGAAGTGAGATTCAAGCTGAAGGCTGCTTACCTCTAACGCTCATGGTTTTTTCCCCTACATATATTTCAAGTACTGTGTGGGTCAGATTTTTAGATAAATTGAACAAATGTTATTCCTACATATTCCCAAGAAACAAGATAACTGTTCCTTGTCTAAGTCCTTTGTAGCTTGTTTAAAGAAAAAAGGTTGATAAATCCTGTTAATTTTGCCAAAGTGAGGAAGGGCTTACATAAGATAAAGTCTGAAGTGCTGTTAAATTAATTATCAGAAATTAGGTAAATAAAATTGTCTAGTTAGGATTAAGTAATCTGCTTAACTAACGGATGTGAATTAGAGGTCCTGTGTGCTTTAAATTTTTTTTTTTTGAGACGGAGTCTAGCTCTATAGCCCAGGCTGGAGTGCAGTACCGCCATCTTGGCTCACTGCAAACTCCGCCTCCTGGGTTCATGCCATTCTCCTGACTCAGCCTCCCGAGTAACTGGGACTACAGGCGCCCGCCACTGCACCCGGCTAATTTTTTTTTGTATTTTTAGTAGAGACGGGGTTTCACCGTGTTAGCCAGGATGGTCTTGATCTCCTGATCTCACGATCCGCCTGCCTCGGCCTCCCAAAGTGCTGGGATTACAGCCGTGAGCCATCGCGCCTGGCTGCTTTAAATTTTTATAAAGTTGCTCCAAACATTGCTAAGACACATGTAAAAAGCAATTAAATAATTAAAAAAAACCCCAAAACAACAACAAACTTACATGATAACTTCTTGTCCATAAATCTGAAAAAGGAAAAGGGTAAAGATTATATAACCAATTAAAAAAATTTAAGCATAAACAAGTAAATAGGTATAGTTAAGATAATTTGCTAAAATTTATACAATGGGAATAATGAAATCTAAAATAGTAAAAATAATGTATTGCTGTAAAGAGTGAGGGAGTAGGGCGAGGTAGCTCACGCCTGTAATCCCAGCACTTTAGGGGGCTGAGGCGGGTGGACTGCTTGAGCTCAGGAGTTGAGACCAGCCTGGGCAACATGGTGAAACCCCATCTCTACCAAAAATACAAAAATTAGCTGGGGGTGGTGGCACATGCCTATGGTTCCAGCTACTTGGGAGGCTGAGGTCGGAGAATCACTGGAGCCTGCCACGTTGAGGCTGCAGTGAGCCATGATTGCGCCACTGCACTCCAGCTTGGGCAATAGAGCGAAACTGTCTCAGGGGAAAAAAAGAGTGGGGGCGTAAAGGGTTACCTAAATTAGACATTCTAGGAAGCAAAGTAATTTGGGAAGAGGAAAGGCAATAAAAATGAAACATATTTAGACTATATTAATTTACATTAAGTAGAGTATACTAATGTGAATTACATTCTTATTGTTCAATACTACGTTGTTTCATTGACCTAAATTTCTTTCTTTTTTTTTTTTTTTTTAAGAGATGGGAGTCTCATTATGTTGCCCAGGCTGGTCCTGAATTCCTGGCCTCGAAAAATATACTCCCCCTCAGCCTCCCAAAGTGCCGCTGGGATTACACAGGCATGAGCTACCACATCTGGTCTCATTGACCTAATTTTCAATGACTGGATTTTATAGTCACAAGAGAAAAACAAAGACTTGCCTATGTTTGGTTATTTCCAAAACTAAGTTGTAAAGACAGCAAACAGTAATCAAATCATATCCAATTCAATAGGTATTTTATATTTGAAATAAGTAGTGTTCTTTTATTTAATATTAAAGCATCAAGCATAAATGTTCAGGGTAGTCCTCAACATTTAAGTATATTTTAGAATAATAAATGCACATTTGAAACTTCAAACGATATGAATTAAAAAAAAATTCCATTTTAGTGGAATACGAGATTAAGCCATGCAGTCAAATCAGTTTTTAATTTCTTCCATATAGGCCAGAAAACATAAAATTTCATTCAATTTTAAAAATTTCATTCAAATTTTAAAATATAAAAAAATGAAAAAAAGATGTTTAGTATATGGGCCACGAAGTGGGGCACTTATTCAATTTTAATGTATAGGATTATCATGGGAAAATGTAAATATAAAACAAGGAGCATGACTGAAGGAGGGAGTAGATACATTTACAAGTAAAAATATATTTATGGGCTGGGCGCGGTGGCTCATGCTTGTAATCCCAGCACTTTGGGAGGCCAAGGCGGGCGGATCACCTGAGGTCGGGAGTTCGAGACCAGCCTGATCAACATGGAGAAAACCCGTCTCTACTAAAAAAAAAAAAAAAAAAAAAAAAAAAAAAAAAAAAAATTAGTCGGGTGTGTTGGTGCATGCTTGTAATCCCAGCTACTCGGGAGGCTGAGGCAGGAGAATCGCTTGAACCCGGGAGGCACAGGTTGCGGTGAGCCAAGATCGCGCCACTGCACTCCAGCCTGGGCAATAAGAGTGAAACTCCATCTCAAAACACACACACACACACACACACACACACACACACACACACACACATATATGAAGTAAACTATATTTTAATAAGATACATAAAACGTATCAAATATAACACACAAGATCTTATACAATCTTTACAACGACTTTGCAATTATGGTCTATCATTTCCACCGTTTTTACAGATGGAGAACTAGGCTTGGAAAAGCTAAAGCAATTTTTCAAAGTCACACAGCAAGTGAGAGCAAACACAAATAGTTCAGTGTGACTGGAGAACGGAATACCTGAGTATTAGCAGCTAGAAGGTTTGGTGCTTGAATGCTGGGTTAAGTACAGACTCGATTTTGCATACTGTGATAAATTATTAAAGCAGTCACTGGCAAGACTACCGTGGCAGCAAATTTTAAGAAGTGGAAGGAAGAATTCAGTTAAGCCAGTGTATCTCAACTTCTATACTACTGACATTTGGGACCAGTTAATTTTGTATTGTTGGGGGCAGTCGAATAAGCAGTAGGATGTTTAGCAGCACCCTGGTGTCTACTCACTAGAAGCCGGTAGCACCAGATTCCCTACTCCCCATTTAAGAACACCTGAGTTATGCTACACCAGAAGGAGGGCATAATGGTGTAAAAGAAGATGCTATCTGTGAGAAAGCAGAGGAAGAAAAAATTTTTAAGTCATTTTGGCGGCAGATCTGACCGGATTTCACAATTCATGAAACCTACGAGGAAGAGAAAGGTATTAAAACTAGCTTCCTTCTCTGAAATTTTCAAAAACTATGTTATGAATCAGAAAGAAAATCTTAGATTACAAGTAGAGAATGGTCTTTTTGTTAAAAAAAAAAAAATCACCATTTCACCAGTCCCTGATGAATCCAGAGGATACTTACATCACCAAAAATAACTTTCAGATAAAAAGAGTAATTTTCACAATAATTTCTGAGTAACTTCTATTTTTTTTTTTTTTTTTGAGACGGAGTCTCGCTCTGTTGCCCAGGCTGGAGTGCAGTGGCGCGATCTCGGCTCACTGCAAGCTCCGCCTCCCGGGTTCACGCCATTCTCCTGCCTCAGCCTCCCGAGTAGCTGGGACTACAAGCGCCCGCCACCAAGCCCACGTAATTTTTTGTATTTTTATAGACACGGGGTTTCACCGTTTTAGCCATGATGATCTCCATCTCCTGACCTCGTGATCCGCCCGCCTCGGCCTCCCAAAGTGCTGGGATTACAGGCGTGAGCCACCGCGTTGGGCTTATGTTTTAATAATTAATTCCTTAACAGACCTAACTAAAATATACATAGAAGTAGTTTTCATACAAAAGATGGCTTTGATACAAATGGACCTTTAAATGCAAAAATATTATTATTTTTTGAAACAGAGTTTCGGTCTTGTTACCCAGGCTGGAGGGCAATGGCGCGATCTTGACTCACTGCAACCTCCGCTTCCCGGGTTCAAGCGATTCTCCTGCCTCAACCTCCGGAATAGCTGAGACTACAGGCGCACACCACCTGCCTGGCTAATTTTTTGTATTTTTAGTAGAGACGGGGGTTTCACCATGTTGGCCAGGCTGGTCTCGAACTCCTGACCTCAGGTGATCCTCCCGCCTCAGCCTCCCAAAGTGCTGGGATTACAGGCGTGAGCCACTGTGCCCGGCCGCAAAATTATTAAATAGGAACTTTACCTTTTGTCTGACTTCCATGGGCCTGGTAATAAATGAACTAACTATACACAAAGCCAACCACATGCTACGCCAGAAAAAACTGATCCCTGTAAAAATTTTGCATCCTTTGTGCAATCCAACTAATACATGTAGAATTCCAGCATCAGGAAGTATAAGCAAAACAGAAACGTAGTCAGGAAACACATAACCTGTTAAGTCCACTCAAAAAGTATTTGAGGAATTCAAAGCTTTACGTTGAGTCCTACCTAAAGTAAGGCTCTCCTACTTAAAGTTGTTTGACTTTACTGGGTGTGTAGAAAAAACTTCAAAAAATTAGCCTTCTCTGACTAGAAAAAATTAATGTTCTTAAAAAAAAAGAAAAATGAATGTTCTTATATAGTTTCAACATCAGAGCAAGATAACACATGACATTCAAGCTTAACGTAAAAGAAGGCAAGAAAAAGGAATGAGGTTTCTAAGTAAAAGCTCAAACACCTACAAACACATTTGCTAAGACTAAAGTGGCTTTCGGATTCTGATGCCTCACGTAGTTTTAAAAACACTTCCTTCCCTTCCAGCCCCTCCTTAGTTCCTTCAGAGAATTTCCCCCTCTAGCCGTCTATCTAGAACATGATACTATTCGAGATGTTCAACAAAAGGTAGCACTGGAGATCTTCAAGGAACGAGGGACAGCGCCGGGTGACCAGGGGCCAGACCGCGGGACCTGGAGACTAGTCGGCCGGAAGGAGGTGCCGTGGCTGCCGGCTGTAACCACACCGACGCGCGAGCTCTGCGCGGGCTTCACGTCTCATGCGCGGGAGCCTGGCCGGGATCCCGGCGACCTCGGACCGGAAGAAGAAATGAAGTGAAGCGGCTCAAGACATTCGGCTAACGGAGAGGGAACCAAGGGACTCGCAGGACGCAAATAACTGACCACTTCGGTTTGGCTCTCACACATACTTACTTTTTCAACTCGGGAGGGTGAGCTTTGCTCATGGTGTATACTCCGCGGGCTCACAGATGCCTTGGAACGCAACGCACGGCTTTCCTCACGCTCCCGCTGTAGGCCCGGCGTCTTGCGTCTGGCGTCATCGACCTCGTTAGCCAATGGATTGTTGGCAGTTTTTACATTTCACCTCGCGATATCTCAGCGCCTCGGTCATCGTTGAGCTTCCGGTTATGTCCTCAGCGATTGGCCAGGACGGAGGGGTGCGTCCTCTAGGCACCTTTCTGAATTCCGTTTTCCTTGTACAAAATTGAGATAACGGGTATTCCACCGGTGGGTATCCCTGCTCTTTTTCTTTTCTTTTTGAGACGGAGTCTAGCTCTGTCGCCCAGGCTGGAGTGCAGTGGCGCGATCTCGGCTCACTGCAAGCTCCGCCTCCCGGCCTCACGCCATTCTCCTGCCTCAGCCACCCGAATAGCTGGGACTACAGGCGCCCGCCACCATGCCCGGCTAATTTTGTGTATTTTTTAGTAGAGACGGGGTTTCGCCGTGTTAGCCAGGATGGTCTCGATCTCCTGACCTCGTTATCCGCCCGCCTCGGCCTCCCAAAGTGCTAGGATTACAGGCGTGAGCTACCGCGCCCAGCCGGTTATCCCTGCTCTTGTCTATGGAACAGCCAAAATAAATAAAAATAAATAAATAAATAAAAAAAGCCGGGCGCCGTAAATCCCAGAACTTTGGATCTCTTGAGCCCAGGAGTTCGAGACCAGCCTGTGCAACATAGCGAGACCCCTTCTCTATTTAAAAAATAAAATTGAGATATTGAGATAACGGTCCCGTCTCTAGCTCCTGGGCAAACCCGGCCAATCCCGCATGTCTGTGGATCGTATCGCTTATTTTCTTCATATATACCAATATACCAAATGATAATGATCCCTGGAGGAATGGGCCTCTCTCTATATATGTATATTTTTTTGAGACGGAGTCTTGCTCTGTCGCCCAGGCTGGAGTGCAGTGGCGCGATCTCGGCTCACTGCAAGCTCTGCCTCCCGGGTTCACGCCATTCTCCTGCCTCAGCCTCCCGAGTAGCTGGGACAACAGGTGCCCGCCACCACGCCGGGCTGATTTTTTGTATTTTTAGTAGACACCGTATTTCACTGTGTTAGCCAGGATGGTCTTGATCTCCTGACCTCGTGATCCGCTGGCCTCGGCCTCCCAAAGTGCTGGGATTACAGGCGTGAGCCCCCGCTCCCGGCTGGGCCTCTATATTTTTTTGGCAGGTAACCCTACAGCATACTGTCAGACCAAGTAGGGTTCCCGTAACATGTAAATTAGCAGCCTCTGAACCATTGTAGAGTAAGGTGACTGGGTCTGTCTCCAAGAATTTGAATCTATTTCTGACTGAGGGGTCTTGCAAAAAAAATTTTTTTTGAGATGAGTTCTTGCTCTGTCGCCTAGGCTGGGGAGCATGGTGTGATCATGGCTCACTGCAACCTCGAACTCCTGGCCTCAAGCAATCCTTCCACCTCAGCCTCCTGAGTTGTTGAGACTACAGGCGCACGCCACTGCACCCAGCTAATTTTTTTTTGTAGAGACGAGGTCTTGCTTTGTTGCCCAGGCTGTTCTCAAATTCCTGGCCTCAAGAGATCTGCCTGCCTCCGGCTCCCAAAGTGCTGAGATTACAGGGGTTAGCCAGCATGCCTGGGAATTCTGAAATTTTTCAAACACTACCTCCAGAACTCACTGATGTGCTATTGCCCCTGTATATAAAATGTGAAGTGCAGCACACAAACATTTTCTAATATAAGGTGTTCTTTTTTCATGTCAAGATGTGTAAAAAGTGGTCTCGGACTTGTTCCCAGTTGTTACCCCAAAATTATAGAAGACTAAACCAAAATAGAATACCTTGTGTTTAAATAGGGGATAGTTCTCAAAAATTCAGTTAATTCCTGATATTCTGGAATGGCTCTATATAAATATCAATGATAGTAAAGACTTAAACTCATCACATATTTTGCACTCTCTTAGTACTCAAAATCCTAGACACTGAATTTTTTCTAGCAGGGTCATAGCTTTGTACCTTTACTACCACTTGCTATTAGTGTTTAGTTGAAGCTAGAGACCTGACATAGATAATGAATTTCTCTTTTTAGCCTCATAGACAGTTTCTTTTCTACATTAATGAACTTCAAGTCACAATGTCCTAGTCTCCTCTCAAAGTTTTTCCCATTTACAGTGAACCAGTTCTGCATCTGAACCATAACAACTAATTTCCACTCTTCTGGACATTTTAACTCATTTAACCTGTTAAAAGGAGAAGCATCCTGAGAAAGTTACATATTCACCACCCAGATATAAGGAAAGAAGACTCAATAGTGGGGAGAAAATTAAACCTTATTTATTTTTAAAGTCAAACCACTAGGAAAATATATCACAGCCTGGAAACAGCAAACGGACAGGCTATATTATAATTTCAAGTAATAAGTTGGTGAAAATTCAACGAAGTTGCTATCAAAACAATAAGGTGCCATGCTGGGGCAGGAACACTGCCAGCTGCACAAGCCCCAGGCAAAAATGGTATTTGGTAATGGGGGCTGTCTCTCCTTTGCTCTAAGGGAGTCAGCTCATCCTAGCCCAAGTTGCTTACTTTTTCTCCCTTGAATTTCCTGTTGCCAGGGGTTTGTCTCAATTGGGCTCTGTTAATTCAGGGGGCTAAGTAGGCAATGCTAGGTGTAGGCTTTCATTCCATATGTTCTAATAAAACCAGGTTTTCCCAAATCCAGTACTTCATTTACTCTGTTGTAATCAAGTAGCCAACTGCTCCTCTTTTACTGTTCATTCCTAGATACTAGTATATATCACAATCAAAACCCCCTTCTCTTCAAGGGGAAAGTGTTACTGCAAGATTGTCCTGTCATTTTGTTACACACAGCCTCAGGGGCCATCAGCCAGTAATTCTGCTTCCCATAATTAGTGTGTCATCACCTCTCATGTTTCTGCACAGTCTCCAGGCTGAAAGATGCAGCATGTAATAATTTTAAGAAATGTACATCCACATCTTGATGACCAGAAATGGGGATCCACAAGGAACATTTCAAAGTTCTTATCCAAACTAGTCTACCTCCCAGTTCCACATCTTAAAATCAACTTGTATGCCCTTGTATAAATTACCCCAAATCAAGAAAACAAAGACCCAGAAAACTTTCTTTCCCTTCTAAGTTAGTGACCTCATTGATTTTGTTTCACAGCTTATGGAAGATGGTGGGGTGACACTTTTGGTAAACAGGATGTTGGCAACAAAGAGAAAATATCTCTCCTCAGACTCCACCAACTCTAACCTGCCAGCCTGTTAGTACCTGTGTAGTAAGAAGAGTCTGGTACCTTGGAGGGCTCTGGCTTGTTACAGGGGAAAGCCTTACTGCCAGGACAAGCACTGGCCACAGGAAATAATAAGCTCTAAAACTCTCCTGTAATATCTCTGACTCGATTTAGCACCACTTTTTTCCATTTCATTTTTTAGGGACTGAAACATAAAATAACCAGTGTCCAGAGGCAAGTGACATATGCCTTACGCTTGTGGCCATCCTTCATTTCTTCATTCGTAAACTTTGCTTAAAAGACTAAAATTCCCAATTCCTTATAAAAAATATATTCTTGCCCTCAGCCCTGATGGCCACTGGCAAATACTTTTATTTTCCAATTGATAAGAGAGCCTCCTTCATCTTCTTGGTCATAGTTGGGATGAGGTGCATGTGGTCATCCACACACTTGGTCACACAACTGTCCAGCTGCTGCTTCACCTGAAGCTCCTTACTCCCAGCATCTATTGAATCTTTGGCTTTGTCGTTGCAATGCATGGTGCACCGGGCCAGGCGGTCCTGTGGCAAGAAGGAAGAACGTAGAAAAAGCTGAGAGTAAGGCCTCCATTTACTGCGTGCTCATTATGTGTTAGGCCCTGTGCTACAGGTTTAATATGTATTATCTTGGTCAATTAAAGGGACATGGTAGTGTGATTGGCCAAGTTTTTTTTTTTTTTTTTTTTTTTGAGCAGAGTCTCACTCTGTTGCCCAGGCTGGAGCGCTGCGCTGCAGTGGCACAATTATGGCTTACTGCAGCCTCAACGTCCCAGGCTCACGCTATCTTTCCACCTCTGCTCTCAAGTAGCTAGGACCACAGGCACACGCCACCACTCTTGGCTAATACTTTCTTAAAAATTATTTTTGTAGAGATGGGATCTCCCTATGTTGCCCAGGCTGGTCTTGAACTCCTGGGCTCAAGTGATCCTCCCTCCTTGGCTTCCCAAAGTGTTGGGATTAGAGGTGTGAGCCACTGTGTTTGGCTTTCCAAGACTGTCTTGACTCAAACAGAAGATGGCACCAGGAGGGCTCAAACTATTACTAGAAAGCAGGTGAATGACAGAATAAATTGGGCAGAACATTCTTCCAGGAAATGAGAGGTCCCTAGAGGTTATTGTAAGATGTACAAACATCTTGATTCTTTTTTTTTTTTTGAGACGGAGTTTCGCTCTTGTTGCCTAAGCTGGAGTGCAATGGCACAATCTCGGCTCACCACAACCTCCACCTCCCGGGTTCAAGTGATTCTCCTGCCTCAGCCTCCTGAGTAGCTAGGATTACAGGCATGCGCCACCATGCCTGGCTAACTTTTTTTGTATTTTTAGTAGAGACGGGGTTTCTCCATGTTGGTCAGGCTGGTCTCAAACTCCCAACCTCAGGTGATCCACCCGCGTCAGCCTCCCAAAGTGCTGGGATTATAGGTGTGAGCCACTGATTCTTTAAAGTCTGTTCTTTCTACAGGAAAACATTCAATTCAACAAATATTTATTGAGCATCTACTATGTGCCAGGCACTCTTTTAATGTTAGGGAATATAGCAATGAGTAAAACAAAGTTCTTACCCTTACAGAACTTACATTCCAGTGAGAGGAAAGAGACAAACAAAGTAAATGGAGATGTGGAGGAATTAGTTGGATATGTGAATGTGGAGTTTATCAGTGAGCTCTGGCCTACAGATATAAATGCAGGAGCTGTCAGCATAGAGATTATATTTACAGCTATGAGGCTAGAGGAGACTAGAGAAGTAGGCAGAAAGGAGAAAAGAAACAAGGACAGCCCCAGGCACTCTGATGCTCAGAGGCTGGAGTGGGGAAGAGAGAGCAAAGGAGGCCAAGGAAGGAGGCAGAAAACCAGGAGAGTGAGATGTCCTGGTGACCAACTGAATAAAGTGCTTTAAGAAGGAGAGGGATCCACTGTGTCAATGATGCAGACAGAGTAAGATGAAGACTGAGAAATGACCCCCGGATTCGGCCCCATGGGGGTGAGTGGCAGGAGTGGTTCTGGCCCAGTGAAGAGTGAAAGTCCACTTGGAGAGGACTAAAAAGATAATGCAAGGGAAGTTATAGAGCAATCCAAGAATCACATTTTCAAAGACCCCATCTATAAAATTAGCTGTCAAAAAGAACACAAAGAAACCCTTTGGGGTTCCATGATCTTGAAGAAGTTATTCCTTCATAATGGCAGTAACTTTGAAGCGTTTTGAATGGAAGAATGTAAAGATGTGTCACATTATGTATAAGTTTCCATGTGGATGGAACCTCAGGCTATGAAAGGCTGGCTTGGAAGTAGGCTTGCTTCCCCCAGGTTCCAGAAAAATATACTTAGAAGATGGGAGTAAAATGAAGTTGTGGATACTCTTTGCTCCAGAGAGGGAAACAGGGAGCTCTTTTGGTAACCTCAGAGGGGCTTGTGAGCCAGGAATCAGTGAGTCAACAGTAATAATGATTCACATAAATGACTGCTCCTTAGTGACAGAGGGGCTGCCCTCTGGGTATAGCAACTAGGGGCAGTCCTGGGTGGGTGTATAAGTCCACAAAATGGTGGAAGGGTGTTCCTCGAATCTGTACCTTTTCAAGGCTATCCTACCTTTCTAGAGATTCTGCTGTTTTAAAAATAATATATGTTTTAGGAAACTTTATTTTTTTATTTTTATTTTATTTATTTTTTGAGACGGAGTCTCGCTCTGTCACCCAGGCTGGAGTGCAGTGACGTGATCTTGGCTCACTGCAAGCTCTGCCTCCCGGATTCACGCCATTCTCCTGCCTCAGCTTCCCGAGTAGCTGGGACTACAGGCGCCCACCACCACACCTGGCCAATTTTTTGTATTTTTAGTAGAGACGGGGTTTCACTGTGTTAGCCAGGATGGTCTGGATCTCCTGACCTCGTGATCTGCCTGCCTCGGCCTCCCAAAGTGCTGGGATTACAGGTGTGAGCCACCGTGCCTGAACATTATTTATTTTTTTTTGAGACGGAGTTTCGCTCTTGTTGTCCAGGCTGGAGCGCAATGGCATGCGATCTTGGCTCACTGCAACCTGCGCCTTCCAGTTTCAAGCGATTCTCCTGCCTCAGCCTCCCGAGTAGCTGGGATTACAGGCACCTGCCACCATGCCCAGATAATTTCTGTATTTTTAGTAGAGATGGGGTTTCACCATGTTGGCCAGGACGGTCTCAAACTCCTGACCTCGTGATCCACCCGCCTCGGCCTCCCAAAATGTTGGGATTACAGGCGCGAGCTACGCGTCCAGCCAGGAAACTTTATACTACACAGTATACATTCTGTATTTGGTGGTTATGTCAAAAGGAACAAACAAACGCCTCCTCCCCAACAAACTGCATAAGGGCTCTTGGTCATGAACTCCCCTGGTAACTCCCCATTACATCATTTCTTTTTTTTTGAGACAGAGTCTCGCTCTGTTGCCAGGCTGAAGTGCAGTGGCGCGATCTTGGCTCACTGCAACTACACCTCCTGGGTTCAAGAGATTCCCCTGCCTCAGCCTCCCTAGTATCTGGGACTACAGGTGCGTGCCACCACGCCTGGCTAATTTTTTGTATTTTAGTAGAGACGGGGTTTCACCATGTTGGCCAGGATGGTCTTGATCTCCTGCTCTCATGATCCACCTGCCTCAGCCTCCTAAAGTGCTGGGATTACAGGCATGAGCCTCCGCGCTCGGCCTACATCATTTCTATAGGAAATGATGTTCAACTTAAGGCACTCGACCGCCAAGACTTTTTCCAAAATTTCAAACCCTGTGAAAACTGGTTGGCCATCAGTATCACAACTGTTAACAGAACCAAGACACTAAAGCCAAGAGTTTTGAACAAATGCTTGTCATCTCCTGCAAAAGTCTGTATCAAGGACTACAGTGCTCTGTCTAGGATATTTCTCACCTGGAACTTCTCCAGCTCACTGGTGACCAAAGCCTGGGCTTGAGCCAGAGGCACATGGCAGCGCTCGATGCACTGGTGCACCTGCTTCATGGAGGCCTGGCTGTCCTCACAACAGCTGGCGCTGCACCGGAACATGAGACCCTGGGGAGAAAGGGCAGAGAGGTTAGGTAGGAAAGTCTCTGGGGACAGAGATGACTATGGAGCACTACAGGAGTTAGAAGGCCACGTGGATATTTGCACCTCTCTCTCCACCTTCTGCTTTCACCTTCCCTGAGAATAGACACCAGGACCTTAAAACCACCACTGGGGAAAATTATCCTCAATGTCTAGTGTAGTGTTTCATGGTGTCCTTGCTGCTAGCTCATCGGCACCTGTTGCACCGATGGTTGGGTGAACAGAGGTTCGCCCGAGTGGGTGAGGGTAGGGTGGTCTGACGAAGCCAAATTCTGAAAACCAGGAGCCTCTTCCATGGGGTTCAGAGGTCAGCAACCTAGCAATACAAATTCCACCAGAGGGCAGCCGACCCACTAATCAATGACTCAAGGGGCACTATCTGGGAAACGCATACTCCGTGAGAGAAGCAGGACCGAAACACACAGAGGCATTGCGGGGCTCAGAGAAGAACAGTGTAGAAACCCGCGCTGTGTGAAGCGAGGTTGGGCGCAAGAGAAGCAGGCATGACCTGGCCAACGGGGAGGCCGGAAGTCCTCGCCTTTCTGGTCTTTCACGTTGGCAGCGCCTCTGCTGGGCCTCGGGCCGCTCACCTGCGGAAGGGGCCGCGTAAGAGGGGAAGGTGGTGGGGCGAGCGCCTGCCACCAGGGGCTTCCCACCTGCCGCCGAGGACGCTCCTGCCCCGGGCTGGAAGGGGCGGAAAACAGCCTCGCGCACGGCAAGGGCACACGGATTTCATCCGATCCGCCAAAGCTTCCGAAGTCCTGTCCGAGGCCGCCCCGGCGACCCCAGGGCCGCCCACACCCGGTCTGCGGGGACGCGGCTGCAGTGCAAGGCGTCGCGTGGTGGCTGAGGGAAGGGCCCGGAACCCACCCGCTGAGAAGGGGGTCCTGGTTCGGCCCCAGCCCCGCTACCTGCATCTTCCGGATGTTCTCTCTTTCCAGACTCTTCACCATGGACTCCACCGCCTCCTGCACCCGGAGCTGCTGCAGCTCAGCCATGGCGACCCCGCGCTGCCCCGCGGCGCTCCGCGCCGGCGCCCATATGGAATCGGCGTACGGGCCCGCCCCCTCACCGCCCTTCGCCGCCCTTCGCCGCCTGCCCTTCCAGGGCCCACGCCCCCCCCTGGCGGCCGAACGGAGCCACTGCATGCTGGTGTCCGCGAGCCCACCGCCCTCCTCCCGCTTGGGAACCGGTCACTGGGACACCTGCCCTGCGGCTGCTGCCTGCCTTTCCTCCTCCCTCCCATGTCCCTCCCTTTACATTCTTTAAAATTATTTAATGTAATTTACATACAGATAAATGCCCAGATCTTAGGCGTGCTGCTTGATGAGTTTTAACAAACCCTGTCCGCCGGGCGCAGTGGCTTACGCCTGTAATCCCAGCACTTTGGGAGGCCGTGGGCAGGTGGATGACCTGAGCTCAGGAATTTGAGACCAGCCTGGCCAACCTGGCGAAACCCCGTCCCTACTAAAAATACAAAAATTAGCCGGGTGTGGTGGCACATGCCTGTAGTCCCAGCTATTTGGGAGGCTGAGGCAGGAGAATTGCTTGAACCCGGGAGGGAGAGGTTGCAGTGAGCCGAAATCACGCCATTGCACTCCAGCCTGGACGACAGAGTGAGACTCTGTCTCTAAACAACAATAAAAACCCAAACTCTGTCTTGTCCCAATCTCCGTCCTTTCTACCCCATCTCCCCACCCCTGCCCTAACTGGTCTGCTTCTGTCACTGTAGATTACATTTTCTCTTTCTAGAATGTCATATGTATGTTATTATCCAATAAGTACTCCTTTTCTGTCTGGCTTTTTTAGCATATTGCTGAAAAATACTTAGCCTAATGCTTTCGAGATTGAGCTGTGTTGTTGGTTCTTTTTTGCTGCTGAGTAGTATTCTATTGAATGGACATACCACATTTGTCGTTGTTGTTTTTTGAGACAGGGTCTTACTCTGTCACCCAGGCTGGAGTGCAGTGATGTGGTCTCGGCTCATGCAGCCTCCACCTCCCTGGTTCAAGTGATTCTCATGCCTCAGCCTCCCGAGTAGCTGGGATTACAGGCATGTGCCACCACGTCTGGCTAATTTTTTTTTTTTTTTTGTAGACACGGGGTTTCACCATGTTAGCCAAGCTGGTCTCCAACTCCTGAGCTCAAGGGATCCACACACCTCGGCCTCCCAAAGTGCTGAGATTGCAGGCATGAGGCATCGGTCCCGGCCCACATTTGTTGATCCATTCCCCTGCTGATGGGTGTTTGGGTCTTTTCCACTTAGTAGCTATTATGAATAAAGTGGTGACTATGAACATCCTTGACCATTTTTTTTTTCTTTTGGAGATGGGATCTTGCTATGTTGTCCAGGCTGGTCTCAAACTCCAGGCCTCAAGCTATCCTCCTGCCTCTGCCTATCAAAGGGATTACGGGTATGCACCACCACCCAGTCCTGGACCAAGTCTTTTGTAGACACAGATTTTCTTTTCTTTTGGGTAAATATCTAGAAATGGGATTGTTGGATCACAGGGTAGATGTATGTTTATGCATTTATTTCTCATAAAAAATGAACTTCAGAGACAAAGCAGGGGCTACAGATCATCAATGAAGCAGTCATCAATGAAGCACTTACATGCCAGCAACATGAAACTGTTTCTGAATTCCTGGAGCAGTTTTTTTTTTGGAATGCCTCACTGTCCCACCCATAACAGTACTGTCGTGTGCATTCATTTATCGAATACATTAGCTAGGGGTGCGGGTCCAGAGGGGAGTGTCAGTGGAGAAGGGAAACACACTCCGTGGAGAAGGGGAAGGGGCAGTGTTGGAAGAGGTGTGCTGGAGGAGGTGGTCCAGGCTGGCAAGGAGGGAGTGAGCCATCCGGGTTCCTCAGGAAAGTTTTCTTAGAGGAGATAAGGCTTGAATTGAGGCTTTGAATTGAATTGAAATGAGTGGGTGTTTGCTTGGCATATGGGGCTGAAGAGAAAGCCATGTCAGGCATGGGGGTGCAAGGTGGGGGTGGGGGAGGAACAAAGGAATGGGGCCGTCATTAGAATTTAACGATTTTCTGCCATTGGGCGCTAGATGGCAGGAGAACTCTAGTTTAGGGCAGTGGGGAGTTTGACTCAACCCAAGCTTCTTTGAAGAAAGCTATGTTTTGATTGGGCACGGTGGCTCACGCCTGTAATCCCAGCACTTTGGGGAGCTGAGGCAGGTGGATCACCTGAGGTCAGGAGTTCAGGAGTTTGAGACCAGCCTGGCCAACATGGTGAAACCCCATCTCTACTAAAAGCACAAAAATTAGCCGGGCGTGGTGGCAGGCACTTGTAGTCTTGGCTACTTTGGGAGGCTGAGACAGGAGAATCGCTTGAATCCGGGAGGTAGAGGTTGCAGCGAGCTGAGATCACGTCACTGCACTCCAGCTTGGGCAACAAAGTGAGACTCTGTCTCAAAAAAAATAAAATAAAAAATAAAAGCAAGCAAGCAAGCAAGCAAGCAAGCAAGCAAGCAACCAAACAAGCTGTGTTCTTCCAGCGCCAGGCCCTCTCTAGTGAGTACAAGTGTGAGTATCTCCCCATAAATCACAGTTCAGGGTCTTGAGACAGCCTGTTCACTTCAAGCTCGACTACAAGTGGCTCCCAGCAGCAGCTGGAATCAGGGCGACACCAACTATTAAATAATGTGCCAGACAGTGTTTTAAGTGCCTTCCACGGGATGATCTCATTTAATTTCCATGACAAAGCACCCTATGAGGTGGGTACTTTACTCTCCTCTCTTCTCTCACTCAGGGCAGAAAACTGAGGCCTAGGGAGATGAAACCACTTGCCAGAGATTGCACATTTATAAACTGGTGGAGCTGGAATTCCAATCCTGATGGGCTAACTCCAGACTAGAAAAAGTAGGAAATCTCTATTGTGACTGACTTAATGTTTATACTTATGTCCCATATTCCACAGAAAGTTCTTTCTTTCTTCTTTATAGCACAATCTGAAACTACTCACTTCTCCCTCTTATTCCTAAAATGCCAGACAGAACCTCTCCAACAGCTCCTACTTGTAGGAGCCAAGTTAATCATGCTAAAATGAGTTTAAAAGTCCTTGAGTAATGCAGCCTTGTTAGTTTCTATACACAAATTGAATGGTACTTTTAGTATTTACGAAAAATGATTCTTGGCTGGGGCGGTGGCTCACATCTGTAATTCCAGCACATTGGGAGGCCGAGGCGGGCAGATCACTTGGGGCTGGGAGCTTGAGACCAGCCTGGCCAACGTGGTGAAACCCCCATCTCTACTAAAAATATAAAAACATTAGCTGGGCATAGCGGCACACACCTGCAATCACAGCTACTCAGAGGCTGAGGTGGGAGAATCACTTGCACTCAGGAGGTGGAGGTTGCAGTGAGCTGAGATGGTGCCACTGCACTCCAGCATGGGTGACAGAGCGAGACTCTCCCTCAAAAAAAAAAAACAAAAAAACAAAAAAACAGAAAAAAAAAAACCCAGAAAAAAAAAAAAGAAAAATGATTCCTGACTTCCAGTTAGTTGGCTGTGGAAATCCCATGGGAGTCATGGTGGAAGCAGAGTTTAATCTCATGTTAGGAAGCTCAGATACCTGTCTGTGCTATTACCCTGGTGCTTTGAGGGTGGGAAATGAGGTTTCAGGATTATCTGGCTCAAGCCTGGGCTGACTCACTGGAAACAAGTCACAGCTCTTTCAGGATCCTGGGTAGTCAGTTCTGTCATCTTGATTCCTTTCCCACCTCTCCTGCATGCCATCCTGTGAACGCAGGCCCCGCAGTGCCAGAGACAAATGGTGGCACAAGAGGGACTAGGGCTCTTTCCTATTTTCTCATGTTCAGGATGTGGGTGAGATAAATGGGGGCCAGGAGGCCCGGGATGAGGGGAGGAAGTGAATTTTGCTAGATGCTGCTACCTTTTCTAACCCTCAGGTTAGCAATGGGTGGTAGCCAGAAACCCAGCTATGGCCAACCTTGGTTAAAGACTTCCAGATGAAACTTTATCAATCAAACTGATAATTTAGAAAGCAATTCTCATGTTATCACTTGTTTTTAAATTAATGCCAACAAGAATGAGATTGAAGTGTTATCACTCTCTAGTCATGACACTCCTTGGTCGATTATGATGCCTTGCTGGGGAAAAGAAAACTCACAAGCAAAGAACACTGTCTTCTGCAGAATGAAGAATTCAGTCAACTTTTTGGAAGTCACAAGTACTTTTTAAAAATATATTCAATTGCTGGCCGGGCATGATGACTCACGCCTGTATTCCCAGCACTTTGGGAGGCCAAGGCGGGTGGATCACTTGAGGCCAGGAGTTCGAGACCAGCCTGGCCAACATGGCGAAACCCCGCCTCTACTAAGAATACAAAAATTAGCTGGGCGTGGTGGCGAATGCCTGTAATACCAGGTACTCAGGAGGCTGAGACATGAGAATCACTTGAACCCGAGAGGCAGAGATTGCAGTGAACCGAGATCACGCCACTGCACTCCAGCCTGTGCGATAGAGACCTTGTCTCAGGTTAAAAAAAAAAAAAAAATATATATATATGTACACACACACACACCCCCCCACACAATTGCTTCAGAGCTCTCTGCCAAAAAAATACATATATATTCAAAACTTTGGTTGAATAATTATTTTATATATGTATATTATTAAATATAAAATAAAGCAAATGTTTTATGATTATAAATATCCAATTATGTAAATATCTCTTGAATCTATTCACATCTCTCTAGCTTACTGTTATCACCCTAAAGCCACTATTATTATTATTATTGCCTGGCCTACTACAGTTGATCCTGTTTAAATCTTCCTATTGTGGCTAGGTGGTGGCTCATGCCTATAATCCCAGAACTCTGGGAGGCCGAGGCAGATGGATCACTTGAAGCCAGGATTTTGAGACTGGCCTGACCAACATGGTGTAACCCCGTCTCTACTAAAAATACAAAAATTAGCCAGGCACGGTGGCATGGGACTGTAATCCCAACTACTCAGGAGGCTGAGGCAGGAGAATCGCTTAAACCTGGGAGGCAGAGGTTGCAGTGAGCTGAGATTGCTCCACTGCACTCCAGCCTGGGTGACAGAGCAAAATTCCATCTCAAAAAAAAAAAAAATCTTCTTATGGAGTGGTCATTTACTTGCTGGCTTGTTGACTGTGTATATATATATATATATATATATATTTTTTTTTTAAATTAAATTAAATTAAATTAAATTAAATTTTTTTGAGATAGAGTCTCGCTCTGTTGCCCAGTCTGGAGTGCAGTGGCGAGATCTTGGCTCACTGCAACCTCCACCTCCCGGGTTCAAGCAACTCTCTGCCCCAGCCTCCCGAGTAGCTGGGATCACAGGCACGCACCACCTGCCTGGCTAATTTTTTGTATTTTTAGTAGAGACTGGGTTTCACCATGTTGGCCAGGCTGGTCTTGAACTCCTGACCTTGTGATCCACCCGCCTCGGCCTCCCAAAGTGCTGGGATTACAGGCTTGCACCACTGAGCCCGGCCTGTCGAATATATTTATATAGTCTTGTAATGGCTCTTTGTCAGTTATATGTGTTACAATATTTTCTCCTACTTTGTGGACGTTTCAGTTTTTAAACAGTATTAATGAAAGAAGTCCTTAATTTAAATGTAATCCTATTTATATTTTTTCCCTTTATGGTTAATTCTTTTTGTGTTTTTTTAAAAAAAATCATTCTGGCTGGGCAGGATGGCTCATAGCTGCAATCCTAGCACTTTGGGAGGCCGAGGAGGGAGGATCACTTGAGGCCAGGAATTTGAGACCAACCTGGGCAATATAGGGAGATCCTGTCTGAACAAAAAATAAAAAATTTAGCCGGGCATGGTGGTGCATATCTGTCGTCTCAGCTACTCAGGAGGCTGAGGTGGGAAGATTGCTTGAGCCCAGGAGATGGAGGCTCCAGTGAGCTATGATTGTGCCCCAGCACTCCAGCCTGGGTGACAAAGTGAGACCCTGTCTCAAAAAACAAAATACAAGTTTCTTAACTCTAAGATTTGAAAGTATTCTTGAGATGTTAAAAAATTATATTTGGCCGGGTGCGATGGCTCATGCCTGTAATCTTAGCACTTTGGGAGGCCGAGGTGGGCGGATTACCTGAGTTTAGGAGTTTGAGACTAGCCTGGCCAAGGAGGCGAAACCCTGTCTCTACTAAAAATACAAAAATTAGCTGGGCATGGTGGCGGGCGCCTGTAATCCCAGCTACTTGAGAGGCTGAGGCAGGAGAATTGCTTGAACCCGGGAGGTGGAGGTTGCAGTGAGCCGAGATCGCGCCATTGCACTCCAGCCTGGGTGACAGAGTGAGACTCTGTCTCAAAAACAAAACAAAACAAAAAAACAAAAAAAAAAGCTGGCTGGGCGCGGTGGCTCATGCCTGTTAATCCCAGCACTTTGGGAGGCTGAGGTGGGTAGATCACCTGAGGTCAGGAGTTCGAGACCAACCTGGCTAATATGGTGAAACCCCATCTCTACTAAAATACAAAAATTAGCCAGATGTGGTGGCTGGTGCCTGTAATCCCAGCTACTTGGGAGGCTGAGGCAGGCGAATTGCTTGAACCTGGGAGACGGAGGTTTCAGCGAGCTGAGCTTGTGCCACTGCACTCCAGCCTGGGCGATAGAGCAAGGCTCCATCTCAAAAAAACAAAACACAAACAAACAAACAAAAATTATATTTATTTATTTTTATTCAGCCTTTCTTCTAGTTATTTGCATTTTATGGTTATAAGTGTTCCTTTTAGTACTGCTTTAGCTTTACACTGCCACAAGTTTTGACATGTAGTTTTTTAGTTCAAATGTTTTCTAATTTCCATATGAATTATTTGACCCATGGGATTTTTTGAAATACACACACACACATACAGACACACACACACACATATATACACACACACACATATATATTTTTTGAGATAGGGTCTGGCTTTTCTCCCAGGCTGGGGTGTACTGGCACAATCTCAGCTCACTGCAGCCTCTGCCTCCTGGGCTCAAGCGATCCTCCCACCCCAGCCTCCCAAGTAGTTGGGACTACAGGCACATGCCACCACAGTTGGCTAATTTTTGTATTTCTTTTGGTAGAGATGGGGTCTTGCCATGTTGTCCTGGCTGGTCTCTTCCTGGGCTCACGTGATCCTCCCACCTTGGCCTCCCAAAGTGCTGGAATTACAGGCGCGAGCTATTGTGCCAGACCAAAATATATTTCTTAATTTCTAAACATATGGGTATTTTTAGGTAACTTTTTATCAATTGCAGGCGTGATTGCATTATGGTCAGTAAACGCACTCTATAATTTCAATCTTTTGATTAGTGGGAACTTGCTATATGGAATCAAAAAGACTTTTCTTATGGCATAATTTTTTTTTTTTTTGAGACGGAGTCTCACTCTGTTGCCCAGGCTGGAGTGCAGTGGGTGATCTCATCTCACCGCAACCTCTGCCTCCCTGGTTTAAGCACTTCTCCTGCCTCAGCCTCCTGAGTAGCTGGGACTACAGGTGTGCACCACCATGCTCAGCTAATTTTTGTATTTTTAGTAGAGATGGGGTTTCACTATGTTGGTCAGGTTGGTCTCTAACTCCTAACCTTGTGATCTGTCCGCCTCTGCCTCCCAAAGTGCTGGGATTATAGGTGTGAGCCACCATGCCTGGCCGGCATAATGTTTTTTTTTAAAAAGACTTCTCTGATTGCCTCCTTCCCACTCTGTATGCTCCTCTGTCATTTTCTTGGCCCTCTGTACTTGTCTGTGATGATGCCCATCACTATTGTTCATTACTTGTCCCATGTTTATTTTCTTTGCTAGATTAAAAACTCTATGAGGAGAGGGACCACGTCTGTTTTGGTCATTGCTTTTCACCAATTCTTTGCCTAGTGTCTGGCACATACTAACCCCTCATTAATTTCATTATACAGGTAATCAGATTACTAGAAATATTTGGAAACCAGAGAAAAGCAACAATGAATAGATAAAAATGTAAAAATCCATAATACTACCCTACAACTTTATTTATTTATGTACTTTGATTGATTGATTGATTGATTTTTTTATACGGAGCCTCACTCTGTTGTCCTGGCTGTAGTGCAGTGGGGCGATCTTGGCTCACTGCATCCTCCACCTCCTGGGTTCAAGCAATTCTCCTGCCTCAGCTTCCCTAGTAGCTGGGATTATAGGCATGTGCCACCATACCTGGCTACCCTACTACTTCAAATACCACTGTTAAATTTTTGATTTCTTTCTTTTGTTGAAACATGACAAATGTTTGTTTCTCAGATATCATCTGAAGGTAAGCATTCTAGAGCTCATATGGCAGCTCCATGTCTCTTTTTTCTAGGTGTTCTGTCATCTCCAGGGTCACACTTTCATCTATATGGTCTTGATTTATTTCTTTCCAGTCTTTTTTTTTCTATATGGGTTTTTAAAAACATTGTTGTAGGCCAGGCGTGGTGGCTCACGCCTGTAATCCCAGCACTTTGGGAGGCCGAGGCGGGCGGATCATGAGGTCGGGAGATTGAGACCATCCTGGCCAACGTGGTGAAACCCCATCTCTAGTAAAATACAGAAAATTAGCCGGGCGTGGTGGCACGCGCTTGTAGTCCCAGCTACTCGGGAGGTTAAGGCAGGGGAATTGCTTGAACCCGGGAGGCGGAGGTTGCAGTGAGCCAAGATCGCACCACTGCACTCCAGCCTGGTGACAGGGCAAGACTCCGTCTCAAAAAATAAATAAATGAAAATTGTAGTAATAAAATATATATACTTTGGTATCTTGCTTTTACAATTATATTACAAATGTTTCCATGTCATATACAAATAAGAGGAAACATTGCATACAGCCAGTGACCAATGTTAAGCAGAAAAGGACTGAAATTATAATTCAAGTGTAGAGATTTGAGTAAGTCCTGGGATGGCGGTTGATAGAATCCCCCAGGTAGGCTGAGCAATCCAGGAGCAAAGGGGTCATGTCTGCCTTTGTAGAGTCCCAGGGAGTTGGCCAGGCTCCAGAGGGGTGATGTCTGCAGGGGGTCTAGGCAGAGAGGGCCTTAGGCAGTCCACAGGGTTCTCCAAGGCTCAGTGTGAGTAGGAGCTGCCCTAGAGTAGCATGAAACTAGATAGGGCCACGGACAGCCTGACGGTATCTCTTTCCCATGGCCCAGAATGGGAACTGCCTAATGATCTCCAGGCAGCTGAGAGGAGCCCAGAGCCCAGAAGTACCTGAGAGAACTGGATCTGGAGAAATATTGTCATTGGGAAGAGGAATGACTCTGAGGCAGCTGGTGTGAACCAAGAATGGAGACCTTTTCCCTCACAGATGCCAGTGTGGACAGATGATCCTACCCACCTTCCCACCAGATGAAACTCGAGGATGAACTCTCAAATTGATTGAGATTATGTCCTTGCTACCCAGCAGAAGGGAGCTCACATTAGAAATTCTTTCCCCTCTTTTTGGTTAGTTTTCAAACTTAACAACTAGGTGTGCAGAGGGGTTGGGGGGGCAACTCCAATATAAAGAATGGATGATGTTATTTTAACTATCTCGATTAATTTTGTAAGTTTACATTTCAAAGATTTATTGTAGATAGACTATCTACTGTGCCATCCAGGATGGCAGCCACTTAACTACATGTTGTTACTTAAATTTAAATGAAAAGTAAAGGCAGACATGGCGGCTCATGCCTATAATCGTAGCGCTTTGGGAGGCTGAAGTGAGAGGATCCATTGAGCTTGGGAGTTTAAGACCAGCCTGGGCAACATAGTGAGACCCCATCTGTATTTTAAATATAAAAAGTTTTTGGCTGGGTGCAATGGCTTATGACTGTAATCCCAGCACTTTGGGAGGCTGAGGTGGGTGGATCACTTGAGGTCAGGAGTTCGAGACCAGCCTGGCCAACATGGTGAAACCCTGTCTCTACTGAAAATACAAAAATTAGGCAGGTATGGTGGTGCTTGCCTGTAAACCCAGCTATTCAGGAGGCTGAGGCAGGAGAATTGTTGGAAACCAGGAGGTGGAGGTTGTAGTGAACTGAGATTGCACCACTGCACTCCAGCCTGGGTGACAGAGCAAGACTCCATTTCAAAAAAAAAAAAAAAAAAAAGGGGGCCGGGCACAATGGCTCACGCATGTAATCCCAGCATTTTGGGAGGCCGAGGTGGGCGGATCATGAAGTCAGGAGTTTGAGACCAGCCTGGCCAATATGGTGAAACCCTGTCTCTTAAAAATACAAAAATTGGCCAGGCGTGGTGCACACGCCTGTGGTCCCAGCTACTCGGGAGGCTGAGGCAGAAGAATCGCTTGAATCCGGGAGGCGGAGGTTGCAGTGAGCTGAGATCGTGCTATTGCACTCCAGCCTGGGTGACAGAGTGAGACTCCATCTCAAAAAATAAAATAAAATAAAATAAAAATTTTAATATAACAAAATTAAAGAATTCAGCTTAGTTACACTAGCCACATTTTAAATGCTCACTAGGATATGTGGCATGTGGCTACTATATGTAGATACATAGCATTTCCATAATTGCAGAAAGTTCTATTGGCCAGTATAGCTCTAGAACAACAAGGTTGTTTCAATCAACACAAAAAAATTGAAATTGGGTTATGAATGACATACCAATTCTAGGACAGTCTCAGCTTCCATTGTACATCTCAGTTTTGCTTTATTTACACAGAATCAAGACAACCTTGATTTTACCAGGTAAGTAGTTGCATATGGTGGCCTCTTCCCACCACTTCCTTTTTCAGTCTTGAGATACTCTTTACGAAGCAGAAGTGGCAGGAGAAGCTTCAGTCTAAGCCTGGACTAAAGCAAGTTAACCTGGTAGCACAAGAAAATTCCCCAATGATGTCTTCTAGGCTAAAACATGGCATATAATATACTTGAGCAGGTGTTTTTTGAAGGGCAGATAAAAAAGAATTTTAAAACATTTAAAAAATTAAAATTCTCAGATATCTTGTGGAATCCTGAATGCATCTCTATGGAGCCCCAGAGTGATGTGGGGCACAGCTTGAAAACTCTTTAAAAAAATAATTTGCCGGGTGTGGTGGCTCATGCCTGTAATCCCAGCACTTTGGGAGGCCGTGGAGGGCAGATCACGAGGTCAAGAGTTTGAGACCAGACTGACCAACATGATAAGACTCCGTCTCTACTAAAAATACAAACAAATTAGGGCCGGGCGCAGTGGCTCATGCCTGTAATCCCAGCACTTTGGGAGGCCAAGGCGGGCGGATCAGGAGGTCAGGAGTTCGAGACCAGCCTGGACAACATGGTAAAACCCCATCTCTACTAAAAATACAAAAATTAGCTGGGTGTGGTGTCACATGCTTGTAATCCCAGCTACTCTGGTGGATGAGGCAAGATAATTGCTTAAAAAACCTGAGAGGCAGAAGTTTCAGTGAGCCGAGATCTCCCCACTGCACTCCAGCCTGGGCGACAGAGCAAGACTCCATCTCTGGGGAAAAAAAAAAAAATTAACCGGGCATGGTGGCACATGCCTGTAATCCTAGCTACTTGGGAGGCCGAGGCAGGAGAATTGCTTGAACCTGGGAGGTGGAGGTTGCAGTGAGCCATGATGGCGCCGTTGTACTCCAGCCTGGGTGACAGAGTGAGACTCCATCTCAAAATAAATAAATAAAATAGAAAATACTTATTTTGGCTGGGTGCGGTGGCTCACGCCTGTCATCCCAGCACTTTGGGAGGCTGAGGCAAGTGAATCACGAGGTTAGGAGTTTGAGACCAGCCTAGCCAACATGGTGAAACCTCATCTCTACTAAAATTACAAAAAATTAGCTGGGCGTAGTGGCAGGTACCTATAATCCCAGCTACTTGGGAGGCTGAGGCAGGAGAATCGCTTGAACCCGGGCGGCGGAGGTTGCAGTGAGCTGAGATCGTGCCACTGCACTCCAGCCTGGGTGACAGAGTGAGACTCTGCCTCAAAAAAAAAAAAAAAAAAAAAAAGAAAATATTTATTTTTAGTAGAAACAAGGTCTTCCTATGCTGCCCATGTTGGCCTTAGGCTCCTGGCCTCAAGAGATCCTCTTGCCTTGATCTCCCAAAATGCTGAGATTGAGGCAGGAAAATAGGGTCTGGAGGCTGGGAACATAAGGCTGATTCAGACTTCAGCTATGAGAAGAAATATTCTCTACATAGGGCATACACCAAGTAAATGACTTTGTAACTACTTCATCCTCTTCATTTACATCGGGTGTACCCCAAGTAGAGGGTATTTAAACTCACGAAAACTCTGTAACAGGACCCTTGGGTCCCTATGCTCAGGTCTGCTCCTACACTGTGGAGTGTACTTTTATTTTCAATAAATCCCTTCATTCCTTCCTTGTTTTGTTTGTGTGCTTTGTCCAATTCTTTGTTCAAGATGCCAAGAACCTGGACACCCTCCACTGTTAAAAAGATTATAGGCGTAAGCCACCGTGCCAGGCCTGAGTTTGAGAATTCTTGATCCAAATCAACCTTCTCATGAAACTGGGCCCTAGAAAGACATGGGTTTCATGTCATCACAGTGGGTGTCAGAAATTAGAATACACATGGATATCTCTGACTGTCATCCCAGTGTGTTTTCTATACACCTCTGAAATGACATGGCTTGAATACCCCGGCCTCTGTCCTCCCCATCCTCTGGGTCACATTCTCTTGAAGCCACTTCATGATAACACTCCTTGTTGCAAGGTAGGCCATGGAGCTGAGTGCAAGTGGGGGCTGAGTGGGGCCTCACTTTTCTCATCTGGGATTTTACCTTCAAAGATAATAACAGTAGCTTCTGTTTACTGAGCACCCATTGTGCACCAGATATACCAGGCACATAAAGATAGGACTTCTAACCCTCTCCACAGCTTTGCAGATGTTACTGTTATCCTTATTTGGCAGACAAGTGTCAAAACCACATTCAGACTTAGTAAGAAGACACTTTAATTCAAAAGGATTGTTGCAGCCGGACATGGTGCTGTACAACTGCAGTGTCAGCTACTCTGGAGGGCTATTTGGGAAGCAGGAGGATCACTTGAGCTCAGGAATTCTAGTTCAGCTTGGACAACACAGCCGGATCCCATCTTTAAAAAAAGAAGATTGCTGCAATAGGGGAGGGGACTATTGCAATAGAGGGAGAAGGACTGTTGCATTAGGGGGAGGGTACAATTGAGTAGGAGGAGGGGAGTATCGCACTGGGGTAGGGGACTGTTGCAATGGGGGAGAGAGAATATTGTAATAGTGGAGGGGACTAATGCAGTGGGGGAAGGGACTACGTCAGTAGGGAGCACCTTGTGACCTTAACATCTGCAAAGATCTTGAGAGTTAGACAAAGAAGAGAAGAAGAGTTTTTTCTTTTTCTTTTTTTTTTTTTTTTTTTTGAGACAGAGTCTTACTTTGTCACCCAGGTTGGAGTGCAGCAGTGTGATCTCTGCTCACTGCAACCTCTGCCTCCCGGGTTCAAGTGATTCTCATATCTCAGCCTCCCGAGTAGCTGGGATTACAGGCATGTGCCACCACACCCATCTACATTTTTTATTTTTAGTAGAGATGGGGTTTTGCCACGTTGGCCAGGCTGGCTGAGACCTCAGGTGACCTCCTGACCTCAAGTGATCTGCCCTCCTCAGCCTCCCAAAGTACTGGGATTACAAATGTGAGCCACTGTGCCTGGCCAAGAGTTTTTTTAAAGGAGTAAAAAAGCTAGAAAAGAACCAGGTGTTGGGAAGCAGGAGAAGAGGATGATGTGACCAATGAGATAGTAGATCAGAGAATGTTTTACTGTGAGGCTAGCATATTTTCTGGGAGGAAACTCTCAAGAGTGTTGTGTGGCTCAGGCTCAGGGTGGCCAAACCTCAGAGGTCTGGAGAGAGGAGGAAAGCTCTCAACCCAAAGTTTGGTTAACCGACATCTTGTTCCTATTGATCAATGGGAGCAAGCAATTCAGGTAATTATTTATAAGGTAAAGAATGGGAATTTGGAATCTGTGTCTGGCCTGGTCATAAGTAAACAAGGGAGGCATGTGTGAGTTTTCTCTAAGTCATATGGAGAAGTATGAGTCCTTGCAGTAAGCGTTTTCCAGAACACAAAGAGTTAGGGATTTCTTAACCTTCACTGTTCTTCAGAATCACTGGGCTCAGGTAAAATTCAACATTGTCAGGAGAAAGTGCTTTTAGAGGTCAAGTACATTGTTTAAGGTCACACTGCTAAGACACAGTGGAAAAGGGACTCAAATGAGATCTGATGGACTCCAAAACTCACATCTTCTCCCCTGCTCCTGCTGACCTTGCAAGTCTAAAATTGTATTGTCAATCAGAGCATTTCTCACAGCATCTGGTGGAGTGCTGGTCAGATGTACCTGGTAAATACTTATTGAGTTGAACTGTCCCATTTTTCCAGGGTGGTGAGGGTAGGGTGAGAATGTGAGAATGTGTGGGTTGGTTCATAGCTATTATATCTTTTTTTTTTTTTTTGAGATAGGGTCTTGCTCTGTTGCCAAGGCTAGAGTGCAGTGGCATAATCATGTCTTACTGCAACCTCCCACCTCAGCCTCTCAAGTAAGTGGGACCACAGGCATGCGCCATCATGCCCAGCTAAGTTTCGTATTTTTTTTAGAGACAAGGTCTTGCTCTGTTACCCAGGTTGGTCTCGAACTCCTGGGCTCAAGCAATCTGCCCACTTTTGCCTCTTAAAGTGCTATATGCATGGGTGTAAATGTGAAATTATATTTCCTACTGTGGATAATGATCAAAAGAGTTTGGAAAGTCCTGAGCTGAAGTACTGTGTAGGTTGCAGATCTAGTTTCTGTTGAAAACATTGGTTTACAGATTCAATCTTGGGCTGAGCATCAAACTCTTCTGTGTTCTTAGCCTACTTCTGCCAACTTGTCCTTCAGCTAACTCAGTGATAGAGCCACTCCCTTTTCTCTTCCTTCCTTCTCCCTTTTATAAATTGTGACAATACTATTAACTCTCAGGGGTGTGGTGGCAGGCAGTTAGTGTCTCTGAGGTATGAGGTAAATAATTATTATTGTTCCTGGGAATCCTGTATTTCCCTTTCTCCCCCTCTTATTACTGTGGTTGTTATAGCAAAACAACAATGGTGATAATAATAATAATTTGTGGAACCTGTTGTGGTCCAGGCCTTGGGAGCAGAAGTGCTGAGGAGCCCCTTAAGGAAGGTCTCTTGTGGGGCTGGGCTCTGTTCCACCACAGGAGGCGACCTCAGGCCTGTCACACACACTCAACCCAAAGGGCTCTGCTTCTCCTTACAGTAAAAGTCCATTCAGGGAACTTTGGTTGAAATCTTTGGATCTGGGTTGGTCTTAGGTATTCCTTTCTCTGGGATTCAATTTCTTTATCTGTAAAATGAGCTTGACTGGATTAAACCATCTCTCTGGTTCCTTACCAAAGAGGCCAAGAGTCCCTTCTTAATCAGGCAACATCCCTGGCTCCAAATTGTGAAGAGTAAGAAGAGAGGAGAGATCCATTCTGAGGCATTGTCAAGACTGGGTGGGGTGGTGGGATTTGAGGAGATATTGTCAAAGTTGTGGACAGTTAGAGGGCTGAATGTGGACACTAGGCTCCTGAAAGGACAAGGGATTAGGACAGAAGTTTTAAGAGGGGATCCAGAGTTGCCAAAGACTTATTTCATCTACTGTAAATACTGAATACTTTACCCGTGTAAACACCATGCCACACAGATATTCAAAATATATCCAAGCTCAACAAGAAGAGTGATACTAATGGCTGGACCTAGGTTCTCTTGGTGATATTAGAACATCAGTGGCACTTTACATAAAGTCAGACATCTCAGTTCTGACAGGACAAGCATCTGGCCCAGGACCACTGTGGGTCATTTAATCCTGGAGAAATGAAAAGGTTGCCGTCAACTTTTCTTCTTTTTTTTGGCAGGGTCTTACTTAGGCTGGAGGGCAGTGGCAGGATCACAGCTCAAGTGATCCTTTCACCTCGGCCTCCTGAGTAGCTGGGACTACAGTTGTGCTCCACCATGCCCAGCTAATATTTTACTTTCTGTAGAGACGGGGTCTTACTGTGTTGCCTAGGCTGATCTCGAAATCCTGAGCTCAAGCAATCCTTCCACTTTGGCCCCACCAAAGTGCTGGGATTACAGGCGTGAGCTACCAGCCCCAGCTTGCCTTCAACCTTTAAAGACAAGATCTGTACACTTATTTTTGTCATTAAGTCAATGTAACTTAGTGGGGTGTGGGGAGGGTGATGGTGGGCTGAGAAGGGATAGTTGCCATTTAGGTGGTCTGTGCTGAGAGGGGGTGAGAGATGCTTCAGGGAATGAGGGAGGGGCTGTCATTATACCAGCAGCACCGCTGGGCTTGGGACCTCTAGCCATGGCTTGTGGCTCCTGGTCAGGAACCCAAGAGAGGCAAGACCATCAGGTTCCAGCTGAACTTTTAGCAGACATGCGGGGTGGCTCCACCGAACACCAAAGGAGGTGGGACGCATTTCTTCTCCTGACTTGAGGTTATGCTGGCCATGACCAGAAAGAACATTAGTGGGATTTTCTCTCTTCCCTGTTAGAAGCATGGAGAGTAGCTTAGCAGAGGGCCAGCTGAGCACATTCTTAATGGAAGGGCAGAGGGGAGGAGTAAATGCCCTTGGTCTACCTGTGCTAGTGGAACCCCTACATGGGAAGACCTCAAGCCACCCAGGGCAGAACTGTGTGTTCTTCAGAGGAGCGAGACACAGGGCATGGCCAAGGTTGGGTTTCTGCATCCTTTGTGCACAGGAAGAATAATGCTTAAATGTATTCAACGGGCAGATATGAAGGAAACAAGATACTGTATCTGGACAACTGCAAAGGGGTGAGCTGTGGGTGGGAGGTGTGGGAAAAGGAAGGAACCAGCGAGTTGGTATCCAGAGAGTTGCCTGGAGTGCAGGCAGGTTGTATGTACATGAACCTCAAGTATATTTTAGCACCAGATTCTTCATACCTGGTTGTCCCCATCACTACTCCACTGAAGCTGCCATCTCCTGAGGGCACCCTGGGCCTCTGCAACCTGGAGAGGTGGACAGCATTTGGAGTGGTCATCCCTTGGGACAGTGGAGATAAACAAAGACCAGCTGAATGAGAAAAGCAAAGGCTATTTATTGTGAACTTGCTATAGCAAGGGAGTCAGCCACCATCACTTGTGTTTAGTGAAGGCTCAAAGGCAAGCAGAGTGGGAAAGCTTCACAGTGGAAGAAAGCGAAGGCATCAGGTGTGCTGGTGCAAGGCAGTTAGCATGGAGAAGCTGTAGGGGCCATGAAGGCAAAGCGAATGTGATTAATCCTCTGTGATTCATTAGAGGGGCATATTTGGCTTTCTCTGGTTTGTTTTAAATTGGATGTGGGGGCTGGGCATGGTGGCTTATGCCTGTAATCCCAGCACTTTGGGAGGCCGAGGCCGGTGGATCGCTTGAGTCCAGGAGTTTGAGACCAGACTGGCCAACATGGTGAAAACCTGTCTCTACTAAAAATGCAAAAACTAGCCAGGTGTGGTGGCAGGCACCTGTATTCTCAGCTGTTAGGGTGGCTGAGGCAGGAGAATCACTTGAACCTGGGAGGCGGTGGTTGCAGTGAGCCAGGATCGTGCCACTGCACTCCAGCCTGGCCAACAGAGTGAGACTCCATCTAAAAAATAATAAATAAAAAAAATTAAATAAATTGGATGTGGGGACAAAAATGAGGGAAGCTGCATCCTGGATTGTCACTTAGAGACAGCAGGCAGGCTTGCTGCAAGTCTGATTTGTAGTGGTCTGGTCTCCTAGCTTGTTTATTGTGGATGAAGGGGTTGGTTTCCCGGCGGGCTGCTGCCGGTTGCAGGGTGGCATCTCATCTCCCATATGTGCTATTCCATTTTTGGACCTTGTCAACCTACACTAGGTACTTCCCTGGTTGCTTCATGCCCTCTCAGTACCGCACACTCAATGGAGCGAGTGTGAGTGGCGGTTGTTGATGGAAAGTTTGAGGCAACAAGAGAAGTCATACAGCATCACGGCACAGCAAACAGCTTTAACTTGAACATAGGATTGTGTGGTTCAGAAAGGCCTCAGCGATTCCTGCTTCTGTGGAGAAGAACATTCTACTCACTATGAGGTTTGGCCTTTCTTTCCTCCACCCTTATCGTATCTTCCTTTCTGGATCCAGTCTCCCAGGCTTCTTTGTGTGTTTTCCTTTCACCTGTCCAGCCCAAGTCCTAGAAGCTTCACTTTTATATTCAAGTTAAGTAAAAGAACTCATTTCTCCTCAGGCAGAACTCTGTCTCTATATCTTAGAATAATACACATGTACACACAAATACACATATTTCTCTCTCTGCTACACAAATGTTTTAAAAATTAGTCTGCCTGATAAGCACATAGGCATTGGCTGTATTAGTCTCTGTGTTTACTTTCCTGTGTGCTCGAAAATATTTCAAAATAAAAAATTAAAAGGAAAATGAATGGAGAAGACTGGGGATGTCATGATCAATGCTGGACATAGGGGAAATAGCTCCGTTGGTACACAGAGTCTCATTTATTTATTTACAAACGTCTGGCTTACGATGTGCCGGGCATTATTCTAGGTGCTTTGGAAATATGTCTTCAAATCCTCATTCTAATCCTATGGTATTATTATTATTGTCTGCATTTTACAGATGAGGAAACAGAAAAGTTAAGCACCTTACACAAGGTCATGTGTTTGCAAGTAGTAAAGCCAGGATTCAAACCCAGGCTGTCTGGCTCCAGAGGCCATACCTGTAACCACCATGCCTTCCTGCTTCTTGACAAGTGTCCCTTGTAGGCCAGTGGGATTCAAGGGCAGTGGGGACTCAGGGGGCAGTAACAAAGCAGCAAGCTCTTAGTAACTTTTTTTTTTTTTTTTTGAGACAGGGCACACTCTGTCACCCAGGCTGGAGTGCAGTGGCACGATCTAGGCTCACTGCAACCTCCACCTCCCGGGTTCAAGTGATTCTCATGCCTCAGCCTCCCTAGTAGCAGGGATTACAGGCAACTGCCACCATGTCCGGCTAATTTTTTGTTTTGTTTTGTTTTTTGAGATGGGGTCTTGCTCTGTCGCCCAGGCTGGAGTGCCGTGGCGCAGTCTCGGCTCAGTGCAAGCTCTGCCTCCCGGGTTCACGCCATTCTCCTGCCTCAGCCTCCTGAGTAGCTGGGACTACAGGCGCCCGCCACCACGCCCACCTACTTTTTTGTATTTTTAGTAGAGATGGGGTTTCACTGTGGTCAGGATGGTCTCGATCTCCTGACCTCGTGATCTGCCCGCCTCGGCCTCCCGAAGTGCTGGGATTACAGGTGTGAGCCACCGCGCCTGGCCAATTTTTGTATTTTTAGTAGAGACGAGGTTTCACCATGTTGGCTAGGCTGGTCTCGAACTCCCGTCCTCAAGTGATCTGCCTGCCTCAGCCTGCAAAGTGCTGGGATTACAGGCGTGAGCCACCATGCCCCATCTCTTAGTAGTTTTTGAGGAGCAGTTTAGAGTGTCAGCAAAGTTCTTCACAGATCCAAGAGTTGTTAGCTGATGTAATCCGGCTGGATGAGGGAGGTAGAGAGGAAGGCAAGAGGTGGCGGGTGGCTGAGGGCTGCTTGCGTAACATCTTGACTGTGGCAGCAGACACAGTGGAGGTTGTGAGATTTGTTATGGATGTTAAGAAGGGCTAAAGAGCCACTAGGTGATCATAGCTCACTGTAGGCTGGGTTCAGTGGCTCATCTCTGTAATCCTCAGCACTTTGGGAGGTTGAGGCAGAAGGATCACTTGAGCCCAGGAGCTTGAGGCTGCAGTGAGCTATGATTGTGCCACTGCACTGAAGCCTGGGCAACAGAGTGAGACCCTGTCTCTTAAAAAAAAAAAAAAAAGCTCACGATAACCTTAAACTCCTGGGCTCAAGTGATCCTCCAGGCACAGCCTCCCTAGTAGCTAGGACTACAGACACATACCACTATGCTCAGCTAATTTTTAATTTTTTTGTAGAGACAGGGTCTCACCTCGTTGTCCAGGCTTGCATTGCATTGTTCTTTTTTCTTTTTTTCTTTTTTTTTTTTTTTGAGACAGAGTCTTGTTCTGTCACCCAGGCTGGAGAGCAGTGGCACCATCTCTGCTCACTGCAACCTCCACCTTCCAGGTTTAAGCGATTCTCTGGCCTCAACCTCCCAAGTAGCTGGGATTATAGGTGTGTGCCACCATGCCTGGCTAATTTTTGTTATTTTCAGTAGAGATGGGGTTTTGCCACGTTGGCCAGGCTGGTCTTGAACTCCTGACTTTGGGTGATCCACCCATCTTGGCCTCCCAAAGTGGTGGGATCACAGGTGTGAGGAGGCTTGCCTTGTTCTTTAAAGTCAAGAAAACATAGTTTCTAGGAAATGGAAAAAAAAGATAATGAGATAATAGAAATGAAGATGGATCTGCCTAATGGAGTACATAAAGAGGAAGGAAGATGAAATAAAAAGGAAAGAACACTTTGAAATGAAATGTGGTAGTGGTTTCCATAGTACTTAATGTTTTAGAAGTGGGGATCTTATGGGAAAATCTAGGTTTCAGTTAAGACAAGGAGGTGAAGGAAACCTTAGTAGAAAGGTTGGCAGTATGGGGGCATTTATTACACTCAAAACTAATTCTGGTGGGCATGGTGGAAAAGCTTGAGACAGAAACAGAAGGAAGTTGAGTCAGGGCATGGAAACCCTGAGTGCTATGATGATGAAAATACCAGAGGTGGTAGACGGCCAGAGAGCCTTGTGTTACAGAGTCATGTGTGTGGGGCAGGGTGAGTTTAATTGGCTACTCAGGTAGGACACAAACCAGCTAAGGCTCTGGAAGTACACATGCACTTTTCACCAGGAACATATCCCGCTGGTGTGTGTGCAGCAAAGTACAGCCATTGTTAAGAGACACTCAAAACAAAAGCAACCCAGAAAGGCTACAAATAAGAGGGCAGCCTTGCAAAGGCAGACCCAAAGAAATCAGGGATTGCAGCATCAGTATCAGGATAAATGAATCCAAGATAAAAACATGCTGAAGTTCTTTTAGGCCTTCAAGGAAAAAGATGAGTCCCAGGTTTAATAAATCCAACACTGACTAAGTGAAATTAATAAAGGAATTTATTGGTGTAACTCATCAAATCAAAGACAGAGCAGAGACAGAGCTGGCTTTGGCCAAACCAAAGGACTCCAGGGCAGTTGGAGTGGTTTTTGGTTTTTCATTTCTGCATTTCTCTGTGTGTTGGCTCTGTTTTATCCTTCACATGGAGAAGAACGTGGATCTTGGCAGCTTGAGGGTCACATCCTTTCAGCTTGTACCCAGAGAGGAAAAGAAGGCAGCTCTTACTGCTAGCTTTTACAAGAAAAAGCCCGGGAAAGACCTCTGATTGGCCTGGCTTGGGTCCCATATATACCCTGGAAACAGCAATTATGAGGTACCTGATTGGTACCTGATTGGCTCAACCTCACATGTGTGTACTTCTGAGGTCAAGGCTGCAGGGTCTCTTAATGGAGAAGGGGTTGGGGAGAGGATTAACAGATAGCTTTGCAAAATATAGCCACTACCATAAGTAGATAAGCAGATTCAACACATTGTTATTAAAAACAAAGCAACTATAAAATGGATACCACACCTAATATAATAAAGACAAAATGAGTAATCAGAAAAGGAACATAGATACCACGGTGAACAAAAATTATTAGAATAATGTAATGCATAATGCTATGCTAATATGTTTTTAGATCTCATGGGATTCTTTTTAAAGATAATATAAATTATCAATATATGTTCAAGACGCTTCTTGCATACAGAGTTTTTTCAAGTCTTCAAAGGAAAGAATTCCTGGCTGGGAGTGGTGGCTCATGCCTGTAATCCCAGCACTTTGGGAGGCCAACGCAGGCGGATCACTTGAGGTCAGGAGTTCGAGACCGGCCTGGCCAACATGGCAAAACCCCATCTCTACTAAAAGTACAAAAATTGGCCAGACGTGGTGGCAGGCACCTGTAACCCTAGCTACTCAGGAGGCTGAGGCAGGAGAATCACTTGAACCTGGGAGGTGAAGGTTTCAGTGAGCCGATATTGCGCCATTGCACTCCAGACTGGGTGACAAGAGTGAGACTCTGTCTCAAAAAAAGAAAAAAAAGAAAAGAATTCCTGTGATACATAAATTATTGGATAGTAGAGAATTTTATTTTACAAAGCTAGCATGAAACATAAAGAGAACAAAACATCCCCTCAACAGGCTGGGCAAGGTGGCTCATGCCTGTAATCCCAGCACTTTGGGAGGCCGAGGCAGGAGGATTGCTTGAGCTCAGGAGTTCAAGACCAGCCTGGGCAATGTGACAAAACCCCATCTCTACAAAATATACCAAAATTAGCCAGTGCGGTAGTGCACACCTGTAATCTCAGCTACTCAGGAGGTTGAGGCAGGAGAATCGCTTGAACCTGGGAGGTGGAGGTTGCAGTAAGCCAAGGTTGCACCACTGCACTCCAGCCTGGGTGACAGAATGAGAGTCTGTCTGGAAAAAACCAAAAAACCCAAAAACATCCTCCTGACAAGCATACAAAACATGTAGACTGATTTAACGAATGAATGTGGATGCAAAATGATAATGTACTTCCAAATAAAATCCAACGAATAAACATCACACTCAGGTAGGGTTTATTCCAGGAATGCTGATATAGTTCAATATAAAGTGATATATCAGTATAAACTATTCATTTCATCACAGGTCAAAGGCAGCAAAAGCAATCACTTCATTGTTCACATATAATTCAGTGATGTCCATGTTGAAAACACAACATAATTTCCTATATAAAGGCAAAATGCCTTAGTACACAAAGCCCTGTATGTTGGGCCCTCCTCTCTCTCTGAGCTTACCTCCCCCATGCTCTGCCTGGCACTCTGTGTTAAACATGTGTACTGGCCTTTTTATTTCTTCATGTGCACCAGGCTTCCAGGACCACAAAGGCTTTGCATACGCTCTTTCCTCCACCTGCAACTCTTCCCTCCCTTTTTGACTTAGTGCCTTCTCTCCTTTCAGATCTAAGTTTACTCATTGCTTCCTTCAGGAACCTTTCCTTACCTCTGTAATCAGTCAAATCCTCCCTACTCCTGGGCTACTCAAACTATGAAGCATCCTGGTAAGGTGCAGATTCTGGTTCAGAAGGTCTGGAGATGCTGTGTTTCTAACAAGCTCCCAGGTGGAGCCCAGGCTGCTGGTGCATGGACCACAGATTAAGTATTGTAATCCTTTTCTTCCCAGCACCAGTTGTGGTGTACTTTTATTTTTTATTTATTTATTTTTTTGAGATGGAGTTTCCCTTTTGTTGCCCGGGCTGGAGTGCAATGGTGCGATCTCGGCTCACTGCAACCTCTGCCTCCTGGGTTCAAGCGATTCTTCTGCCTCAGCCTCTCGAGTAGCTGGGATTACAGGCATGCACCACCATGCCCAGCTGATTTATATATATATATATATATATATATATATATATATTTTAGATGGAGTCTTGCTCTGTCGCCAGGCTGGATTGCAGTGTTATGATCTCGGCTCACTGTAACCTCTGCCTCCTGGGTTCAAGCAATTCTCCTGCCTCAGACTCCTGAGTAGCTGGGACTACAGGCGCACACCACCATGCCCAGCTAATTTTTGTATTTTTAGTAGAGACAGGGTTTCACCATGTTGGCCAGGATGGTCTCGATCTCTTGACTTAGTGATCTGCCTGCCTTGGCTGCCCAAACTGCTGGGATTACAGGTGTGAGCCACCACGCCCGGCTGATTTTATATTTTTAGTAAAGACGGGGTTTCTCCATGTTGTCAGGCTGGTCTTGAACTCCTGACCTCAGGTGATCTACCCGCCTTGGCCTCCCAAAGTGCTGGGATTACAGGCGTGAGCCACCACGCCCGGCCGTACTTTTACCTTTTTTATGGGATTATTTGACTAACATCTGTGTCCTCCACTAGATTGCAATAAGCATCATGAAGGCAGGGACCATGTCTATTTTGCTCACTGTTGTATTTAGTACTCAGCGTAGGGCCTGGTACATAGTTGGTGTTCAAGACATATTTGTTGAATAAATAAATGAGAAAAATGACGTCATTATCTACAGATATGGTAAGAAGGCATTTGATACAAATGTGTTTTGGCGAAATTACCTAATAAATTAAGGATGGAAAGTTTTCCTTGAATATGATAAAGAATATCTACCTTAAATATTAAAATGTATTATAAAGTATAGTATGGCAATAGACATAGAGAAAAATATTTACAAATGAATAACGAGCTCACAATAGATTCAAATATATATATAGGGATTTAATAAAAGATAAAGATGGCTTCAAATCACCAAGGAAAAAGAGGAGTCACTCAATCAACATATTAGAACAACTGGCTGGCCATTTGGGGAAAAAGTGATCTAAGTCTCATGTCAAAATAAACTCCAGATTTGAAATTTAGAAACATAACAAAAAAGTGCTAGGGGAAACACAGGCAAAACTGTTCTTATAATCTTGAGGCAGGATGATTCTAAGTAGGACATAAAGGAGAGAAATAAAACAGAAAAATATGGATATGCAAAAATTAAAAAACCCTTGTTCTTCACAAACTGGGAAAACATTTGTAACATATGTGTCTGATAAAAGAATGATAACAAAGTGTTTCTACCAATTAAAGAAAAAGGCAAAAAACTCAATAGAAAAGTGGGCAATTTAGCCGGGCAAGGTGGCTCACACCTGTAATCCCAGCACTTTGGGAGGCTGAGGCGGGCGGATCACCAGGTCAAGAGATCAAGACCATCCTGGCTAACATGGTGAAACCCCGTCTCTACTAAAAATACAAAAAAAAAAAAAAAAAAAAAAATTAGCTGGGCGTGCTGGCATGAGCCTGAAGTCCCAGCTACTTGAGAGGCCAAGGCAGGAGAATTGCTTGAACCTGAAGGTGGAGGTTGCAGGGTTGCAGTGAACAGAGATCGAGCCACTGCACTCCAGCCTGGTGACAGAGCAAGACTCAGTCTCAAAGAAAAAAAAAAAAAAAAGAGAAGTGGGCAATTCACCAAAGGAAAAAGAAATAGGAATGGCTAATAAGCATATCGTTGGAGAAGGCTTTGTCCTCCTAAAAAGATATGTTGAAGTCCCAACCCCTAGTACTTCAGACTGTGATCTTATTTGGAAATAGGGCCTGTACACTTGGATTAATTTATATTCTAGTTAAACTGAGGTCATAGAGTGGTCTCTAATCCATTGTGACTGGGTGTCCTTATAGAGTGGGGACATTTGGACAGAGGCAGACAGGCACAGAGGGAAGACACGTGAAGAGGCACAGAGAGAAGACAGCCCTGCAAGCCAAGGGACAGCTGAGGCTACCTGCAGCCAGGAGAGAGGCGGGAGCAGATCCTTCCCTACCATCTTCAGAGGTGAGACCATCAATATCTGTTGTTTTAGGCCACGCAGCTTGTCACACTTTGTTAGAGCAGCCTGAGGAAACTAATGCATGTATGAAATCATATTCAGTTTCACTAAACATTTAAGAAATCAAAAAGAAAACAAATCACGGTTCTTCCTATCACACAGTTCAACTCGTTGGCTAGCAGGGCAAAACCTTTTGCAGGCGAGGATGAGAGGAAAAAGGACCGTTTACACGGTGGTGATGTAAATGGTACGACTAGCCTGTAGAGCAAGGTCATTTAGCAGTGAATATCATAAGCCACAAATACATGAAAACTCCTTGACCCAACAATTCATCTTGAAGGAGGGAGATAAGCAGACATGTTTGGAAAGATATGTGAACTAGGATGTATAGTACAGCATTTATAATATTCCACGTTTGGAAGCAACTAAACGTGTAAGAACAGGAAACAGATTAAATAACTAACAAAAGGACCGTGCAATGAAGTACCCCACAGACACAAAGAACCACACTGTAGGAGAATTTTTTTTGGTAAGAAAGAAGTATGTTACATTTGATTGAGTGAAAAAACTCAAGTAACAAAATAGTTTATGCATCATGATTTATTTTTAAAATAAGAAACAAATGTTATATATACATGCCTAGAAGAAAATCTGAAGAATCACAGCACAACTGTTAAGGGTCATCACATAGGAGTGATTGGATTAGAAATGACTATAATTTTCTTCTGAATGTTTACAGGGGTTTCTAAGTTTTCTTTAATAAATGTGTCTTCTTGCTCACAGCTGTAATCCCAGCACTTTGGGAGGCCGAGGTGGTCGGATCATTTGAGGTCAGGAGTTTGACACCAGCCTGGCCAACATGGTGAAACCCCGTCTCTATTAAAAATACAAAAATTAGTCCGGGCACGGTGGCTCACGCCTGTAATCCCACCACTTTGGGAGGCCGAGGCGGGCGGATCACGAGGTCAGGAGATGGAGACCATCCTGGCTAACACGGTGAAACCCATCTCTACTAAAAATACAAAAAAATTAGCTGGGTGTGGTGGCAGGCGCCTGTAGTCCCAGCTACTCGGGAGGCTGAGGCAGGAGAATGGCGTGAACCCGGGAGGCGGAGCTTGCAGTGAGCCGAGATCGCGCCACTGCACTCTAGCCTGGGCGACAGAGCGAGACTCGGTCTCAAAAAATAAAAAATAAAAAATAAAAAAAATTAGCTAGGTGTGGTGGCGCATGCCTGTAGTCCCAGCTACTTGGGAGGCTGAGCCAGGAGAATCGCTTGAACCCGGGAGGCAGAGGTTGCAGTGAGCCAAGATCGCGCCATTGCCCTCCAGCCTGGGTGACATAGGCTCCATCTCAAAAAAAAAAAAAAGTGTCTTCTTTAGTTATATAAAATTTCTCTTGTTAGAACATCCATCCTAATTAATGAGAAAAAGAATGAGGACTGATAGTTCATATAATACTAAAGCTCACTCAACAAAACTTTGAAATTATTATTATTTTTAGTTAACTATCAGGTGCTTTATCCACAGATACTTAAGGCCTTATCACTGCCCAGAGACATTAGCTGGACCAAAGGGCAGCATGGGCAAGCTGGGCTGCTCAGCAGGGAGCAGGCGCTGTGGATTTCCGTTTTCATCCCGTCAGCTTGCTCCCTCTGTAATCACAGCTCTGCCCAGATTGTCTTAATGACAACCCTGCCTCACCTGGTTTCCGGAATGGATGCATTCCTTCCCACTTTGATCACAGAATGCTATTCTCATTCTCCAGGGTGTGGGCCCAGCCTGGCTCAGTGCCTGCTTGCCAAGGACCTGCCCTGAGTCACTCTGTCTTTGGTGCCGACAATCTGATTGCTACAGCTGGATATTTTTTCTTTCCTCTCCTTCAACTTGAAGAAAACACCCTCCTACTCACTCCCGCTGCCCTGCCCTGCCCATGGGAATCACTCTAGAGTTTAACAATGTTGTCTGTCCTCTGTCTGTAACTTTGGGAAAACAGGTGAGCTGGGAAGCAGCAGGTGAGCTGGAGTACAGAGTACAAAAGGGCACACTGGGGCTTTGGCTTCTGTTCTGATGGATTGCCAGGGTGTACAAAGCAGTTCTCATGGAAAAGGCATCATGGCAATTTGTTTACTGTGGTTAGTCTTGAGGATCTGCTGTTAATTTAGCCATATATGTGTACACACACACACACACATGCATGCAAATGTGTTAAGAACTATAAAGTTCTCTACAATCGTTATTTAAATATCAGAGACGCTCTTGGTTGAGCTTTTGTTTTTTTTAGAGACAGTCTTGTTCTGTTGCCCAGGCTAGAGTGCAGTGGTGTGATCATAGCTCACGGTAACCTTGAACTCCTGGGCTCAAGAGATCCTCCTGCTTCAGCTTCCTGAGCAGCTGTGACTACTGGCATGGGCCACTATGCCTGCCCAATTAAAACAAATTTTCTTTTGTGTAGATGCGGTCTCAATATGTTGCCCAGGCTGCTTTCAAATTCCCGGCCTCAAATGATCCTTCCACTTCAGCCTTCCAAAGTACTGCTATTATAGGCGTGAGCCACTGCCCTTGGCCTCCAGCCAGCTTTATAGAACATAACTACTGTGAATAATGAAGGTAAACTGTACTTTGCCTCACCCAAGATGGTGGGACCTGTAAAGATTCAAAAGTGCCGGCTGGGCGCGGTGGCTCACGCCTGTAATCCCAGCACTTTGGGAGGCCGAGGCGGGCGGATCACGAGGTCAGGAGATCGAGACCATCCTGGCTAACACGGTGAAACTCTGTGTCTACTAAAAATACAAAAAATAGCCGGGCGTGGTGGTGAGCGCCTGTAGTCCCATCTACTCGGGAGGCAGAGGCAGGAGAATGGCGTGAACCTGGGAGGCGGAGCTTGCAGTGATCCGAGATAGCGCCACTGCACTCCAGCCTGGTTGACAGAGCGAGACTCCGTCTCAAAAAGAAAAAAAAAAAAGAAGATTCAAAAGTGCCTAAGAAGGTTTGAGTGGGCATCTAGGCTCCTGGGGAACATCTGTGTTCCGGTGTTCCACAGCCTGAACCTCCAGCACTCTGTGAGCTCAGAGTGGGGCCCTCTCTCCTCTGCACCCCAGACACCAGCATTAAGTTACTGCTGCTCCTCCCAGCAACCCAGAGGTACCTCTGGAACTTTGTGGCTCAAGCTTGATGTTAGTGGATGTGTTTGATTCTAGGGGCGGGGAGAAGTCTGCAGGAACTTCTTCGGCGGCAGTGTAGAGACTGCTGCTTAGGGCCAGCCTGGGTGGGAACAGATGGGGCTGCTCACCTCCCAGCTGAAGCAAAAAAAAAAAAAAAAAAAAGCAGGGAGGAGACTGCCCCCTATTAGAGGAGAGAAACAGAATTCACAGCTGGAGACACTATTTGGGGGTTGCAAAGAGAGACTATACATTGGATTTGAACCATGAGGTTGGAAGCTGATGGGACTGGGAACAAGTTGGGCTGGAGCAGATGAAACAGGGAGATGTGAACAAAAGAACACCAAGGAGGGGAGCACCAGAGAGGAGCAAAACACATGTCACCCTGCCCATATCCCTCCAGTGGGGGACACAGATGCCAAATAGATAAGCAAAGTGTATCATTATAAATTGGGGGACGTATTATTCAGAAAAGGTAGAGGGCTGTGAAAGAGAATAACAGAGGGGCTTTAACTGAGATGGGGATGGGGGAAGCCAGGAGAGGCCCCAGAACCAAGCTTTGAATTGTGAAAGGATGTGAACCAGGCTGCAGGGGCGCCCAAAGCACATTAGGAGCAGAATGGCCCACCTGGGGTCACCAAGATGGACAGGGCTGGGTGCCTTCCAGGACTGAAAAAACCGTCTGCCTGAGGGGCAGAGAGGCCAGTGGGGTCGGGAGATGAGACCGGGAACAGAGGCAGGGCCAGACCATACCGGCCTGCAGGCTGCGTGAAGGAGCTTGGAGTTTATTCTAAATGCAACTGTGCTCTGGGTGCCTGTCCTCACGGTGTGACTTTTAGGACCACCAAATATATTTGATGGCATTGTTCTATGTTAGAGCAAACTTGCAGATTTTATAAACATTTGAAGGGAGATACACTGCCACGTTTGCAAAGTTGTTTTGAAGGTGGAAGTGGGTGAAACTGTGTTCCTCTTTCTACTTTTAAAATATTTTGCCTTATTTTCTTAACGACTGCATTACTTTGATAAATGTGAACATTATGGGAAAAAGAGCCCCCTGTGCTGATGGCTGAAGTCCCTGGGTCCCATGGGGTAGATTCTGGGCTAATGCTTTATGTTCATGAAGTTTTATAAAAATTGTGATTTTGATTGGGATTGCACTGAATTTATGGATAATATAATTTAAGAAAAAGAGGCTGGGGGCAGTGGCTCATGCCTGTAATCCCAGCACTTTGGGAGGCCGAGGTGGGGAGATCACTTGAGGTCAGATGTTTGAGCCCAGCCTGGCCAAGATGGTGAAACCCCATCTCTGCTAAAAACGCAAAAATTAGCCAGGCGAGGTGGTATGCACGTGTAATCTCAGCTACTTGAGAGGCTGAGGCATGAGAATCACTTGAACCCAGGAGGCAGAGGTTGCAGTGAGCTGAGATTGCGCCACTGCACTCCAGCCTGGACAACAGAGTGAGACTTTGTCTCAAAAAGAACATTTTTTTTAAGAAAAAGTGTTATCTTTATGATAAAAATTAGCCAAACATGGTGGCATGTGCATGTAGTCCCAGCTACCTGGCCGTCAGGGGTTGGTGCTGAGGTGGGAGGATTGCTTGAACCTGGGAGTTCAAGGCTGAAGTGAGCTATCATAGTACCTTTTATCAAGGTCACTCAGCCCTGACCCAGGTGATTTAGCTTGTGAGGTCACCCATCACTGACCCCCTAGTCCTGCCAGCTGAGGGCCCCACACCCAGAGCTGGGGACAGTTTCTATTTGCCTTCTGCCTAGTTTGACAGGATCAGCTTCCTGGGTTTTTTTTTTTTTTTTTTTTTTGAGGCCGAGTTTTGCTCTTTGTTGCCCAGGCTGTAGTGCAGTGGCACGATCTTGGCTCACTGCAACCCTGCCTCCTGGGTTCAAGTGATTTTCCTGCCTCAGCCTCCCCAGTAGCTGGGATTACAGGCACCCACCACCATGCTGGGATACTTTTTTGTATTTTCAGTAGAGACGGGGTTTTGCCATATTGGTCAGGCTGGTCTCGAACTCCTGACCTCAGGTGATCCACCCGCCTCAGCCTCCCAAAGTGCTGGGATTACAGGTGTGAACACCGCCCCTGGCCCATGGGTACTTCTTTCTGCAGAAAAGCCACCTGTTAACAGAGGGCAGAGCCTGAGTTCAGAGGAATGAGCTTTAATGGGGGTATTCATAGCAGCACCAAGTGTGGGATGGGTGGGGTGGGAGTGTGAAGGGAGGGAAGCGTAATCATTTGGGGTTGATAGTCTTCCTGGAGGGAGGAAAACAACGTGAAATGTAGGAGTGGGGGAATCATTTTAATAAGGTAAAGGTAGATTATGGGCTAATGGTTTGTGTTCGTGATTCTCGTGGCGCCCAGTGTCCCTTGCATGAGGCCCCTGGTCATCTGCCCTGCACCTAGGGAGACAGGTGTGGTACAGAGGCCTCAGCATCTCACTCTCCATAATTCTGTCTCTCTTCTTCACCTCAGGAGGTGTGCAGCTAGGACACGTTGTGCCTCCTCTTCTCATCTGAATTTTCAATGGGGCAAAGGGCAGTTGGAGAAGATTCCCTCCAGGGATGCTCCCACCTTTCTGGTGGGCATAGAAGGGTTTTCTCCACTTCAATGCCAGCCTTTCCCTGTTCCAGCAATGCTTCCTTGACTACAGGCTGGTCTAGAGGTTTACCTGTTATTCCTTTATCCCAGCTTCTTGCATTTTTGCATGTCATATGCACATTTCCTAACCATCCTCCATGTGAAGAGTTTGGTCTCCCTCATAGGCCATTGAGGGTTTGCAGCTGTCATCTGGTACAGGTGTAGCCTCTGGAGTGTGTGGGCAGGCTCTTGTAGAACTGTTTATGGGAGAACCTCCTTTCTGCTGATGGAGTCCTCATGCAGTCCTAGCTGACAGCCACCAGGATGTGGGGAAATGTCCAACTACGGGAGTCCAGAGATCCTGCTCAGGTTGGGGTGGCCATATTCAAATTTGTCTTGCATTCTGGCAAAGAGCTATTTCTCCTGGTGTTTCTCAATTCTGCTGGACTTGGTGCCCCCTTTTCAAACAAATATCTTATAGTTCCACCTTTACCTTAATGAAATGAAGTTATGGATAATATAACTCATGCAGAAATCAATATCATGTCCTATCATATAAAACATAAATATATAAAATAAACATATAAAACATATAAACAAACAAAAAACATATAAAATAAAATAAAAACAATTAATAATAAAATAGTATTGTCAGTATTGTCAATATTCACCGACCAGAGACTACCAGGAACATACCAGCAGTAAAAAAAGGTAGGTTATTTAGTTTGCTGCAGGGAGGGAGAACACACCCCAGATGATTCACAATAAAAGGGAGTTGGGAAGGGCTCTCTCTTTTTTTTCTGAGATGGGGTCTCACTTTGTCACCCAGGCTGGAGTACAGTAGCGCGATCTCTGCTCACTGCAGCCTCAACCTCCTGGGTTCAAGTGATCCTCCTGCTTCAGCCTCCCAAGTAGCTGGGACTATAGTTGAGTGCCAACATGCCCGACTAATTTTTGTATATTTTGTAGAGATGGGTTTCACCATGTTGTTCAGGCTGGTCTTGAACTCCTGATGTCAAGCAATCCGCCTGCCTTGGCCTCTCGAAGTGCTGGTATTACAGGTGTGAGCCATTGCACCCAGCCTTATTTTCCTTTTCAAGTGGTTACATTTATTATTTTTTCCCTTCTGTAGACTGAATGTTTGTGTCCCCGGAAATTCATATGTTGAAATGTAATCTACCAATGTGATGTTAGGAGGTGAGACCTTTGGGAGGTAATTAGGTCATGAGGGTAGATCCCTCATGAATGGGATTAGTGCCCTTGCGAAAGAGACCCTTGTCTCTTCCACCATGTGATGATACAGGGAGAAGATAGTCATTTATGAAATAGGAAGCAGGCCCTCACCAGACACTGGATCTATTGGCACCTGGATCTTGGAGTCTCTTGGACTTCCCACACTCTAGAACTGTGAGAAATACTGTTTATAAGTTACCCAAATTACGGTATTTTGTTATAGCAGTCAGAACAGACTAAGACACTCCCTTTATGACTCATATATTTTGTGTTTTGCTTGAGAAAGCCTTTCTTTTCCTCAATGGATGGTTTAAACCCATTTTGCATACTTTCTGCTAATACTCTTTTTTCTTTTTTGAGATGGAGGCTTGCTGTGTCCCCATGCTGGAGTGCAGTGGCACGATCTCAGCTCACTGCAACCTCCGCCTCCTGGGTTTAAGCGATCCTCCTGCCTCAGCCTCCTGAGTAGCTGGGACTATAGGTGTGCGCCACCACGTCCAGCTAATTTTTTTATTTTTAGTAGAGACAGGGTTTCACCATGTTGGCCAGGATGGTCTTGATCTCTTGACCTTTTGATCCACCCGCCTCGGCCTCCCAAAGTGCTGGGATTACAGATGTGAGCCACCGTGCCCAGCCTTCTGCTAATACTTTTACAGTTAAAAAATATTTATCTTAGAGGGTATGATGTGAGGTTGAAATGTAGCTTTACTTTTTTCCAACTAGATAGCCCAACACCATTTATTCAACTGGCCACTCTTCTCCTACCATTTTGTCTTTTTTTTTTTTTTTTTTGAGACAGAGTCTCACTCTGTCATCTAGGCTGGAGTACAGTGGTGTGATCTTGGCTTATTGCAACCTCTGCCTCCTGAGGTCAAGCGATTCTCCTGCCTCGGTCTGCCAAGTAGCTGGGACTACAGGCATGTGTCACCATGCCTGGCTAATTTTTGTATTTTTAGTAGAGACAGGGTTTTGCCATGTTGGCCAGGCTGGTCTTGAACTCCTGACCTCAGGTGATCTGCCTACCTCGGCCTCCCAAAATGCTGGGATTACAGGCATGAGCCACTGCCCCCTGCCCCTTTTCCTAACATTTTGAAGTGCTCCTTTATCATATACTAAATTTCCATTTATACATTAGTCAGTTCTATTTGTTTATTTATATACCAATACTACCATTGTCATAGCTTTACAGGATAATTTGATAGCCAAGAGGACAACTCTACCTACATTGTCCCTCATTTTAAAAAAGAATCGTGGCGATTGTATATATTCTCTTGTGATGGATTTTATTTATTTATTTATTTATTTATTTATTTATTTATTTATTTATTTTGAGAGGGAGTCTCACTCTGTCACCCAGGCTGGAGTGCAGTGGCGCGATCTCGGCTCATGCAAGCTCTGCCTCCTGGGTTCACGCCATTCTGCTGCCTCAGCCTCCCCAGCAGCTGGGACTATAGGCGCCCGCCACCACGCCTGGCTAATTTTTGTATTTTTGGTAGAGATGGGGTTTCACCGTGTTAGCCAGGATGGTCTCGATCTCCTGACCCTGTGATCCGCCCGCCTCAGCCTCCCAAAGTGCTGGGATTACAGGCGTGAGCCACCGCGCCCGGCCTATTTATTTTAAGACAGAGTCTCACTCTGTTGCCCAGGCTGGAGAGCAGTGGCGCGATCTCAGCTTACTGCAACCTCCACCTCCTGGGTTCAAGTGATTCTCCTGCCTCAGCCTCCTGAGTAGCTGAGATTACAGGTATCCATGACCATGTCCAGCTAATTTTTATATTTTTAGTAGAGATGGGGTTTTACCATGTTGGCTAGGCTGGTCTTGAACCCCTGACCTCAAGTTATCCACCTGCCTTGGCCTCCTGAACTGCTGGGATTATAGGTGTGAGCCACCGCACCTGACCTAGATGGAGTTTTAAAAATCAGTTATGAAGTTTTATGAAAATTGTGATTTTGATTAGTATTACACCAAGTTTACGGATAATAATTTAAGAAAAAGTGATATCTTTATGATACTGAATCGTTCTTTTTTTTTTGAAGGGTCTAAGAAGGAATCTGTTATTGGAATATAGGTAATATATAGATTTGTGAGACTCTGGTTCTACAAAAAATTTTTTAAAAATTAGCCAGGCATTGTGGCATGCACCTGTAGTCCCAGCTACTGGAGGCTGAAGGGGCTGCTGCTGAGGTAGGAGGTAGGAGGATTGCTTGGGTGTGGGAGTTTGAGGCTGCAGTGAGCCATCATCGTGCCTCTGCACTCCAGCCTAGGCAATAAAGCAAGACCCTTTCTAAAAAAAAAAAAAAAAAAATTCTACACATTCCTTAAGTTTGAATATACCTGCTCTAGGCTGCACTATCGGAGACTACACCCTCTGCTGGTGGCGGGCGGGGTGGGGGGGTCCCTTTGGGTTTCTGTGCTCACTACCATGCCTTTCCAACCATCCCTTGCTTTCTAGACTTCTCTACTGTGTCACACCTTCTAATCCACAATTGGAATCTGACAACCAACCAATGCCAACCTGTGGGCTTTGCTGGTGGGTGAGTGAGGGCTTAGGCAAGTCCCTTGGGCACAGGGAGAATGAATGAACCTGAAGTTGGCACCATAGTTTTGCATGTGTCTCCAGGTCCCAGTAGCAGGGGTCACTGTATGTAAGGTTATAACCAGGGTGCCAGCTTTTCACCAGCTTCCTGGTGTTAGTGCAGGGAAATCGGGGTGGCTTGGCGCCCATGAGGGACCAGTGGGCTGATGGGAGTCACAGGTAGAATCAGAAGTACTAAAGCTATTCCTGGAATTTTTTTTTTTAGACCGAGTCTCGCTCTGTTGCCCAGGCTGGATTGCAGTGGCACGATCTCGGCTCACTGCAGCCTCCATCTCCCAGGTTCAAGTGATCCTCCTGCCTCAACCCCCCTAGTAGCTGGGGTTACAGGCATGCGCCACCGTGCCTAGCTAATTTTTGTATTTTTAGTAGAGACAGTTTTCGCCATGTTGGCCAGGATGGTCTTGACTCCTGACCTCAGGTGATTCACCTGCCTTGGCCTCCCAAAGTGCTGGGATTACAGGCATGAGCCACCGTGTCCAGCCTGGAATTTTTTTAATTTAAAAAATATTTTGGGCCAGGCATGGTAGCTCAACGCCTGTAAGCCCTGCACTTTGGGAGACTGAGGCGGGTGGATCGCTTGAGCCTAGGAGTTTGAGACCAGCCTGGGCAACATGGTGAAATCCCATCTCTACAAAACAAACAAACAAACAGACAAACAAAAAAACAACCACACCAACCCTCCTGCCCCAAATTAGTCAGGCATATTGGCACATGCTTGTAGTCTCAGCTACTTGGAAGGCTGAGGCGGGAGGATCAGCTGATCCCAGGGAGGTCAAGGCTGCAGTGAGATGTGATTGTGCCTCTGCACTCCAGGCTGGGTGACAGAGCAAGACCCTGTCTCAAAAAACAAAAACAATAACCAAAAAACCCCCAAAACAAACTAAGAAAATATTTTAAAATATTTGCTCAATGGAGCTATGCCTAGTCGAGCTGAATGGATCTGACTTTGTTGTGGCTTCTGCCAGCTTCGTCACAGCAAGTGGGAGCCTGCCCACACTTTGAGTCTATTGCTTGCTGGGACTAAGGACACATTGAGGCAATTTAGGCCCACCCAATTAGACTGAAGGTTATTTATAAACTCCCTAGATGGTTATGCATATTAATAATCAAATCTCTAAATAATGGCCAAGGACCTGATCTCTGTTTTTAAAAATTTAATTATTATTATTATTTTTTGAGACAGGGTCTCACTCTGTCACTCAGGCTGGAGTGCAGTGGTGCGATCTCTGCTCACTGCAACCTCTGCTTCCTGGGTTCAAGCCATTCTCGTGGCTTGGCCTCCCAAGTAGCTGGGACTACAGGCACACACCATCATGCCCGGCTAGCTTCTTTATTTTTAGTAGAGATGGGGTTTCGCCATGTTGGCCAGGCTGGTCTTGAACTCCTGACCTCAGATGATTTGCCCACCTTGGCCTCCCAGAGTGTTGGGATTACAGGCATGAGCCACTGCAACCGGCCGTGATCTCTGTTTTAAATACTCAACATCTTAAAAATTCCAGCATGGTGGCTTATGTCTGTAGTCCCAGCACTTTGGGAGGCCGAGGCCAGAGGATTGCTTGAGGCCAGGAGTTTGAGACCAGCCTGGCTAACACAGTGAGACTCCATCTCTACAAAAAAGGAAAAAAAAAAATATATATATATATATATACAAATTCCAGGAATTTCTTCTGATTCTGCCTGTGACTCCCAGCAGCCACTGGCCCCTCGTGGGCCCCAGACTCCCCTCGGGATCAGAGACCAGCAGGTACTTAGCATGCCCGTGAATCTTCTCTAAGTGTTTTCTTCCTGAAAACCTGAAGCAAAGAATGACTTACCATCTTGGGCAGGTTATTTCCCCTTCTTGGCTTCAGTTTTCCCCACTGAAGATGAGGTTAAATCAGTGTTTCTAAATCTCTCATCTGTGAAGTGATCCTAAACATCCTAAAACCAACTCAAACATTCTAAAACCAAAACCAAACTCTCAAAGCAATCCAGACAGTATTTTTTCTTACATGTATTGAAGAACATGTAATAAAATAGAAAGACATATATATATTGTGTGTGTATATTTTTTTACATAATAAACTATCCTTAAGGAACAGTGACCCAGGCCTGGAAACATGAGGTTGAGCTTGCTAGGCAGAGATAGGCACTGATTACCAACTGATAGTGGGGTTGATGGTACTGCTCTATGTTAGGTCTCTTGTCTTGTAATTATTACACTTTTTTTGTCATAAATTGTGCTTTTCATTCTTAATGCAATAAAATGATTTAATCTAATATTTTCACTTTATTATGAGATAAAACAACATGTAAATAAACTTTGCATCTTGTTGAGCATTTAACTCTCCTATGAGACAATTTTGTCTGCTTAATTGAATCCAAGTGACCTACCAGCATTCTGTCAAGGCATGATGATGATTTTAACAAAGTGTTCTTGTCAAATTTCTTAAGAAAGCACTGAATTTTAGGATCTCTAACGTTTCTTTTAGGCCAGTGAATTTATACTAATATGGATGTAATTCTGGGAAAGAAAAAAGAAGAAAGAGGCAGAGACTTTATCTAGTAGGAATTTAGTTACCTACCAATCAAAGTAAAGTCTGAGCATGCATGTGTGTGTACCTGTGTGTGCAGTGAGTGAACGAGAAAAACATGCAGGTATGACAAGGCTTAAAGTATTCTGAATAGATAGGCCTGTCCTGGAGCTTATCAGGAAACGCCTTGTCTAACGAACCTTTTCAGGACTTCTGCCACAGCCACACACATACCCAGATACACAGACACATACAGCCAGACACAGACACAGACATACACACATGTGCATGCACACACACACACACTCCTCAGAAATACAACCTCTTTTTAAAGAAATGAAGGCATTTCCAGCCTTGCTTTTTACTTTACAGGAGGCCTGGATGAGCTTTCTTGACAATCAGGGCTATTTCCGGTTACATCCGTGGTGCAGTGAAGATGTCTCAGGATTCTGACCAATTAGGTCTTTGGATGAGTTAACTTTTTTTTTTTTTTTTTAAAGACAGGGTCTCCTGTCACCCAGGCTGGAGTGCAGGCCTTTGCATGACAGTTAACCTAAAATTTTTTTTTAAAGAGATGGGGTCTCGCTATGTTGCCCAGGCTGGTCTTGACCTCCTGGCTCAAGTAATCCTCCTTCCATGTTCTCCCAAAGCACTGGGATTATGGGCGTGAGCCACCATGCCCAGCCCTAAGTTTCAATACTCATACAATCCTCCCTATGACTCAGTAGATCTCAAACTTTAGTGCGTTTATAATTCCTTTGGGGGGCTGGGTTAAGATACAGAGTCTTGGGCCCCCTGCCTTACGTTTGAACTGTGGCCAAGGGATCTGTGTTTTTACAAGCCCCCATGTGATGCTGATGCAGGAGTTTTATGGAGAAACATACCATCAAACTGTCTCAGAAATTCCATTAATTACTGAGAGGATCAAGGCACCAAGTATTATAGTAAAAGTATCCAAGAACCATCTAGAACACCGCTTTTCTAGGAGTTGCCTCCCTTCTTGTTCTCACAAGCAGAAGGCATTTCTGTTCCTCTGCTTTAGATGACAAAGCTAAATGGGTGCACCTGTAACTTGCTTATAAGGTACTATAATTTCCAGCCTCTTTGACTCACTGAGATGATCCTAGTGGAGTTTGGTTTTTGTAGTTTCTGGAATTGCAACAATAATCTAGCTTCTTAAAACTTTAAAAACTTTACATGATGCACAGAAACAAATACATTTTATTACTTGATCCAGTATACACATATGCAAACACACACATTTATTGAAAAAAGTTTCTCCACAAAACTTTTGTTATTACATTTTCCATTCTATTCTGTTCTCTACCAGTTAATTCTTAAAAATCAATGCTGGTCATGACACACTTGAATGATTTCATGACCCACTGATCTAGTTATCTATTGCTGCATAACAAATCATTCCAACATGATGACCTAAAGCAACAGTAATTATTTCAGTATCTTTCATGGTTTCTTTGGGGCAGCAATTTGGGAAGGGCTCAGTAGGGCCGTTCTGATTTAGGTGTCTCATGTGACTGTGGTCAGTAGCTGGGGCTGGAAGTGACAGACTGAATTAGCTATCTCTCTCTCCAGGTAGCATCCCCGTGTGGTCTCAGTGTGGGCTTCCTTGTGCATGGCAGCCTCAGGGCAGTTGAACTGATTAAGGTGCCTCAGAGCTCCAAGTGGAAGTCATATAGCATCATTTTCTCCAGAATCACAAGCCCACTCCAATGCAGCGAAGGGAACATAGACTCTACTTCATAATGGGTGGAGTGTCAAAGTCCCATTGTAAGAACAGCAGGTGGGATGGGACATACGAGTCACCTTTGGAAAATGAATTAGCCACATCGAGAGCACCACTGCAATTTGAAAAGTACTCCTCTAGAGGGCACTGTTGTCATGTGACGCTGGATCCATTTGACTGGGGAATGGGGTGGAGTGATGGGAAGTGTGTTGGGGAGACAGAATAAGGAATTTGGGTGTTGGCAAAGGGGCGGCTTATCCTTTTTGAATTGATCATTCCTTCTGTTGCATAGAACTTGTGATGGCAGTGATGGGGGGGTGTGGCCATGTGGATGTCCTAAGGGAGGGGAACCCAGCAAAGGAGAAGGGGGGCTAGTGACCAGCTTGCAGGGCTTTAAGCCTCTGTGCATTCTCCCCAGTGCCTAGCAGAAGTCCTTGCCCATGGATCAATTTGACAGCTAAGAATAAAGTGTCCATGGGTCACCAGGCAGAAGTCTGAGCTTTGGGAAGGATAGCACCAAGCCTAGCACCCTCACAGTACCCACAATTTCCACCAAAGCATGGCTGGCTCCATACTTCTGGTGCTTGGGTGCTGGCAATGATGACTTGGAAGACTGATGCAGATGTATGAGTGGATGTGATTGTCCAGGAAGAGTGATAAATAAGGAGAAAGGGGCCAAGGAAAGAAAACTGGGGCTTCCACATTTAAAGAGAAAAAGAGGTGGCAGAGGAGGCTGGGAAGGCACGGTCAGAGATGCAGGAGCAAACCCAGTGAGATGGTGGCATGGGCTGGGATGGTTTCTAGGAGGCAGTGGCCCTCAGGGTCAAGTGCAGCTGCAAAATCAAGAAAAAAGGGAACCATCAGATGTGGCAATGAGGAGGTCCCTGGTGACTTTTATGATGCCATTTGCAGGAAACCAGGTAGGCAGGGCATTTAGGGAGTGCAGTAGAGATGGGAGGGAGGAGTGAAGGGCTATAACTTGAGAAGAGGGAAGGGTCATGAGGTTTTTGTTTTTTAAATCTTGGGTGAGACTAAGCTGGCACATAGGCAAGGGAAAGGAGATGGAATGAGAAACCAAAGACTAAAAGGGAATAACTGGGCTGGGCGTGGTGGCTCATGCCTGTAATCCCAGTACTTCAGGAGGCCAAAGCCGGCGGATCACTTGAGACCAGGAGTTTGAGACCAGCCTGGCCAACATGGCGAAAGCCCATCTCTACTAAACATACAAAAATTAGCTGGGTGTGGTGGCGCATGCCTGTAATCCCAGCTACTCGGAAGCTGAGGCATGACAATTGCTTGAACACAGGAGGCTGAATTGCTTGAATACAGGAGATCGCACCACTACACTCCAGCCTGGGAGACAGAGTGAGACTCCGTCTCAAAAAAAAAAAAAAAAAAAAAAAAGCGAACAAAAAAAGAGGAATAACTGATACGGCCTGGTGTGAGGCATGGGGTCCAGCATCCAGATGGAGGGGTCAGCCTTAGAGGGGTAAGGTGGGTGTTCCTTCTGAGAGAGATGGGAACTAATAAAACCAGGAAGAGATGAAGATTTAGGGAGAGGGGGTGGTCTGCTGAGCTAGTTCAAGTGAGCAGTGAGGATTGGGTAGATGGCTTGAGAAGAGTTTGTTAGAGATGAGTGAAAAGCCTGTTTAGCATCAACTCACACATATCTAGTACCTACTCTGTGTCACATGTTTTCACAAAAATGATTTTATCCTTACAACAGTATGTGAAACAGAAAACATCCTTATTTGCAGGCTCCAACCTCTTCCTTGTTGAGTGAGTTCCTTGCTTACCTGAGCATAAGAATGTGCTTGTGAGGAAAAGGAAGGTAAGGAATCCAGGTCAGTCCTGAAGCTCAGAGCAGCCTGGCATCGCCTAGCCCAGGGACCCTTGATGAGGCTGGTTGCCTACTTGAAACAAGGGAAAGCAACCATGATTCTGTTTTGAGTCTGGGAAGAGGGGCTAGCATGGGGGAATGGGTCCCTCAGACCTTTGCCCAAGGTCTAGTCAAAGGGAGGAGGGGGAGGTGGTGAACTCTGCCTTCAGGAATACACGTGGAGTGGGGTGCAGTGCAAATAGCAGGGCCCTACCATCCATGTCTTTCTAGCTTTGCACCCCTGGACAAGCCACTTTGTATAAGCCTTTGTTTCTTCATCTGCAAAAAGGGGATAATTCTATTAAATTTGTATATCTGTGGAATGCAAAGTACCTGGAAATCCTAGACACCCAATACCTGCTGTTATTATTTTTTTGAGGTGGAGTCTTACTCTGTTGCCCAGGCTGGAGTGCAGTGGCACAATCTCGGCTCACTGCAACCTCTGCCTCCTGGGTTCAAGTGATTCTCCTGCCTCAGCCTCCTGAGTAGCTGGGATTACAGGTGCGTGCCACCACACCCATCTAATTTTTAATATTTTTGGTAGAGATGGGGTTTCACCATGTTGGCCAGGCTGGTTTTGAACTCAAGTGATCCACTCGCCTCAGCTTCCCAAAGTGCTAGGATTACAGGCATGAGACACCACGCCTGGCCCCTCCTATTATTATTATCATCATCATCATTTCATTTACTATCTCAGAGAAAGTCAGGAACTCCTGACTCAAGATCAGGACTTTAAGAATGTGGTAAGATTTTGGAATCTTTGTAACTAACACAGACCCATTTTATCACTTTTTATGTCCCCTATGACCTTATAGTAATTAGCAGTCAAATCCTTAAAACTGAGATGCCTGGGTACTTTATTTTTTGAGAAGTAACAGAAAAAGGGAGCCGGGAAGACTGTCTTACTTCACTGCTTGGACTGGAGTGAGGAGAATCCAGAAGTCAGAGTGGCTGCAGCTGAGATGGAGAAGAACTTGCTGCTTAGAGGAAGGGGACTGTAAGTAGCCAAGATGGGTCTTGGGGTACAGCTGAAAGGAAGGCATTTGGAGGGACCTGGGTGATGCCAGCCACAGCCAAATCATTTCCAGAGGGAGGGCTTCCTTGCCACTTCCCTCCAATGTGCCACTTCTACTGCCTAGAGCCTGGATGACCACGGGGTCCTGTGCCTCCTTGTCTCTCTGTGCTCATCTTGCCTGTGTCACTCATCAGTCAGAAGTGCCTTCAGGGTGGGGACAGGAACTTGTTCACTGTTGAATCTCCAGTGCTTACTGCTCAGTGCCTTCCCTGTGGCCAATCCTCTGTAGATGTGATTCATTGACTGCCTGCATGTCTGAATGAGTGAATAAATGAATGAATGACTAATCATTGAATAACAGAATAAAGCAAATTCAAGAACCTTGTCTCAGCCTGTTTTGAGTCTATTGAAGTGTTGCCCAAGTGTCAGTTAGGGTCACCTAATTCCTTAAGAATTAGATAAACTTCCTTTGAGCCATCTATTTCACAAATGGGAAATCCAGAGGTCTCCCTAACATTTCTGTGGGTTCTTAGGGCTGTGGGCTAGGGTGTGGATGGAGAAATAGTGGGAGAGAGGCTTATGGTTTCCACTGGTTCTAAACTTCTGCTTCCTCAGTTTAAAGACTGTCTCCATCCAACTCTGCCTTCTCCTATGTGTGCAGTACAATCTCTTCCTTTTTCCACATGATCCACACTCCCGCCAAACAAGGCAAGTTGTGTGTGGATCAGACTTCACTGTGGTACTAGGGGTTGGGGCAGAGGAGGAGTTTACATCATGACAACGCAGCAGTTCCAAATTAAATGTATTCTTACAATCCTTTGACATCCCACCACTAGAGATGTCTTGTTGGTTGTTTTATTACAGTGGACTCCAATCTTAAGCCATCTTATGATCTTCTCTTTACTTGTTTGCCCTCCTCTTTTTCTTCTTCTCATCGCTTCCACTCCAGGTTGCTTTCAGGACCTTCAAAATCTCTTTGTATTTTAAAGACCAATTTACCCCACCAAGAGCATCCCTGATAATAAAATAACTAACAACTGCAGAGTACTTACAGCCTTTTTTTTTTTTTTTTTTTTTTTTTGAGACAGAGTTTCGATCTTGTTGCCCAGGCTGGAGTACAATGGCATGATCTCGGCTCACCGCAACCTCCGCCTCCAAGGTTCAAGTGATTCTCCGCCTCAGCCTCCCGAGTAGTTGGGATTACAGGCATGCACCACCATGCCCGGCTAATTTTTTGTATTTTTAGTAGAGACAGGGCTTCTGCATGTTGGTCAGGCTGGTTTTGAACTCCCAACCTCAGGTGATCTGCCCACCTTGGCCTCCCAAAGTGCTGGGATTACAGACGTGAGCCACCATGCCCGGCCCCTTGATAGCTCTTAATACATATGCATAGAGATGTACAAGTGTATGTGTGCACGTGGGTGGTGGTGTGAGAGAGGTTTAGGTGGCATCCTTCATCTGGCCCAGGACCACCAAGGTAAGATCCAACCCAGCTCTCCCTTGTCTTCCTGCTATGGGGGCAATGAACAGGAGCCTGCAGGTCCCCTGGCTGTAAGAAGTACCCAACTCTAGGGCCAAGGAATGAGAGTAAGAAGCAGAGGGCCACTCTGTGATTTCTCCTTTGCTTCACCAATGGGCCTCTGCTTTAAGTGCAAAAGCGGTTAAAGGTGCTTGAGGCTTAATGTGTCTCATTAAGGGCTTGGGCTGGCGATGGCTGCCTCTCTCTGCTGAAGGCTGTGACTCCCTTTAAACAGCTCGCTCCCATGGCCATGGGTCTCTCTGTGTGTCCACTCCCTCCCTTGCCCCTCAGGTCTAGAGATAGCAACAGCTCCCCACTGTTGCTAGTTTCAGGATAAATCACAGGATTGTTGCCCTTAATCTGGTTCCCACCATGCGACTGATCTCTTTATTAAACTCTCTTCAATCATGCTAAGTGTGTCCTCATTTCAGTTCAGACTCTTCCTTTGAGTCCTTTGTGCCCTAGTCCTAGTTTTAAGAGTCTTGGCTACCTGTAGGAGACCTTAAGGGTCCCTCAGGTGTTGCTGGGTTCTCTAAGAACTCCTTAGAGACCTGTTTGAGACAAGGTCTTGCTCTCTTGCTCAGAGTGGAGTGAAGTGGCACAATCACATCTCACTGCAGCCTCGGTCTCCTGGGCTCAAGCAATCCTTCCACCTCAGCCTACCGCGCAGCTGGGACCACGCCTGGCTAATTTTTAATTTTTGTAGAGACGGGGTCTCACTATGTTACCAGGCTGGTCTCCAACTCCTGAGCTCAAGCGATTCTCTCACCTCTGCTTTCCAAAGTGCTGAGATTACAGGTGTGGGCCACCGTGCCTAGCCTAGGTTTTGTAAGCAATTATGCAACCTTCACCCTTTCCCCCTAGAGGCTCTAAAACTCTGCCATTAGAGAGTCCTTCTCAAGCAAACCAGGGATATGCTCTGGTATGAAAAGGTGGTGGGTTTTCCAGTTTGTTCTGAGGGCCCAAGCCCCTTTAGAACAAGAATCAAAACAATGCCTGGGACCTGCCCTGTTATCCAACCCTATGCTCTCTCTTCCTGGTGGAGGCTCCAGAATTTCTGGATCACTGGATTTAGGGGATGCAATCCAGCTGGAAGAGAGTGGAACAGAGTTAGGGAACTTGTCTTGAAGCTGCAATTGCAGGGTTTTGCACCGAGTGTTTTAGGAGGTGGCTTGTGTGGGGTGGTGGTGAGGGGGTGCTGATGAGATTTTAGAGGAAGGTTTTGAGCCTGGGCACTGCTACTGGCTTCCCCTTTTGTTAGAACCTGGCCATGCCTCTGAACATGGCTTCTCTTCTCTCTGTGGACTGACAGCACCTGAGGGAGGGCAGGGAACAACCAGGGAGGCCCCAGCATGGGAACAGAGAAGAGAGACAGGCAGCCCTGCCTGTACCAGGGACCTCTTGAAGACTGTGTGGATGGTCCCTGACTTAGGATTGTTTGATTTAGGATTTTTTGACTTTAGATGGTACAAAAGTGATACACATTCAGCAGAAACTGTACTTTGAGTTTTTGGAATTGGGCTACATTTGTTGATATTGTTTTTTCTATTGCAATTAAGTCTAATAGAAGAGATGTTATATTTTGGTTGCAGTGAGGTTTGAATATGATATCATGTGGTGTATTGTAATGGGAAGAAACCTAATATGTTGAAGAATTTATATGTGTGTGAAGGGGATTCAAGTTTGAGATTATTAGTCATAAGATTAAGTTCCACTGCTACTGTAAATCCTAGAATGCTTATGCCAAGGGCTTTAAGTTTTAGTTTAGTTTAACACAACCATTCTGTTTTCCAACTTCAGTATAGTATTCAATAAATTACATGAGATATTTAACACTATTATAAAATAAGCTTTGTGTTCAATGATTTGCTCAACTGTAGAGTAATGTAAGTGTTCTGAGGACTTTTAAGGTAGACTAGGCTAAGCTCTGATGTTCAGTAGGTTAGGCATATTCAATGCATTTTGGATTTTTAGTACTTTCAACTTATGGTGGGTTTATCAGGATGTAACCCCATTGTAAATCAAGGTGCATCTATATGTGAAAGAAAGTTAGTAGAGAGCCCTGTTCATCTACCAAGTCCTGCAGTGAGGACCAGGGGTGGGGTTGGGAGTGGTGCTCTGCAGGAAGCAGGAAATCACCCTCTCCAGTTACCTGGGGGCAGGGGAGCTGGGGATGAAGTCTGTATTGCTGCTATAATAAATTACTGTAAATTTAGTAGTTTAAAACAACACAAATTTATTATCTTACAGTTCTGAAGATCAGAAGTCTAAAATCAATCTCACTGGGCTAATGTCAAGGGACAAAAGGGCTGATTCCTTCTGGAGGCTCTAGGGGATCTTTTTCCTTGTTTTTACAGCTGCTGGAGGCCACCTGCATTCCTTGGCCCATGCTCCCTTCCTCCATTGTCAAAGCCAGCAAAGGTAGCATCTGCCAATATGACTTCTGCTTCCATAATCACATGTTCTTCTATGACTCTGACCTTCCTGCCTTTGTCTTATAAAGAACCTTATGATTATTTTGGGCCCACCCAGATAATCCAGGATAACCTCCCCATCTCAAAATCCTTAATTTATTCACGTCCACAAAGTCCCTTTTACCAGGTACGATAACATATTCACAGGTTCTGAGGATTAGGACATGGACATTTTTGGAAAGTCTTATTCTGCCTACCACAAAGGCCAAATTCAGAAGGTGAAGAGTGTGTGGTTGGGACACAGGTGTAGGAATTGTTATGTCTATTTGACTAGAACTCCCTCTTCATAAGATTGCCTTGAGTCAAAGAGAGCTGCCAGCCAGAGGACAAAGGAGTTTAAAGGGTTTTTCCTCTATCAGAAGGAGTCCTTTCTGGGCGGTGGTGCTTTTGCCTCTCTGGTGACCTGGGACGAATGTCAAATGCCACAGCAAAGCTTGGAAATATTGCCCAGGTGTTACGACTCTCTACATATATGTTCCAAAAAAGTCTTCAGATGACAAATTAAGATTGACTTAGAAAACTCAGTAGTGGTCCTAAACATCTTAAATAACAGAATTATAATTAAAAATACATCATTTCCTATATTCTACTTTCACCAAATGATATGTACAATCATTTCCTATATCTTTATGTTCACCAAAAACATATTCAGAGTAACACCATTTGCATTAGCCCCAAACAGCTTCCCAAATGCCCACCAATGGTAGAATGGATAAACTGACAGAAGACTGGTGTAATCAATGGAATTCAAAACAGCAGTGAGAACGAACCAACAACTGCATCCAATATGAAAAAATATCAAACAGAATGTTAAGAGATCAGCTTTAAAAAAAAAAGCACATTTTCTATGATTTATATCAAATCCCAAACCAGGGAAAACCAATCATGGTGTTAGAAGTCAGGGCAGTTACTCTTGATGAGGGGGAAAGGTGGTGAACAGCTACTGGAGGAAGGTACAAGTGGGCTTCTGGGATGTTAGTAAGGTTCTGTGTTTCTGTTTGCTAGTTTTATGGATGTGTTAGGTTTGCAAAAATTCATCAAGTTGGACATTTGTGATTTGTGCACTTTGCCATATGAATGCTATACCTCAATATAAAGTTAGAAATATATGTATACTATTTCCAACAGCAACAAAAACTATGAATCCAGTAATAAGTCTAACAAGCAGATATGCAAAACCTTTATGGAAGACATCAAAGAAGACCTAAAAACATGGAGAACGTGGTAGTTAATTTAAAGTGTCAACCTGGCTGGGCTATGGTACCCAGTTATTGGCTCAAACAGTGATCTAGATGTTGCTAGGAAGGTATTTTTTCATATTAGGTTAACACTGAAATCAGGAGATATTGAGGAAAGCAGATTATTCTCCATACTGTGGGTGGCCTCAGAGAAAAGATGGCCGTCTCTGTGAGAGGAAGGAATTCTGCTTCCAGACTACCTCAGGATTCAAGACTGCAACATCAATTTCTGCTGAAATTTCCAGGCTGCTGGCCTGCCCTACAGATTTTGGACTTGCAAGCCCCACAACTGTGTGAGCCAATTCTTTAAAATCTCTCTCTCTACACCCACACACACACACACGCACACACACACACACACACACACACACACACCCTGTATTGGTTCTGTTTTTCTGGAGACTGTAGACTAATACAGAGAGATATACTATAGTCATAAATGGTAACAATTCTCCCCGAAATTATAAATTTAATGTAATTCAACTAAAACTTTCAGTAGGAGGTTTCATGAAACTTGACAAAATTAGTATTAAAAAGGTTAAAGAAGAGCTAAGACAATATTGAAGATGAGTATGATGAGGATATTTGCCCTTAAGTTATGAAGACATCATAAAACTATAGGAATTAAAACTGTATAACTTTTGCAGAAGGATGAATTCCCATTCCCCCCAACTTTACTGAGGTATAGTTGACAGTTAAACATTGCATATATTTAAGTTGTACAACTTGATGATTTGGTATATGTAAACATTGTGAAATACCACAAGCTAATTAACATATCAATTACCTCACACAGTTACCTTTGTGTGTGTGTGTGTGTACGTGTGTGTGTGTGTATGTATGGTGAGAACACTTAAGATCTACCCTTTCAGCAGAGAGGGTAGTATACAACATGATATTGTTAAATATAGTCACCTTGCTATACAATAGCTCCCCTGAACTTATTCCTCCTGTATAAACAAAAGATTTGTATCCTTTGACCAATACCTCCCCAGTCCTCATACTCCCAGCCCCTGGTAATCACCATTCTGCCATTCTGTTTCTATGAGTTTGACATTTTTAGATTCTACATATAAGTGAAATCAAACAATATTTTTCTTTCCGTGTCTGGCTTATTTCACTTATCATAAAGTCCTCTAAGTTTATCTGTGTTGTTCCAAATGACAGGATTTCCTTCCTTTTTAAAGGCTGAATAGTGTTCCAGCATGTGTGTGTGTGATATCTATCTATCTCATATTTTATTTATCCTGTCATCCATCAATAGACAATTAGGTTGTTTCCATGTCTTGGCTATTGTGAATAATGACGAAATGAACATGAGAGTGCAGGTATTCCTTCAAGATACTAATTTCGTATCTTTTGGATGCATACCCAGGAGTGAGATTGCTGGATCCTAAGGTAGTCCTATTTTTATTTTTTGGATGAAGCTCCACAATGTTTTCTATAATGGCTGTACCCACCTTGATATCCCCACCAACAGCATACCAGGGTTCTCATTTCTACACATCTTAACACTTATTTTTTCCTCTTTGATAATAGCCATTCTAACAGGTGTGAGGTAATATCCCACTGTTTTTGCTTTGCATTTTCCTGGTGATTAGTGAAGCTGAGCACACCTTTCCATATACCTGTTGGCCATTTGTATTTTTCTTTTCTTTTCTTTCTTACAAGATGGAGTCTGTGTTTCCCAGGCTAGACTTGAACTCCTGGGCTCAAGTGATTCTCCCACCTCGACCTCCCGAGTAGCTGGGACTACAGGTGAGTTCCACCGTGCCTGGCTCCTACTGGCCATTTGTATATCTTCTTTTGAGAAATGTCTATTCAGGTCCTTTGTTCATTTCAAAATTCGGGTTTTTTTTTTTGGCTACTGAGGTACATGGGTTCTTTATATATTTTGAATATTAGCCCCTTATCAGACACAAGGTTTGAAAATATTTTCCCCCCATTCCATAGGTTGTTTTTTCATTCTGTTGATTGTTTCCTTGGCTGTGTGGAAGCTTTTTAGTTGGATGCCATCCCATTTGTCTATTTTTGCTTTTCTTTCTTGTGCTTTTCATGTCATACACAAAAAAATCATTGCCTAGACCAATGACAAATACCTTTTTTCCTATGTTTTCTTCTAGTAGTTTTACAACTTCCAGTCTTATGTCTAAGTTTTTAATCCATTTTGAGTTGACTTTTGTAGATGGTGTGAGATAAGGGTCAAATTTCATTCTTCTGCATGTGGATATCCAATTTTCCCAATGCTATTTATTAAAGACATTATCCTTTCCCCATTGTGTGTTGTTGGCACTTTTGTCAAGGAGGATGAATTTCTGAAGTCTCCATTTGTATGTGAGAACTTGGATTTAATAGTAGAGCCACTATAAATTATAGGGGAACAAAGGACTATTCAATAAATATGCTGAAACCATATCTATGGAGATCTATGGAGAAAAAGTTGAATTCCTACCTCAGAGCACACATAAAATAAATCCCATATGGATTAAAGCCCAAGTGTGGAAAAGAGTATAGAACTTTAAAAAGAAACACACAGAAGAATATTTTTATGAAGTAGAGATGGATTTGTCAAAGAAAGAAAAAAATTCCCATGAACCCCAGAGGAATACTTGACAATATTAAAAATTAAAACTTGTCAAATAGGCCAGGTGCAGTGGCTCATGTCTGTAATCCCAGCACCTTGGGAGGCCGAGGTGGGCAGATCACCTAAGGTCAGGAATTTGAGACCAGTCTGGTCAACATGGCGAAACCCTGTCTCTACTAAAAATACAAAATTAGCTGGGCATTGTGGTGCATGCCTATAGTCCCAGCTACTCAGGAGGCTGAGGCAGGCTTGAACCTGGGAGGCGGAGGTTGCAATGAGCCGAGATCGCGCCATTGTATTCCAGCCTGGACAACAAGAGCAAAACACCATCTCGAAAAAAACCCAGAAAAACCCCGAAACTTGTCAAATAATAAAAGATATCATAACCGAAGTAAAAAGACAAGGCACAGACCGAGTGAAGATGTTTGCTATGCACATAACTGGGAAGTGATTATTACCCAGGATATATGTAGACTTACAAGCCAAAAAGTAAAAGATGACCCCTAGAAAATTAACAATGGATATGAATGGGTGATTCATAGAGAAAGAACCTGTATATTTATAAACCTATGAACAGACGTTCAAGTGATAATCAGAGAAAGAAATGCCCCTTTAAGTAATGAGATAATATTTTATAATCATCGTGCTGAAAAAAACATCAAGTCTGATACACCAAGGGCTGGGGAGGATGTGGGAAAATGAGAACTCTTACACATTGCTGGTAGGATTGTAAATTATTTCAACCTTTTTTGGAGAATAAACTATTGCTATCTAGGGGAGTTGAACATGTACCTTATAACCCAGGAATTCCACTCTCATCTATATCCTAGAGAAACTCTCACACTAGTGCACAAGTAACAGCAAATGACAGTTTCTTTGTAGGGGAAAAAGTGGAAGTAACCTAAAATGCCCTTCAGTAGGTCCATGCTATGATTTTCTATGGTACTTTCTCTTGTTTGAAGCATTTTATCCCCTCTGTCTCCCCCACTCTCCCTCTTCCTTTCCCTCTCTCTCTCTCCCTCTCTGTCTGGATCTGGCAGGGTGGTAGGGTGGTGGGCAGGCCCCAGGGCTGGGATCAATGTAGGAGAGACGCTGGAAAAGCAGAGTAGGGAAAACACAGCTACAAGGAATGTGCAGAGAAGCCTCTGCAGCTGCTCCTGAAAGTGGGAGGAAATGAGGCCACCGGCAGGTCAGGACAAAATTTTTTTAAACAAGAGCTTTATTGAATATCATTTATATATCATATTAATTTACTCATTTAAAATGTACTATTGTACATTTGGGAGGCTGAGGCAGGAGGATCACTTGAGCACAGGAGCTCAAGATCCGACTGGGCAACATAGGGAGGCCCTGTCTCTACAAAAAATTCCACAACCTGTGGTTCCAGCTACTTGGGAGAGTGAGGTGGGAGCACTGCTTGAGCTGGGATGTCAAGGCTGCAGTGAGCCACGATTGCACCACTGCACTCCAGCCTGGGCAACAGAGTGAGACCCTGTCTCAAAAAATACAAACTGTACCATTCACAGAGTTATGCAACCAGAACCACAACCAACCAGTGGGGGTGAGGATGAGCTGGAAAGGCACTTCAAACAACAGAAATTTATTTTTATTTATTTATTTTTTTGAGACGGAGTCTTGCTCTGTTGCCCAGGCTGGAGTGCAGTGGTGCCATCTCAGCTCACTGCAAGCTCCGCCTCCCAGGTTCACGCCATTCTCCTGCCTCAGCCTCCCAAGTAGCTGGGACTACAGGCGCGTGCCACCACGCCCGGCTAATTTTTTTTATATTTTTAGTAGAGACGGGGTTTCACCATGTTAGCCAGGATGGTCTCAATCTCCTGACCTCGTGATCCGCCCGCCTCGGCCTCCCAAAGTGCTGGGATTACAGGTGTGAGCCACCGCGCCCAGCCTGGAGAAATTTATTCTTTCACAGTGCTGGAGGCTAGAAGTCAGAAGTCAAGGTGACAACAAGACTGGCTCTTCCTGGAGGCTTGGAGTGAGTCTGCCCACATCTTTCCTAGCTTCTGGTGGTTTCTGACCATCATCGGCATTCCTTGGCTGTGGCTGCATCACTCCAATCCTGGCCTCCCTCTCCATGTGGCCTTCTCCTCTGGGTGTATCTCTGTTCTCTCCTCCTCGTCTCCATTTTTTCTTTTTTAGTGCCTTAGTAGGGATTTTCCTCTTTTTATTAGGATATTAGTCATTGGATTTAGGGTCTGGCTTAATTTGGTATGCAAGTCTCTTTGCCTTAAGCCTCTTTGAAGACAGAAATGATCATGACAAACAAGGGCAGAAAAAAGAAAAAGAGAAAGAAAGGAGAAAAGCAGTTCCCAGATGAAGAAAAAAGGGAAAAACAAAGAAGAGCAAAGGATTACAAGCAGCAGCAAGACCAACACTTTATGGAGAATAAAACAGGATGCTTCTGGGGCCAGGCTCCTATAAGTTTGGAATTTCTACCTCTGAACTTTCCTGAAAGCTCTTTAGTTAGGACAATAGACATACCTTCCAGAAGTTCTGAATCAATAGATGAGGCAATTGCAGAGAAAGGACGCAGGAGCTTTCTTTTCACTTCCTGTGACTCCTGACTACTCTGTAATTATTAAATATTAGTGATTTTAGTACTTAAAAGAGGAGACCTAGAATAATGGCTACCAGTCCATAGGGAGACTAAAAGATATGAAGTGTCATGCTTTATAACAAACAAAGATCATTTATTATAAAGTTGCAAAGAGGCTATCACACTCAGGGGTGCAGACTCTTAGCTTGGAGCAAACTCAGAGCCTGAGTCAGAGCATAGATTTCATGACAGACTAAAAAAGACTGCAGAGCAGAATGCTGAATCACACACCTTACAGAGATGGGGAGAACCATGGCTGCCACCCTAGGGAGAAAGAAAACCCTGTAGTCACTGATGCCAAATACTTCAAAATTCCCATTGAAGAAAATAAAAAGAAGTCAGAGACTTGCGCTAAGATAATTGTAAAGCAATAATTTAGAAAGAGAACAGAGGCAGACTAGCCCTGTTAAAAATAGTTAAAGGACCTGGAGGAAAGCTGACCAGCTGGCTTGTTATAGTTGGGGGAGTCTGAAAGAAGGCCAGATGGCCAGCAACATGGAGACTTCTCCATTCTGAAGATCCTGTGGTAGAAGAACCCACCCTCTGTCCTGTAAGACTGGGGATAACAACTCAATGGCTTCAGTCTGGAGTGACTGTCTTGTGGAGGTTCCAAGAAGGCCAAAGGAATCATGTTATTCCAGTGTTATGTTTGCATCACAGACCCTAAAGTTCTTTCACAGTATGCAATGACTCCACATTTGTGACTATTAGTAAGGATGATTCAAATTTAAGTGACTGAACTTATGGGGAGGACGCTGAGCTTCCCAGTAGTTGCAGCATCCATATTTTGTTTTGGTCTTTATTTTTGTTGTTATATGCCAAGATTACCCATATATTATGGCAGGTAGTTTACTGGATATTCTCATGAAAGGAGGACATACTAGAATCCTGCAAGAGCTGGAAATGCTATCACCCGAAGGTGAAGGTCACAATAGGATGCTTGACACAGCAAAACACATGGAGGCTACAGAAATACAGCAGGCCAACTGCTGTCTAACAACCAGAATGGGTTCATAGCACTCAAAACAGTAACAACTTTGGTGCTCTGGCTGAAGTTTTTTACTCTGACAAGTTCTAAAAAAACTCACCGAAAGACCAAATTGTTCAAGGACTTCCAAGAACCTAGAATAAGCATCTGAGGACCAGGTCTCATCTCTGCATGAGATGTCTCCTGTGACCCTTTTACCGAGAGATGCATCTTGAAGAGCAAGGCTTATGACCTTAAAGAATTTGTGCAAATAACTCCAGCATCACAAGCATGTATAGAGGTAGAAAAACAATGGGGATTTTCATTCCTTCCCCCATCATAGAAAACAACAGAAGATTTAACAGAAGAGTTTGAAGAACTTAAGACTGATCTTGCTGATTGTTGACTGTGGACCTGATTGAATAGAAACTATCTGTATTTAATGATATATAATATACCTTTATTTTTCATTCTTAACTTGGAAATGCTTTTCAAGGGACTATTATACATTGGCATTACATTAGATATTACACATTAATAAACTTCTAATTAGTCAAATTTAGAAGAATCAGTGTTCCAGACACTGGAAATGTGTCAAGTAATAAAGCTGAACCTTGAACTGGAGAAAAAAAGGAAATATGACCCCTAGATGTTATCTACACTAGGCATCTGTTGATATGATCAATATTCTTTACCCTCTTCCTTTCTGGTAACAGCGTTAGCCCATCTCCTTTGTGGAGTTGAACAACCCCCATTCTACGTGGTAGGAAGAGCACCCTGGCCAAAGGCATAGAGCTAGCTTGGCCAATCAGGATACTCCATCCATTTGTCCACAGTGATTGGTCCAGGGGTGGGCATATGATCTAAACAGGGCCGACTGTTGGAGATCAGAATCGTTAGGGGTTCCATCCATAGTAAGAGCACACATTCCCTGGAGAAATGTCAGGTGTGGAAGATTGTCAAATTTGGTATAGTCAGCTGTGGACTAATTAGGGCTCTTTGAATTACAAGTGTCAGATGTTCAACTCAAAACCAATCTTTCCCTGGATTTCACACACACATGCTGGAAGAGAGAAGCTCTGTCTTTCCTCTGGGGTTACTTGCTACATAGAGGAAGTCATCCATCAAAGAGAGAATGAGACCAATCTACAGAGAGAAGCAGGACTGAGGGAAGGAGTTAGAGAGCCCTAATGACTTTGAGTCTTTGGAGCCAATCATGCTCAAGGCGAACTCCAACCCTGCCACAAAGAGCTAATGAATCCCCTTTTTTTCATTAATATTAGTTTTGAGTTGAGCATCTGACACTTGTAATCCAAAGAGCCCTTATTAGTCCACAGCTGACTATACCAACTTTGACTATCTTCCACACCTGACACTTCTCCAGGGAATGTGTGATCTTACTATGGATGGAACCCCTAATGATTCTGATCTCCAACAGTGTACTCACACAATGTTACTACAGTGACCACCAAAGTAAGAATAGCTAACATCTTCCAATCAAAATCTTATCAAAAGCACTGTGCTAAGTGCTTTGTATGCATTGTTTCCTTTACTCACCACAAAAGCCCTACACAGCATTATTTATTTCCACTTCCCTACTTTTAATTTGAAGAACCTAAGGTTTGGAGAACTTGAGAAATTGTTCATGGTTCCACCACCAGTAGGTGTTGGAGAGAATGTTTAAAGCCAGGCAGTCTGACTCTCTGGAACATGTGCCGTTGACCTTACATTGTTATTACTTCCTTCCTAGACTTAACCTCTCAAGAACAGCACAGCCAAGAAGGGTCAATCTGAATTCCAAGGTGCTATTTATCTACTAGTTGGGCAGCCAGTATTATGAGATAGTGAATGATGCTGAGGGCACATTTTGCACTAGGATTATAGAGCGAACCCTTTCAACAATGCAAAAAGATAGAAATGAGTGTTCTAGTTTAACTTTCTAGATTAAGAAACTGGGATGGTTAAGTGACATGCTCATGGTTACGCTGCCCCAAGTGCTAAAGTTGGGAAAGGCTCCCGGAAATGTGTGACTTCATCCCCAAGAGGACTGAAAAGAAAGTGTTCTGACCTTGAAAGGTATACAGAAATCAAAGGATTCAGGTCGATGGGGTGAAAGGTTTGTTTTAGTAAAAAATGTCTTATCCTTGTTTGATCGGTTATTTTATTCTAGGGAGGAGGCCTTGTCTAGTTTTCCTTTTTATGGAAAGGTCAGCCGGTGGGTCAGGAAGCTGGGGAATGTGTGCCTTGTCATGAATTCAGGCTTCCTGATTCATGGGGTGAAATTTCGCTTTCTTATTGCCTCTCGGAGAAGGATGAGCTCATTGGTGGTGACAAGAGCAGCCTTCTGTCCTTCCTGCTCCAAATGCTGAAAGAAGTGGGATGTGAGCTGTCAAATGTCACAGAAGCCTACAAAACGCTGACTCCCGGATGCCAGGCATAACTGGGGTTGGCTCAGAACATGGGGACAGGGCAATACCATCATCTGCTAAGAATTCATTGTTCTGTAGCTTGCCCTGGACACAATGGCAAGACTGAGACAGGAGGAATAGATGTGGGGCGGGGTGGGGGCAGACAAACTGGGTGTGTCTTTGCAAACATAGCCTTTTTGGGGGTGGGGAGAGATAGGATCAATCAAGAGGCAGACTGTATGTGGGTTTAGGGCACCAAGAAACAGGGACATGAAAAATCCTGACAAAACAAGGCAAAGCATAACAAAACAAATGCCCAAACAAAGAAAGGGAGGGGGAGCATTTGTTTGGAAAGGTTTTGACATTTACTGCTTTAAAAAAAGCATTGAAACAGTCATAGGAAAATTCATAACTTTGTTTAGTATTTTGAATCACAAAGGGTGGGTGATTCAAATGACTTTGTAGAGACAAGGTGCTATTTAGATGAGAAGTTCTCTGGATTGGATGGTCCCAGACTCTCCTGTGGGCAGAAGGGCAGCTGACAGCCTGATTGGGTATACTTTGAGTGACGCTGAGCAGACCCCGACTCCAAAAAACACTGGAAGGAAGAGTTCCAGAGTTAGGAATTGAGGTGGGATTGGAGGTTATTTTATTTACTTCTTTGTTCTTTGCATGTTTTCCAAATTTTGTGTGTATGTGTGTATACACACACACACATACACATATGTTTTTTGAGACAGGATCTTGCTCTGTTACCCAGGCTAGAGTGCAGTGGCACAATCACTACTCACTGCAGCCTTGACTTCCTGGGCTCAAGCAATCCTTTTCCTACCTCAGCCTCCTGAGTAGCTGGGACTGCAGGTATGTGCTATCACACCTGGCTAATTTTTTATTTTACATAGAGACTGGGTCTTGCTTATTTTACATAGAGGCTGGTCTTGAACTCCTGGGGTCAAGCAATCTTCCCGCTTCAGCATCCCAAAGTGCTGGGATCACAGGCATGAGCCACTATACCTGGCCTTGCACACATATTTTTAAAACCTTAATTGTATTAATGTAAAATTATACAATTAACATGTTATTACAGTCCTTTTATACAAAATTACTATTCCATGGTAAGAGTAAACTGTCCCCCTGACCATCACTTCTTTCCTATATATTCACATTCATATATAGAAACACATGAATGAGAATCAGATTGCTTTGTGTGAATGGCTTAAAAAAAACCCAGAAATGACATTGGACTGTACATTTCTTTTTTATTTTATTTTTTTTATTATATACTTTAAGTTTTAGGGTACATGTGCACAATGTGCAGGTTAGTTACATATGTATACATGTGACATGCTGGTGCGCTGCACCCACTAACTCGTCATCTAGCATTAGGTATATCTCCCAATGCTATCCCTCCCCCCTCCCCCCACCCCATAACAGTCCCCAGAGTGTGATGTTCCCCTTCCTGTGTCCATGTGTTCTCATTGTTCAATTCCCATCTATGAGTGAGAATATGCAGTGTTTGGTTTTTTGTTCTTGTGATAGTTTACTGAGAATGATGATTTCCAATTTCATCCATGTCCCTACAAAGGACATGAACTTATCATTTTTTATGGCTGCATAGTATTCCATGGTATATATGTGCCACATTTTCTTAATCCAGTCTATCATTGTTGGACATTTGGGTTGGTTCCAAGTCTTTGCTATTGTGAACAGTGCCGCAATAAACATACGTGTGCATGTGTCTTTATAGCAGCATGATTTATAGTCCTTTGGGTATATACCCAGTGATGGGATGGATGGGTCAAATGGTATTTCTAGTTCTAGATCCCTGAGGAATCACCACACCGACTTCCACAATGGTTGAACTAGTTTACATGGACTGTACATTTCTTTCTGCAACTTGCATTTTCACTCAACAGGTCTTGTTGGGTGTTATGACAATTTGATCTACTTCATTCTTTTAACTATAGCATACTAGTCCATAGGGTGGCTTAAGCATTGAAGTAGTTATGGAGAAATTCAGAACTATATTTATGGCTATTCCTTTTCTCATGGACATTTAGATTATTTCTAATTTTAACCTATTGCATATAATGCTTCAGTGAACACCCTCGAAGGTAACTCCTTGGTCACATGTGCAAGGGTTTCCCCAGGGCAGGTATGGAGGAACCACTGGGTTCTAAGACTTTAATCTTCAATAGATACCATCAATTTGCCTTCCAGAGGGGCTGTAATAATTGATATTCCCAATTGCATTACTAAAGTGTTTCCCATAACTTTGTCAACAGTGAATGAAAAGGAAAAAAATTACCAATCTGCTGAATAAAAAGTGATGTCTCATTGATTTTCTTTGACATTTTCCTGATTACCAGTGAGGCTATTTTATTTCTTCATCTTTTCCCGTATTTAACCTTTTTTTTTTTTCAGGAAACATACACTACTTTCATAATATTGGAAGGAGTTCTCTCCTCCTCCTCTTTCTTAAAGCAGACATAGCACACAGATGAGGACTATTTGCCTTGATGGGACCATCTTAGGTCAAATGCCTATTCCTGAACCCATCACTGTTAGGAGATAGGAGGGTCTATCATTGTGGCCAGATGAGTGGGATTCACCTGATTGGTTCAGAGGCCACTTCTGGAACTGGGTGGGGCCAATCCCACGGTCCTCATAGCTACAGATGAGAGGGTAGGGGTTTGTTTATTATACAGTGACCTTTTTCAGTTCTAATGTTCTTTGGCTCTAAAAAGAAATGACATTCCATTGGTTTAATCACTGATCTTTTGGTTGAAATGAACAGAGACCTAATCAAGTTAGATCAAGTGATAAATGAGATTTATTTGGGGGAAGGGGAAGCAGGGGTATCTCTCAAAACACAAAGGCAGGAAATAGAGCTGGCCTGGGGCAGGTACTGGAATGCCAGCAGAAACAAAGGCCACTTTCTCTTCTCTGTTTTTCTAGGCACATCTCCCCTTTTCTCCCTTTCCCTCCAGGCACACATCTTTTATGTGTGCTTCATCTTAACTTTGATTTAATGTCTTTTCTCCGTAAGCCCTCAGGCCACCTATTTCCTATGGTCTCTGGGCCTCCTAGTTCAATTTTTCAGAGGATAGAAATATGATTGGTTTCTAGCCAGCCAATGGACTGGCTGATTTTGGGTCATGTGGTCAAACCTCCTCCAGTCAACTTTTTCATCTGCAGTGAAGGGCAGAGTTATTGGCCATAGAGGCCGCCTCTTCCAGAGTCTGAGGGTGTGGCAGTTCCTCGGAACTGCCTGGGCAGGGCAGGCAATGGAATGTGCCTATGGCAAAGGTGTGGTCTTTTTTTTTTTTTTTTTTTTTGAGACAGAGCCTCCCTCTGTTGCCCACGCTGGAGTGCAGTGGCACGATCTCGGCTCACTGCATCTTCCACCTCCCAGGTTCAAGCAATCTTCCTGCCTCAGCTCCCCTAGTAGGTGGGATTACAGGCACGTGCCACCATGCCGGGCTAATTTTTGTATTTTTAGTAGAGATGGGGTTTCGCCATGCTGGCCAGGCCGGTCTCGATCCCCTGACCTCAGGTGATCCACCCGTCTCGGCCTCCCAAAGTTCTGGGATTACAGGTGCGAGCCACTGTGCCCGGCCAAAGGTGTGGTCTTCTAAAATCTGAGGAGCTGTGTTGAATTCTAAAGCACGCCAGCATAAGCAAGAATAAAAGGAGCTCCCCTAAAATGTTCCCTTTTTCCTTCCTCCACCTTTGACCCCCAAACCTCAGTTCTGGAAATCTAAGTTAAGTTTTATGCATACAGATATTCTATAAGTACTATATATGACATCGATAAATAGAAACTAACAAAATGTCCTAAACTCAAAGAATGGCTACATAAAATGTGCATTCTACGGCATATTATATGCCATTAAATTGATGCTTTTAAAAATTTAAAATAACAAAGGAAATACATAAGATATAATAGTAAGTGAAAAATAGACTATATTTGTGTATCTACTATGATCACAGCTTTATAAACGAAAATTATATTTACTTATATACACACACACATACACATACATGTGATGTGGCAGTCTGCTAGTTTAAAAATAGGTACTTGGCTGGGTGCGGTGGCTCATGCCTGTAATCCCAGCACTTTGGGAGGCTGAGGCAGGTGGATCACGAGGTCAGGAGTTCAAGACCAGCCTGGCCAACACGGTGAAACCCCGTCTGTAGTAAAGACACAAAAAATTAGCTGGGCATGGTGGTGCGCACCTGTAATCCTAGCTACTTGGGAGGCTGAGACAGGAGAATTGCTTGAACCTGGGAGGCGAAGGTTGCGGTGAGCTGAGATCACGCCATTGCACTCCAGCCTGGGTGACAGGGCAAGACTGTCTCAAAAAAAAAAGGTACTTATTTCTCTCCTCTACTTTTGTGTATTTTTAAATGCAATAAACACACATTGCTTTTGTGAAGGAAAAACCTAATCAATGAATTTTAAAGAAGACAGCTTGGGCCTTGTGAACCCTGGGCTATGTGACGACTCTTCTTAGTAATGTTTAAAACCCAGACTCTGAGTTCTGGGACAACAGGGAATACTCTTTTCTTAAATGAGACAAGGTCTTGCTCTATTGCCTAGGCTGGAGTGTGTTGGTGCAATTATAGGTCACTGCAGCCTTGACTCCTGGGCTCAAGTGATCCTCCTGCCTCAGCCTCCACAGTAGCTGGGATTACTGGCACACGCCATCATGTTCCACTAATTATTTTCTCTTTTTTGTAGATATGTGATCTTTCTATGTTGCCCAGGCTGGTCTCAAACTCCTAGGCTCAAGCAATCCTCCCACCTCGTCCTCCCAAAGCGCTGGGACTACAGGCATGAGCTGCTGCAGCTGGCCCTGATAGTCTTTATTTCACCACTGTATCACCAGGGTTTAGCACAGTGCCTGAGTGCGTTGGATACCGAGCAAATATTTGCCAAATGAATGAGTAATGAGTGAATCCTTAAGCTGGGGGTGGCTGTGAGAAGAGTGACAAGGTTAGTGGCCACGATGCTGTGGGAGACCAGGCTCTTCACTATAGTTTAAGTGGAATGAACCCCTCATTGTTTCCAAACTAACGATCCTCATCTGAGAAGAGAAGTTCATTTGGAACCCCACTGTCACCTTCTCAGGGCCACCACGGAGTGTATGCTCATCAGGGACTTGGGAGACCACTTTGGCTCACCCCTGCACCCACCGCTTTGCTGACATCCAAGGGGCTGGGGGCCCAAGTCTGGGGAGCTCAATCCTTCATCCATGTCTGATCTCAGCAGCATGTCCCATTCCAGTTCACTATTAAAAATTGTATTTCTACAGCTCTTTTCATAGAAAAAAAAATTGTGTTCCTTGTCTTAGCATGGTGCATTTCTGCAGTTGGACTGAGGTGTTACTAAAGCTAGAGTTTTCTACTCAGAGAGAGGAGAGGACTCCAGACTGCCGGTGCAAGAGATACGTATGTACATGCATGTGTCTGGAAAGAAAATTCTGAGATCAATAAATCTACCAAGAATGAGTGTCTCACATCCATGGGAACCTGTCTGTGCTGCATCCTGTGATCACTGAACACCCCTAAGCCTCCACCATTCTAGATTTCACCTCTTTCCTCCTTTGCCCTGTTGTCCCCTGCTGGCGGTGGCTGCCCTCATCCAGGTGGTACATTACATCCCTTGCAGCTCCCATGTCCTTCTGGCTCCAGCACCATCAGTTTACCATGGAGATTCTCGACCTCCAGGGGCTACCATGCCACTTCTCATACACCCCTGGAAACCTCCTTTCACAGCAAGTAAGCCTTCATCCCTGTTACTCCATTACCTTCTCCACCACAGCCATAGATGTCTCATAGTGAGCACTATTTGGAAGAACTCTGTGCTGCCTAGGAGTAACTTTGAAATTCAATAAATACTTACTAAAGCCTTACTATGTGTCAGGCACATTTCTTGGTGCTGAGGCCACAATAGTGGATAAGGCAGAACTGAATCCTGCCCCAGGGGAACTCACCTTCTACTAGAGGACACAGACATCAACAGAATCAGTGCACAATGATTGAAGCTCAGTTGTGGGAAAAGCCATGAAGTAGTTAGCACAGGGTGCCCCAAGAGCAGCATGGGATGCGCCTGAGTTAGGGTGGGGTGGTTTGGGAAAGCTTCACTGAGAGAATGAGAGGGTGAGTGTGAGTTCGGCAGATGGAGTGAGGAAGGCGCGGTGGGCAGTGCTCCAGGCCAGCACTCTAATGGGCATTCCAATCACCTGGGCACCTTGTTGTGGCGTGGGGCCCAAGATTCTGTTTCTAACAAGCTCCCAAGTGGCTCCAGAGCTGCTGGTCTGGGAACTCACTTTGAGTAGCAAGTTTCTATACCAGTGACTCTCAGCCTTAATTGTGTATGGACATCACCTGGAAGCTTTAAACAATACTGACGCCTGGGTGCTACCTCCAGAGATTCTGATTTGCTTGGTTTTAGATGTGTCCTTGGGATTTGAAGGAAAAAAAAAAAAACCACTCCCCAGGGTATTCTAATGTGCAGCTTGGATTGAGGACCCTTCATCTAGGCAAGGCTAACAGTACGAGTAAAACCCGAGGACATTTAGATGACAACTTTTCTGGGTGGAGGGCCAAGCGCTCAGTCTTCTCTGATCTTGCCTGGGCTCACGAATGCTGTGAACAGTCACTGGTACCTCAAAGAGCTGCATGGGCCAAGCTTGTCTCATTCACACATCTGACAGGGGGTTCTGGCTGTTGGCCGGGTCACCTTGCTCTCCAGGAGTATGCTAGACTCACTGGACGGCATGAGAGCGAGGGTGGAAGCTGCAAGGCCTTCTGAGGCCTAGGCTCCGGAACTTGCATAGAACAGTTCCTCCACATTCTAAGTCACAAGGACTGCCCAGATTCAAGGGGGTGGAGACATATACTCCACCTCTTTATTTAACTGTTTCGTTTGTGGAGGTGAGGTCTCACTATGTTGCTCAGGCTGGCCTCAAACTCCTGGGCTCAGACAATCCTCCTGCCTTGGCCTCCCAAAGTGCTGGGATTACAGATGTGAGCTGCTGCCCTGGCTGCTGGACTCCACCTCTTGATGAGAGGAGACATCACATTACCAAGGACACTGGGGCCTTTGGTATAGAGATTTGCTACAGCGATCCAAGCAGCTACATAAGGACCCTGTGGTCAGAAAATGGAGTCACAGCTGGGGGGTGGAATCCCTGTTTAATCTTTGAGGACTGGAGCCTGACAGTGGTCTCAGACTGTCTGATCGGAATGCAAATTTCCTACCTCAATTTTGCCCCTGGTGAGATGGTGAGAAGAGAACAAGGATGAGAGGATGCTTTCCCCACGTCCATGGTGCTTCCTGCCTGCCTGACCCCACGGCAGGATTAACCTCATGGCATTCCAACCTCCAGGGGCCCTTTCCACACACAGCTGCTTTCTGGCCAAACTTACAGGCCAGGAGTGGTTCAGACTTCACAGATAGGAAGGTCCTCTCAGCAGTAGGCAGCTCCCATTACGGTGGGAATGGAAGGAGGGAGAGCCTCCTGACCCTCAGTGCTCTTCTTCCCACCAGAAAGTCCACCATGGTTAGGTATGCTCTGAGCTTTATCATCCTTTAGCAAGGAATTCAGGACCTTTGGGTGAAGATCTGGAGGAGTAAGAGGAAGGGGTAGTAGTATGGCAGCACCAGAGCCAAAGACAAGCCTGGAATTGCAGAGTAGCCCTGGCCTGCCTCTCACCACCTGGAGGGCACACTGGGCAGAGCCTTCTCTAATCAGGGCTGTAGCTTTGGCGACTGGGCAGTGCCTGGGGACTGAAGGGCGAGGGAAGAATCTCATTCAGCTGCTGCTAACATGGACCTGTAAGCTGCCCTGTTACCAAGGCAAAGAGGAGCGGACTCTCTCCCTGCTCCCCCACCTTCTAATCTCATGGCCCTTACCCTAGCAGTGCTCATAGAGAGCTCATGGCCACTTACCTATTTAGTCTTCCTTGCAGTGGACATTCAATCTATTTTATTATGTATTTATTTTTGAGATGGAGTCTTACTCTGTTGTTCAGGCTGGAGTGCAGTGGTGCGATCTCAGCTCACTACAGCCTCCATCTCCTGGGTTCAAGTGATTCTCCTGCCTCAGCCTCCCAAGTAGCTGGGATTACAGGCGTGCACCACCACACCTAATTTTTGTATTTTTAGTAGAGACAGGGTCTCACCATGTTGGCCAGGCTGGTCTCGAACTCCTGACCTCAAATGATCCTTCTGCCTTGGCCTCCCAAAGTGCTGGGATTACAGGCATGAGCCACCGTGCCTGGTCCCTTTCAGTTTATTTTAGATGAAAGGTCCTGGTCTTTCCCCAGCAGACATGGGCCCAGTTCTGCCAGTTCTAGCTACAGAGGTTTTTGTGAGAGCTACTCCCCTGGCCCCAACCCCTGCTCCCACCAGGTACTGCCTGATCCCACCCTACAGCCCCCCTCAGCCCAAAGCTGGTGGACAGAGGAAGGTGCCAGAGCCAATCCCAGGTGGTGCTCCTCCAGGAGGCTTCAGGCACCACTCCTTTTAGGCTGGGCCACATGGCACTTCCTGTTGCAAAGAAAAGCAGCTTATTGTGGAGGGGGCTCCAGCAGCTTGGCACTGGCCAGTAGAAGAGGTAAATATAAAGGAAATTAGAGAATGCAACTTTTCTTGACATGCAAACTGAGTTCTCAAGGAATGTATCTCTGGGCACGGCTAGTTTGAGATGTGCTGGATGCCAGGTGGGTGAGAGGGTGTGGGTGGGCCTGCATGTGTGAGAGGTGCAGGGAGAATGAATTCTAAAGAAGCAGAAATGTTTTCTAAACATTTGACGGCTGCTGAGTGCCCTTTCCTCTGCTTCTGGGTTCCACATCTTCCAAACCCTCCTGACTGAGGCACATAGGGCTGCTTTGAACTTTTTTTTTTTTTTTTTCTGAGACTGAGCCTCATGCTGTTGCCTGGGCTGGAGTGCAGTGGCACGATCTTGTTGGCTCACTGCAACCTCTGCCTCCTGGGTTCAAGCAATTCTCCTGCCTCAGCCTCCCAAGTAGCTGGGATTACAGGCGCCCACCAACTCATCCGACTATGCTTTGACCTTTCTAGGAGTAGAATCATCAGGAATGGAATTCCTAAACTTTTCTAATTCAGTGCTGTTTTCTGAGCCTTAGCTCCTAGCTTTGGCTGGGTCAGCCGAGTACCCAGCTCAGGCATTAGTTCCTACTTGAGAAGATGGGTCCTCCCAGCCGTAGTTAAGACCTACCCAGGCTCCTATTGGGGGTACCTAATTATGAAATTTCTCACTTCCAGCAACACTAATCTAAGTCAGCCTCTTTAGAAGGGGCAGCTATAGTGCCAACAGCCTAAGTTTCTCTTTGCTATGGGATGAAGGATTTTCTTCCTGGCTTGAAGATGACGCCTTCCCGCTGTGTGCTCACATGGCCTTTCCTTCGCATGTGTCTGTGAATGTAGAGAAAGGGAGAGAGGGCTCTCTGGTGTCTCTTAAGATTGATTCTATCAGACCAGGGCCCTACCCGTATGGTCTCATTTAACCTTAATTATCTCCTAAGGCCTTGTCTCCAATTATAGTCACATTGGGGGTTAGGGCTTCAACATGTAACTTTTTTTTTTTTGGGCAGGGGACACAGTTCATTCCATAGTAAGTGGTATAAATGATAAACACGAATATTTTAAGTATTGCGCCAAGTGAGAAATGGTCAAGATGAGCCCTTTCAGCAGCCTGGGGCCTTGCTCAATGCTGCCAGTTCTCCCAAATATCTTCCACCTAAGCCTCTTTACTGCACTTCCTGCCTTGAATTCCTCTCCATCTCTCTGTAAATTAACTTTTACCTAGGCAAAAATGAGGTAGGAGGCAGGACTCAACTCTGGAGGGGCTCGGACACCAGACCAAATTGAAGACTAGCTAAAACAGGGCTGTACTTTTGGCAAGTAGCTTGCCAAAAGACACGCCCACAAGTGTGCCACGTCAGTTTACCATTGCCATGACAACACTAGGAACAACACCCAGGAATTACCGCCTCTTTCCATGGCAATGACCTGATGATCCAAAAGTTACTACTCCTTTCCTAGAAATTTCTCTGCAAACCACCCCTTAATCTAGATGAAATTAAAAGTAGGTATAAACATGACTGCAAAACTGCCCTGAGTTGCTACTCTCTGCCTATGGGGCAGCCCTGCTCTGCAGGAGCAATCACGGAGCTGGATCACCGCCAGAGCCGTAACACTGCTGCTTCCATAAAGCCATTTTCTTCTACCTCCAGTTTGCCCTCGAGTTCTTTCCTGGGCAAAGCCAAGAACTCTCATAGGCTAAGCCCCAGTTTGGGGCTCACCTGCCCTGCATCAAAAGTAAGGAAGGAGTCACTTAAATTGTTCACAGGTGGATCACAGTTGATTCCAGTGCTGAGTCTCTTCTCCCTGCCCAGAGGCAAGAAGAACTTGGGGTGAAGGGAGGTTTGAGTAGCTTTTTAATTCCACAGGGTCACCTCTATTCCTGCCTTCTTTATTCTCTCTTGATATCGCAGTGACAACCGTGATATCAGTTACAGAGTATTTTGCTTGAATGACAGTGAGACTGCGGAAGAAAGAATGTCAAATGAAGAAAACAAGATGCAATATTGACAAATGTGGTGTGTGGCCAGGTGTGGTGGCTCATGCCTGTAATCTCAGCACTTTGGGAGGCCGGGGTAGGCGGATCACCTGAGGTCAGGAGTTCAAGACCAGCCTGGCCAACACAGTGAAACTCCGTCTCTACAAAAAATACAAAATGAGCTGGGTGTGGTGGTGTGCACCTGTAATCCCAGCTCTGTAACTGATGCCTTGCATCAGACACAGGGGAAGTGAGAGGCAGTTGGGCTTTGGCCTAAGAAAAGCACCTGACAAACATACATGTGTAATTTTATTATAAAGGAAGATATAAAAATGGGGGTAAATGAACTCATTTTATTACCTTGAGCATTAAACTTCATCTGTATATGGCAGGTGTCTTTTCGTACTAGTGACTGTCATCTGCTAAACACAGGCTTTGGAATGTTGTTCTGGTTTGTGTATTTCTGCAAAGTTCTGGAATGTGGCTCTGGTAGGCTTCCTGATGTAAAAGACCCGGATCCTGTCTCTGACAGGGGTGTTTAATAAGCATTCGCCAAACTGCCAAATGAGCATCTTAGTTCTCAGTGGAGATTAAAGGTTAAGCAGGTGTTTTTCCAGGCTCTACGTATAATTTAAATTTCAATCGTTATTTTACACAGATTAATCTAGAAGTTGTTAGAAGCAAACATGGAGCCATGCATATTTCCATCATAAACAGGAAAAATAAAATATCTACAGACTTCGAGGGGCCTTCGGGGTCTTGGCACCCTGCCAGTTGCATCTCCCCTGTGGAGGCATTTGGCTTATGATCTTGCAGGGGCTGTTTGTTTCCAAGTCCTGCTCTACCTGTTTCTCGGTGTCTTAGTTCTTGCTTTTAGTAGAGAATATATTTTATTCTTTCCTCTTCAAAGATTTTGTATGTGTGGCTATGAATGAGCAATTCATGTTCATTGTAAAAACATGCCAAGTGCAGAATGGTATAAAGAAGCCGCAACAACAACAAAAAAAACCCTCATAAATCTTAGTACCTATTGGCAACCCCTATTCATATTTTGCCTGATTTCTTTCCATTAGGTTTTCTTTGTATTTTTGACATCATTGAACCACACTCTTTTTTTTTTGAGATGGAGTCTCACTCTGTCGCCCAGCTGGAGTGCAGTGTGGCACGACCTCAGCTCACTGCAACCTCCACCTCCCGGGTTCACGTGATTCTCCTGCCTCGGCCTCCCAAAGTGCTGGGATTACAGGTGTGAGCCACCATGCCTGGCCACACTGTATTTTTCTTTTTTTTTTTAGAGACGGAGTTTTGCTTTTTTTGCCTAGGCTGGAGTGCAATGGCATGATCTCGGCACAACTGTAACCTCCACCTCCCGGGTTCAGGTGATTCTTCTGCTTAAGCCTCCCGAGTAGCTGGGATTACAGGCACACACCACCACACCCAGCTCATTTTGTATTTTTAGTAGAGATGGAGTTTCACTGTGTTGGCCAGGCTGGTCTCAAACTGCTGACCTCAGGTGATCTGCCTGCCTTGGCCTCCCAAAGTGCTGAGATTACAGGCATAAGCCACCACACCCGGCCACACACCATATTTGTCAATACTGCATCTTGTTTTCTTCATTTGATATTCTTTCTTTTGCAGTCTCACTGTCATTCAAGCAAAATGCTCTGTAAACACACTTTTAAATGACTGCCATTCTCTCTTGCAGATTAATGGATAATTTTTCAAAGGTAGAATTATGATTCTCATACTAATATAAAATCAACATGTCAAAGATTTTACTTAAATGATTAACTAATGAGGAAAGGAGTAAGATACAACTGGTTCAAAAGGAAGAATTTAAAGAGCCACAGATATATAGGTAAGAAATGCTGAAATGAATTAACAAGTACAGTTGATGCAAAACTGGACTCCCCAGAGGGCAACAATCAATTACACCCCACTGGATACAATCTATTTGCATTTCTGTGGATACAGGGAATTTGCAGTTATTTCTAGCTTTCTGCAACTTGCATAGTTGTAAAATCGCTTAAAGACCAAGAAAGGCAGTTATAACCCAGTCATCTTTTTTGGCCATTTGAATGTCCTTTACAATTTTTCCTGGTAAGATGTATGTGATTTTATGTGGCTGTTAGGATTGCGTGTGTCGTGTCCCTACATGAACGTGTGTGCCACAGGAAGCTTGGCTTTCTACCCATCTGAGAGGCAGTAAGTCACTGAACCTCACAGGGCCCACAGGCCCTCATCTGTAGAGTGAGGATGGTTGGATGGTCCCTAAAAGCCTTTCCCGAAGCCTGATGTCCACAGTTCCCTAATTAACTTGAGGCAAAGGTCCACATGGGGGACACAGCTGTTGCTTTGTCTCTCTGCTCTTGTCATTCCTTTTAGCAAGATTATACAGGTAGGATAGCAGTACCATATTTGAATTTAAGCCCAAGAGTGATAAGATAAAAATCTATGTTTAACTTAGTTTTCGAGGCTGGGTGCAGTGGCTCATGCCTGTAATCCCAGCACTTTAGGAGGCTGAAGTAGGTGGGTCATCTGAGGTCAGGAGTTCGAAACCAGCCTGGCCAACATGATGAAACCCCATCTCTACTAAAGATGCAAAACTGGACTCCCCAGAGGGCAACAATCAATTATACCCCACTGGATACAATCTATTTGCATTTCTGTGGATACAGGGAATTTGCACTTATTTCTAGCTTTCTGCAACTTGCATAGTTGTAAAATAGCTGTAAAGATATAAAAATTAGCCAGGTGTGGTGGCAGGTGGCAGGTGCCGGTGGTTTCAGCTATTCGGCAGGCTGAGGCACGAGAATTGCTTGAACCTGGCAGGTAGAGGTTGCAGTGAGCCAAGATCGTGCTACTGCACTACAGCCTGGACGACAGAGCGAGACTCTGGCTTAAAAAAAAACAACAAAAAATTAGTTTTCCAAAACTCTTCCAGAAGCTAGGGAGATGAGGTGAGCCAACTCAGAGCCTTCTGGGGGCTGCATTAGAAACATTCCTGAAGCCCTGAGAGACCACTGCCCATCCCACTGGTTCTAATGGATCCACAGAGGTCATTCCAAGGATGAGAGTGGCCCCATAAAGGCAGTGGCAAGGACCTTTGGGTGTCTGGTTGACAGTGGGCCTGGCTACTAAGCCCTTGGTTTCAGTGAGATGAAAAGCAACAGACAGTGTCAGGCTGCGACCACTAAGGATCTTAGTACTCTGCCACTAATATTGCTTTTACTTTCTCATTTAAATTTGGAACTTTTTGAATTTTTCAACAGATATTATTTGAGGAGGTACTTACTTTTATTGTGGTAAGATAAACATAAAATTTACCATTTTAACCATTTTACATCAGACAACTCAGAGGCAATTAGCACGTGCAGTATTGTGCAACCATCACCAATACCTAGCTCCAAAACATTCCTATCGCCCCAAAAGGAAACTTCATACTTATTAGTCACTTCTCATTCTCCACTCCCCTAATCTCCTAGCAACCATGAATCTATTTCCTGTCTCCATGAATCTATTTCCTGTCTCCATGAATTTGCCTATTCTGGATTTAAATTCCATATCAGTGGACTCATAGAATATCTGGCCTTTTGTGTCTGGCTTCGCTTAGCATAATATTTTATAGGTTCATTCATGTTGTAGCATGTGTCAGTACTTCATTCCTCTTTATGGCCAAATAATATTTCCCTCAGTGAATAGCGACAGTTTGACTTCCTCCTTACAAATTTGGAGGCCTTTTGTCTGAGTGCTCTGGCTGGGACTTCCAGTACTATGTTGACTAGGAGTGGTGAGAGTGGGCATCCTTGTCTTGTTCCAGTTCTCAGGGCGAATGCTTTCAACTTTTCCCACAGTATAATGTTGGCTGTGGGTTTGTCATAGATGGCTTTTATTACCGTATATCCCTTCTATCCCAATTTTGCTGAGGGTTTTAATCATAAAGAGATGCCAGATTTTGTTAAGTGCTTTTTCTGCATCTATTGAGATGATCATGTGATTTTTGTTTTAAATTCTGTTTATGTGGTGTATCACATTTCTTGACTTGCATGTGTTGAACCATCCCTGCATTTCTGGTATGAAACCCACTTGATCTTGGTGGATTATCTTTTTGATATGTTGTTGGATTCGGTTAGCTAGTATTTTGTTGAAGATTTTTGCATCTATGTTTTTACCATCATTTTTAAGGCTAGAAAGTCATTTCTAAGCCAAAGGTTTATAATTCTCTTCTAACTTTCCCCCCCCACATGTATTAGTCAGGCTTTACCACAGAAACAGAGTCAACAAGATGTGTATATATGGAAAGATTATAAGGAATTGGTTCATATGATTATGAAGGATGGCAAGTTCAAAATCTGCCAAGCCAATGTCCCAGTTCAAGTCTGAAGACCAGTAGGCTGCTGTAGAACCAGGAAGAGCTGATGGTCCTGTTTGAAGATCTGTCAGATAGGAGAAGGCACTCTTGCTTGGGAGAGGGTCAGCCTTTTAGTCTATTCAGACCTTCTACTGATTGGGTAAGGCCCACTCACATTATGGAAGAGTGGGGGGATCTGCTTTACTCAGTCTACTGATTTAAATGTTAATCACATCCGAAAACACCCTCACAGAAACAGCCAGAGTAATGTTTGGCCAAATATCTGGGCATCCTATGGTCCAGTCAAGTTGGTACATATTAATCATTATATCAGGTATGATTTGATTTTTTCCATTTAGCTTAATAATTCTGGAATTGATTTTGATATATGTTATATCTGATATATAGTACAAGGTAAGGACCTAAATTGATTTATTTTGCAACTAACTAACCAATCATCCCAACACTCTATATTATTTCTTTCCATTCTCATTGGTTTAGGTCTCATTTCTGTTGAGTTTTAGTTTAACAGGCATTCTTCTTTAATCATGTCTCAATCTTATTTTTCATATACAATTTATCTAGGCTATTTCATTATTTATCTATTTAACTGAGTATCTTTAATAGAAAATACTTTTTAGCATACCACATATTGAACAATTTACAATAAAATCACACCATAACATTTACTCTTGAAACAACAAAATCATATCCAAACATAAATTTCCTAAATTAGGTGCTTTACTTAGGTGTAAATTGGGGTATTCATCAAAAGGGGGTGCATAATTTTCAGTGTTTATGCCAAATTTACCATGTACTCATATTGTATGAATTAAGCTATGTATAAAAATATTTTGGGGGCCGGCATGGTGGCTCACGCCTGTAATCCCAGCACTTTGGGAGGCCAAGGCAGGCGGATCACCTGAGGTCAGGAGCTCGAGACCAGCTTGACCAATATGGTGAAACCATGTCTCTACTAAAAATACAAAAATTAGCTGGGCATGGTGGTGCATGCCTGTAATCCCAGCTACTTGGGAGGAGGCTGAGGCAGGAGAATCGCTATATACATATATATAGCAGTTAAATATGTATATCATCCAATTTTTATTAGAAAATAACTGACATATAATATTAACTACTGAAAAAATAGCAAACCCCATGCTATGGGTTGAATGTTTTCTCCAAAACTCCTGTTGGAATTTATTCCCCAGTTGAGAGGTGGGACCTTTAAGAGATGATTGGATTATGAGGATGCTGCCCTTATGAATGGATTAATACATTCGTGAATCAATGGATTCATGGGTTAATGGGCTAATGGATTAATGAATTATCATGGAAGTGGAACTGGTGGCTTTATTTTTTTTGAGACAGAGTTTCGCTCTTGTTGCCTAGGCTGGAGTGCAATGGTGCGATCTCAGCTCACAGCAACCTCTGCCTCCCAGGTTCAAGTGATGATTCTCCTGCCTCAGCCTTATGAGTAGCTGGGATTACAGGTAGCCCACCACCATGCCCAGCTACTTTTTGTATTTTTAGTAGAGATGGGGTTTTGTCATGTTGGCCAGGTTGGTCTGGAACTCCTGACCTCAGGTGATCCTCCTGCCTTGGCCTCCCAGAGTGCTGGGATCACAGGCATGAGCCACTGTGCCCGGTGGGACTGATGGCTTTAAAAGAAAAGGAAGAGACCTGAGCTTGTTAGCATGCTCAGCACCCTCACCATGTGATACCCTGTGTTTCAGGACTCTGCAGAGACCCCAGAAAGCTCTCACCAGACACAGCTCCTCAACCTTGGACTTCTTAGCCTCCACAACTGCAAGAAATACATTTCTTTGCTTTGTAAATTACCCAGTTTCAGGTATTCTATTATAAGCAACAGAAAATGTACTAAGATACCCTGCTTTGACTCCCTAGGCACGTTCTCGTTGGCTGGCACCATCTGTGACAAATCCTGAACTGTATTGTTTACAGACACAGCTGCAGCCTGCATTGGCACCAAAGTCAATTACTGATGTTGTGCTCTTTGCAGCCCTGGCCCTTGCTAATTCTTCTTGGAAGGAAGAGATGTGAAGACAGGTTGCAAATGTAGGAGTGGTAAGAATAACCAATAGTTCATGTCTCCTCTATCTTATTAACCCTCTCCCCATCTTTAGACTCCTCCAGATACTACTCTCTCTCCATCCATATCATCCATACCTGTGGCTTCAACTAAAGGGTTGGCTCTTGAACCCACATTTCCATTCTATATCTCACTCCTGAGCCCAAATTTACATTTGAGTGTTTAATGTTTACCTAAAGCTGTAAGTCAGCCTGATACTCCACAGACTGTACATCTCCTAAATAATACATGTGAACTGGTACTTTTTGAGACTGTCTCACTCAGTCGCCCAGGCTAGAGTGCAATGGCATGATCATAGCTTACTGTAGCCTCAAACCCGTAGGCTCAAGGGACCCTCTTACCTCAGCCTCCTGAGTAGCTGAGACTACAGGCACACAGCACTATGCCAGGCTAATTTTTTAATTTTTTTATAGACACGAGGTCTTGCTATGCTATGAGGTCAGCCCAGGCTGGTCTCAAACCCCTAGCCTCAAGTGATCCTCCTGCCTTGGCTTCCCAAAGTGCTGGGATTACAGGTGTGAGCCACCATGCCAGCCTATTATTTAAAAATTTTCAGCTTTATTGAGCTATACCTGATGAATAAAATTGTATATATTTAAGGTACACAACGTGATGCTTTGATATACATATATAGTGTGAAATGATTACCACAGTCAAGTTAGTTAACACATTCATCACCTCATATAGTTAGCATTTTTTTTTTTTTTTTGGTGGTGGTGAGAACATTTAATATCCACTCTTAGCAAATTTTAAGTATACAATATAGTATTATTAACTATAGTCACCATGCTGTACATTAGATCTCCAAAACTTTCTAATCTTAAAACTGAAAGTTTGTATCCTTTTACCACCTCCTTCATTCCCCCAACCTCCAGCCCTTGGTAATCAGCCTTCTACTCTCTGTTTCTATGAACTTAACTTTCTTGGATTCCACACATAAGGAAGATCATGGAGTATTCATCTTTCTCAGACTTATTTCACTTAGCATAATGCCCCAAGGTTCATCCATTTTGTGGAAAATAACAGGATTTCTTCTTGAGACAGGGTCTTGCTCTGTCGCCCAGGCTAGAGTGCAGTGGTGTGATCATGGCTCACGGCAGCCTTGATCTCCCAGGCCCAAGTGATCCTCCCACCTCAGCTTCTCAAGTAGCTGGGACCACAGGCATGCACTACCACATGTGGCTAATTTTTAAAATTTTTGTAGAGACAGGGTCTCCCTATGTTGTCCAGGCCGTTCTGAAACTCCTGGGCTCAAGTGACCCTACTGCCTCCGCCTCCCAAGTAGCTAGGACTATAGGTGCTCATCACTGCACCTGGCTTGCCTTCTTTTTAATGGCTAATATTTCATCATGTATACCACATTTAATTTTATTTTAAGCTGGAGTCTCCCTCTGTCGTCCAGGCTGGAGTGCAGTGGTGGATCTCGGCTCACTGCAAGCTCTACCTCCCGGGTTCAAGCAATTCTCGTGTCTTAGCTCCCTGAGTAGCTGGGACTACAGGTGTACACCACCACGCTTGGCTAATTTTTGTATTTTTAGTAGAGACAGGGTTTTGCCATGTTGGCCAGGCTGGTCTTGAGTGCCTGACCTCAAGTGGTTCACCTGCCTCGGCCTCCCAAAGTGTCGGGATTACAGGCATGAGCCACCGCGCCCGGCCCACATTTTCTTTATCGATTCATCTGTTGACACACTTAGGCTGTTTCCATGCCTTGCCTATTGTGAATAATACTGCAATGAACATGGGGGAGCAAATACCTCTTTAAGATACTGATTTCATTTCCTTTGGATATATACTCAGAAGTGAGATTGCTAGATCATATCGTAGCTCTATTTTTAATGTTTTAAGGAAACTCCATACTTTTTTTTTTTTTATAATGGCTGTACCAATCTAGGCTATTTTATCTTATGTCATGGCCCAATGTCTTGAAGAAGCTGGTCATTTTCCCTCTACAGAAAAGAAAAAAATAAAACAAATATAATCTCTGGAAGGGCACCACTCAGCTAGGGCACTCCACATGAAAACAACTAGAGAATATGATACAATATGATCAGGGACTTGATTTTGTGTGTTCCAGCAAAGTTAGGATCAGGAGGGGCTATGTTTTGGTGGCTACATCATGGACCAAGAGGGTCTGAATATTTGAATAGAAGTAGGATTTGTCTTGGAAAAGCAGATAGTGGGAGTCTAAGAGGAACATTTGAAGTGGAAAGTAAATTTGATGGTGAAAGTTGTAGCCTTAGAACTTGTTTGGGAGTCAAGAAAGTTATCAGGTGGCTTGTTGCCTCCATTTCTGTATCTGTAAAATGGATTTTACTTTTCAACCTCTCTTCCAGAGGAGGGGGTGCCACGTGCAGGACCGAGAGAATATTTGCTACATGTTTGGAGTTTTTTAAAGAAAAACCAAAGGGGACTACAAGGCATTTATTCATCAAATACGAAAACCTTTCATTCCCCTCCCCACCCCACCTCCAAGCTGGAGACCTTGGCTATAAAGAACTAATGTAATAACTGTGTTGCAATGTGTTTTTCCTCTGGTTTCTTATTCCTTTGGAGTAAGAGGCATGGACATTTAGACCTCAACTGAAGGCATTGATTGGAAGAGTTTCTCCCAGAGTTGGCCCACTTGGAAACCAGGTAATCTGAGCTGGTGGAAAAAAGGCAAAAACCCACAGCTTGTTAGCACACACAAAGCTTTTTAACTCAGATCAGAGTTCAGCTGGGCTTTACATGTGAGCAGGGGGCTGGAGGCAGTTGAGCTTGATTGGAAAGGGGGTGGTGGGCATGTGCTTGCTTTTTCTCAGAGTCAAGAATCTGTTAGGCTGGGAGACGGGAGACGGAGGGAAATTTGCCAAAATGGGAAAGGAGAAGCTAGAGACAAGTGGAATGTACTAAGAATGGGCTGGAGATTATCAGAAGCTGAGGCCTCCTTTCATGGAAACCTGGCTGTTGGGTGGTTGATGTTTTCCCAAACTCCTAACTCCTGTGATTCAGGACTGTGGCTTTAGTAATTATCAAATACTACTTTGCCCTTGTGTGTAAACGGCCAATTACCTCGAACTGTCAGAAGGGCCCAGAAATCTCAAGATCAGTTCCCCAAAATCAGGGAATGGACTAACCCAGTTTTGAAAAGTTCCAGGTGTAGATCTGGAGACAGCATGGCTTTGCATGTGTATATAGACGTGTAGGGGAGGAATGGAGCCTCAATTTATTTTTATTTGGGACAGGGTCTTGCTCTTGTTGCCCAGGCTGGAGTGCAGTGGAGGGATCACAGCTCACTGCAGCCTTGACCTCCTAGGCTCAAGCAATCCTCCTACCTCAGCCTCCCAAGTAGCTGGGACTACAGGTGTGTTGTACCACTACGCCCAGATAATTTTTGTATTTTTTGTAGAGATGAAGTTTTGCTATGTTTCCCAGGTTGGTCTCGAACTCTTGGGCTCAAGCAATCTGCCCACCTTGGCCTCCCATTGTTGGAATCATAGATTATAGGTGTGAGCCACCATGCCCAGACTGGAGCCTTAATTTTTAAAAAAGTTTGATTGAGATATAATTAACATACCATGCAATTTGTCCATTTAAAGTATACAATTCACTGGGCTTTAGTATGTGCAGAGTTGTGCAACCATCATCACAGCCAGTATTAGAGCCTTTGCCTCCAAAAGAAACCCCCTACTCTTTAACTATCACCCCATCTTTTCCCCCGACCCCAGCCTTCAAAAAGCACTGATATGTCTCTGTAAATTTCTCTATTCCAGACTTGCATATGAATGGGATTATATAATATGTGGCCTTTGTGCCTGGTTTCTTTCACTTAGCATGTTTTCAAGGTTCATGTGTGTTGTAGCATGTATCATCACTTCATACCTTTTTATGACTATCATTCCATTGTATGTATATGCTACATTTTGTTTATCCATTCATCAGGTGGACATTCAGGTTGCTTCTACCTTTTGGCTATAATGAATAATGCTGCTATAAACATTTGTTTTCAAGTTTCTTTGTGGGTATATGTTTTCATTTCTCTTATACAATGTTGCTGTAAATATTTGTGTGCAAGTTTTTGTGAGGGGGTGTTTTCATTCTCTTGGTATATACCTGGTAGTGGAGTTGCTGGATCATACAATAACTCTGTTTAATCATTTGAGGAATTGCCTGACCGTATGAGGGTTCCAATTTCTCCACATCCTGGCCAACACTTTTTTTTTTTTTTTAAACATAGTCATCCTAGTGGGTGCGAAGTGGTGTTAAGGTTTTTGTTTGCATTTCCCTAATGACTAATGATCTAGAGCATTTATAGATATGCATATTGGCCATTTGCATATCTTCTTTGGAGAAATGGGTATTCAGATTTTTTTGCCCATTTTAATATTGGATAATTAGTCTTTTTACATTGAGTCATAAGTTTTTTAATATAGACAGGGTCTTGCTCTGTTGCCCAGAGCAACATGATTGCAGTGGCATGATTATAGCTCACTGTAACCTCAAACTCCTGGACTCAAGTGATCCTCCTGCTTCAGCCTCCTCAGTAGCTGGGATTACAGGTGTGCACCACCATGCCTGGCTAGCTTTAAAATCTTTTGTAGAGACAGGGTCTCGCTATGTTGCCCAGGCAACATCTCAAACTGCTGGCCTCAAGCAACCCTCCTGCCTGGGCCTCTTAAAACATTGGTATTACAAGCATGAGCCAAGGCTCCTGGCCCCGGGCCCTTACTTTCAGACTTTAGCTCTTACATTTAGATCTTTCCTCCCTTTTGAGTTAATATTTTAAAATTGAGGTATAATTTATGTAACACACTATTAACCAGTTTAAAATGTACAATTCTGTGGTATTTAGTGCATTTATAATGTTGTGAACCACTACCTCTCTCTAGTTTCAAAACTTTTTCACCACCCCAGAAGAACAACCTGTATCCATGAAATAATCTCTATTAGCCCCCTCCACAAATCCCCTGTTAACCACTAGTCTGCTTTCTGTCTTGATGAATTTGCCTATTCTGGCTATTTTATATAAAAGGAATATTCTAGTATGTTACCTTTTGTGCCTGGTTTCTTTCAGTTAGCGTAGTGTTTTAGAGATTCATCCAAGTTACTTCATTGCTTTTTCTATGGCTGAATATTCCATTGTATGTATATAGTGCCATTTGCTGATATATTCATCCATTGACGGACATTTGGGTTGTTTCCACCTTTTTGATATTATAAATAATGCTGCTATAAATATCCGTGTACAAGTTTTTATGTGGGTATATGTTCTCATTCCTCTTGTATGTATGTGTGTATATATATTATATATATATACAAACTTTGTACATATTTATACACACATATATACATTACACACACACACACACACACACACACACACACACGGGAGTGGAATTGATGGGTCATGTGGTAATTCTATATTTAACTTTTAAAGGAACTGCCAAACTGTTTTCTATAGTGGCTGCTTTATTTTACATACCCACCAGTAATGCATGAGAGTTCTAATTCCTCCACATCCTCATCAATACTTATCTTCTGTTTTTTAAAAAAAAGTTATTATAGCCATCCTCATAGGTATTAAGTGGTATGTCATTGCAGTTTTGATTTACATTTCCTAATGACCAATTAATTTTTGCATATGGTGTGAGGGAAGGATCCAACTTCATTGTTTTGCCTGTGTCTACTCAGTGCTGTTTGTTGAAAAGACTCTTCTTTCCCCACATAGCAATCTTGGTACCCCCGTAGAAAATCAGTTGATCATAGATGTATGGGTTTCTTCCTGGGCTGTTAATCTTACTCCATTAATCGACATGTCTATTCCTGTGCTAGTATTACACTGTCTTGATTGCTTTATAGTAACCAGGAACCTCTGTAGTAAGTTTTGAAATCAGGAAGTGTAGTCCTCCTACTTTGTTATTTTTCAGTACTGTTTTGGCTAGTCTGGGTCCCTTGAAACTCCATATGAATTTTACAATCGTTATTGATTCCTACGAAGAAATCAGTTGGGATTCTGATAGGGTTTTTGTTGAACCTGCAGATCAGTTTGGGGAGTTTCACTATCTTATCAGTGTTAAGTCTACTGACCCATAAGCAGGGAATTTTTCCATTTATTTAGACCTTCTTTAATGTCTGAAACAGTTCATTTATAAGGCCCATCCATGTGGTCAACTTTCTGGGACTTACATTTTGAACCTATGAAACATTCAGGGAAAGAAGTTTTGTGGAAGGTGGGGAAGGGTATAATGAATTCTGGCTTGATGCCTCATTCTTGAATTCTCCAGAGGTGATGAGGATCTCCCCTTCTGAGCTGCACCCTTTACAGTAAGTCTTAGTGGCCTTCAGGAGAGGGCTGCTGAGCAGGCTCATGAAACCTACTGGAAGTCCCTGGTCAACTGTCCTGGAGAAGGCAGGGGCCACTTCCTGCCCTGCTAGGGAGACTGATTTCTGGGGTGAGGAAGAATGAATCACGACCCTCTTGGACCCAATCTACCTGCCTATGAGAGGTTGTAGTGAGTCACCCTTACTTGCTAATGACAATGTTTAAATGACTCTGAATGACCTCAGAGGTTTGCCTCTACTCTCCTGAAAGTTCTAATTTATAGAATGATGCCCTCTGGTTTCATAACTGGACAAAATGCATATCAACAGTTGAGAAAGAGTGAGAAAGAGAGAGTGAGAAAGTTGGGGGAGAGAATATACTAAGCCCTCATGAAGTTTCTATAATAACCTATGACATAGAAAACTCCCACCAACTCTTTAGATGTGACTCCATTTTATAAAGAAATCTCTTTCTCTTTTCCTTTTTTCTTTTGCCATTCTCTTCTCTGCTGCAGGAAGTCCTTATCTGTCCCTTGAACGCCCAGTTTCAGTTTTTCCCTCTTGGTGAGGCTCCTCTGGGCAATCCCGTCCACTCATCACTGTCTTTTCTGCATTTCTGGTGTGTGTGGTCAGAGTTTCTACCCAACACTTGCTCACACGCAGTCTGGATTGCTTTCTGATAGTCCCCGGCATTAATCTCCTCTTCCCTGTGCTGTCATCTCCACAAGGGCAGGGCAGGGCTGTGCTGCCGACCTCATCTGCATGCCCTGGGGGATCGAGCTGACACTGGGTGCAGCAGGAAGTGTGGCCCTGGTAGAATGTTCTCACCCATTCCAGTATAGGATTGGGACTTCCTGTCCTCATCCAGGCTGTGGCGGTTACATTTAAACCTTTCCCACACCTGGGTCTCTACCTCAGTTGTTGTCCTAGCAGGTTGGGTTGGTTCATCCTGCCCTGGGCATTCCTAAGGCTATTATAAGTGTGTCAGGTCTGGGTCTTTATCTTGATTAGAATAATAACTTCCTGAATTTGTCCAGTGGGCAGCCTTTCCTTAATGAATGAAAAAAGAACTGGAATGTTACTGCAAATGAGTATCTACCCTGTTCTCTTTCCACAGAACTCTTAGCATTCTGTTGTTATGAAATCTCCTGGATATCTAATTGGATGTATATTACTAGAGTGCTTCTGTATTCTGACATCAAGTTTCATTTTAATTATATGGGAGAAAAACTAATTCTTTTAATTAAACCAACATGGATATTAACTATTATCATTGACTTCTAGCAGATAAATCTTACATGCAAAAAACAGGGCAAATACCTCCTGCACTCCTTGGGTTGCCTGTGGAGCAGCCTCTGGGAACTCAGTCTCAAGGAGATGAAGGGCCCATGGGCATTCCTAGTTCCATGGAGGATGGGGACTAGTGTGGAGCAAACTTGTCAGGATCATTTATTCATTCACTTTTAGTTGTATGTTTGCTAAATCCTTACAAATAAGGTGTAAACCAAAAATAAAATCCTAAGCACCCCCTCGCTACCTACCTGAAACTGAATGGATCCCCTCTGGACCAAGGGGACCCCAGAGAAACCTGAAAAACTGAATTCCTGGTGTATTAGTCAGGGTTCCCTAGAGGGACAGAATATGAGATTATATATATATTATATATATATTATTAAGTATTAACTTACATGATCACAAGTTCCCAAAATAGGCTGTCTGCAAACTTGAGATGCAAGGAGAGCCAGTCCAAGTCTTAAAACTGAAGAACTTGGAGTCCGATGTTTGAGGACAGGAAGTATCCAGCATGGGAGAAAGATGTAGGCTGGGAGGCTAGGCCAGTCTCACACTTTTCACGTTTTTCTGCCTGCTTTATATTTGCTGGCAGCTGATTAGATTGAGCCCACCAGGTTAAAGGTGGGTCTGCCTTCCCCAGGCCATTGACTCAAATGTTAATCTCCTTTGGCAACACCCTCACAGACACACCCAGGATCAATACTTTACATCCTTCAATCAAGTTGACACTCAGTATTAACCATCACACCCAGCCATGATGGGAAGTGATATGGTCTGGCTCTGTGTCCCCACCCAAATCTCACGTGGAATTTTAATCCCCAGGTGTCAGGGGAAGGAGCTGGTGGGAGGTGATTGGGTCATGGGGCATTTTCCCCCATGCTGTTCTTGTGGTAGTGAGTCCTCACGGGATCTGATGGTTTAAAAGCGTGTGGCAGTTACCCCCTTGTTCTCTGTCTCTTGCTGCCATGGAAGACATGCCTTGCTTCCTTTTTGCCTTCCGCTATGATTGTAAGCTTCCTGAGGCCTCCCCAGCCACATGGAACAGTGAGTCCATTAAACTTTTCTTTATAAATTACCCCGTCTCAGGTAGTTCTTTATAGCAGTGTGAAAATGAACTAATACAAGAAGGAAGGACCACCTCATTATACCCCTTCCTTTGGAGTCTATGCGCAATTGACCAGCATTAATATTAAAATACAGATCATAAGACTAACAAAACAGACTCTGGGAATAAGACACCAAATGCCAACCTGACTCTGGTTAGCATCACAGGACAGACAGCAGACCCTGAAGGAAATAAAAATATTTTACCCCAAAATGTATTTCTTTGACATATTTTGAAATGGTCCTGCAAAACTGTCTTTTAGGGGAGGACATTTGTATCTGTAGAGAATCTCCATTAATGCGGACAGGGCTTTCCTGAATTTAGGAGGGATAAACATCTTTTAAGGTCCAAAAAGAGACATTTACCATCTATTCTCTCCAAAGACTGCTACCTATGAGGCTTCATATACCTAACAAGAGCCCTGGTCGTGGCAACCTCCCTTAGCTTAACTCAAGCATTTCTTTCTACTGGCAAGTCTTTAGACAAAGTTCAACTCTTTCAACCAACTGCCAATCAGAAAATCTTTGGATCCATCTGTGACCTGTAAGTCCCTGCTTTGAGATACCCAGCTTTTCCGGGCCGAACCAATATATACCTTAACATGTATTGATTTATGTCTTTGCCTGTAACTTCCATTTCTCTAAAATGTATAAAACCAAACTGTAACCCTATCTTCTCAGCCATAGTTTCTCAAGACCTCTTGAGACTGTTCCCTGGGGCCTGGGTACTCATATTGGCTCAGAACAAACCTCTTTAAATATTTCACAAAATTTGGTTTTCTTCATCAACAAAGAACACAACATTTTCTCTCTGTACATTCAGGCAGTGTTTTTCACACATAGATTTTGGATTTTCAGATTTAAAAATTCCTACATAGCACCTGCCTGGCTTACTGGCCCTATTTAGAATTTATGTGCAGGCTGGGTGCAGTGGCTCATGCCTGTAACCCCAGCACTTTGGGAGGCTGAGGCAGGAGGACTGCTTGAGCCCAGGAGTTGGAGACCAGCCTGGGCAACACAGTTGTAGAGACCCCATCTCTACAAAAAAATAAAAAAAATTAGCCAAGTGTGGTGGTATGCACCTGTGGTCCCAGCTACTTGAGAGGCTGAGGTGGGAGGATTGCTTGAGCCCAGAAACTGGAGTGCAGTGGTCCATGATTGCGCCACTGCACTCCAGCCCCTAGGTGACAAAATGAGAAACTGTCTCAAAAACAGAAAACAAAGAATTCGTGTGCAGTTGGAGAGACGAAAATTTTATGTTATACAAAGCAAAACACACCTTAGGTACCAGCCGTGGGGAGCCATTTGCTATCCTGAATATGCCATGCTTCTGATAAGGGCAGTGCTTGGTGTCAGGCTCATGAAAAGCCCTGGGATTGGCTAATGTTGAACAGTCAATGGGAAGTAAAGCAACCATCAAACTCTGAGCTGGGAAGGCACCTTAAATAATGTCAGTTTATCTTTTGTGACTGGACTAGTCCACCAGCTTTGTTAAGGAAAGACCCATGACTCCAAGGGTATGAAAATACAAAAGGCATGGGTAGTTTTTGGCATTCTGCCTTGTGTCCTATGTCATTGAGTCTTTCTGACAAACGTGGAACAAAAGCTCTTTGACCCTACATACAGCAAGTAACCAAAGTTTCATGTCATTCATAGAGAACTTCACATGTGTAGGTAGACAGGGCTCATTTGTAAATGATCAAGTTAGCCTAGGGCAAGGTCAGAGAAGCATTTTTGATGTTTGCTTGATGTTTGTTGTCCTAGGAGTTGGGCAAACCTGCCCTTCTCATAAGTCCCTTGTTACAGGGGCACACAATGGTTTTGTGCTTTTTTTTTTTTTTTTTAAGAGATGGCGTATTGCTCTGTCACCCAGGCTAGAGTGCAGTGGCTCAATCATAGCTCACTGCAGCCTCATGCCTGGCCTCAAGAGATCCTCCTACCGCAGCCTCCTGAGTAACTGGGGCTTCAGGCGTGCATCACCATACTTGGTTATGGTTTTTGTGTGTTTGCTTTTTCAGGTTTTTAACTAGAGATGGGGTCTTGCTATGTTTCCCAGGCTGGTCTCAAACTCCTGGCCTCAAGCGATCCTCCTGTCTTGGCCTCCCAAAATGTTGGGATTACAGGTGTAAGCTACCATGCCCAGCCAGGTTTTGTACTCTAATTGGCTCTTCCTCCAAAAGTGGAACATGATTCATAACACAGTTCCCAGGCCGTGGACTTTTTTTTTTTTAAATCAACACATATTTTGCTCTCAATGACACAGTTTCTGTGCTATCTTTATGGTCATTTTTTTTTAACATAATCAAAAGAGTATTTTCCAGACTTGAAACAGTGTTTCCTACCAATTTGGATGCTGTTTTACTCTTTGCTTTGGTGGGTTTCCAAACAGGTAGGCACCAACCGATTTCTATCTTCAGGAAGCTGCTGCAGATGTGCGAAGAATCTGAAGAAAATGTGAAGCCGGAGGGGGGCGCTGCCCCACCAGCTCACCCCTGCAGGGTAGGCTAGGCCAGCTGGGGTGGCAGCAGTCTCTCCAGCCTCAGGGCCTGAGGGCGCTGCTCATTTGGGACCAGGCCAGGGCCACAGCATAATCTTCATCTCCATCACATTTGCCTCTACTCTTTAGCCCAGGAGTTCTGTTCCACGTGAATGGGACAAAGGCCAAACTGCATTTCTTTTAGAAAGCCTCCTGTTTATTCTGTACTTGCACGTGGAGATCCGCGGAGATTGATGAGAAGGATGTGACGAGGGCATGTGGAATGACTCAGGGCAGAAGCTCCTGGAAGGCTGGCTCATGGCTTTTCAAGGAGCCCTGTGATCCTGCTCTGGTTGCTGGATTGAGAGGCCCCAGCCCCACTGTAGCTTCTAGGCCAATGTCCCACTAGACTAGCCCAAATCCCCTGTCGGAGGAGGAGAAGAACTGGACAACTCCCCACTAGTAGATTCAGAATGAAATGTTATTGGGTGCTATCGGCTGAATTGTGTCTTCCCCAGATTTATATGTTGAAGTCCTAACCCCCAGTACCTTAGAATGTGACTGTATTTGGAGATGGAGACTTTAAAAGGGTAAGTTAAAACGAGGTCTTTAGGGTGGGTCCTAATCCAATATGCTGGTGTCCTTGTAAGAAGAGAAGATTAGGATTCAGAGGCACATAGAGGGATGGCCATGTCTAGACACGGGGAAAGGCAGGCATCTACAAGCCAGGCAGAGAGGCCTCAGAAGAAACCAACCTTTTTGACACCTCAGTCTTGAACTTCTAGCTTCCAGAGCTTCGAGGAAATAAATTTCTGTTGTTTAAGCCCCTTAGTTGGCTGGATATGGTGGCTCACGCCTGTAATCCCAGCACTTTGGGAGGCCGAGGTGGGTGGATTGCTTGAGCCCAGCCTGGGCAACATGGTGACACCCCATCTCCACCAAAAATTCAAATATTGGCTGGGTGTGGTGGCACACACTTGTAGTCCCAGCTACTCAGGAGGTTGAGGTGGGAGGATTGCTGGAGTCTGGGAAGTCAAGGCTGCAGTGAGCCGTGATCACCACTGCATTCCAGTCTGGGTGACAGAGTGAGACCCTGTCTCAAAGAAAAAAGCCCCCCAGTCCCAGTGGGCTTCATGACAGCATCCCTAGGAAAGACACACTGGGTCTGGTGGGCACTATAGATACTTCTGGCAATGATGAGCTCTGCAACCCGCTCTAGCTATTCTGTGGAACTTTTCTGTTGCTGTTCTTTGTGAGCTCTCAAAGGATATTGTACTTCTCACCCATCAAATTTTACCACAGAGTTTGCACCTTATTTTTTAATTCTTTGCATTCTTTTCTTAGGTACTGGGAAAACCGGGGACTGGGAGTTAGGAGCCCAAAGCCCCAGCTGCGGGAACACTGTGATCACACTGTGTGGCCTTGGGAGGTTGTCCAGTCTCCCAGGGCCTCAGGCTCCTGGCCTGTAACACAGGCGATGGAGCAGGTGCTCTCTGAAGCCCCTCCCAATGCTGACAAACCCTCCAGGGACTCCAACACTAGCCTCACGCTGTACACTCTGTGAGTGCCATCCTCTCTCAGGCTGCTGATTTCTCCCACTCATGAGCCACTGTGCCTGGCCGAAGGTTCATTCTTGCTAACATCTGCACGGGAGGCCATTAGAAAAAAGGCCCTTTTAGAGTTCAAACGTGCCAGTGAGAGAACAAGGACGCCTACTTCCAACCGCAGGGAGTAGACCTGGAATTCTAGAGCTGTCAGTGAAATTCCCAAGGCTACCTCTGACTTATATTGTTTGACTGGGTAAGTTGATGAGTTATTTTTTGTTTCAACAAAGGTAGTGGTTGAGGTAAAATCAGGTGTCCTTTGAAAACTGGATGACCATGGAGATGTAGAATAGTGCTAAAATGGACAAATCAACAGCTAATCTGGTGAACTTGGCACCTGTTCTAGGGAAGCATTGCCATTTGGGTGGCCTCGCTTGGACTATGGTTTGGTGTTGAGTCTCAGTCCAAATAAAGTATGGATCTTCCTTCCTCTTCCCTCTGCATGTGCAGACTGCTCAATCCAAAGCCTCACAGCACTCTGTCAGCTTACCTATTGCAACAGGTACTGGCCCATGTGTTATTCTGGCTTATACTGTGGCCCCATCCTAAACATTGCTCACCTGAAATTGGAGGCCACTAAATATTTTCCTGATGAGTGCCCAGTGATTTCATCTTTTGTCATATGCCTCCCTTTGATTCTGTTCAGCTCATTGCAGTTTCATAAAAAATATTTCCTGTGTATTCAGAGCCATATACAGAACACTATATATGACACAGTGTCATATACTAAAGAACTACATGACCCAGTCCTAGACTCCAGGGAGCTTACAGTTTTCCCAGGAAGACAAGATACTTACATGAAATAGTCTGAGAATAGTCAAGACAAAAAAGCCATGGCCTCTGTTGGGCTGAACAGAGGCTCAAGTGCTCAAATGGATGATACAGTCAGTAAATTTCAAGACTGGTGAGGTGGGAGAGAGATCAGAGATGGCTGCAATTTTCAAGAAAGACTTCAAGGAGAGGACATGGGCCTTGCTTTGTTCTTGGCATTTTAAAATGGGACCAGTGATACTAAGTTTATGCAGCAATTCAGGCTCTTAAAGGATCAGGAAGAATTCCTTAGACTCTTTTAGAAGTGGGACATTGGGTTAAGGGAGAAAGGTTTTAGGAGAGGTAATAATTAGTAGAGAGAGGGGCAGAAATGGAAAGTAGACTTGAGCAAACAGCCTGTTTAATTTGGACTGTGTGAGATGGTTTCCCAACAAACATCCCTTTTCTTTCTCCCTCCCGTGCCTTCTTCAGTTTCTAGACCCTGACGTCATGACACGGTGCAGCTGCAGTTATGTATCTTTTCCTTTCTGCTTGACCCCCCAGCTTAAGTACCACTTTCTTGGCACCCACAATGGAGGGCGCTGCCAGTGGCACAGATGAGAGATTGATTTTGGACTGCCAGCTCTGATGGAAAGCTGAGGACTATTGCATGGCCTTCCCCGAGGCAGCCACTGGAAATGGTGTGGGGTGGCTCTTCTGAGAGGGTAGAATTTTGGATGCCTACCGAACCCTTCTCTAGCAAATGGAGACTGGTAGACATCCATCCTTCCTGAGTCAGTCAGAACTGTGACCCCTCTTCAGATGGAGTCCTAGGCCTCATTCCCTTCCAAGAGGATAGAGATGACATTGTCTTGGGAGTTAATGTAATAGGTAAGCTGGTGAGGTTGAGGGTTCAAGAAGATAGAGTGGTGCTGGATGGAGTAATGGCCCATGTCAAGCTATTATAGGAAACCACACATTTAACAAGGGAGAACTGATATATATATTTTTTAACACCCTTGGGAGAACCACCTCCTGGGAGGATACCAGGAACCCACCATAACCTTTATTATTGAAAATATCAGGAGGGATTCTGGGTGAGCTTTGGTCTTTCCTAGGTGGAGGATGCACATGACCTAAGGAAGTGGCACCTTGTGCCCAGAGCTCTGGCACACTTCTGTAAACTAATTCACCCATGCCTACTTCTTCCCAAGACAGGTGAAAGGTAGGAAAGACCCACAGAGGGGAGACCGCAAGTTGAATGAAAGCCCAAGTTGATTTCCTTTTGTGATGCTGCCACCATCTATATCATTCGTGGCAGGTAAAGGCTGCCATGCCTGGTCTCCACTTCAGTTGTTCTGATCTGACTCTGATAGCATGTCAGGGAGAGATGACCTCAGTGACCCAGTCAGCTCAGAAAGGCAGTTTTGCTGCTTTCCAGGAGGTAACTGAATAATCCAAGTCTGATAGGAGAATCTGGGCTGGATGGTTTTCCTTGTGAAATTTTGACTTAAGAGAAAAAAACAAGCAATTTACTAATTTTATGACCTTGTGAGAGGCAGTATAGCATAGTGGCGAAGGTCAGGGGCTTTGAATAGACTTGGTTCAAGTCCACAGCTTGTATCCCTTGCTTAACAGCTGTATAACCTAGACCAAATTGCTTAGCTTCTACAAGCCTCAGTTTCTTCATCAGTAAAATAGGGATAATACAAATCTGAGATGCTTTAAGAACTTGATAAGATAATATATACATAGCACATGGTGATCAATCAGTAAATGATAGCCAATAGTAATCATTATTAATTACAACTAAGTTTTGGATAGGGAGGATATTTGGTAGGTTTAATGAGATGGGCCTTTTGGCAAAGAAATTCATGATAATACTTGTTATTTAAAACAAATAAACAAAGGTATAACTAGGATAGATGCCCTTGACCTCCCCTATCCTGGTCATACCAGGCAATAACCTCTGACCCCTGGGCAGCAGACTAGGGCTGGCGACCTGGCTTACCCCACCCCAGGACCATGAAAGCACAGTACCTTTTGTCTTGCTGGTGTCTAACAAAGAAGGTCCAAGATGGAAACTATAATATGTGCACTCAAAGAATGTTTACTGATCTCCTGCTGTATGTCAGACACTTTTAGGAGCTGGGGACCCAGCAGTGAATAGGCAACATCCTTGACCCCATGGAATATACATAAACAATTTAATTAACAAGGTCATTTCCAATGGTGATGAGGGCTGAGACATCTTGTTTTCAGACTGATGTGTTGGAGTCTTTTCCTCCTGATAACGTTGAATGTCATTTCAAGGCCACCAGGGCTGATTCTATTGTGCCTACCTGTGCACACACAAGACTTGTGGGCTAAGCTTCTGGCTGGTCAGACACCAAGGCCCCATGTCCTCTGAGAGACAGAGTTCACTGACTGTGGGAGAGCCTTGGAAAATTCTGTTTCCCTCCTCCTGGGATCATGTTAACAGCACTTATATCCCAAACGGCCCCTTTGCAAATAAAATCAGATGTTTCTGCCCGACTCAATACTTCCTTGTCTTTCACTGGGCAGGTCTCTGTGCCATTTGAGGGCTTAAAATTTTGTAGAGCCCTTGGGATTGGATGTTTATTAGTCAAACAGAAATATGTTCCCTCTTTTTTTCCTTCATGTAGAAATGTATCTCTGGAAACATATACCAACCACTGCCAAATGCCTGGGAGTCAGGAACAGCACTACCTGCCAAGTCTTTAAAGTTTAATTCACTGCCATCCAAAGTGCAAATTAGGGAGCTGGCTCTTCTGATGTTTGGATCTGTGACACAGGAAGCTGAGTGGAACCTGAATTAGAGGTCAGGGGGCCCCAAGTTCTCTGGAGGTTATTAGTCATGAACATTGGGCAAATTACCAAATATCTCTGGGGCTCAGTTTTCTCATCTGTGAAATGGGGCAATTCAAAAGTTGCTGTGGAAGGTAAAACAAGATAAAGGCTACCTTCAGTGCCTCAGGTGTGAAGCAAGCAGGCTATCAGCAGAGGAGGAGCCAGCTAGAGGGTGAGCTAGGGCTACAGGGACCAAGAGGTAGTGGCATTTGGATGTTAGAATCTTAGAGGACACAGTGACCTTCAGTTTGGGCAAGGTTATGCCAGCATCTTTAGAGTTGTGGCTAGTGACTGAGGTGAGGCAATAGGAGGTTCTGAGTGAGGCCCTAGTTCTAGAGATGTGTGTGGGAGGCAAAGCAGGGTTATAGCCAGCAGGAGAGGGTTAAGGTAGAATGTACCAGGTCCCAGAGAGGGGGCTAGTGAATACTAGGTGAGGAGTGAGAGCGAGAACATGTTAGACAAGGAGTCAGGGCTAGTGTATGCTAGGCAAGGAGTCAAGGCTAGAGCGTGCTAGACAAAGAGTCAGGGCTAGTACATGCTAGACGAAGAGTCTGAGCTACAGCATGCTAGACAAGGAGTCAGGGCTAGTGCATGCTAGACAAAGAGTCAGAGCTAGTACATGCAAGACAAGGAATCAGGGCTAGTACATGCTAGACAAAGAGTCAGAGCTAGTACCTGCTAGACAAGGAGTCAGGGCTAGTGCATGCTAGACAAGGGGTCAGGGCTACTGCATCCTAGACAAGGGGTCAGCGCTAGTGCATGCTACATAAGGAGTCAGGGCTAGTGCATGCTAGGCAAGGAGTCAGGGCTAGTGCATGCTAGATAAGGAGTCAGTGCTAAAGCATGCTAGGCAAGGAGCCAGGGCTAGTGCATGCTAGGCAAGGAGTCAGTGCTAGTGCATGCTAGGCAAGGAGTCAGGGTTAGTGTATGCTAAACAAGGTGGGTTGGGGCCCACTTTTAGCCTCATCAAGGGTATACTCAGAAACCCAAGGCAGAGGATGAGTTTTTGGCCTGAAGGCCTTTGTTCAGTGTCAGAGGGAAGATTACAGGTTGCAGTTTGGGGCTGTACTAATTTAAGGCAGCAAGAACAATTCAGGAACCCACCTGTGCAGTGGGGGAAGGGGAGAAGAGGGTGGGGATTGGACCCTAATATACTGCCAGGTCTAGTTAAGGTCAGTTCAGGGCTTGCCATGTTCTGTCAACATGATTCCATATACTCTTCACATGACCTATGACATAGATATGGTCTTTATTTTACAGATGAGAAAAATGAGCCCCAGGGAGATAACTTGCCCAACATCTCACAACTGGTAAGAGGTACAGCCAAAACGAAAACCCGGGTCTGTCCTATGCCAAAGACTACCCTTTTAACTCCTGGAGACTGGGCTGTGATCTCTCCCTTCTTTGAGAAATATGTTCTTAAATTAACAATCTTGTTCACAGCAAAGTAATGGCACATGAAGGAAATCTAAGGCCTGTGTATCTAGCACTTAGACCAGGGCCCTTTCCTCTCACTGTTCCCTCAAGTACCATGGCCTTTGCAGCCCTCCTTGTCCCCAACCCAATTTGGCATTAAAACTTTTTTGGAAACACATATTCGTTCTATCTCTGGATGACTGAAAATAGAAATTAAAGCTGAAGAGACTTCTGTTCGAAACAAGGAAAACCTTGTCAGCAAGGAACAGAAAATTTTTTGAGTGAGAATGACATACAGGTGTGGAGTCGCTTTGCTTTGAGGTTTTTCTGAAGAAAATAGACTATAGCTGCTGTTTTTTGTTAGTTCAGGGTGACTAAAATCCATCAGTGACATCAACCAAGACCCAAACTAAGTTTTTATTCTTATAAATTCCACGTTGCTATGATCTGAACGTTTGTGTCCTCCCCAAAATCCATATGTTGAAACCTAATCTCCATTGCAAGTATTAAGAGGTGGGGCTTTTAGGAGATGATGAGGTCATGAGGGCTCTGCTGTCATGAGTGTGATTAGGGTCTCTTGTTAAAGAGGCTTGAGGGAGCTTGATTTTCCCTTCCACCTAAATCTGCTGACTCCTTGATCTTGGACTTCCCAGCCTCCAGAACCATGAGCAATAAATTTCTGTTGTTTATAAATTGCCCAGTCTAAGGTATTTTGTTATAGCAGCCTGAATAAACTAAGATATTTTGTTAACTTATACTACTGAGAAGACTTGATGCATATTTTAGAGATATTATTTATCCATTTAGTCACTTGTGTGCAAAATCCATTTTATGTGTGCATGTAACACTGTCCTTTGCATTTTTGCTTTAATGGAAAGTTTATTACTCTGTTTCTGTTTCAAAATCTGCACACCCAGCCTGCAGGTCACTGTCTTGGGTGTGGACAAACTCATCTTCTAAATCTCCATTTAATCTCTAGAACCTTCTCATGTGCCCTGCCCAAGGCACCTGTGGATGTAGTAGGTTACCTGCAAAGAGAAAGACATGTGTCTCTCAAAAGAATGTGGAGAACAAAATAAAGCAGTAATGGATTATAACACAAAGTATAAATATTTATGAGTTCATATATTTTTGTAAATAAATGAATAAATAACAAAGTGGGCAAAGAGGCAAATCTCCAATGCAGAAGAATTTCAAATTATTTATATAGACACTGCACCCTCAAGGAGGTAGAACATAACTCTCCACATTAGCTTCTTGTGGCTGCTATAACAAATTGCCACACTCGGCGATTTTTGACAAAGATCTATTTTCACAGTTATAGGGGCCAGAAATCTGCCATCAGTATCACTGAACTAAAATCAAGGTGTCAGTGGGTCTGTGCTCTCTCTGGAGTCTCTGGGGTCTCCTTGCCTCCTCCAGTTTCTCCTGATTGCTGGCCGCATTTCTCCACTCTCTGCCTCTGGGATCACATTGCTTTTCCCTTCTTCTGGGTCAATCTCCCTCTGGCTTCCTCCTCTTCTTCAACTTTTAAGTTCTGGGGTACATGTGCAGGATGTACAGGTTTGTTACATAGGTAAATGTGTGCCATGGTGGTTTGCTGCACAGATCAACCTGTTACCTAGGTATTGAGCCCAGCATCCATTAGCTATTCTTCCTGATGCTCTCCCTTCCCCCTGCCCTCCCTGACAGGCCCCAGTGTGTGTTGTTCCCTGTCCCCACCATGTGTCCATGTGTTCTCATCATTCAGCTCCTACTTTTAATAGGAAACATGTGGTGTTTGGTTTTCAGTTCTTGCGTTAGTTTGCTGAGGATAATGGCTTCCAGCTCCATTCATGTCCCTGCAAAGGACATGATCTCATTACTTTTTTATGGCTGTATAGTATTCCATGGTGTATATGTACCACATTTTCTTTATCCAGTCTATCATTGATGGACATTTGGGTTGGTTCCACGTCTTCGTTATTGCGAATAGTGCTATAATGAACATACGTGGACTTGTATCTTTATAACAGAATGATTTATATTCCTTTGGGCATATACCCAGTAATGGGATTGCTGGGTCAAACTGTGTTTGTTTCTAGATCTTTGAGGAATTGCCACACTATCTTCCACAATGGTGGAACTAATTTACATTCCCACTAACAATGTAAAAGCATTCTTTTTCTCTGCAACCTCATTGGCATCTGTTGTTTCTTATTAATAATCACCATTATGACTGGTATAAAATGGTAGCTCATTGTGGTTTTGATTTGCATTTCTCTAGTGATCAGTGATGATTAGCTTTTTTTCATATGTTTGTTGGCCACATGAATGTCTTCTTTTGAGAAGTGTCTGTTCATATCCTTTGTCCACTTTTTAATGGGGTTGTTTTCTTATAAATTTGTTCAAGTTCCTTGCAGACTCTGGATATTAGATCTTTGTCAGATGGATAGATTGCAAACATATTCTCCCATTCTGTAAGTTGTTTGTTCACTCTGATGATAGTTTCTTTTCCTGTTCTGCCTCTCTCTTACAAGAACACTCGCAATTACAATTAGGGCCCATTCTGATAATCCAGGATAATCTCTATATGGTGAAATCCTCAATTTAATCGCAACTATAAAATCACTTTTGACATATAAGGTGTCATTCACAGATTCTGGGGATTAGCATGTGGACATATTTAGGGCCTATTAGGCAGTCTACCACACTCCTTGCTCCTTAAGTATGAGCTTTGCATAGTGACTTTTGTCCAAAGTGTACTGTATGAGAAGGTGGGCAGGTGGGGGAAGAGTAGCTTTATGGTGGAGGAACCTGACAAACACTCCTTGAGCAGGTGACCAAGGTCAACATCAACAGTGATAAGTCATGTTGATAGTGTGTACCTTTAACATGATGGGATGAGAATGGGATGTTACCTCTGGGGTCTTCCTCCCCAAACCACATAACTCCAGTCTAATCATAAGAAAAACATAAGACAAACCTCAATGGAGGTGCATTCTACAAAATACCTACAATTAATTAAACCTATTATGATAACTTTGAATGTTAAAGGGAAAAGGTCAAGATATTGATCCTCTTCCTCCCAGAAAGCTCCTTGTGCTTTTGGCAAATTTGCCTGCTTATTCCCCAATAACTTTTAAGTTCCTTTGATTAATGAGTGTTGGGGAGAGGCAGCCTAATTCTATCTGCTTATAGCATTGAGCCCAGGACTTTGCCAAGCAAAAAATTAATCAAACAAAAAGATACAATTTTTGTCCTTTGTCTTTCCAGAACCATGTGTGCTTTCTTGCTTTATATCAACATAACTGAAAGGGGCCACTCAAGTGATTCTTCCCCAAATGAAAGTCTGTTCAAAGATTTCTTAGTATTTCCATTTAAACAGGAAAGACTGATAACCTTTTAATGATCAGGCTGGTGGTTCAAAATCAAATGCCTAGGCTGGGTGCGGTGGCTCATGCCTGTAATCCTGGCACTTTGGGAGGCCGAGGCAGGCGGATCACTTGAGGTCAGGAATTCGAGACCAGCCTGGCCAATATGGTGAAACCCTGTCTCTACTAAAAATGCAAAAAAATTAGCTGGGTGTGGTGGTGCACACCTGTAATCCCAGCTACTTCGGAGGCTGAGGCAGGAGAATCGCTTGAACCTGGGAGGCGGAGGTTCCAGTGAGCTGAGATCACACCACTGCACTCCAGCCTGAGTCTCACAGTGAGACTGTCTCAAAAAAAAAAAAAAAAAAAAAATCAAATGGCTAAAGTTTGAACTCACTGGGCACCATCCCATAAGGTAAAAGAGGAATAAAATGAAAGTCACTATGATAGATTGTATTTTCCAAAGATAGCTGCATCAACATTCCATCTCACATTGCAAGCTTTCCTCACAATGTGAACTTGACACTCCTTCATTGAAAGGTGGGGTCTCTGCTCTGCCTCCTTGAATCTGGGTGAACCTGTGACTAAAGGAGAATGAGGCCACATGATTACCAAGGCTAAGTCATGAAAGCTGATATAGCTTCTGCCTGGTTCTCTTGAGACACTCACTCCGGGAACACAGCCACGATTCTGTGAGGAAGCCAAGTTGCCACAAGATGAAGTTGCACTTAGGTCCTTTGGTCACAGCCTCAGCTAAAGGCTCAGCCAGCATCAACCGTCAGATGTGAATGAACGAGCCTTCAGATCACCCCAGCAGACACAGAGTGGAGCGGAGATGAATTGTCCCTGCTGAACTTGGCCAAAGTTGCAGATTCATGAGAAAAATTAATGTCTTAGGCTACTAAGTTTTAGGGTGGTTGGTTATACGTCAATAGATGACCAGAAAATATACATTTATACAACCCTATTAACATTTTGGGGTATCTCCTAGCAGTGTTTTGGGAAATCTTTTCAAAGATGACAGCTTAAATTTTGATAAGCAAAGAATTATGGTAGGTATTTTCCTTACATTTCCTGTTTCTAAACCATTTCTCCTCATTCCTCCTTTGAATAGACAAAAATCAACCTTTTAATCAATGAACAACTAAAACCAACTTCTCTGAGGTTTGGGCTATCTTGCCATCCCATCTGTTTCCCCTCCTCATGGCTGAGATTTCCTTCCCTTACTAACAACTTTAGCACTGTCTTCCTCTCCATCTCTGCCTTTGTCATCATTGGCAACAAAATCTAATGGCATGATCCATCCAACACCCTGGCTTTGTTGTTCCTTAACCTTTGAACCTCCAAAAATCTCTTTCAATCCAGCTCAGCTTTCCACTCTCTTGGTTACACCACAGATTGTGTTATCACAAGCAACTGCTCTCACCTTCTTTGAGAATGAGCTACTCTTTTTCTTGCTTCCTCACTTTAGAGCCCGTACTGTAGAACACCCTGGTCTCCTTGAGACTGCCCATCCATTGACCTTAGGCTCTCATGATTATTTATTATTAATATTTATTTTAGAGACAGGGTCTCACTCTGTTGCCCAGGCTGCAGTACAGTGGCGTGAACATGGCTCCACTGCAAACTTGACCTTCTGGGCTCAAGTGATCCTCCCACCTCAGCCTCTATCTACCAAGCAGTTTATGTGCTAGGGTCGGTGCTAAAGTCTTTATTTTACTATCTCATTTAATCCTCACTACACCCTCAAGAGGCAGGTACTGCTTTACCCATTTGACAGATGGGGAGTCTGGGGGTTAGAGAGGTTATATGACTTGATCAGGTTTTTCAGCTAGTGTTTTTTTTAGGGCTCAAATCCAGACCTTTCTGATGCCAGAGCTCATGGGCATAACCAGAGAGCAACACTGAGCTTTGGCAATGTAATCATGGTCTGTAAGGGAAGCCCACTGAGCCGTTTCAAAAAAATCCATTTTGAAGAATAGCCAGGGGAACTTTTGGGAGGCTTAACAACAGGTGTTAAAAAGGAACACAAACAGAAACAGAAGAAAATCCCCCAATAGCATTCTTTCCCTTCCTGGTGTTCTCTCTCACTGGCTCTGGCTGGGGATGAGAGCAAAGCCAGCAGGGGACAGGAGAGGTTGGAACCTTGGGCAGCTGGGGAGGGACTTGGGTAGCTGTGGCAGGGACTCTCTGGCACCACCCTTTAAATTGATCTCTACGTCCTACTGAATGTATTTCTGAGATACTTCTTGTATCTGGCTCCTCTCTCTCCCCACTCCCATGGCAGTAGTTTGGGAGCTTGTTGCATCTTATCCTGAGCAATGGACAGAGTGTTGGACATGGGGGCTGTTCCTCTGTTCTCCAGAATCCAGCACATCCAGCCGGGGGTTCCTTCCTTCTGAACCTCGCTCACTCCTCTCCAGAAAAGCTCCCATGGTTTCCTCTGGTCCTGGCCAGACTGCTGTTCTCATGCTGCCTCCAGTTTTCATCTCCAGCCTCAACTCCTGCCCACCCGATAGCCCTCTGCCCCAGATCCAGTCAGATCCATGTCTACTTCTTCCAGCCACTGTATTTTTGCAAATGCTCTATCCTTGGCATGAAATGCCTTTCTTCCCCTGACAAGGAGAGTCATTTCCTCACTCAGTCTGCAGATGTCCCTTGGATGCAGCCCTTCAGCACTGCAGAAGAGTGGGCTAAGTTGGCTTCTCCTAGTCCATGAGCTTTTGGGGGCTCTTATTCACTATTGTACTCTGAAAATCTACAGGGCTTAGTAAGTAGGTGGTGCTCAGTAGGTATCTGTTGTGCGAGTGAATAAAGGAAAGAGGGTGCTATATGTGGCTCTTCTTCTCCAACTACATGCCAAGGAAGAGAGAGGTTTCTGGTGCCATTGAGAAAGATATGCAACTAAACTGTCCCTGGGTTGGACAATGACCAGGCTTTTGTTTGCCTCCTCTTAGGTGAAGGAAAATAAACTCATGAGTGGCAGCTAGGGTGAGACACTGTGTTTTCTCTGCTGAGAATTGGCAAGAGATACAAGAAGAACCCTGGTGGCAAGGACTCCCCAGCCTGGGAAACCTCAGGAACTCATCTGTACACAGGTGAGGTCATTTGGCTGCACACCTGTACAAATGAAAGGTAGGGGTTAACCACAGCTTGCTTCTCCCATGTCTTCTTGCCCAGCTCCACCTTAGCGTGGTGCTGATGGGCTGTCCCCAAAACACTTGCCTGAGGGTGGGTGATGGTGTTTGCTTAGAAAAAGCTCCAGAAACCAGGCTTGACATTGGCAACAAGCATCTAGCAGCGGTTCTCAAGCTTGACTGCACTTTGCCATCACCTGGGGGGCTTCTGAAAGAGACAGATGCCTGGGCCCATCCCCAGAGATTTTAATTGGTTTTGCCACATTGCGCAGGCTGGTCTTGAACTCCTGTGCTCAAGCAATTTGCCCTCCTCAGCCTCCCAAAATGTTGGGATTACAGGCATGAGCTACTGCACCCAACCCTATGGCTGCTTTCACACTTGAACAGCCGCATTAAATAGTTGTGACACAGATTGAATGGCCCATGAACCCTAACATATTTACAATTTGGCCCTCCACAGAAAAAGTGTGCTGGGTGGAAACCAAGCATGGGATTTTTTCAAAGCTCCCTAGGTGATTCTAATGTGCACTCAGGTCTAAGGACCCCTGTGCTAAATGGATGAGACAGCATCGGGGGTTCCTATCCCACTCAGTTGGGAAGAGGCTGGTCTGCAGATGGGCTGAGGGCTGGTATCTCTGGAGGCTCCAGGCACAGCCCTACTCAATGCCTGGGGACCCTGTCAGGGACTTTGTTCCAAGGCAGGGGTCAGCATGCTTTCTGTGGAGGGCCAAATTGTAAATATGTTAGGGTTCATGGGCCATTCAGTCTGTGTTACAACTATTTAATGCAGCTGTTCAAGTGTGAAAGCAGCCATAGGGTTGGGTGCGGTGGCTCACGCCTGTAATCCCAACATTTTGGGAGGCTGAGGAGGGCAAATCGCTTGAGCCCGGGAGTTTAAGACCAGCCTGGGCAACGTGGCGAAACCCTGTCTCTACAAAAAATACAGAAATTAGCCAGATGTGGTGACATGTGTCTGTAGTCCCAGCTACTTGGGAAGCTGAGGTGGGAGGATCACCTGAGCCTGGGAGGCAGAGGTTGCAGTGAGCCGAGATTGCGTCACTGCACTCTAGCCTGGACCACAGAGCAAGATCCTGTATTAAATGAATAAATAAATAAATAAATAAATAAGTAAGTAAGTAAGTAAGTAAAAGGCAGCCATAGACAAGAAGTAAATGAATGAGCATGGCTATGTTCCAAAATATTCCATTTATGGACACGGAAACTTGAATTTCAAATAATCTTCACGTCATGAATAGTCTTATTTTCTCAGCCATTAAAAAATATTTAAAAACCATTCTTAGCTTATGCATCGTACAAGTGATTAAGCTGGATTTGACCTGGCAGATCCCTGCTCTGAGAGATGAGTGGCAGCCATTCCTCACAGCTTGATAGATGGTAAATGCTTCCTCATCTGTTCCCCTCCCCAGACCCTCTCAGTTCTCCATTGACAATGGCCTACAAACCAGCTCTCACCCACAAGGAGTGCCAATCAAGATAGGAATGTTATTTATTTATCTGTCAACTTCATCCTGAGCAAAAGGTGCTCAAGTGCACGTGGGCAGGTGATTGATAGAAAATATAAGGCTTAGGTTTTTTTTTTTTTTTAAGCTCATGTATTTTCTCCAAGGAGCCGAGGACACTGTAGCAAGACCTGTAAACAAAACTATTCCTTTTGGCATCCTTAGGAAGTAGAAGGAGAAACTTTAACTACAGAGAGAGATTATTTGGTAGTAATGAGAGATCTTCTCTAACCAGGCTTAGAGTTTGGAGCAGACTGTTGGGTGATGCCCACATCCTGCTTCCTGCTGTCCACCTCTATCTTCAGAGGGGCCTGGGCCCCATGTCCAGTTCCATAGGGTGAATCATGAACTGTTTAAATCAAGGACTAGATACATAAGACATGGTCCCTTTCTCCTTCTGGATGTTGCCCTGTGTATGTGTTGATGTCTGCGTATTGATGCCTGGAATTGCAGCAGCCATGTTGGGAGTACGAGGGGAGCTGGTCTGGGCAGGACACACTGAGGATGGTTGAGTGGAAAGTGGAAGCAGCCTGGATCCTTGCTGACATTGCTGAGCCACTGAGGAAGCCAACACTGGAGCCGTGTTCCTCTGGAGTTGTTATAGGAACTAAATTCCCCTATTGTTTAAAGTTATTTTAAATTGGGGTTTCTATTTCTTACAGCTGAAAATATTAAAATTCATATAGAGGTCAGGAAAGAGATGCCCTACACAGAATCCCGTATCGGGCACATCGTGGGTTCCTAGTTGATCGACTGAAGGAACAATTTTAAATACATGAATCCAATTGTAGTTTAGCAAAGAGACTTTTTATAAAGAAGTCCCTTTGTAAGAGGACTGCCTTCTTCCAACATCTCTGGCAGGGTAGCCATCTCCAGTTTATTTTACTTGAAATCTCAGTGACAAATAAGTGGGGAAACCCAGAGCCCCTTTCAGCTGAAGAGCATATAGCCCACTAATTGAACCTATCCCACCCGGGTTGGTAACCAAGTCTTTACTAGTGAATCCAGCATCTCCTGATAATCCCATAACTCTGATAGAAGGACCAATCAAATCAACACACATGATTCAATCGTATATTTGCAAAGTCACCCTTGTAACAGTGGGCTCTAGTTATAGTTTGAGATGCAAAGACTATCCCTCCCTTCTATTCTGGTTATTTTGGCACTTAACAAATTACTCCAAAACCGAGTGGTGTTAAACAACCATTTATTGTGCTCGCAGATTCTGCGGGCCAGAAGTTTAGACAGGACACAGTGGGGCAGGCTCATCTCTATAGAGCAGCTTGAGATCTGGGGCTAGAATAATTTGAAACATTACTCACTCACAGGTCTGGTGGTCCATACTGGTAAGAGTCAAAGACCTGAGGGCCCTCTAGCCTCTTTCTGTCTCTAATCCAACCCCACCAGTCTCTCTGACCTCATCTCTTTCTTCTCTGCACTCTAACCAACTGGCCTTCTTATTCTCTTCAAATCCAAGTATGTTCCTGCCTCAGAATCTATGCATGGGCTGTTTGTTTCTGTCTAGAATGTACTTCCCCCATATTGTCTCATGTCTCCTCCCTTACCTTATTTGGGTCTTAAGAGTTAACAATCAGTGAGACCTTCCCTGACCATCCTATCTAAAAAGCCATCCATTCCTATGGCTAACTTTTTATCCTGCTTTATTTTTTCCTCATAGCACTTATATTTATTGTTTATTGACTGCTTCCTCTACTGGAATATAAGCTCATGAGAGCAGAAACCCTTCCTAACTTTTTCAACATTATATTTCCAGTGCTAAAACAGTAACTTTACATGGTAGGTACTCAATAAACACATTTGAATGAAAACTAGAATTAAAAAGCGTTTTTTTTTTTTTGTCCTGTTCTTTCTTTGTTTAGTTACCTTAAAAACCTGTGAAGTAATAATGAACTATCTGGAAAGAAAATTAGGAAAACTCCCATTTATAATTGCACTGAAAAAAATAAAATACTTAGGAGGTGAAAGACTTGTACACTAAAAACCACAAAACATTGATTAAAAAAAATTAAAGACGACAGACTGAGGGAGAGAGACAGAGAAAGAGGGGAGAAGGAGGAGGATTCAGGGAATAGGAGCTGGGGAGCCCTTCTGTGCCACAGAAGTAGAAGTAGAGATACTCAAGATTATGGCAGACAGGAGGCAGGACTAGATTGCAGCTCTGACTTGGATGGACAGAACACTGTGTGGAGGGTCGCATCATGAATTTTAGCTCCAGAATGACTGCAGGAATAAATCAGGAATCCCAGAGGACCCACAGACCCTCTGAAGGAAGTGGATTGCTCCTGCAGGACCCGGGAGACACCCCAAATACCGTGAGTGCCCAAACTGTGGAAGTGGGAAAGGGAGATCATCCACCCCCAAACACACACCCCCACTGGGGAACCTGAAGGTCTAGTTTGCGGGAAAAGATTCCAGCCTTACCTGGAGCTGAGTCAGTTTGGAGAGCCAAGCGAAATACAGGGGTAGAGGAAGCAGTGGGAGAGGCCCTTGGAGCTCTCTGGGTCCCCAAGCAGGCCATTTCTGCCTGGCACCACAGGGATCCTTCGGGGAAAATGCCACAGGGAGAAGGAAGTCTTCAGCTGAACTTTGTAACAATTTGAACTGGTTGAGAAGCCTCTTGGCCAGAACTTAGGGGAGGGCACATATCCGGCATGTAGACTCCACAGGTGCAGGAAGAACTAAAGCCCTTTTCTTCTGCAGCTGGAAGGTGGGTAACATGGGGCAAGTTCTCAGCCCTGCTTGTCCACTGTCTGAAAACAGACTCAGTGCTGTTGCAGAGAGGGGGCACGGTGGGAGTGAGAATGGCCCTTTGGATTGCATGGGAGCTGGGTGAGGCCTGTGACTGCTGGCTTTCCCCCACTTCCCTGACAACCTGCATGACTCAGCAGAGGCAGCCATAATCCTCCTAGGGACACAACTCGATTGACCTGGGAACTTCACCCCCATCCCGCACAGCAGCTGCAGCAAGACCTGCCCAAGGAGAGTCTGAGCTCAGACACGCCTAACCCTGCCCCCACCTGATTGTCCTTCTTTGCCCACCCTGGTAGCTGAAGACAAAGGGCATATACTCTTTGGAGTTCTAGGGCCCCACCCACTGCCGGTTTCTCTCCATACTACCACAGCTGATACTCTCTGGAAAGCACCACCTCCTGGCAGGAGGCCAACTAGCACAAATAGAGCATTAAACCACCAAAGCTAAGAACCCTTACAGAGTCCATTTCATCCCCCTGCCACTTCCACTGAACAGGTGCTGTATCTACGGCTGAGAGACCCATAGACGGTTCACATCCCAGGACTCTGTGTAGACAACCCCAGTACCAGCCCAGAGCCTGGTAGACTTGCTGGGTGGCTAGACCCAGAAGAGAGATAACGATCTCTACAGCTTGGCTCTCAGGAAGCCACATCCATAGGAAAAGGGGGAGAGTACAGAGTTGTCAGGTTATCTAAAGTTAAGATGAAGGAAAGAATCTTAAGAGCTGTGAGACAACAGCACCAGGTAACCTATAAAGGAAAACCTACCAGATTAACAGTAGATTGCTCAGCAGAAACCCTAGAAGCCAGAAGGAATTGGGGCCCTATCTTCAGCCTCCTCAAACAAAACGATTATCAGCCAAGAATTTTGTATCCAGAGAAACTAAGCATCATATATGAAGGAAACATACAGTCTTTTTCAGACAAACAAATGCTGAAAGAACTCACCACTACCAAGCCACCACTACAAGAACTGCTAAAAGGAGCTCTAAATTTTGAAACAAATCCTGGAAACACATCAAAACAGAACATCTTTAAAGCATAAATCTCACAGAACCTATAAAATAAAAATACAAGTTAAAAAGCAAAAACAGAAAACCAAGGTACACAGGCAACAAATAGCACAATGAATGGAATGGCACCTCATATCTCAATACTAACATTGAATCTAAATGTCCTAAATGCTATACTTAAAACATACAGAGTTGCAGAATGGATAAGAATTCACCAACAAACTATCTGCTGCCTTCAAGAGACTCACCTAATACATAAGGACTCACATAAACTTAGTAAAGGGTGGAAAAAGGCATTTCATGCCAATGGACACCAAAAGTGAGCAGGGCTAGCTATTCTTACATCAGACAAAACAAAATTGAAAGCAATAGCAGTCAAAAAAGACAAAGAGGGACATTACATAATGGTAAAAGACCTTGTCCAACAGGAAAATATCACAATCCTAACCACATATGTTGATAGAAGGGCTGAGGCAGGGCTTGCTTGTCTGACATAATGTAAGAGAGTCTTGGAACATATCCAGGGTCCAGGGTCTAAAACCCCTCATGGCCCATGGAACACCAAGCTCTGTGCCTAAGGGTGGAAGGCTGCCCCACCACACTACAATCTAAGCCCAAACATAAAACTCCTTGTGGCTTGGAGAGAATCCGGGACTCAGGGCATAAAACCCCTCGTGGCCTCTGGAATGTGTCCAGACTCGCTGGCGCCTTGCTTCTTGCTCTCCCAGGATCAAAAATTGATTGTACCTTGAGTTAGAAGAACCTGTTCTCCATTATCTCAAGTAGCAGAGCATATGCTAAACTGTCACATCTACGCTTGATGCACCATTATCTTGCTACTCCCACATCCTCACATCCTCACCACCTGCTTCTTTGATCACCAATAAATAGTGTGGGTTCCCAGAATTCGGAGGCTTCACAGCCTCCATACTAGCATTGGTCCCCTGGACCCACCCTATGTACTTTTAACTTGTCTTGTGTCACATAAACTTGAAAACCTAGAAGAGATGGATAAATTCCTGGAAAAATACAACCCTCTTAGCTTAAATCAGCAAGAATTAGATACAATAAATAGATCAATAACAAGCAGCAAGATTAAAATGGTAATTAAAAAATTACCAACAAAAAAGTCCAGGATCAGATGGAGTCACAGCAGAATTCTACCAGACATTCAGAGAAGAATTGATACCAATTATTTGACACTATTCCACAAGATAGAGAAAGAGGGAACCCTCCCTAATTCATTCTATGAATCCAGCATCACCCTAATACCAAAACTAGGAAAGGACATAACCAAAAAAGAAAACTACGGACTGATACCCTTGATGAATATAGATGCTACAATCCTTAACAAAATACCATCTAACCAAATCCAACAATATATCAAAAAGATAATCCACCATGATCAAGTGGGTTTCATACCAGGGATGACTAACATATGTAAGTCATTAAATGTGATATACCACATAAACAGCATTAAAAACAAAAATCACATGATCTCAATAGATGCAGAAAAAGCATTTGACAAAATCCAGCATCCCTTTGTTATTAAAACTCTCAGCAAAATCAGCATACAAAGGCCATACATCAATGTAATAAAAGCCATCTATGACAAACCCACAGCCAACATAATACTGAACGGGGAAAAGTTGAAAGCATTCCCTCTGAGAACTGGAACAAGACAAGGATGCCCACTGTCACCACTCCTCTTCAACATAGTATTGGAAGTGCTAGCCAGGGTAATCAGACAAGAGAAAGAAATAAAGGCCATCCAAATTGGTAAAGAGGAAGTCAAACTGTCACTGTCTGCTGATGATATGATTGTTTACCTCGAAAACCCTAAGGACTCCTCCAGAAAGTTCCTAGAACTGATAGAAGAATTCAGCAAAGCTTCTGGATACAAGACTAATGCACACAAATCAGTAGCTCCCCTATACACCAACAGTGACCAAGCAGAGAATCAAATTAAGACCTCAACCCTGGCTGGGTATGGTGGCTCATGCCTGTAATCCCAGCACTTTGGGAGGCTGAGGCAGGTGGATCACGAGGTCAGGAGATCGAGACCATCCTGGCCAACATGGTGAAGCCTCGTCTCTACTAAAAATACAAAAATTAGCTGGGCGCGTGGTGGTGCATGCCTGTAGTCCCAGCTACTCAGGAGGCTGAAGCAGGAGAATAGCTTGAATCCGGGAGGCGGAGGTTGCAGTGAGCCGAGATCGCACCACTGTGCTCTAGCCTGGGCGACAAAGCGAGACTCCGTCTCAAAAAACAAAAACAAAACAAAAAAACAACAAAAAACAAACAACAACAACAACGAAACTCAACCCCTTTTAAAATAGCTGCAAAAAACAATAATACTTAGGAATATACCTAACCAAAGAGGCAAAAGACCTCTACAAGGAAAACTACAAAACACTGATGAAAGAAATCACAGATGCACAAACAAATGGAAACACATCCCATGCTCATGGATGGATAGAATCAATATTGTGAAAATGACCATACTGCCAAAAGTAATCTATAAATTCAACACAATCTTCATCAAAATACCACCATCATTCTTCACAGAATTAGAAAAAACAATTCTAAAATTCATATGGAACCAAAAAAGAGCCCGCATAGCCAAAGCAAGACTAAGCAAAAAGAACAAATCTGGAGGCATCACACTACCTGATTTCAAACTATAAGGCCATACTCACCAAAACAGCATGGTACTGATATAAAAATAGGCACAAAGACCAATGGGACAGAATAGAGAACCCAGAAATAAACCCAAATACTTACAGCCAACTGATCTTCGACAAAGCAAACAAAAACAAAGTGGGGAAAAGACATCCTTTTCAACAAATGGTGCTGGGATAATTGGCTAGCTACACATAGAAGAATGAAACTGGATCCTCATCTCTCACCTCATACAAAAATCAACTCAAGACGGATTAAGAACTTAAATCTAAGACTTGAAACTAAAAATTCTAGAAGATAACATTGGAAAAACCCTTCTAGACATTGGCTTAGGCAAGGATTTCATGACCAAGAACCCAAAAGCAAATGCAATAAAAACAAAGACAGGCCGGGCACGGTGGCTCATGCCTGTAATCCCAGCACTTTGGGAGGCCAAGGCGGGTGGATCACCTGAGGTAGGGAGTTCGAGACCAGCCTGGCCAACATGGGGAAACCCCGTCTCTACTGATAATAAAAATATCAGCTGGGCGTGGTCGCAGGCTCCTGTAATCCCAGCTACTTGGGAGGCTGAGTAACGAGAATCGCTTGAACCCGGGAGGCGGACGTTGTAGTGAGCCAAGATCGCGCCACTGCACTCCTGCCTGGGCAACAAGAGCGAGACTCCCTCTCACAAAAAAGAAAAAAAAAAAAGACAAATAGATGGGACTTAATTAAACTAAAGAGATTTAGTTAAACTAAACTAAATGAACAGTCAGCAGAGTGAACAGACAACACACAGAATGGGAGAAAATCTTCACAATCTATACATCCGACAAAGGACTAATATCCAGACTCTACAAGGAACTCAAATCAGCAAGAAAAAAAAATCCCCCCAGAAAGTGGGCTAAGGACATGAATGGACAATTCTCAAAAGAAGATATACAAATGGTCCACAAACATATAAAAAAATGCTCAACATCACTAATAATCAGGAACATGCAAATCAAAACCACAATGCAACACCACCTTGCTCCTGCAAGAATGGCCATAATCAAAAAATAAAAAAATCAGTAGATGTTGGCAAGGATGTGGTAATCAGGGAACACTTCTTCACTGCTGGTAGGAATGCAAACTAGTACAGCCACTACGGAAAACAGTGTGGAGATTCCTTAAAGAGCTAAAAGTGGAACTACCATTTGATCCAGCAATCCTACTACTGGGTATCTACCCAGAGGACAAGAAGTCATTATTTGAAAAAGATACTTGCACACGCATGTTTATAGCAGCGCAATTCACAACTGCAAAATCGTGGAACCAACCCAAATGCCCATCAATGAGTGGATAAAGAAACTGTGGTATATATATATATACAATGGAATACTACTTAGCCATAAAAAGGAATGAATCAACAGCATTCACAGCAACTTGGATGAAATTGGAGACTATTATTCTAAGTACAGTAACTCAGGAATGGAAAACCAAACATCGTATGTTCTCACTGATATGTGGGAGCTAAGCTATGAGGATGCAAAGGCATAAGAATGATACAATGGACTTTGGGGACTTGGGGGAAGGGTAGGGGGGAGGAATAAAACATTATAAATAGGGTGCAGGGTATACTGCTTGGGTGATGGGTGCACCAAAGTCTCACAAATCACCACTATTGAACTTATTCATATAACTAACCACCACCTGTATCCTAATAACCTATGGGAAAATAAAAAAAAAAGGACAAATGGACACCCCATGTTCATGAATTGAAAGACTTATTAAAATATCCATTCTATCCAAAGCAATCTACAGATTCAATGCAATCCCTATAAAAGTCTCAATGGCATTTTTTACATAAATAGAAAAAAAAGTTAAAATTTATATAAAACTACAAAATACCCCAAATAGCCAAAACACACTTGAGAAAGAAGAACAAAGCTGGAGGCATCACACTTCCTGATTTCAGAATACTACAACAATTTAAAACAGTCTAGTACTGGACAAGGATAGACATATAGAACAATGGAGCAGAATAAAGAGCGCAGAAATTAATCCACACACGCATGGTCAACTGATCCTCAACAAAGGTGCTAAAAATACAGAATGGGGAAAGGATAGTCTTTTTCATAAATGGTGTTGGGAAAACTGGGTATCAACATGCAATAAAAAAATTTGATTTTTATCTTACACCACACACAAAAATCAACTCAAAATAGATGAAAGACTTAAATGTAAGACCTGAACTATAAAACTCCTATAAGAAAACATAGGAGAAATCTTCATGCATTGGTCTGGGTCATGATTTTCTGGATATATCCCCAAAAGCACAGGCAACAAAGGCAAAAATAGAACAATGAGACTGCATCAAACTAAAAAGCTTCTGCACATCAAAAGAAGTAATTAATAGAGTGAAAAGGCAGCCTATAGAATGGGAGAAAATGTTTGTAAACCATATATCAAATAAGGGGTTAATTTCCAAAATATATAAGGAAAACAGCTAATAACCAATTTAAAAATGGGCCAAATACTTGAACAGACATTTCTCCAAAGACAACACACAAATGGCCAATAGCTATATGAAAAGATGCTGAACGTCACTAGTTATCAGGGAAACAAATCAAAACCACACTGTTAGGATGGCTATTATGAAAAAGACAAAAGATAACAAGTGTTGGAAAATACATGGAGAAATTGGAGTACTTGACACTGTTGGTGGGAATGCAAAACGTTACAGCCTCTATGGAAAGCAGTATGAAGACTCTCCCTAAAATTAAAAATAGAACCACCATATGATTCAGCAGTCCCATTTCTGGATATATATACACACAAAGGAATTCAAATTAGGATCTCAAAAATGTATTTGCACTCCCAACTTCACTGCAGCATTATTCACAATAACCAAGATGTGGAAACAACCTAAATGCCCAATGTTGAATGAATAGAAAGGAAATATGGTTTATAGATACAATGGAATATTATTCAGCTTTAAAAAAGAAGGAAATCTTTCAATTTTCAACAATGCAGAAGAACCTGGAGAACATTATGCTAAGTGAAATAAGCCAGGCACATACAGACAAATAGTGCATGATCTTACATATATATATGGAATCTAAAATAGTCATGTTTATAGAATCAGAATTGTGGTTATCAGGAGGAAATGAGGAGTTGCTAATTGCAACAGGTATAGTCTTAATTACACAAGCTAAATAAGTTCTAGAGATCTGTACAACACTGTTCCTATAGTTAACAATACTGTATTGTACTCTTAAACATTTAACACAGTAATCTGTTAAGTGCTCTTACAATTACATATATGTGTGTATATATATATATATAATGTGTGTGTGTATTTGGCTAGTACTTAGTGCCACTAACCCTGAGATGGAGGTTAGTGGTACTAAGTCCTAGCCAAATACTTTCTCATGGTAACTAACAAATAACAACTAGGGTTGATGAAGGATCTTGGAGTTCAGCTAGCTGAGTGCCGACTAAAGTACCTGAGGATACCTCTTCTGAGGAAGAGATAATTTAGGAAGGACATACAAGCTGTCTTTAAGTGTTAGGAAGCATTATGTCAAACAGGGATTAGTTTCATTCATTATCACTCTAAAGCTCTACTCTCCACTTTTAAAAAATTGTTCACCCATAACAGTAAAATATTTTCAGTACTCTTCCGGCAAGTATATATTTATTTACAAGTTATATGCACATTAATTGTTAGCAGAGTTGAAGTTCTTTTTTGTTTTTAAGATGGAAAATAAGCCGTCTTTGTATTTTCCCCCCACTCTGGAGGGTGACTTGTGCTGCCCCTGGAATGTGCACACCCTGATATGGAGACCACGGTTTTGTGGGGACAGCTAGTACCAGCAGGAGAATTTCAAGAAAGTTGATTCTGGCCTTACTGGATTGTCATATCTATAGCCCTCTCCTATGGTAGAGCCCCAGGAATTAATTTTTCCAAGAGCAGTTATTTCTGGGGTTGTGCGATCCCGACACCTGATTAGACCAAGGTTGGTGCCCAGGCCAAAGCAAGCATGGACATAAAGGAAGAACATAAAAGAAGCTGTTGCATATCAGGTGGCATGTGAGTTGGGCCCTTCAGGAAGCAGATGCCAAGATGGAATTAAAAGAGCAACAGATGTACTGGAGGGAAATGTTTGGGAAGGATACAGGGGACAGGAAGCAGGAGTAGACAGAAAGATCCTGTAGACCATGAAGCTCGTCTGACACCAGAGAAAGGAGAGAGGGAAAGGAGGATTGTGTAGGAAGAGCCTCAGGCTGCAGGGCATCTGAGAAAAATCTCAGCTGGATGGGTGGGGAGTCTTCAGATGAGGTTGCCTGCTGGAAGAGTCCTTTGTCAGGAAACAGTGCCCTATCTCTGCTTCCCTTGCTGTGTTCAGTGACTGACTGGGAGTAGCCCATTCGGTGTGGGGCTTGTGAAGGCTGTGGTGGATCCTGAGGTGCAGCCGCTAGAGGCTGTCCACTGACTACACCCTCCCAGAAGGGAAGCTTGGAAAGAGCATTTCCACGGGGTTCTGAATTGCATGCTGACAAATTGACCCAACCAGATTTGCTCCCTTGTGAAGAACAAATGCCTGCTGCTAAGGATAGACGACTCACCCGGTCCTTGGGAATGCTTATAGGACCTCAATGACACTTGGCTCTTGTTTCAGTTCCCTGTGAGTGACCCCTGCAATCCAGGCAGAGTCCTGTCTTGGAATTCCTGCCTCCTCCCTTCTGCATGTGACCTTACCCTACTCCCTCATCATCTAGGTTCATGAGCGCATGCCTTCCCAGGACCCAGAAGAGCCTCCCTGAAACATTGTTACCTCTAAGGAAGAACTTTCTAATGCTAACAGCCACACAACAGTGGAATGTGCTAGCCCCTTAGGAAGTACAGATTGTCCTATCACTGCACTTGCTTTTGCTCAGGTGGCATAGTTTCCTGAAAATTTGACGTTAACTGGAAATTTGGACTAGACCAATGCTTCTCAAAGAGCGTGCCACCTGCATCAGAATCAGATATGTGTGGGAAGTGGGGTGGTGAGTGGGGAGGAGTGGTTAAAATGCAGATCTCTGGACCTTACCCAGACCTCTCAATCAGCATATCTTGGGAAAAGATTCAGGTATCAGCAAACTTATGTTGAAGCTGGCCGGAGAAAACATACTATGAGGTCCCTCCCTACTCTGAGAGTCTACGATTCAACTTCTAAAGCTGTTTATTAACTGGGACTGGCTGGAAGCCCTTGGAAAAGTTAGTTAACCTTTGGGCCTCAGTTTTGTCACCTTTGAAACAGAAGTTCAATTATAGTCTCTCTAACTCTGGAGTCCATGCCTCTTATCTATCTTCTCTCTCTTGATTTGAAGTTTGCTTGTGTCTGGGTACAAGTGAGCATGTGAAAAAAAAATTTTTTTTTGCAATGAAATAAAATAGTAAGTACTCAATAAATTTTTGTTGACTGATACCTTGGTTTAGGCTTAGTCAAAGGAGACCATTCAAAACATGAGGAAAGCCACATCTTAAAAGCTAGGAGCTTCCCAAACCTTGGCTCACTTCAGAGTCTAACATGAAAGCCGTTATTTAAGTTGTGCTTCTGAAGTGGGCTGAAGGCCAAGGCAGTGGCTTACACATCACAGGACTGCTGCAGGCCAATAAATGCTCTGCTAGCGATGCTCATTGCTTGAAAGAGGTTTCCCCTGTGTGGCTTTATCAAAGGCCACAGGCCGGCAGCCGGACACGCAGAACTGTTCCTGTGTGGATACAGAGGCTCTCTGTCAGGCTGCCCCTTGCAGGAACCACAGGGTTGGTTTTCATCCTCTCTGTAGGGAGGAGGATGGAGGAGGAGGTGGGGAGAAGGACACCTGTGGGGTTTATCCAGATCCCAGAAGTAGCAGGCAAGACATGCAATCACATCTAGGGATACAGAAGCCTCAGACTGGTGGCTTTGGTTGCAGTGTCTCCATCTACTTTTTTTCTTTTTTTAAATAATTCAGATGGGGCCTTGCTATGTTGCCCAGGCTGGTCACAAACTCCTAGGCTCAAGCAATCCTCCCTCCTTAGTCTCCCAAAGTGCTGGGATTACAGGCATGAGCCACTGCACCTGGCCACCATCTACTTTGGTTTTAGGAGAACACTTAGGAAAAAGGAGTGCTGTATTTCTGAGTCAAGGACATTGGGTGCTGCTGGTAATCATATAGGTGCCCCTGCCTGCATGGGGCCTGTATGGCTCCTGTCAGCTAAAAGTAGTTATTATTTGGGTCAGGTTGCCTGTGCTGGGGGAGCCTGGGCTCTCTCATCAGAGTCCTCTCCCCTCCTTTTCGGGAGAATCTGTCTTCAGAAACATCTGGGTGAGCCATTTCTGCTGACAGTCATCCCCATGTCTATGACCTTGTGAGATACCCAATGACTCTCATCTTTTGGTCCCCAGGCTCTGATCTAACACAAGCCTTGTCCAGCCTCATCTTGAGTTTTCAGGTAAGACCCCTTGGTTTAGTCCCTTACTTGTTCTTCCCTAATTCTCCTGCCTATAGAGATAAACCTCCGAGATTCCCCAGAGAGCTGAGGACTGGATGACATTCCCAGTGTTTTTTACTACACATGTTCCCCCGAGGGAAGAGGATTTGCAGGAATTCAAACCCACTGTGTGTGAAGCACCCCCTATGTGTCTTACATGAATGCTCTCTAAGGTGGGCTGTGAGATCCCCAAGGATGACCCACTGGGGAGCAGGAAGAACATGCCAGTACTCCTACTCATATTTATTTTCCAATCCAAGATACAAGAAAGAGATGAAGTTTACTCACATTTAATGGAAGCTAGCACCTTCATGCCTGGCATGTAAGGTATCTTGAGGGCAGAATGAGGGTTTCAATCACACAGAAGGCTAACAGTGGCATTCTTGGGCTTTTGTTTATTTTTTTAGCATACTGAGACAAACTGCAATGAACATTAGATTTATAAATTCTAAAATAATGCTCACAAGTGGACAAGCGGCTTATAAAGAAGGCATGGATTGAAAATCCTACTAAAACATAAATCCAAGCAAATCTCATGAACACACAGAGAAAAAGTAGGGGACATTTCTATTCCCACAGTGAGCTGTGTCAGGCTCATTGTGTTACAAAGTAAAAACAATGACAATCTGATCAGATCCGAGAAGTTGAAGAAAGCTGGTAAGGAAGGCAATTTGGAATATGGATTTACATCCACAATCTTTAAGGTGAGCCTCCCTCTAAGTTTATATCATGCTTCAAGAGATTAGCAAATGGTGATATAAAACCATCACACTGGCTGGGCGTGATGGCTCATGCCCATAATCCTCACACTTTGGGAGGCTGAGGCAGGCGAATCACGAGGTCAGGAGTTTGAGACCGGTCTGGCCAACATAGTGAAACCCTGTCTCTACTAAAAGTACAAAAAATTAGCCAGGTGTGGTGGTGTGCACCTGTAATCCTAGCTACTCGGGAGGCTGAGGCAAGAGAATCGTGTGAACCCAGGAGGTGGAGGTTGCGGTGAGCCGAGATAGTGCCATTACACTCCAGCCCAGGCAACAGTGCAAGACACTGTCTCAAAACAAACAAAAAAACAAAAACAAAAAACCCCCATCACACTTAGCAGCGTGTTTAAAAACTAAGCACCCAACACATGAAGACATGTCTCTACAGTTTTTCAGCAATATTTAAAGTCAGGAAAAAAAAATCTTGTTAGAAAATTTTACTAAACACAGATGGTTCCATGGTGAGCACTCTGGACTCTGAATGCAGAAAATTTTATTAAACATAATAATATATGTTTAAAGTGTCTTTTTTTTTTGGAGACAGGATCTCTCTTACCCCCCAGGCTAGACTGCACTAGTGCGATCATAGCTCACTGACTGCAGCCTGCCTTGCCTTCCCAGGCCCAACGAATCCTCCCACCTCAGCCTCCTGAGAAGCATGGAATACAGGCACATGTCACTATGAGTGGCTAATTTTTAGGTTTTTTTTTTCTTTTCTTTTTTTTTTTTTTTGTAGAGATGGGGGTCTCATTATGTTGCCCAGACTGGTCTTGAACTCCTGAGCTCAAGTGATCCTCCCTGTGTGTCCTCCCAAAATGTTCGGATTACAGGTGTGAGCCACTGCTCCCAGCTTAAAGTCTCTTTTGAGGTTTCTTATGCAATAGCAAAAGGCAAAAAGTTGTACACTACTAGAGGAATACTTTCTGACACTGGAAAATATTCTGAGTTCCTGGCTGAAATACATAGAACACACTATGGCAAAAAACTATGATGCATTCATTTGTTAGAAAAACAACATTGGAAACTGTTGAATGATGCTTAGAAAACATTGCTTAAAATTTGGAGCAAGAAGCATTAAAATGGATTGCTCAGCGTGAGAGGTGTTTTATATTATACTGTTGGATGGAAGTATAGATGTATCAGCTTATGGTCATTCTAAGATTCTATTTCAATAAAGAAATACCACAAAAATTCCTTTTTTTTTTTTTTAAATAATACAGAAAGTCACACGAGCTCATTGCATCCACCCTAGGTAATGAGAAAAAGCTGGCTAAAGATAAGTCATTAAATGTTTTTCAGCTCATTAGAGAGCTGAGGTCTCAAATCAACCGGGTTTACTAAATTCCAGGGGGTGAGAAGCCCCTGAGATAAGATAGAGCACAGAACTATCAGCACTTTGCCAAAAAAACATGTAAGAAAAAATTTTAATGAATTCTTAAGGGCCAAGTGTGCCTCTAGTATCTCCATTTAGAATCTCTAGAAACCCCAGACCCAAGAGGAACCCATGCTAACTTGCCAGCCCTTTTGTATGAGCCGCCACCAGGTACTCATGAAGATTAGGGGTGAGATAGGAAACCTGAGAGAGCTTTTCCCTCCATGGTGCACAGGCATGGACCCTACTTACTTTCCAGATACTACTTTCATATGAATCAAAAGCCATACACTTTAGAGGGAGACTGAAGGGAAGGAAACTCTCTCATCCCCTGTCCTAGGCTAAGAGCTACAATCTCTGGGCTAGGAGTAAAAGTAAAAGCTAACTGCTGCTGGGGGAGGAGAAGGAAACCTACTTGTGTTTGGGGGTGTTACAATGTATGTAGAGTAAAATGTATAACAACAATAGCACAGAGGACGAGAGTGAGGACGTGGAAGTGTGCTGTTGTAAGGTTTTGTCAGTGTACTTGAAGAGGTATTATATTGAAGGTAGACTGTGTATTATAAACACTAGAGCAATCACCAAAAAGTAGAACAAAGAGGTGTAATTATTAAGCCAGTAGTAGAGATAAATAATTATTAAAACACTCTGTTAATCCAAAAAAGGCGGGAAGAGAGAAAAAGAACAAAGAACAGATAGGACAAATTGTCAGGTGGTCGATTTAGTCCAACCATATTTATATCAAATGCAAATATCTAAATATTCCAAATAAAAAACAGAGGTGGTAAGATTGGAAAAAAAAGCAAGACTGATCGTATGCTGACTACAAAAAACCTACTTTAAATATAAAAACATACATGAAAAATGCCATGCAAGTAATAATAAAAGAGTGGCTATATGAGACAAAGTAGACTTCAGAACAAGGGGGACGTTACATATGTTAAAGGGGTCAATACATTAAGAAGACATAACAATCCTAAATATCTATGTACCCAATAAAAAGCTTCAAAAAACATAAAACAAATACTGATGGAATGAGAAGGACTAGACAAATACATAATTATAGCAGGAAACAAGAACCCAAAAGACATAATTTTTAATTACTAAAGGAAGATCATACAAAGGATATTTTTCAACAGTGAGTGGCTTTGTAATACACTTAATTTTAGAAAAAATTGTGTAATCATTAACCGAGTGTTTGCTTTGAACAACATACAAAAGAGGATTCAGAAGTAAGGTTATAGAGGTAACACCTTAGATGAAATTAATTCACTATATTATTAAAAAGCAAGCTTTCCAATAATGCTGTTGAAGCCATATGTACCCTAGGTGCTAGATCAGCAATTTGGTAATAATGAAAAAAAAGACTATAAAAATACAGTGGAATCTTAATATTCTGAATGAGATGGGTAGTGACTACAAGCATCTTTTATACCACATAGAGATTAGCTGATTATCTTGTGGCAGAATGCTTAAAAACAAGAAATTTCCTTTTATAAAGAGAAGGGCTATGAATATGCTGCCCATTTATCAGTGATGACAAGTGACCCTTAGAAGTGTGCTTTCTAAAAGCAATTTTTAAAACAATAAACACAGGTATTTTGTTCTTCTGAGGTAATGGTGATCCTCTAGCAATGAGGGAGAAAATAGTTGCTTTGCGATGACGGGAACTTGTGCTATGGAGACAGAATTGAGGATGAGTATTTGGTAATGTAGTCATATAATTTTATAGTAAAAA